>NC_000016.10:77630682-78255682 GCF_000001405.40 Homo sapiens
CTTCTAAGATTAATGTATGGTGGACAAGATTAATGTATGCTGGTATGTATAGTACCAATTCGTTGATGTGTGCTGTGAGTTACTGTCACCTGGTGTATGATTTTTACAAAGTTTCAATGTGTACTTTTTTAAAAAAGTGAGAACTTTTTAACTTCTGGAACAGGGTCCCATATGTACCCTGTATTGATCATATATTTTGTAGCCTCACTGATATTTGATTAATCTATTGGTATCCACAGGAGACACGTTTCAGTTTCCTACTATACTTCTACATTTGACCATTTCTCCTTGCAATTCTGTCCATTTTTGCTTTACATATTTTTGTGATTATCTTTTTATATGTGCATTCAGGGTCAAGTTTCCAGTATCTTTCTGGTTATTTCCTTCTGTTAGAATTCTATAAGTCCTAATAATATATTTTACCTTATAGTTCATTCTAACTGACATTAATATGACTATCAGTTTTACCTAATGTATATTTTCCACCTTTTAACTTTCAGTTTTTCTGCATTATGAATTCAACTATCTCTTGTAAGTAAAACAGATTTTTCCCCAGTATGAGAATCACTGCCTTTTAATATGTAAATTAAATCAATTTATTTGATTTGCAATTACTGATATATTTTAATTCTCCCATCTTTATTTTTGGACTAGTTTTTACATTAATTCCAGTGACATGATAGTGAAAATTCAGATTAAACACACAAGCATGGCCAAACTTCTTACTTTGTTCACTCCTAGGAAGGTTTTCCCCTTATCCAGAACAACAAATAGAGCCAAGCTCCTTGTTGGTTCTGTGACTAATGAGCAGTTTTTCTAATTCCTCTTCAACATTGAGGCAGCATTTCCTGGTTTTGTGCGAGGGTCTCAGTTCCAAATTCTCGCCTTGCAGGCATCAGTCTTCAAGGAAGAATTAAAACTTCAGTCACCTGCCATTTGAGCAATGCTTTCTGGGATGCAAAATATCAGTTCACACCCTCAAATTTTGCCTTTGAATTCCATCTTTATTTCTAATATATGGAGATCTACTCTTTCTTTTGATCTTGGCTGCGTATTTCATTTGAGGATACATGTTTATATTTTATCTAGAATGTCTACATATTTGACTTCATGTGAAACACTACATAGTTTGCTGGGGTTGCTGATATGGTTTGACTGTGTCCACACCCAAATCTCATCTTGAACTGTAGCTCCCACAATTCCCATGTGTGGTAGGAGGGACTCAGTGGGAGGTAATGGAATCACGGGGGCAGGTCTTTCCCGTGCTGTTCTCGTGATAGTGAGTAAGTCTCACGAGATCTTGATGGGTTTATAAACAGGAATTGCCATGCACAAGCTCTCTCCCTTTGCCTGCCACCATCCATGTAAGACATGACTTGCCCCTCCTTTCCTTCTGCCACGATTGTGAGGCCTCCCCAGCCACATGGAACTGTGAGTCCATTAAACCCCTTTGTTTCATAAATTGCCCAGTCTTCGGTACGTCTTTATCAGCAGCATGAAAACAGACTAATACAGCTGCCACACAGAAACTTATTTTCTTACAATTCTGGAGGCTAGAAGTCAGAGATCAAGATGTCACTAGGACTGACTTCCTCTGAGGCCCTCCTCTTGGTTTGTCAATGGCTGTCTTCACCCTATGTCTTCACATGGTCTTCCCTCTGTGCATATCTCTGTCGAAATCTCCTCTGCTTTGAAGGATTCCAGTCTTACTGGATTACTGCCCACCCGAGTGACCTCATTTTAAATTAAATACTGTCTTCATCTGTTCAAGTGGCTGTAATAAAATAGCATAAGCTAGATAGCTTATAAACAACAGAAATTTATTTTTCACAGTTCTGGAGTTTGGGCAGTCCATGATCAAGGAACTAGCAGACTCAGTGTCTGGTGAGGCCCTGTTTTCTGGTTCCCAGATAGTAACTTCTATCTGTGAAAAGGCAAGGCACCTCTCTGGTGCCTGTTTTATAAGGGCACTAACCCCATTCATTAGGGATGCACCCTCATAATCTAATACCTCCTAATATCACATTGGTGATCAGGTTTCAAAATATGAATTTGGGGGTGGGGGCACAAACATTCAGACTATAGCAAGTATTTATTTACTTTGAGACAGGGTCTTGCACTGTCACCCAGGCTGGAGTGCAGTGGAGCAATCTCCGCTTACTGCAACCTCCGCTTCCCGGGTTCAAGCAATTCTCCTGCCTCAGCCTCCCATGTAGCTTGGACTACAGTTGTGTGCCACCACACCCAGCTAATTTTTTTTATTTTTAGTAGAGACAGGGTTTCACCATGTTGGCCAGACACATCTCAAACTCCTGACCTGAAGTGATCTGCCTGCCTCGGCTTCCCAAGTGTTGGGATACAGCCCTGAGCCACCATGCCCAGCTACAAATATGTATTTAAAGATTCCTTCCTGTCTGTGAATGGTGGCTCACACCTATATTCCAAGCACTTTGGGAGGCTGACTTGGGAAGATCATTTGAGGCCAGGGGTTTGAGACCAGCCTGGGCAACATAGTAAGACTCTGTCTCAACAGAAAAATTAAAAAATAGCCAGGTGTGGTGGCACACACCTTTGGTCCCAGCTACGTGGGAGGCCAAGGCAGGAGGATCAGTTGAGGCTAGGAATTTGAGGCTGCAGTGAGCCAGCACCATGACACTATACTCTGGCCTGAGTAACAGAGTGATGAGTGAGACTCTTTCTTTAAATAATAAATAAAATGAATCAATCAATCACCCTTTCCCTTTTCCCCAAGTGCAGTCACATTTTGAGGTACTGGGGTTAGGACTTCAACATACAAATCAACATACAGGTTGGCAAGGAGGCACAATTCAGCCCTTAACAGGCACCCTTCCAATTCCATCTGTCAGAATGTCAGAAGCAGAGGTTCTATGTTGTCTTTTATGCCCTTCTCTGAGTCTAAATCAAGACCAAGTTTCAATGTCACCCTTCTTAGTTTTTCCTTTGTCTGTTACTCTCAAATGCTAAGTAAATGCTTCCTCATTCCAAGCATTTGGTATCTACTTCTCTTAGCATGTGATACAATCACTAGGTACATATATCCTGGGACAGGAGAATGATATGATGCTGTACCTGGCACAAAAACTCTGAGGTAGTTACTAATCACATTTTTAAAATAAAGAAGCAAAGTTATAGAAGGCTAAGTAACCTACCCAAGATCACAAAGCTAGGAAGTGATAAAGTCAGGATTTCAACACAGGTGTCCTCACCCCAGAATCTACACTCTTAAACCACTACTTATTTTTTAAAAATTAGCCAGGCATGGAGGCACACACCTGCAGTCCCAGCTACTTGGGAGGCTAAGGCAGGAGAATTACTTGAACCCAGGAATCCAGGAGGTGGAGGTTGGAAACAAAACAAAACAAAACAATACTTACTGACTTTGGAATCAAAGAGACTTTGTTTGAATTTCAGCTCTGCCACTGAATTCTCTGTGAGCCTCTGAGAATGTTGCTGTAAGCATACCTCATTTGCTACTCTAACAAAAGCCGAGGACTAACAGTTACACTGCTTAGCATGCCAGGGGCAGGGGGTACACGGAGCAAAACCCAGTGAGGACTCTGTTCTCCTGGAGCCTACAGTTCAATGGGTGTGATGAACCTGGTGGATGGAACGAGGCCGTGATTTCCTTGAGGATATATTATAAACCAACAAGAGTGCCCTGAAAGAGAGGAGCATGATTATCCAAGAGCTTGTAACATAGAAACCTGCTGGATAATTGAAACAGCCATTCTAAGTCCTGCTGGGACACATACCAGGAGGAGGAACTGGCATACTGGCATTAGCTAGGTGAGGGGTGTGGTCAAAGGATGCAGAGAAATTATTCCAGACCCAGAGGACAGCATGTCCCAATGTTCTGTGGAGGAAAAGGACAGGACAAAAAAAATCAAGGAATACAAAAAATAAGGTAAAAGTTGGTGCGAGACGATTCTGAAGAGGCGGGCAGGGAGGAAGAACGCAAGATCTCTCTAAAGATTTCCACCAAAAAGATTTTACCAGAATTCATCCATAACCTGTGAATAACTTCTTCCCTGTGAAGCTGTATACTCAGGATCCTATGAAAAAGCTATGTAATATGTCTGGGTTGTGGTCAGTGTTCAGACATTAGTCTTGCAGTTTTATCAACTGTTATTTATTTTAAGAAATGTCTAGTCAACAGTCTCATCCACTGGGGTTTTAGTCTTCCTTTAAATCGATGTCCGCATAAAATGTAGAACAATGTATCTCACTATGTAGCACACATTTTCAGCCTTTAATTTGCATGGAAATTGCTAGATCAAATAATGTTGTCCTGCATAAAAACCACAACTGTGAAATCAAACCCTGCAAAAGTGGTCAAACCAGGGGATCTGCCAGATGCCACCAGTACTAATTACAAGCCACAGTGATTTGGGACAGTATCTTTAAAAAAGAATAAGTCCTTCTTTCAGAAAGTACCATTAAAACTCTCCTTTTATAGAGAGCACAGGGCAACCCATTTAACATTATTCTTCCCAAACTTTATTTGGTACAACTGAGTACTTTTTGCCCATGAGGTGAGGAACTGCTATGTTTCATTGATTTCTCATCTTTACTTATGCATATTCCCTGACTTTTAGGAAACGGTGCTAAGAAATCCCCCTTTCTCTTCTTTACCAAGTATAAAATTGAGAACCTTCAAGTTCCCCCACTTTTGATTCAGAAGGGGAGCTAGAAGGTACAGCTCTGACTTTGTCCCTAAGATGCACTTTCCTTGTAGCATTTCTGGTGCCACTGCCTCATCGGCCTTGGGTAGTGTTGGAGGGGTAATTACTCAATATTTTTTCAAACTTTAGCCTAAGTGTGGATGAAAGAGTCTTTTCTTTATAACCCTAGCATGATGAAGACAATGCTAGAATGGTCACATTCAGCTTTGCTAAATGGGATATCAACACCAAAATAAAGAGGACCGTGAATGTAGATAATCTGATTTACCAAGTATGACCCTATGCACTTCCTGCTTGTGGCTCCATGTGGCTGAAGATAATTCCTGATTTTTCATCTTTCTCTAACTCTCAATATCTAAGAGTCCATTCCTAGCTATACTAAATCTTGTACACCATAGTGGAAACACTGAGTCCAACAGAGAGACCCACATCTTTATTGTTCACCTAAAACCCATCTCTTCGTTGGTTGACTGACAACAAGAATGAAATTCATATGAAACTCATCTCCTTTGCCTCCATAGGCTAAGGCTGTACTTTAATGGGCCCCAACAGTTTACTCTGTCTCAAAACCGATCTAGAAACACAAGCTCCATGCATATAACAGCAGAAGTCTCATTTCCTTACAAATATTTCATTCTCCAAATTCCAGCTTTCTCAATACATAGGAGGAAAAGAATTTTTCTAATCTTTCTCAGTACTCAGATTTGTGCCACAGAAGATGGCATTTGTATATCTAACACCCATAAACCTCCTCCCATCTTACAGTCTTTAAAATACAGATGTTGCTTTAATAGCCACAATCATATAACATTCCATTTCATAATTTCATAATCATTGTAAAGCTGTTTCACATCTCATTTCCCTAGGCTCCAAAAAGCTTTATTTCACCCAGTTGGTGTAACAATAACTCTAATACAAGGCAGCATGTGCTGTATCCCATGTCCTTTAATGAACTATAAACTCTGGGAGGACCCAGGCTGTGTTTGAATTAGGTTCTGTGCAGCTGTGAGTTTGCACCTGCTGGTTACTCTGCCTTTAATTGCTTATGGCAAACACTTTTCAACTTTGCTTCCCAGCATCTCAACTTTCTTCTACATTTGGAGAACTCTACCTGTATTCTACTACAGATGCTGAGAATGTCAGAATCTTGATTTCCCAGATTCCCTTGCAGCCAGGGTGTGAACACAGGACCCAGGGTGTCATTCAGACCCACCCACAATGGACTTTCAAACAGGACCCAGAGGGCCCAGGTGCAACGGCTCACACCTGTAATCCCTACACTCTGGGAGGCCAAGGAAGGAGGATCACTTGAGGCCAGGAGTTCAACACTAGCCTGGGCAACATAGTGAGACCCCATCTCTATAAATAATTTAAAAATTAGCCAGTTGTGGCGGTATGCATGCACCTGTGGTCCCAGCTACTTGGGAGGCTGAAGTGGGAAGATCCCTTTATCCTGGAAGGTTGAGGCTGCAGTGAGCCACGATCATGCCACTGAACTCCAGTCTGGGCAACACAGTGAGATCCCATCTCAAAAAAACAAAAACAGGAAAAAGAGGTGCCAGGAATCAGGGCCACCTCTGGCAGCAGTTGAGGTTGCAGCAGACTATCTCTTTCACATTTTTTAAAACTGCAGGGCATCTTAGAGCCTTAGAGTACAAGTCAAAGTGTTCAGGCTTTGAGTGTTTCCTCCCACTGCCCCAGACCAGTTCTAGGGTATGATTTTTATCTTTATTTCTGGCTGTATAAATCTGGGCCTGGTTTTCAGCTCTTTCAACAATACACTTTTTAATAAAACTTCTTCTCTGTTTAAATTAGCCAAAATCAGTGCCTGAAGTTTCCAGCTAAGAGTTCTCACCACATTTTCTTTATATGGAGCACTAGCTCCAAGTTCCCAAAAGTTAGTTGATGACCATAAATGTGAGGCAATCATTTGACTGTTGTTGATCTAATTCCTGCGGATAAGCAGAAAAAATGGATTAGAAAAAAACCCAGAGTACTCTTTGGTTTGGGAGAATAGGGAAACAGCCTAGAATGTTGTTCTCCTCTCACTCAGAGTATAGATTCTCCTCCCAGATAACTACCCATCAATCTGATCACAGTATCATATATAATATCATATACATACACAAATATTCTTATCAGTAATGATGGTGAAAATGCTTAAAATCACTTTCCACTTTTAAGAGATTGAACACCCATAACTAAAGAGGGATTTGTTTTTTTTTCCAGGTGACTATTTGAGACCACATGTTTCTGTACACTTTTACTGAAAATTTTTTTATCATTTCATGTTTTAAGAACAGAAATAGACATTTCCAAATCAATCTGCGTAATCTAATCCTTCATGCTGTCACGGGCTCAGGACCAAGTGAATTGTGCTTAAAGAAAGAAGTCCTTGCTCCTGGTGAGGAATAAGTCCTTTCCTGAAGTGGGAATAAGACTCTGTCACCCTTCTGGGCTGTTCTCCTTTCCTGCCTTTTTTGTTTGTCCCTAAAGCTTCTGTCTGGGGAATCTCTTGCCATGCCGAGGGTGGAAACACAAGGTGTCCTCCAAGCAAACTTAGAGACGCAACTCACCGTACTGTGAAAGATTTGAAGACGCAGCACTGAGCAATGATGTATAAACAGATACACAACTGGGTCCTTGTTTTAGGCTGCGGTTACTCATGTCAGCATGCTTTCAAGTGCATATCCCTTACCAGCAGGGTTGGCAACAGACCCTTAAATCACATAGCTGAGAGTATAGACAAAGCCTCCCAATCTTGGCTCTCAATCAGAACAAAAATTGTGCTGAGACATCCAGAGAACGCTGTACTGCTGGGAATGTTCATCTAGGGAAATCTAAAAATAGTGAGCTATTTTACTGTGGATGCCCAAGGGGACCTTAAGATAACACTTTGCCGTAAGTGAGTTTCAGGCAAAATTAATCTGCTAAAATACCAGTAGAGAAATCCTACCTAGAATGCAGTAGGATAAATTGGACTTAAGCTCCTTGCTTGCCAATTTCTAGCAACAGGTGACCGGAGATCTGCACTAAATCCTAATCACTGGCTTACTGGGAAAGAACACAAGATTGATTAGTTATGTCTACCATGGCAATGGAAGTGAAGAGGAGCAGTACAATTGCCATGGATTTGCAGACCCTGTTATCTGGTGTCACCATGTCAATTAAGCATTGCCTGACTTCTTCAACTCTGTGTTAAATTCTCCATCCTTGGAAACTCCAGAGTTGTTGCCTTCTGCTTCTGACACTATTTTCTACTCTTTATCATTTACATGTTTCTGTTTCCCCCTTCTAGACCATTAATTCGTCAAGGCAGGCAACTACATTTTATTATTGCATTTCTCTCAGATCCTAGTATATATGCCCTTCTGTCTAGACTTTTACTTATTGCAGAATTCAGCAACCAATGTCAAACACTGCTATTGGTGGAATGTTGATGTCTCCCGAAAATCTGTTCATTGGAAACCAATACCTGACGTGATAGTAAGAGGTGGGGTCTTTAGGAAGATTAAGTCACGAGGGATCCACCCTTATTAATGGGATCAGTGTCCTCATAAAGGAGGCTCAAGGGAGCTCCCTGGCCCCTTCTGCCATGTGAGGACACAGAAGGTGCCATCTATGACGAACAGGCCCTTACCATATACCAAGTTTGCTAGTGCCTTGATTTTAGACTTCCAAGCCTTCAGAACTGTGAGAAACAAATTTCTATTGTTTACAAATTACCCATTCTAAGGTATTTTGTTGTGGTAGCCCAAATGGACTAAGACGAACACTTTGTGTTGAAACTAGCTAGGCTCTGGAAGACAGGCATAAACAAAACCCTTACCATACCTTCAATTAACTCATGGCCTAGTAGACTATTGAATGAATAACATAAAAAACTATATTCTTGCTCCCTATGGGTGGGATCTATGCTAATGATCATCCTTTACAGGAGGTTGGTCTTGCATGGCTTCTGAAATAGGTTTCCGTACACATCCTATTCTAACATCATCCCAGTGAGGAAGGCAGAAAAGCAAACTGAGATCATGACATTCAAAGGTTAAAAGACTTGCCCACAGCCCCACTGTGGTGTGTTTTGACAAATAAATTGAGAAATGTTTCTGAAAGTAACCGTGAAGCAAATGAAGAAATCTTTTGCATAGCGCTGTGGCCTGAAGTCTGGCCTTTGAGAATCATCTGAGCTTTAAACACAGAGCGTTAGTCTCAGTGTCTATGGCAGGCTGCATAACAGCCCCCACAGCAATGTCCACATTCTTATCCCTGCAAGCTGAAAATATGTGAGGTTTTATGGCAAAGGAGAAATAACGTCGCAGATGGCTTACAAGTCGGCTGACCTTAAGATGGAACTGTAGCCTGGGTTTTTCAGGTGGATCCAGTATTATCACCAGAGCCCTTAAATGGGGAGGGGGCAGGCAGAAAAGAATGAGAGATGACAGCATGAGAACTCAGCTGGACACTGCTGGCTTTGAAGATGGAAGAAGGGGCCACAGCTAAGGAATGCAGGCAGCCCCTAAAAACCGAAAATGCAAATAAATACATTCTCCCCTAGAGCCTCCAGGAGGAGGCAGCCCTGCCAACACCTTGATTTTCACCCTGTCAGTCTCATTTTGGACTTCTGACCCCCAAAATTGTAAAATAATAAATATATTTTGTTTTAAGCCACTAAATTTGTGGCAATTTATTACA
Organism: Homo sapiens; assembly: GCF_000001405.40. NCBI lineage: Eukaryota > Metazoa > Chordata > Mammalia > Primates > Hominidae > Homo > Homo sapiens. The sequence goes on from NC_000016.10 coordinate 77,640,078, forward strand.
GCTGCAATCAATAGGAATCTAATACAGGGTCTTTGTGAGCAAATCAGTTTCAAAATATCCTTTTTCACCAAGTGCACGTATTAAGTAAGAGACTATGCACAGGGTCTCCCACCAATGCTAGCTACTTTCTAACAGAGTAGCCACCAATGCTAGCTAACTTATCCCTTCCCTTGGAAATATCACATCCTGGGAGCCTTAAAAATAAAATCACAGTTTAAGTCATTTGTGGTCTGTCCTATTCTCTGACAACATTCAGAAACACTAAAAACAATAAACTGTCTTTTTGGGAGGAAGTCTCAAGCACAGGTCTTATTTTAAAAGCTCCTCAGGTGGTCAGGAGATTGAGACCATCCTGGCTAACATGGTGAAACCCTGTCTCTACTAAAAATACAAAAAAATTAGCCGGGCGCAGGTGGCGGGCACCTGTAGTCCCAGTTACTCAGGAGGCTGAGGAAGGAGAATAGCGTGAACACGGGAAGCAGAGCTTGCAGTGAGCTGAGACAGCACCACTGCACTCTAGCCTGGGTGACAGAGCGAAACTGTCTCAATAATAAAAACAAAAAAACGCACCTCAGGTAATTCTAAGGTGTGATAAGGATTGGAAACACCCACAGGAAAGCTGCTAAAGAGTCCTTTGACAGCACAGGTGGGAATGCCTCAGTCTAGCCGAGACCAGAGTCCAGTCTCCCTTTCTTCTGACCCTACAGTTATCTCTATCAAGCCCACAACGTGGCTTCCCAGGTCCTTCTCCTAGATACACTGGTTTTTTAATTTTGTTTCTCATTGCAGAAAGCTCTTATCAAAAGAAAGCGGAGTCACAAGTCCAACAGATAAGAGATGAAAATGGGATTTGAAAGCCTAGAACCCGTCTGATGCATTCCACATCTCCTCTGAACCAAGTTAAAGAGTTGCAATTATTGACTCTGTCAACCAGAGAGCTGGGCTGGAGTTGAGTAACCTAATGTAGCTTGTCCCAAACCATATGCCACAAACCACCACAGCCTCAAGACATTCACAGGTGTTGTCTGGAAAAACAACAAGAGTGAGGATCCCATGGTCAAATACACCATCCCTGCTCTCCCACTCTTGGCTAGAGGCTCTAAGATGCCCTGCAGTTTTAAAAAATGTTAAATCTAATACTTCCTAAAGCTATTTGACCAAGTAACCTTTTTTAAATTTCAATGGGTTTTTGTGGAACAGGTGGTATTTGGTTACATTACTGTTATTTAGGGGTGATTTCTGAGATTCTGGTGAACCTATCACCCGAGCAGTATACACTGTACAGAATGTGTGGTCTTTTATCCTTCATCCCCCTCCCGCCCTTTCCTTAAGTCCCCAAAGTCCATTATATCATTCTTAATCCTTTGCATCCTCATAGCTTAGCTCCCACTTATGAGGGAGAACATACAACGTATTATTTTCCATTCCTGAGTTACTTTGCTTAGAATAATGGTCTCCACTTCTATCCAGGTTGCTGTGAATGCAGTTATTTCACCAAGAAACAATTTTTGTAAGGAGCATCTGTCATTCAGGAGACCCAGTTTGGAAATTCCAATTCCTTCTTTTAAAGATGAGAAATGAGGGTTTAGAGGGGACATAATTTGTCTACAAGCACTGAATCACAGTCTGCCAACGCCTCGTGCATCTCCTTGGCCCGTGGAAGCTCCCCAGGCCCTGATTGTCTCCAGCATGCTGGCAGCTTTCCCCTCCAATGCCTATATTTCCAGTCACTGTCAGAATTTCCTCGGGTTCCCTGGATACTTGCTGTGGGAAAGGGGAACGATTAGAGTTGGTGCATAAACGCACTGGTTTTCCCATCCTCATGGTGGCTGTGCCCTACGTAGATTCTCAGAGGGTCTCCAGTGGGAGTGAGTCCTGGTTGTCCACTGCAGAAAGTCTGCTCATGAGTGCCTCACTGATTGGCTTTCCTCCTTTTCCTCCTTTTCCTGCCCCTAACTCTACTTCCTCACCTGTTTTTTCTGGATCCACTTCCTAATAAATTAACCACACACGAGTCCTTGTCTCAAGGCCTGCTTTGGGAGGAAACCTAAACAAAGAGTTACTTACAATCCAAGTTAAGAACAGTGACCTAGATGTAAGGCCCTGTTCAGACACTAAATAAATGATTTGGTTTTTATAAATGAAATCAGATTCTAGCTTAAGATTCCAAGTTTTAAACAGCCATAGACATTTCCTCCTGAGACAAAGAGCTGAATTCTACTGTCAAAATCCAGAGTTTCAGCTTTTTCTTCCTTCTAACCCCTAAAAAAAAACAAAGAAAGAAGGCTGTGTTAGAGACAAGACGTTTTGCCTTATCTTCAGAAGGTAAGAAGGGCTTCTCCACCGTGTGCCCTTTGGTGAAAGGTCACAGTCAAAAAATGTCATGGCTTGGCGCGGTGGCTCTTGCCTGTAATCTCAGCACTTTGGGAGGCCGAGGTGGGATCACTTGAGGTCAGGAGTTCAGGACCAGCCTGGCCAACATGGTGAAACCCTACCTCTACTAAAAATACAAAATGAGCTGAGCGAGGGGGCACGTGGCGCGTGCCATAATCCCAGTTACTAGGGAGGCTGAGGCAGGAGAATCGCTTGAACATGGGAGGCAGAGGTTGCAGTGAGCCGAGATCACACCATTGCACTCCAGCCTGGGCAACAAGAGCAAAATTCTGTCTCAAAAAAAAACAAAACAAAACAAAACAAAACAAAACAAAACAAAAAAAACAAAAACACTATGTCATGTTGCCAGAATTTTCTTTCAGACCTAAGAAGGAAACAGAAATGCTTAAGAAAGTTGAACTCAGGAATTTCTCAACAGGATGCACATCTGAGGTGGCTCGCGCTACCAATTTAAAAAAAAAAAAAAAAACAGTGAATAAATTTGCTCAAGAAATTAGCTGTCGATAGCAGGGTTATAAAAACCTAGCCAGAGATTTTTATGTTTGGCTGAGGATCTCAAACTGTTTTCCAGATAGTTGAGGATCAGTAAACTTAACACATTTTTCTCGGCAACTTTTCCCCCCCTTTAATTTCCAAACTCTGAAATTATAAAAAGCAACTTTCATATGTGTGTTTTTCTTAAATTATTAGTTGATATCAAGCAGGCAGGTAAGCATTTTCTGGTTACTCTTAGCAGAAGGATTTTCAAGAAACCCTATTTTGGTATATTTGATTTTCCCTATATTTGAATTGTACACACTTCTGGCATGTGGATGGGGAGCATTTACGCTTGAAATCTTATGAGAGATGCCTCTGCTTTCACAGAGGCAGGGAGCCCAGTTGGGCGGGGGATGTGGGGCGGGGGTGGCAGGGATGGGGGGCGTCTAGGCAATCTGGCCTTAAAGAGCTGACAAGGAGAGAAAATACTTATCAAAGTGGGAAAAATACAGCTCCTTTCCTTTACCTCCAAGAAGACCGATAATGACCAAGAACAGTTGGTTAGCAGTCAGAACAGGCATTACCATCAGATAAGTTGTTAGAATCCATCTGCTCAGCTCTAAGTGTTTTAAGAACTGACTGGATCCACAGTTGTGTGCTTCAAAACACAACTCTATCTGACTGCTCTTCATCAAAAGTTATAATCACCTGGGAATCGGTTCCTCAGAAGGACTGCTCTAGTGCCCCATGAGGGTGTGACCTGTCACTCACTCTTTCTTCATCGCCTGCTTGATCCTCAGCTTTTGTCAGGCCCGTTGCCAGAAACTTCCCTCTATCCTGTTGTCTCACCCCAAACCCAGACAAATAACCAAACCATCTGACTCTCTCTTTGCTTGGCTTTGAAATCAAATTTACTTCTGAAAGGTAGGAGAAACCATCTGGTGGCATTGTTTCCACCTTCCTTGGCCTCCTACTTCCTTGGAAGTATAGAAAGGACCCAGTCAAAGATACTAGCTCTTTTCTACACTTCCACCTCTCATACCTTCAGCCAAGCCCCCTCCCCATAGACTTTCCACCAGCTCCATACAATATCCATAACCCTTCAGGTACAAAGCACCCCCTGAAGATTACATAGGAAATACCTGTATTGGTAAGCAGATTCTCCATAGAGCAGAACCAAGAAGACATAGGGAAATATATAGAAATATTTATTACCAGTGATTGGCTCATGTGTTTATGAAGTCTGAGAAGTCCCACAATCTGCATACTGCAAGCTGGAGGCCCAGGAACACTACTGATGTAGTCCTAGTCCAACCCCAAGGGCCTGAGAACCAGAGGAGCCCATGGTAAAAGTCCCAGTTCAAGTCCAAAGGCCCAAGAACCATGAGCACTGATGTCTAAGGGCAGGAAAAGATGGATGTCCCAGCTCAAGCAGGGAGTGAATCTGCCTTTCCTCAGCCTTTTTGTCCTACTTGGGCCCTTGATGAACTGGATGATGCCATCCCCATTGGCACAGGTGGCTCTTCACTCAGTCTACCAATTCAAATACTCATCTCTTCCAGAAACACCCTCAAAGACACACCCAGAAATAATGTTTTACCATCTCTCTGGGCATCGCTTAACCCGGTCAAGTTGACACAAAATTAACCATCAGTCTCCCACAAACAATGCTTTAAGAGGGAGATACAAAACATTCTCTTTAACCAAAAGTAACTCCCTCAGAAATTGGTCATGGGACCAAAAAGTCCATCACTCAACTCATTTCTCTGGATGAATTAAAAACTCAAAAGGCAACTGACTAGGGAGATGGCAAACATAGGAAGTTATTATCAGCCATAAGCCCTCCAGCTACAATGAACTTATCAGATTTGCTCTGTCCACCAGCAAGCTTGATGAAATGGGATCTTGGACACCAAATGCACGTTTGGGGATCTAAAAAGGAAAAATGCCTGGGGCCCAAGGTGCTGAGCAATCTAAGTGGTTTTCCTTAGTTATGAGACTAATGGGGAGGAGGCAATCACTACACAACACGGGTAATACATGCCCAGAGAAAGAACATAACCCAAAGGAGAAAACACATGCAGAGGTAGGAAAAGACGGTGATGATGATAATCAAATCAGTAGCCACAGCTACCATTCAGTGAGAAGGCACAATGTCAGGCACTTAGCATACATTAGCTTATTCAATTTTCATGATCCATATGCTAAACAGATATTCTCAGTTCCATTTTACAGATGAGTAAATTGAGGCTCATAGACAATTCATTTCTTACCTAGTCATACAATAAGTGGTAGGTTTAGGGTTCAAACCCAGATTCCTCTCCAATGGTTGTCATTATTCCATTTGACTATACTATCTTCCTAACAATGCAACAGTTATAGTTAGGGAGCACATGTGGTTTCTCATGGAAGAACAAAAAATGTAGGGGGAAACTCCCACTAGATTTCTCTAAAGTCTTGGCCTAGAACAATGAAAATGCTAGGGAACTAAACTGATGATTGCTCCTTGGCCTCACACCTCACCATTTACCTAAGTCTATGGCTCCCAACTGGGGACTCAGTTGTTGCATGGGATCTGCGTGTCCATATGCACACTAACCCCTGTCTGCAGACAAAATACATCATGCACATATCAAGATATTTCTGTAATTAGTCATATACCAGTTGATTCTAAAATGTTATTGAATTCACAAGATATTTATCATTGTATATTTTCAAACCTAGGAATATTAAAAGTATAATTAGAATCATGTGGGATAGAGGTATTTGTCATTAAAAGGGGATTTTCAATTCTACAATCCAGAAATTCCATTCCTAGATATTTACTCAACAGAAATGCATCAATCCGCTCATCAATAATTGACATTGTGCAGTAACAGTCATAGCAGCATATTCACAATTTCCCCCAAAGTGGAAATGACCCAAATGCCAACAAAAGTGGAATGGGTAAGAACATGGTGGTACAGTCACACAGTACAATGCTGCATGGTAATAAAAGCAGACAGACTACGACTACACCCAACAACAGGATGACTCACAATTGTGATACACAGCAAGGGAGCCAGACACATTTAAAAGCACTCACTGTGTAATCCCTTTTATATCATATTCAAAAACAAGCAAAATTCATCTATGCTGTTAGAAGTCAGGAGGAAGATTACCTTGAGGGATGGATGGAAAGTGAGTGAGGGAATCTTCTAGAGACACTTAACGTTCACTTTCTTGATCTGGGTGTTGGTTACATAGGTGTATACAGTTTGTGAAAATTCCATGAGCTGTGAATGTGATTTGTATTTTTTTAATTTATGTGATATCTTAATCAACATTCAAAAAACAGAGAGAGTTGTATGACAAAGATAACCCACTGCTCTGTAGCAAAGTTCTTCCCAGCCAGGCTGGGCACTTACCCTTTGCCAAACACGCAAATCTTTTTCATCCCTATTTTTGCTCAGGCCATATTCTCACCTTCAAATTACCCAACTCACCATCTCTGTCCATTAAAACACTTTCCATTTTTTGAAACCCAGCTCAAGGGCCCCACCTCCAAGGAACCTTTCCATTTCTGTAGCCAGAAGGGAATTCTTGCTGCCCCAAACCCTAGAGTGCTTGGATAGCATTTCTCGGACCACAACTCTGAGGTCTTTTGAGCCCCATATATAGCCTGGCAAGTGACAGGTCATTGAGATAGGTTTTCTGTTGTAAGAACATCTACCTTAACCTCATAATGCAGTGATCTGTGTTTGCTTTACTTCCTGCCTTCAGGAAGCTCTTGGGAGAAATAGGTCTACGTGTCTTTGTACTACTCACCACATCCAACCCATAACCATGCATATTTTAGATGCTCAGGTAATGTTTTTGAATAAAGATAAATGTCACCTGTGAAAAGAATTTGCAGTGAAAGAGATACCTTGAAGATCTCAGCAGATCTACTATGTTACTTTTGTTTTCTCTGCCACTCTGTGGCCCAGGCTGGAGTGCAGTGGCATGACCACAGGTCACTGCAGCCTTGGGCTCAAGTGACCTCCCACTTGACCTCCTGAGCTCAAGTGATCCTCCCATCTCAGCCTCCCAAGTAGCTGAGAGTACAAGAGAATGTTACCACACCCAACTATTTTTTTTTTTTTTTTTTTTTTTTTTTTTTGTTGTTGTTGTTGTTGTTGTAGAGACCTGGTCTTGCTCTTTTGCCCAGGCTGGTCTCAAACTCCTGAGCTCAAGCAATCCTCCCACCTCAGCCTCCCAAAGTGCTGGCATTACAGGTGTGAGCCACCATATCCAGCCCTATTTCATGTCTTTATAAAAGAAAATATAGAAGACTTCAATATGAGGTCACCCTTTCTCCTCAGTGGCTGGTATTTTATTGGCTTTGTACTTAATTGAAAGCCCCCTTGGGGGGTCAACTTATCCACACAGGCAAAAATGTGAGCTTTTCAATCAGAAAACTGAAGGCAGCTGAGATGTCTGGATCATAGTGATGAACAGGTTCAGCCCAATTCCAAGTTCCTTGGATCAACCTTGGCAGATGCTTCCACATACTAAGAAAAGGCATCCAACAATCAGATCAGCACAGCAATATGCAATGAAAAATGACAAGAGTGGCATCAACAGACAAGCGTTTAAGCCCACTCCAGCTTTGTCTCCCAGAAGAACAACAGTATTTCTCAAGAGTCCCCGATGTGCCCTCAATCTGTAATTCTGCTCCCCCTTCCCTCTTTTCTTCCCTTTCCAATAAGCTGCACATTGTTCAAGACAAATTCACTGTGAAATGATTTTTTTTAATCATTAGGGCAAAATGAGCAGTGTTAGAGTGCTAAGATTCCTGAATTAATAAAATTGCTGCCATCCATGATTTTAACTTTCTCTTTTCTGTTGACAGAAGCCAAGACATTAGGAGATATTTTCCAGCACTACAGTCAAACTGTGCATTTTTAGATTTGTGGGCAGGCCGAGTGATCTCCAGCCAGAGTCTCAGCCCTCAGTTCTACATTCCTATGTCATTCTCTTACCACAGCATCATTTCTGGTCTCCTCCAAGTCATTGCTTTGGAGAAAATGAAGCACATTTTCAGAATATAAGAATAACCCAGGCAACCTAAGGCCAACTAACAAGGCAGTTGGTGAAGTCAGCAGAAGCAAGAGCTGATATTAGCAACATACATGTGGGTAACACCTTCCATCATGAAGATCTGTATCAAGACATTTTATACCTGCACCAAGAATCTCATTGGTGCGTGCAGCTTACAGGTTCAAGCACCCTAAAGGGTCCACATCTTTTCCTGTTTTTATTAAAAGTACAAGGAAACATGGCACTTAAAATAGGTATGCCAGGACTAACCTACTTACATTCAGGTCTCAACTTGAATTTCCTTTCTCATGAAAGCCTGGCCCAGTACCAGTTAGGAGCTGGACACTCTTAACATTCTTCCTCTATGTCACTTGCTGCAATTGTAATTTACTAATTACGTATGTGATCATCTCTTCACAGAAATTTAAGTTCCATGCAGACAAGGATTGAATCTGTCTTGTCCATGGCTGATATGGTTTGGCTGTATCCCCACCCAAATCTCACCTTGAATTCCCACATGTTGTGGGAGGGACCCGATAGGATAACTGAATCATGGGGGCAGGTCTTTCCCGTCCTGTTCTCATGACAGTGAGTAAGTCTCATGAGATCTGACAATTTCAAAAACGGGAGTTTCCCTGCATAACCTCTCTCTCTTTGCCTGCCACCATCCATGTAAGACATAACATGCTCCTCCTTGCCTTCCTCCGGGATTGTGAGGTCTCTGTCACCCAGGCTGGAGTGCAGTGGCACAATCTCGACTCACTGCAGTCTCTGCCTCCCAGGTTCAAGCGATTCTCCTGCCTCAGCCTCCTGAGTAGCTGAGATTACAGGCATGCACCACTACGCCCAGCTAATTTTTTGTATTTTTAATAGAGACAGTGTTTCACCATGTTGGCCAGGCTGGTCTCGAACTCCTGACCTCAAGTGATCCACCTGCCTTTGCCTCCCAAAGTGCTGGGATCACAGATGTGAGCCACTGTGCCTGGCCCACCTTAGCTCTTTTTTTTAAGTAGGTCTCTTCATTTCCAGCTAGCAGGTAATTCTTGATGCTTTCAGATCACCCCCTACCAGAAAAAGCACTAGTGAATTCCTCATACCCATGTGAATAAAATGAAAGCTCCATAGCTTGGAATACTCCATGTGGTCCCCAACCTGTTTTCAATTCCCTTCCCACATGATCCCTCAACATTCCCCTTCATGCAGGAAGCCTTTCCTAATTATCTTCTACCTGAAGATGTAACCAAATACTCCCACCGCATTTTCTAGAACTTTGTAAATGCTTAATTTTATAAATTAGAAAGCATATGCTAAATTGTTCCTAGTAGTCTGGAAGGATCTTCCAGCCATAACCTAGATCATATTGGTCTTTGTTTATCCAAAAATGCCGAACACTCTGTTTGACCCATAATAGCTTTTCAAAAACATTTCTTGAATTTAATCAAGTTAATTCTTTCATTTATTCTTTGAAACACCCAGTTTCTATTTACCAAGGACCACCCCACCCCAGGGATAAAAATGTAGAATTGTGTGACCTTAGGCACCAGCCTTAACTCTTCTAAACCTTGGTTTCTTTCTCTGTAAAATGATCTCTGCTATGAACCAGGTAAGATAATGCATGTGAAACACTTAGCCTAGTGTCTGGCACATAGTATATGCTCAATAAATGTTAACCTGATATTATTATTATTGTCTCCCAAGGCAGTCTGTTCCATTGCCAGGCAGCTACAATACTAAAGCACTCTTCCCAGTTCTGAGTAAAAATATAGCTTCCAACGACATGAAGCCAAGATTCATTGATCTTAGCTTCCTTGCTTGTGAGCAAGAAGAATCAAGTGACTTCTAAGCAGGCTCAGATAATACTTCTAAAAACCTGATTCTCGGTACCAGGCCTGGACTGAAACGAGGAAACTGAGGTCAACTAGGGAGAGAGAGCTGGATTTCATTAATTCCATGGATTTCTAAGAAGAGCTAAGGTTCTTTAAATGGGTTCCTTTTCTACCTTACAAGTTTCTCTCTGGGAGTCCAATATACTGCTTAAATTTCATTTATTTCCTCCAGCTGTAGTGTTTGGGTAAGCAAAATTCTGCAAAATGACTTCACCATTGGCAGTCATTTGCCCTTGGCCAAACTGACTTGCAATTATTCTCAGAGTGTCAGAAGTTTCCAAATTAGCTTAGTCCCTGTCTAGTGCTGAGTAGGCTCCTCAGGGTGGGTCATGTCCATGCCCTGGGCCTCGTGCAGGATGGATCCCATTGCCCCTGAAGAGTAGGTGCCCCATTGTCCATTTTCCCCCACAACTGATTCAGTTCCTGCTGGTAACTATGACATTGACATTTCTATTTTTTCAGCATCCTGCACCCACTTCCACTAGACTCTTCTGTCTCTGGTTTTATTTTTTTAAGTAAATGACCTCTAACTGACAGACGCTTCCCTTCTTGGAGACCAGGCTTTTCACTTTCTTCAATGCACTCTAAAACTGTTGTGTTGTGCTCTCAGGTTAGACAAGCCAAGCTGTAGAGAAGCTTCCACACCCACACACAGGTACTGGGCTTAATTTTCAGAATTCTGAAACGATTTCCAGAAAAGTTAAGAAGCTTCTGCAGCTCTTCAGGGGTTACAATTGCTTATTTTCATGTACACACTAACTTTAGAATAATCCACAATTTTTCTTCAACTCAAGCACCCAAGAGAAAATAAACTGTGTAGTATTTTTTTTAACAAAGTTCACTAAGTATCTACTATATTCCACTGCAGACAGCACTAACCTCCCAACTGACCCTCTGTCTCTAATTTTGTCTTTAATCTATTCTCTACCAGATCAGAGGAATGTTTTAAAATATATAAATCAGAATATCTTACAGCCCTGCTTAGATGTGCTCAATGGCTTCAGTTCTACTCAGAAGGAAATCATGGACTTCAAAGCCCTATTCCTCTGGCTTCTGGCATTTCTCCACTCACACCGTCTTCTCATTTGCTCACCACACACAAGCACACAGAACTTCTTACAGCTCCTCAAATGTGTCGTATCTTTCCTGGCAAAGGCTCACAGTTTTGCACCAACTCTTCCTTCCACCTGGATTACTCTTCCCTAAGGTCTAAATATCTGGCTCGGTCTCATTCTTTTGCCTCCATCATAAATTTAACTTCCTCTGAGAACTCTAGAGTAGAACCCTCTTCCTAACTATGCAAAGCTGCTCTTTCAGTAATTTAGCGTATTTTCTTAACAGCCAGCCATACTCAGTGCCAGGCTTCTTAGAATTGCCATGATTTATGCAGATGATGGCACCAATTTCAAATAAATAAAAAGACTAATGAGAAGAGTCTTCAAACACAGAGTTGCTGCATTACTTCCTCTGGAGGGAGAAAAACAGTAACACAATAACAACCTTTAGTCATTAAACTTATGTGAGTCGTATATAAAAGCTACCTCCGTAACAGCCCCAGAGACATTGCTAGGCAGCATGATTAAAAAGAAAATATTCTCCTTCCTTCTCTTGAGCAGTGCCTTGTTTGCATTTTAAGAAGGAAATCCTACCATGATGGAGCTTCTCTCTGTCACTGGAAGAGCCAAGTTTGATATAATTGCAACAATAGGTTTCCTCTTTAACATTCCAATGTCCTTCTAGGACTGAATTATCAACCCACTTCACACTCCTTAGATGATGCGAAAACAATAAAATTAAGCAGAGACATTTCCTCTTGATCACTGTCCATTGTTGTGCTCTTCAAAAGACAGACACTTGACATAGAAACTTCGGTCATCAGTGAACAAATAAGCCTATGGTTAATAAACCTAGCAAGAAGCAAATCCTAATTTCACAAATTCTGGAAATTGAAGAAATTCAAAATCAAAATAGAATTTAAAAGTAGCAATCAGGCAAGGCGCGGTGGCTCATGCCTCTAATCCCAGCACTTTGGGGGTGCTGAGGAATGTGGATCGCTTAAGGTTAGGAGTTTTGAGACCAACCTGGCCAACATGGCGAAACCCCGTCTCTACTAGAAATACAAAAATTAGCCAGGTGCAGTGGCGGGCACCTGTAATCCCAGCTACTCAGGAGGCTGAGGCGGGAGAATTGCTTGATCCCAGGAGACGGAGGTTGCAGTGAGCCGAGATCACGCCACTGCACTTCAGCCTGGGTGACCAAGCAAGACTCTGTATTTAAAAAGTTGCAATGAGTAAATGCTAACACTTCATGAGTGCTTATTCTGTATGAGAGGTGGTTCCAAGCCTTTAACAGGTGTTATTTCATTTAAACCCCATTATCAACTGTTTGAAGATGTAGCTACTCTCTCTGCATTTTACAGATGAGAAAACTGAGGCATAAAAATATTTAAATGCACGGCATCACCCCGAGATTAAGGAGTGTGTTAGGATTTGATCCCAGGAGTTCTGATTTCAACCACTTATTTTTCCACTGTGCGCCGGAAAGACTTGGGAGTAAATAAATCATATTTAACAGACACACACAGTAACCAAGTACTAGGAGTCCCAAAGGAGAAAGGTTTCTGTAAGTGGTTATGCAAGGCTTCTGCTACCTTGCCAAAATCTTGAGACACCAATAAGTGTGGTTGTCCTACTCAACCTCATGTGATTCAGTCTGACAAAAAGTTGTAGGGATTCATGCAACATCTCCCTTCTCTTGCAACTGGGGCAGATCTTTCGTACCTAACCCTTGTCTGTCTGAGCTGTTACACTAGAGCCCTACCACCAGTTTCTTCTTTCATCATGCAGTCAATTGTCATCCTAAATCTCTGTTCTCATCACTTTGACTTCCTGCACCCATTACGTATTAGACCAACTGGGTATGAATCCCAGCTTTTCCACTTACTATGTGGGGAACCTTGAATGTGTTACTTAACCAAGTCTTAGGTTAGGTACCCTCATCTTAAGTGAGACTAGAGTGACTTGCCCACAATGTTCTTTTGAGGATCTCGTTTATAATGACTCCTCAAAAAATGGTAGCTACGTTACAAAATAAAGCACTGAGAATGTAAGACTTACGTGTGTGTGGCTCTACTAGTATTTCCAGGTTTACACCACACAGATGCCCTTCAAGAATTTTTACCACTGAAGTCCGCCTTCTCTCCTGTAGACCAGCATTTCTCCAAGTGTGGTTCTTGCACCCTCTGGATCAGACTCATGGGCAGTGCTTTGAACATACAGATTCCTAGGCCTTGTTCATTGGAACCTCTGGGAATGATCTTGACTATCTTCATTATTTATTATTTATTTTTAAACTTAATTGAAAGTTCCAAGATATGTACGTAGATGTTCAGGTTTGTTACATAGGCAAATATGTGCCATGGTGGTTTGCTGCACCTATCAACCCATCACCTAGGTATTAAGCCCCAGATGCATTAGCTTTCATTTTTAAAGCCTCCTCTCTACTCCAGCAATATACACACACACCAATGACCAAGTCTTACTGCCCAGTCTATGATCATGTTCTGAGACTCCTCCAGCTCTCCTGTCACCCAAATGTCATCATTTGAAGTCTGTCTGGAATTCCTCCTCATTCATAAAACCTTTCCAGATTCTACCCTCCAAAAATAACATGTTCTTGTTTTGAATTATCACAGCATTTATTTCTATACATGATGACTCTCCCTAATGTTTTCAAGCTCCGTGAAGTGAAAGTTAGTATGCAACTCATACTAGTATCTCCAAAGCTACCTGTCACAAGGCTTTGCCTGGAGTTAAGTGCTCAGTGAAAGTGAATTGAATAGACAGCATGGTGTCCAACCCAGTGTTTTTAGATCATTTTGATAAACCACATGCATTAGACTACCAACCTGACTCAGGGGAGGAAGAGGAGGGAAACTGACAAAACAGACCTTGATCTCTTTCTCTCCTCTCCATTTTCTGATTCCTGCTGCCATCACCATCCCAGGTTGCCTCTATTCCTTAGCTCAAGTCTTGGGAAGGATGCAATGAGTGGGAGCCCTTCCCTACTTCTCTTTAGCACAGTTGAGACTGGTGATGAAATTAGGTTATTTCTCTTTTAATTTAAAAACAAAAAAGTTTATCCATATAGCAAGCACAAACAATGTAAAATCGTCATGTTTCCCTGTTAGAGGCTCCTGTATAGCCCCAGTGACTGGAACAGTTTCTCTGGCATCTTGGCTGACTTCTGGCTGTGTGAGCCCTGCAGGTTGATTGCTGTGCTCACTGTAGCTTTGCTAAACAAAAACCAATCACTCAATCTGCTCCCTTCTTAAAGCACCCTACCATTTTTTGCTCCCACCCACCCACAGTCTCTTTATAGCCTGGATTTTGCTGAGAGGGACATACCTCATCCCTAGGCAGTGACAAGCCAGATGGCACTAACTATTCCCGTGTAATTTCAGACCCAAGAGTATGATCACATTTCAATAGGATGAAAGTAATAATATTCATTTTCCATTCATTCTCATCTCACTATTCCATGTCACTCACCCTGTAGTTCTTCAAACACACCAAGCTCTTTCCCATCTTAAGCCTGTGTATAAGCAATTTCCTGTATGTACAATGCCCTTTTCCCCTATTCACATGAATATATGAATTATTCCTTTAAGAATCATCTTTTCTTTTAAGCCTCAGTTTAAGTATTCAGTCCTCAAAAGAGGCTCCATGGCTGTATTTTTAAAGTTACCTTTCCCAATTCTTTTTCTACTTTAGTCCCTTTATTTCTTTCCTAGCACATACCATAGTCTATAATTCTTCTATTCATTGTTTTCATTGGCTTGCTTTTTGTCTGTATTTCCAAAAATGATAGAAACTGAACAAGATCAAGAGTTGTACCCATCTTCTTCATTTCTGACATGTAGTAGCAGCTCAATAAATATGTGTTGAATGATGGAATAAAATACACAACATATAACCACAAGGAAGAAAAGGGAGTAACAATCAGATACATCAAATCTTTTATTCATATAGTGTGCAATTTTACAACCAGGAAATAACTTTTAATTTTCTAACAGTTAAGATCTCCATGTTACCTATATACTTTGGATTATTTTGCTGTCAAAAGAAATAGATCCTTTTCCTTCTGCTAGGTTGTGACTTACCATAATATTTATTCTATAGTCCCTTAAGAATAAATCTCTTTTATTCCCACTGAACCCAACTCCTAGAGATTACAACTTGACATCCTTATGAGACATCAACACAGGGAAGACAACTTGAAGAAGCAGATGTGGCTATTTTAGAAGAAAAAAGAATTTCCACATACTGTTTTAACTTTGCAAGTCTCAAAGAATTCTTTCATGACAATACACTGAGAACTACTTCGTGAAAATAAATAGCCACAGAGGAATATGGATTTAATTGCTTGAAATGCTGCATTAGCTAAAATAAAACAGCTGTGATCACATTCTGGGGTAAAAACCATTGTTCAACAAAGAGTTCTATTAAAGATCACCCCAGTGATGAGTCTTGTTCTCTCAAACTCAGGCATGCCACTTCCTGGACCACCAGGGTAACAGTGATTTCAATTTGGGGGGACATCTGAGTTGGAGAAATGTTGTCTACGCCATAGGGCACAGGACTGCTTAATAGATTTTTCTTTTTTCCCCCAAATACAGAGCTCAAGTTACTCAAAATTACTCAGCAAAACAAATTCCTTTCATATTTCTATAATCCCAGGACACAAGAAAGGTGCTGGGCTGGCAGCTTGGACTTTCAGAGTTCCAGTTTACTCAAAAATGAGACGAATGAACTAAAAGATGAAATGAAGAGCAGAGTTTGTCCAAGTTCTTCCTGAGCAATCTCAATGAAGAGACCTTGGTCCCCAAGAATATGTCTCCAAGGTGGTGGTATTTTATATTTCTCAGGGTCAGAAACCACCTTGAGATACTGACAGGGCCATAGATCCCTCCACCTAAAATTCTCATGTATGTATCAGCACATAGTTTGAAACCCAACTTCCAGAACGTCTATAAACATCTAAAATTATATATGGCTCACAGGCTCAAAACTCCCATTCTAAAAAAAAAACAGAAGTAGGGCTTGAGATGGGAAAAGCCAAGAATTCAAGTGTTTTTTTTCCACCAACCACTATCATGTATCCATTTTAAATGCCTCTACCACACACCAGTCTCACCCCTAAGCCCTTCGCTGACCATTTGCAAATTTGACGCACAACCAATAGATCAAAGAAAGCAGATAAGTAGAAAGGGAAGTTGAAGGGAAGGGGAGCAGAGGAGCTTTTGAGCAGAAGCTCGAGTTGCAATATTCTGTAGAGTCCTACATTATTAATGTTATCCCCTTGACCTCACAAGCCAATGGTTCTCAAAGTTTAATATGCGTAAGAGTCAATCTGGGAAGGACAACTTAACATGCAGATTTCTAGGTCTCCCCTGGCGTCTGATTCAAAAGGATCTTATTAATATTTTATTAAACACTCAGCTGAAGCTAGTGGTCGATATCCTTTCATCCCCTGCTAAGGGAAACTTCCAGGGAAGAGCTGTAGGGAGAGGTTGCTAGAGGACTCAGCAACTGAAAATTGCCCAACGACTGATTATCAGCTAATCAGGAGCCTTAATTTCATCTGCAGGGTCCCTTTGCCATGTAAGATAACATATTCACGGGCGTGACGGCAGAAGGAGGAGGCCGTGGAGACTGAAATCTTTCCTTTGCCCACCTTTCCCACTTATTTCTCAAGACTCTCCTTCTCCGAGATAACTCTCTAGTGATTTTGCCCCTCGAAAATGACTCGTCCCTTTTTGAATTCCTATTATACCTCGTTTCGCTGTTTATTGTGAACAATAAGCTGGAGATAATATCTTTCACTTGTTCTCTAATTAGTTCATGTTTCTTCTTACCCAATACCCGATTAATAATGCTTTGGGAGCAAAACATGCTTTCAATGTCTCTTCATCTCACACAATATATAACCAATCACAAGCACAGAGTGGGTGCAACCAGCACTTGTTGCTTTCACCTACCCAGCATCTACTCCCCTTTTCTCCTCATTCTACCCTGGTAACAGCATCTCAGTTTCTTTTTGGAGAACTGCTTTCCTCCAGCCCGCATCCTTTTGTTTCAGATGGGGCTAATCCCACCGCCATTCCAGGGGAGGGCAGATGATCTGGGTTGGGCCAATCAGCATAATCCATTTCCCTGGCTGCAGTGATTGGTTCATTATCATCACCTGACCTTTGCCTGCTAATGAGATTTCAGTCTCAGAACTTTCGCAAGTACGACCGAGGAAGTTGCTGAGTCATCTCTTTCCCTGTAAGTTGCTGGGGTTAGTGAGCTTCTGTCAGCCATCTAGTTACCACTAGGGGAAGATCTGTTCAAGAATGGAGCAATACACATTTAAGCAGGACTGAGAGATACAGAGCCAGGGACAGAATCCTACAAACCTGGAGTATTAAGTCCATTTTCACACTGCTATAAAGATTACCCAAGAGCGGGTAATGTATAAAGGAAAGAGGCTTGACTCACAGTTCCGTATGGCTGGGGAGGCCTCAAGAAGCTTACAATCATGGCAGAAGGCAAAGGGAAGACACACATCTTCCTAGCAAGGTGGCAGGAGAGGGAAGTGAAGAGCCACAGGGAAGAGCCCCTTATAAAGCTATCCGATCTCATGAAACTCACCCACTATCATGAGAACAGCCTGGAGGAAACCAACCCCATGATTCAATTACCTCCACCTGGCCTCTCCCTTTACACGTGGTGATTATGGGGATTACAATTCAAGATGAGATTTTGGGTGAGGACACAGCCAAACCATATCACCTGGTTTCTGGATTCAGCCAGGCCAGGAGCTAACCCTACCTCCCGAACTTCTCAGTTCCACCCAGTGTCCACATTAATCTCATGCTTAATGAACATTGATTTGTTAATACCTATTTTTATGCCTGGGAAATATTGAACATATTTGGGTTCTGAAAGCCTACAAAATACCTCTTCACAAAATGTCAGTTGTTTACGTTGTTTGGTAAAGAAGACTCATGTGGTGATAAATTTTGACCTCTGGAACCACACAATTGAATTTGGATCCCAACTCTGCCACTCACAATTTGCATGACTTTGAGCAAGTCACTCAGAAATCTTTAAGCAGAGGAAGACCAGAGTGAAAAATGTGATTGAAAGATCATTTTCTGTGGATGATGGACTAAAGGATGGAGAGGTCAGAGACGCATTATTATTATTATTATTATTTTTTTGAGACGGAGTCTCGCTGTGTCGCCCAGGCTGGAGTACAGTGGCATGATCTCGGCTCGCTGCAACTTCTGCCTCCCGGGTTCAAGTGATTCTCCTGTCTCAGCCTCCCAAGTAGCTGGGATTACAGGCGCACGCCACCATGCCTGGCTAATTTTTGTATTTTTTGTAGAGACGGTGTTTCACCATGTTGGTCAGGCTGGTCTCGAACTCCTGACCTCAGGTAATCCTCCTGCCTCAGCCTCCCAAAGTGCTGGGATTACAGGCATGAGCCACCGCACCCAGCCAGAAGCATTATTAATGTTCAGGCAACAGCAAATGATATTTTAGAGTAATGGCAGCACCATGTAGGATGAAAACCAGGGAACAGACTGCAAAAATTGCAAGGCTTAGTGGCAAACAGAATGTTGAGTGATGGGGGAGATGAAATGAGGAGCAGACTTTGTCCAAATTCTTCCTAAGCAATCTTAGTGAACAGACCTTAGTTTGTTCACCCCAGAGGGTCAACAAAACTAGCTCAAATATCTTTATTTGGAGATGCTAAAACAAAGAGAGAAATACAGACCGCTAGCCAGGTAACAGGATGCTTCTGAATTCTAGTTTATCTGTTATTTTTGACAACGCAGTTTTGGGGTTAGATCTGCAGCTTCCTTCTTCTTGAAGGACTTGAGCAGCTTCTCACCTCTGGGGCAGCAGAGGAAGAGCTTTCTGGCAGGTGATGCTTTCATCTCTTTGAGTTAAAGCTGTGTTCACCCAAGTGTTAGAGGAGTTCCACTGGTGGTACGTTAGGTGTTTTTGGGTGGATCACAGATTGGCTGGCTATGCAGACATTAAGTAACTCTGAATGACACAGAAAGAAAAAGCTGTGTGAAGATGCCTGTCTTCCCTTTGCCTTCCGCCATGATTGTAAGTTTCTGGAGGCCTCCCCAGCCATACAGAACTGTGAGTCAAAACTCTTTCCTTTAAACTTTACCCACTCTTGGGTATTCTTCCTTTCTTTCTTTCTTTCTCTTTCTTTCTTTTTTTTCTTTCTCTTTCTTTCTCTCTCTCTCTCTTTCTCTCTCTCCCTTCCTTCCTTCTTTTCTTTTCTTTCTTTCTTTTTTTTCTGACAGCATCTTGCTCTGTTGCCTAGGCTGGCGTGCAGTTGTGCAATCTCAGCTCACTGCAACCTCTGCCTCCTGGGTTCGAGCGATTCTCCTGCCTGAGCCTCCTGAGCAGCTGAGATTACAGACGC
Source organism: Homo sapiens (assembly GCF_000001405.40). Classification (NCBI taxonomy): domain Eukaryota; kingdom Metazoa; phylum Chordata; class Mammalia; order Primates; family Hominidae; genus Homo; species Homo sapiens. The sequence continues at coordinate 77,659,391 of NC_000016.10, forward strand.
GTGCCACCATGACTGGCTAAGTTTTGTATTTTTAGTAAAGACAGGGTTTCTCGAACTGCTGAACTCAGGTAATCCACCCGCCTGGACCTCCCAAAGTGTTGGGATTACAGGTGTGAGCCACCACGCCCAGCCGGGTATTCTTTATAGCAGTGTGAAAATGGACTAATACACTAAGTTAGTAGGACTCTGTCCCTAGCTCTGTATCTCTCAGCCTTTCAGGCGTCTTGATTATTTTGTTGAAGGGGAAAAAATGAAAAAAAATCATGTGGGAACTAAAACATCTTTTACACCTCTTTCTAGTACTTGCTAATTCCCTTGTTTACTAGGGAGCAGATCTCAGTTTCAAAACCTTGAGGAGGGCACAGTCTCTAGCTAGAGTTTAGTAATATGGTTGTGTCTTTGTTGAATTTATTTTTACACATGCTTTCTATTTATGGCAAACGGAACTTGTTTTCCCAATTATAATAGCTATATGCCTCTTTTGAAAATAACTTATTTTATCCTAAGTAAAATGACTCTGTTTAAAGGAAACTAAAGAAACGTGGCACACAGCCATGGCAGAAATTGAGAAAAGTGTCTACAAATGATGGCTGTCTAGGGCCACTGCTTCCAAAACATTATTCCTTGATGGTTAAACCTCTGGCACTATGGCAAACATCATCTTAGGAGGTTTAGCACTGAGAACATCATTCCAATTATACATTGTAGCTAAAAGCCTACAGTGAGTAAAGGTGCCCTCTCTCTGGATAGCATATGCTTCTTGGCACACTTGTCCTACCCCAGGAAGAATCTCTCAGCACTGCTGGGTGTCTGCCCCTAACCTGTACTGAGAACAACCCTGCTGTGTATGCAGCATTCTTGTGGGAGCCTAGTGCGATCTCCTCAACAATGCCTAAACAATCCAGGAGTTTGTTTCACTCATTGTGAATAAACACGCACAGCCGCGATCTTTGGAGATGTTCAGGCTCTTGCTCCCAGACGCCCACCCTTTGGCTGCCCATGGGATGGAAGCATCAGCTCTTCCCAGACGCCCGCCACTCTTCTGCTGAACATTCATTCACACGTGCCTCAGGAAAATCTTCGGACACGCACATCAAGCCATCTGGCATGGGAGTGTTTAATTTTGAGAGTGATCTTTTGTTTATTGAGAAGCAGACTCTTCAAGGGGAAAAAAAAATCACTTCTGGCTGACGAGAAGAGTTCCAACGCTACTAAACTTCTCCCCCTAGTGGACTTTTCAATGAGGCTTGCAAATCACTCTGAACCAGGAGTCCAAAGACCATTGTCATCGGGGCTTGTAGCTTTTGAATTTTACAAAAATGGCATTAAAAAACAAAAAAAATCATTAACCATGTGCATTCCCCTGCCGTGTGTGTGTGTGTGTGTGTCTGTGTATGTGTGTGTCTGTGTTTACTATATAACACCAACTACATGACATTCAGGAAAAGGCAAAACTATGGAGACAGTAAAAACAACAACAACAAAAATCAGTGATTGCCAGGGGCTGAGGGGGAGGGAGGGATGAATAGAGAATTTTTTTAAAAAGATAATTTTTTTGGCCGGGCGCGGTGGCTCACGCCTGCAATCCCAGCAATTTGGGAGGCCGAGGCAGGCAGATCACAAAGTCAGGAGATGGAGACCATCCTGGCTAACACGGTGAAACCCCGTCGCTACTAAAAATACAAAAAAATTAGCCAGGCGTGGTGGCGGGCGCCTGTAGTCCCAGCTACTCGGGAGGCTGAGGCAGGAGAATGGTGTGAACCTGGGAAGCGGAGCTTGCAATGAGCCTAGATCGCACCACTGCACTCCAGCCTGCATGACAGAGCAAGATTCCGTCTCAAAAAATAAATAAATAAAAAATAATAAAATAAATAAATAATGATTTTTTTTACAGAAGTCTTAGGTTTACAGTACAATGGATAGGGAGGTAGAGACATATCCATATACTTCTGACATACATATGGCCTCTCCCATTATCAATGTCCCACACTAGAATGGTATATTTGTTATAACTGATGAATCTACAATGGCACACCATTATCATCTAAAGTCACAGTTTACATCAGGGTTCACTCTTTATGTCCATTCTATGACTTTGGACAAATACATAATCACACGTGTCTATCACTTGCATCATACAGAGTAATTTCGCTTCCCTGAAAATCTTTTGTGCTCCACCTGTCCATCCTTCCCTCCCACTTAATCCCTGGTGATCCCTGATCTTTTTACTCTCTCCATAGTTTTGGCCTTTCCAGAATGTCATATAGTTGGAATTTTATAGGATCTAACCTTTTCAGATTGGCTTCTTTCACTTACTAATATGCATTTAAGTTTCTGCCATATCTTTTCATGGCTTGATAGCTCATTTGTTTTCAGTGCTAAACAATATTCCATTGTCTGAATGTATACAGTTTATCCACAAACTATTCATATTTACCTTACTATATCCTATTAAAAGATATCTTGGTTGCTTCCAAGTATGGGCGATTGTGAGTAAAGCTGCTATAAGTATATCTGTGTGCAGATTTTTGTATAGACATAGGCTTTCTGAGTGTGGTCTCAGGTCAGTAGCATCAGCATCACCTGGGAGCTTGTTATAAATGCAGAACCTCAGGCCCACCAGATCTGCTGATTTAGAATCTGCATTTCAACAAGGTCTGTGGGTGATTTATGTTAAAGGTTGAGATGTGCTAATGTAGAATACCTAGTTATGGAAAGTAAAAAGTTCTCTTCAAAGTTTCCATTCTTGTTAAAGGATAATAATAATAAATATTAGAAATAATAGTTTCTTTTAAAGACTTTCTTGAAAGCCTTCTTGCTTTTTGCTAATAACTCTTTGTTAAGCCTTATCCTATGCAGCTGTTAGACATAAGGGAATAAGTACATTCTATGTCCTTGTACTTTAACCAAGATACTTGTGGTAGACATGCTCACAGGCACGTAGTACATTCTATGTCCTTGTACTTTAACCAATATATTTGTGCTAGGCATGTTCACAGGCAAGTTCCAGCTCACAGCCTATGCCCCTTCCTTATTTTGAAATGTTATTACTTTTCTAAGTCCTTTCGCAAGCAACTTCCTCTTTTCATTTTGTTCTCCATTGCCTCTACCGATTTAGAAAAGTTTTGAGTTATTAGCCAATCAGGTTTAGCTTAGACTGGGAGGTCCAGCTCCAACCAACAGAGATCAGACACAGCAGTAAGCACCCAATGCGTAAGGGATAAATATTCCTATCTTTCCTTTGTTCATTGTACTCTCATGGCAAGATTGCTGATGAGCAGTACCCTTTCTGCAGAAAGTAAAGTTGGCTTGCTGAGAAAATTTTTTTGTCTGAATGTTAATTTTTCCTTGTGGTAGCAAGGAACAAGCATTTTATTTATAACACTGGTCCCTATCCTCAACTTGATTTCAGCCCATTAGAAAACTTGGGGGGAAAAATGTCTTTGGTGGAGTTACATGGGAAGAAAAGCAGCAATGTGCTTAACAATAACAAACTTCATGTATTGGGCCAGGTGTGGAGGCTCCTGCCTGTAATCCCAGCACTTTGGGAGACCGAGGCAGGTGAATGAACTAAGGCCAGGAGTTTGAGACCAGCCTGGCCAACATGGCAAAACCCCATCTCTTCTAAAAATACAAAAATTAGCCTTGCTTGGTGGCGCGTACCTGTAATCCCAGCTACTTGGGAGGCTGAGGCAGAAGAATTGCTTGAACCTGGGAGGCAGAGGTTGCAGTGAGCCAGGATCACACCACTGCACTCCAGCCTGGGCAACAAAACGAAACTCTGTCAAAAAAAAAAAAAAGAACTTCATCCTTTTGATTTCATTTCTCAGTTTCTTTACTCACAGCTTTTCCCAACTGAGATGTCTTTATATGTCTTTATCTCTCCTCCATGTGTCCAGTTCTTGCTAAGTTTTTATTCACTAATTATCTCTGGGAACTTACCACATACCAGGCACAGTGTTACACACAAGGCATAGACCCCCCTTCAACACACACACTTTTTTTGAGACAGACTCTTGCTCTGTTGCCTAGGTTGAAGTGCAGTGGTATGATCATGGCTCACTGCCGCCTTGACCTCCCAGGCTCAAGAGTTCCTCCCACCTCAACCTCCAGGGTAGCTGGGACTACAGGCATGCACTACCATGCTCAGCTAAGGTTTTACTTTTTTGTAGAGAAGGGGTCTCCCTATGTTGCCCAGGCTGGTCTCAAACTTCTAGGCCCAAGCTGTCCCCCTGCCTCAGCCTCCCAAAGTGCTGGCATTACAGGCGTGGACCACCACACCTAGCAACCGTTCTCTTAGGCATGCAAAAAGTTAACAAGACATTACAGTTTCTCTGTCTTCCCTACTAGATTAAATACTGTAATGGGAGTAAGCACATCAGCTATTCTGGAAGGTGTCCGGGAGAGGGTAAAGAACTGACACTTGTCCTGCTCCATCCAGTACCAGACACTCTAGTCGGGCTGCACATCTGTCACCTCCTGTCTGCAGAATTTCTGTTATATAATTCTGTGTCAGACAGCTGCCATAGTACTTTAGGTCACAAGCCACTGGGAATTTGAACAGTGACTGAGAGGGAATTTCATCTTCCACCAGATGGTCAGGGAAGGGGTTGAGTTAATCTCATCTAGTTCCTAAGGGGTGGGGAACCACCTTTTATTGTTGGATTGTACACTCTAAATGAAGCCCCTAATCCTGAGATGGAACATGGGTTTCTTCTCACTTGTCAATCATGAATGTGTGTCAATGATTCCTGAAGCATTCTATTGAGGGATCCTAGAGAACATGCAATAAGGGGGAAAAGTTATTTTTTAAAAAATGCAAATCCAATCACATTGGATTTGCTTAAAATCTTTCAATAATTTCTCAATCCTCTTAGGTCATGGTAGGGATTTGGGTCTTTAGTGCATAAGTTCCTGAATGGCCTAGACTTTATTAATCTCACTAGCATTATCTTTTCTACTCCTCTTTTTGTTTTTGTTTTTAATTCCAGCCACACTTGCTTTCCTTCTGTTCTCTCTTAAATTCCATGTTCCCTCGTACCACAGGGCCTTTGCACAAGCTCTTTCTTTTTTCTTTTCTTTTTTTCTTTTTTTTTTTTTTTTTTTTGAGATGGAGTCTGACTCTCTCGCCCAGGCTGGAGTGCAGTGGCATGATCTTGGCTCACTGCACCCTCTGCCTCCTGGCTTTGAGCAATTCTCCTGCCTCAGCCTCCCAAGTAGCTGGGATTATAGGCACGCACCACTATACCTGGCTAATTTTTTGTATATTTAGTAGAGACAGGGTTTCACCATGTTGGCCAGGGTGGTCTCGAACTCCTGACCTCAAGTGATCCCACGCCTCGGCCTCCCAAAGTGCTGGGACTGCAGGCGTGAGCCACCGCGCCTGGCCTGCACATGATCTTTCTCAACCTCCTTTATCTGAAAAATTCCTGGTCATCCTTTGGACGTTGGTCAAAATATCCCTTTTTCAAGGAAAGTGTCCTCATCTCCCAGGCTGATCCTCTGCTCATGCATTCTCGGTGCTGCTAACGGCTCCTTCAAAATCCTTACCACATTTTCACTGAACTATTATTTCTATGATTATTTACTGGTTACCGCCATCTCCAGACCTCTGCTGTTCATTCTGGTAGCGCCTGGTCACATGTGGCTGTTGAATATTTGAATTGCCACTAGTGCAACAACGGAAATCAATTTTTAATTTTATTTAATTCTAATAAATATAAAAGCTGATACTTGATTTCCTTTATGGAAATTTTAAAAGTATGGAACAACTGGAGTATGCAAGTCTACTTTTTCAGGTGTAAATTTTATGAAATCTAAAACAGACCAAGTATTTCCAATGGAAACTTAGCATCTAAATTAACATGTGCTGTATTCGTAAAATATAGACTAGATGAAGACTTAGTATGAACAGTAATGTAAAATACGTTATTAGTATTTTTCATATTGAGTTTATGTTGAAAAGATAACAGAGGTAATGGAAACAAAATACATTAACAAATTTGTTAAATTAACAGATTTATTGTACCTGTTTCCTTTTACATTCCCATGTGACTCCTAGGAAATCTCAGTTACGTCTGTGGCTCACATTGTATTTCTGCTGGACTGTGCTGCTTTACTGTAGATTATAAGGAGAGTTCTTAAAACCAAAACCAAGCATCAATTTAAGTGTTCAGTACCTAGTAAAGTATTTGGAAAATAATAGATGCTGAATAAACTTTTTCTGACATTTAAATAAATGAATGAGTAGCCATCTTTGTAAAGGTGAAGAGAGGATATAGCAAGTTTTCCCTGTATTTTCTTTTTTGTTTTTTTCTTTTCTTTCTTTATTTTTTTTGAGACAGAGTCTCGCTGTGTGGCCCAGGCTGGAGTGCAGTGGTGTGATCTCGGCTCACTGCAACCTCCACCTCCCCGGTTCAAGGATTCTCCTGCTTCACCCTTCTGCATAGCTGAGACTACAGGCGTGCTTTTGCCACCACACCTGGCTAATATTTTTTTGTTTTTGTTTTTGGTAGAGATAAAAATTTCACCATGTTGTGCAGGCTGGTCTCGAACTCCTGAACTCAAGTGATCTGCCTGCCTTGGCCTCCCAAAGTGATGGCATTACAGGTGTGAACCACTGCACCGGGGCTGTCCTATATTTTCTAACTTTATGCTAATTTTTTCTTTGCCTAGCATAGTGCCTTGAAAACAATGACAATAACAACTACAACTGTCATTTTCAGTTACCTACTGTGTGCAAAGGACTTTTAACCTTGTATAAATGTTGTATAAATTAGGGACAATGTATATGAAGTAACTTACCCAAAATGACATTATTAGAAGACAGCATCTAGTAAACAATTGCTTGTCAATAATTGACTAAATAAACAAACAACCCCACGAAGCCCAACAGGCCTCAATTATTATCGAGCTCACTCAATTATTGACAAACAACAGAGCTTTGTGGGGTTGTTTGTTTTTTCACACAATTATTGACAAGCAATTCAAGAATCATGATAAAATCTTTCAAGATCTCTGTTGTCTTGGATATGAATATGATTCCTTCGATTTTATCTGATCTGAGATTGCTTTCCCCAGTTTATAAAAGCTCATAAGAGATTTTTAAGTCTGAAATTCTGAAATAGAAACAAGAAAAAATTATCTGTTAACAAGAGAGTAAGTTTCTCAGGTTACAATAAATTAGGTTTGGAAACACCAAACACACATCTGCCCTCAGGAGCTTGAGAGAAGGTCCTGTTCAATCTGTAATTTGCCCAAAGATACTCTAAAAACACCACAAAACCTAATTAATTAGGAATAGGTGAACTTCAACGTGCTGGAGCCATTGGGCACTTTAGGCTAATTATCCAGCCTTACAAGCATAAGGAAACACACTGTGTATTTGGCTACATGCTTTGCTCTCAACTTTTAAACCTGTATGTATATTTTAATGGCAATTTAATCCATATGGTTGAGATTATCTGCATTCAGTTCATCAGAAAGCAATTTCTGAAAGAAACTCCAATCTAGTAACTTCCTCAGTGTGCTGTGCCAGACGTGAGCTCCTTCTGTACAGATTTCTCTAGCAGAGCCGGCTGGGTGGTATTAACATTAATATTAACTAAAGGCAACATCGAGATTAAGTACAGGGACTCTTCAAGCCAAATAGCCTTGGTTCAAAAATCTGTATTTCACCACTTGGTGTGTGTGTGGCTTTGGACTTACTTTCCTGTTAGAGTTTGGATCTGTGTCCCCATCCAAATCTCATGTTCAATTGTATTCCTCAGTGTTGGAGGTGGGGCCTGGTGGGAGGTCATTGAATCATGAGGGCGGATTCTTATGGTTTAACACCATCCCCCTTGGTGCTGTCACCACGACAGTGAGTTCTCATGAGATCTGGTGGTTTAAAGTGCTTGGCACCTACCCCACACCCCTCTTGCTCCCGCTCCAGCCATACAAGATGTGCCTGGTTCCCTTTCACCTTCTGCCATGATCGTGAGCGTCTTCAGGCCCACCCGGAAGCCGAGCAGATGCCAGCCTCATGCTTCCTGTACAGGCTGTGAAACCATGAGCCAATTAAACCTCTTTCTTTATAAATTACCCAGTCTCAGGTATTTCTTTACAGCAATGCAAGAATGGATGAATTCATAAAAGGGGTAAAGTAACAATAACCCGTGTGGGTTATAGTAAAGATGAACTGAGTCCATGTAAAGGCTTCCCTCTGTGAAGATTCTGTAAGCCAGACACTGTTCTAACCATTAGCTATCAGTGTTATTATTAGGCTCCGTTGCAAGTGACAGAAAAATAACACTGGAATGGCTTGTACATGATGGTTTATTTCTTTTACACATAAACACAGGCAGTCCAGGGCTGGAATGATGACCCCATGCTCATCAAGAACCCAGATGCTTTGTATCCTGTTTCTCTACCAACATCAGCACACATTTCTCACCCACTGATCCAAGGTGACAACCCCAGCTCTAGCCAATTTGCCCACATTCCAGCCAGAAGGAAGGAAGAAAGGCAGAAAGTCACATTTCCTTCCTTCAAGACTGCTTCCTAAGATTGCTTGGGGCTAGGAGTTCAAAAACAGTCTGGGCATCATAGTGAAACCTTGTCTCCATAAAAAAAATAAATAAATAAACAATTAGCTGGGCATGGTGACATGTGCCTGTAGTCCCAGCTACTCGCTACCCAGGAGGCTTGAGACAGGAAGATCCCTTGAGCCCAGGAGTTCGAGTCTGCAGTGAGCCACAATCATATCACTGCACTCCAACCTGAATGACAGAGTGAAAGCCCGCCTCTAATTTTTTATTTTTTTAAGAATGCTTTCTAGAGGTTACACATACCCCTTCTGCTTCTATCCCAGTGAATGGAACTTAATCTCATGGCCATGAGTAGTCTTAAAGGAGACTGAAGAATGTAGTTTTTTATTCTACAATTTATTCTATTATTATGACTGTAGAAGAAAGAGAGAGAACACATACTGAGAACATCCAGCTGTCTCTGTCACAGATTTGGAATAAAGGATGAAACACTCCATCCTTGACAACAAGCTGTGTGCAGATCTGCCATGCATACTAAATGGAGATCTTTGGAAAATAGAATGTGGTTGGAGAAAACTACATCTTTAACTCAGTACGCAGCAGTCTCCACATGCTGTTTGTTTATAAATCCCAAAAATATATGCTGCATAAGACACTAAATAAATGTTGATTCTAATTATTGTACAAAAGTGACCACAAATCTCCTCTTCTTTCCACTCTCACCAGAATTATATCCATGGAAGATCTTCAGATGCTTGTGGATTTAGAAAGAAAAGGAAGATCACAACTTCTCTTGCCACACTCCAAAGCCACCTTCTAACCCTCTTTCCTCTATCATAACTGAGAAAGTGATGATGCTCCAGCAAGCTCAGGGTGCCCCTCCAGAGACTGACCACAGATACTTGTGTTAGACAAGACACCTTCCAACCCTGTCTGCATCTTTACAAATAAAAGATGTTGACAACACACCCATAGATAATAGGAAACATATTTTTGGCCAGTGAGTGAGCTTTTTTGGTCAGGCTTGAGGACTGTAGCAGATATTTGTTGGAAGCCTTCCCAGCAGCCCACTCCCCTTTCTCCTTCTGAACAACAAAACGGTATTTCCCAGCCTTGCAGTGAGCCTTAGGATTGGCTTAAGCCAATCAAAATGTGTGCAACTCTGTGTCCACAACAATTATTTCAGAGTTGGGCATGTGATGGAATGAGATGTGAAGATGTGGGAGCCTTGGAGAAAGAAGTTTCAGTCGATGTTGCCATTCTCTTGGGATCACAGAGATACTCGGTTTCAGTTGGGGTTTCTGTTAAGTAGTATTCTCACCAACACTGAGCCATGAAAGGAAATGCTGGCAATATTTAACAGGAGACAAACTAATCAGGAGGCCATAAGTGAACACTTATGATACCAGGCGTACCAAGATGGAAATGCTACTCTACCATTTTACCACTTGTGTTATTTGAAGGAAACACAGATGCAGTTTCTTAATCAGGAAACTGGGGATAACTATATTGATCTCACAGCATTGTGCATATAATGCCAGACAACATAAATGAAATTGCCCAGTGCCAAGCCTGTTTCCCAGACACAGAAATCAATAAGGACACAGATAAAAAGAAAAAGAAAAATTATGTTTGCTGAGTGGCTGGCTACTATAAAAACAAATTGTATATGGAGAGTCCCCATAAGGTACACCCAAGGAGGCAGAAGGGCAGAGCTAGGATGAGCAGCTTGGATCCCCAGACTTCACGTGACAGGACATGAACGACAGCAATCCCAGCCACTCTGAGTAAAACTTACATACAGTAAACAGAAAATACGTTTTATGGCATAGTTCTGCAAGTTGACAAGCACATTCAGTTGTATAACCATCATCACACTCAAGATATGGAACAGTTCTACCATCCACCAAAATTCCCCCATACTGCTTTGACTCCTTTCTCCATCCCAATTCCTACCCCCAAAAGATCCACGAGCCACTGATCCATTTTCTATCCCTATAGTTTAACCTTTTCTAGAATGTCATATAAACAGAATCATCCACTTAGTGGTCTTTTGAGTCTGACTTCTTTTACATCATATAATGCATTTGAGAATCATCTAGGTTGGGGTGTAAACCAGTATTTTGTTTCCATTGCTTGCCATTTAACATTTGATTAAAGCCCATCTTTCTTCTTAACGGTGTAAGCCACATGGGATGACAGAGTTGGGGGAAAGAGAGCTGAGTTCCAATGATCATTTTCAAACATATGCACCCAAATACATATATTTGAAACTGTTGGAGGGAAAGAAGCATGTTGGAATGTGCTATAGACCAAATCGTGTCCCAGCAAAAATCCTGTGTTGAAGCCCCAGCCCCCACTGTGACTGTATTTGGAGACAGAATCTTTCGGAGGTAATTAAGGTTAAATGAGGTCACCCGGGTGCAGTGGCTCACGCTTGTAATCCCAGCACTTTGGGAGGCCAAGGTGGGCAGACAGCTTGAGCTCAGGGCTTGAGACCAGCCTGGGTAACATAGTGAAACCCCGTCTCTACAAAAAATACAAAAATTAGCTGGGCATGGTGGCACCAACCTGTGGTCCCAGCTACTTGGGAGGCTGAGGTGGGAGGATGGCTTGAGCCCAGAAGAAGAAGGTTGCAATGAGCCAAGATTTAGCCACTGTACTCTAGCGTGGACAAAAGACCAAGACCTTGTCTCAAAAAAAAAAAAAAAAAAAGTTACATGAGGCCATAAGGGTGGGGCCTTAATCCAATAGGATTGGTGTCCTTATACGAGGAGGAAGAGAGGCCAGAGCTAGGCAGCACACTCTCTCTTTCTCCCCCAACCCCACCTCCCTAGCCACGTGAGGATAAAGCAAGAAGCCAAAAAGAGAGCCCTCACCAGAACCCAACTATGCTGGAGTTTCATTTGGGACTTGTAGCCTCCAGAATGCAAGAAAGTTAATTTCTGTTGTTTAAGCAACCCAATACCAAACTATAGTATTTTATTATGGCAGCTTAAGCAGACCAATACTGAGTGGCTCAGAAAACAGACCTGCAGCCAGGAGTCAGTGAGCTGGGTTTGATCCCAAAAGTGTTTCCTTTTTTATGGAACAGGGATGAAAACAACCTTCCATGCAGGCTCATCATGAAGACTAAACCACATAGGTGATATGTAAAATTTCTAGCCCATTTCTTGACACTAGGAAATGCCCAATATGGGGCACTTCAAATTGTCCAGCTTTGTATCCATCCCTGCATCCAATATGAACCCTTATATATGCCGGGATGCTCTGCAAATATTTGCACAAAAAAATTGAAATCCAACTGGACATACTAAGGAACCTGTCTGTGTTTTGATTTTTTTAATTTGTAAAATGAAGTTGTTAATGCAAACGAATGTTTCTGAAACCCATCTAGTATGTTTAACACGATCTAAACAGGAAGTGATTTTATGGTAGTCATTTCCATGTTAGTATAAGCAGATTTCAGTTATCATTCCCACAATTAGATGTTTGCATGTTAAACTATTTACCAATAATTATGAAAAGGAAGCATGTGTAACTTTTTGAAATATAATGTCTCTACAACCAGATGGAAAATATTTGGGAGAGGTAAAGAGGGACAGTGAGGTGCTTTTTTTTCACCTGGAATGACAATTGGTTCTTCTCAAGGCTTTGACGGGAGCCTAAGGTAAAGAGGAATGAGAAAAGCAACATGTCTCTTGGCCTTCATAGCTCCCTTAGGGAAGGAAGAGGGGACAGGTGGCTGTTTTGTCTACTCATTGGTACCCACAGTGGTATGCTAGAGCTGGCTCATTCCAGCTCTTCAGAGCCACTTGTGCACTTCCCTTCCCAGCTCCATGTTCAGGGATATCATGTTGGTGGCTTAAAATTGGCCATGCTGGGAATTTACACCGTGGAAGGTGTGATGGTCAATAACTGAGTGTCAACTTGATTGAATTAAAGGATGCAAAGTATTGTTCCTGGGTGTGTCTGTGATCACGAAGCTGGCGATAACTATCTTGATCTCACAGCATTGTGCATATAATACCCATGTGAAGGTGTTGCCAAAGGAGATTAACATTGGAGAGTCAGTGGACTGGGAGAGGCAGACCTACCCTCAATCTGGGTGGGCACCATCTAAACAGCTGCCAGCACGGCTAGAGAAAGCAGACAGGAGAAGATGGAACAGCAGACTTGCCGAGTCTTCCAGCCTTCATCTTTCTACCCTGCTGGATGCTTCCTGCCCTCGAACATCAGACTCCAAATTCTTCAGCTTTTGGACTCTTGGACTTACACCAGTGGTTTGCCAGGAGCTCCTGGGGCTTTTGACCACAGACTGAAGGCTGCACTGTGGGCTTCCCTACTTTTGAGGTTTTGGGACTCAGACTGATCCACCACTGGCTTCCCTGCTCCTCAACTTGCAGACGGCCTATGGTAGGACTTTACCTTGTGATCGTGTGAGTCAACAGTCCTTAATAAACTCCCTTTCATATATACATATATGCCATTAGTTCTGTCCCTCTAGAGAACCCTGACTAATACAGAAGGCAAATGCTACACATGAGGGCATCCCTCACTTCTCTGGAGAGTCAGTTGTTAAACACTTACCAGGGCCATGGCCCAGAGTCACTACTACTTCCCAGGGAAGGAGCAAGGAGCAATGCGAACTGCCCTTCAGAAGGGTGGAAAATGGATGGCAGAGGAGTTGGGTAAATGCACCAAGAGAGTCAACAAGGTTAAAGAAGGCCAGAATTTGTATACATGTGCCATGTTGGTGTGCTGCACCCATTAACTCGTCATTTAGCATTAGGTATATCTCCTAATGCTATCCCTCCCCCCTCCCCCCACCCCACAAACCTGCACATGTACCCTAAAACTTAAAATATAATAATAATAAAATTTAAAAAAAAAGAAGGCCAGAATTTGGAGTCCATTTTTGTTTATTTTTTTGAGACAGAGTCTCACTCTGTTGCCCAGGCTGGAGTGCAGTGACAGGATATTGGCTCACTGCAACGCCCACCTCCTGGGTTCAAGCGATTCTCCTGCCTCAGCCTCTCAAGTAGCCGGGATTACAGGTGTGCACCACCACGCCTGGTTAATTTTTATACTTTTAGTAGAGACGGGGTTTCATCATTTTGTCCAGGCTGGTCTTGAACTCCTGATCTCAGGTGATCCTCCCACCTCGTCCTCCCAAAGTGCTAGGATTATAGGCATGAGCCATCGCGCCCTGCTAGAATTTGGAGTTTAGACAGAAGATCTTTCTTTATCCCTCACCATTTTTGAGGTTCAGTGTATATTTGAGATCTGATTCCGATAATTAAACCATGTGTGGTATTGAGAAAAGTATATTCATGGATATCTTTTTACCCAGTAACTCCACTGCCAAAACACCTACCCCCAATAAAAGTATAAAGAATCCGTGCAAGGATTTAGGTCATCAGGTGGCTTCACACAATGTGATTGTCATAGAGTACAGCCTGGAACCATCTCACATCCTGCAACAAGGTTCTAGTTACCTCTGTTACGGTGAACCCATGCAACCAGGTACTGTCAGTCTTTAAATATTCTTCTAAAACTTGATTTCTGATAGTGTGGGAGAGGAGTCATGACAAGTAAGAAAAGTTACAAGGCAGAATGATTTTAATAAGAGTTGTATAAAATGTAAAAATCCATAAAGGTTATAGAGTAGTTAACTTTGAGTGGTGGGGTTAATGGTAATTTTTTTTTCCTTTGGTGCTTTTCTATATTTTCAAATTTCCCCATGGTGAGAATGGATTACTTTTTGAAATAAGAAAAAAAAATGAAATACTGCTTTTGGTTTGTTTGTTTTGTTTTGTTTTTGAGATGGAGTCTCTGTCGCCCAGTCTAGAATGCAGTGGCTCCATCTCGGCTCACTGTGACTTCAGCCTCCTGGGTTCAAGTGGTTCTCTTGCCTCAGCCTCCCAAGTAGCTAGGATTACAGGCACGCACCATCACACTCAGCTAATTTTGTATTTTTAAGTAATTTCTCCAACTAGATAATGTAGCAACTTAAAACCTAAAATGTGGTTTCTCTATATAAAAGGAGTTTGAGGCCGGGCGTGGTGGCTCACGCCTGTAATCCCAGCACTTTGGGAGGCCGAGGCGGGTGGATCATGAGGTCAGGAGATCGAGACCATCCTGGCTAACACAGTGAAACCCCGTCTCTACTAGAAATACAAAAAATTAGCCGGGAGCGGTGGCGGGCTCCTGTAGTCCCAGCTACTTGAGAGGCTGAGGCAGGAGAATGGCGTGAACCCAGGAGGCGGAGCTTGCAGTGAGCCGAGATCGCGCCACTGCACTCCAGCCTGGGCGACAGAGCCAGACGCTGTCTCAAAAAAAAAAAAAAAAGAGTTTGAGGCCGGGCGCGGTGGCTCACACCTGTAATCCCAGCACTTTGGGAGGCCGAGGCAGGCGGATCATGAGGTCAGGAACTCAAGACCGGCCTGACCAACATGGTGAAACCCTGTTACTACTAAAAATACAAATATTAGCCAGGTGTGGTGCCTGTAATCTCAGCTACTCAGGAGGCTAAAGCAGGAGAATCGCTTGAACCCGGGAGGTGGAAGTTGCAGTGAGCTGAGTTTGCACCACTGCACTCCAGCCTGGGCAACAGGGCGAGACTTGGTCTCAAAAAAAAAAAAAAAAAAAAGGTAGTTTGAATTAATGAGATTTAACAAACATTATGCCTAATAGGTAATATAACAAGGGCAATGAAATCACCAATTGTATCTGAAAAAACAACCATAGCTATTTCTTTCTCCTTCCTGTATCTTCCTCCCGCTTCTTTTACTGATAATATTTACGGATCATTTTCCACGTATAAGCCTTGGAGCCAAGTAAATTAAATAAATTAACTCGTTTATTTTTCAGAACAAAACTATGAAATAGATACTACTTGTATCTCCACGCAGAAACATACAGAAACAGAAGCTTAGCGTCAATAAATGGCTTGCCCAAATTCTCATTGCCAGTAAATGCAAAACTCTAACCCTAGTTAATAAAAGCACACATTTTGTATTAGTAAATAATCAAATTAAGCCTTGTTACTCACATGGTTGCCCCTTTAAGGAGTTGGTAGCCTCAATGCTCAGAAAGTTAAGCTCAAATATGTACTTTTAGTTCCATGGATTCCTTGTGTTGTGGTCACAGTCGAAGACTAAACAATTGCAACACGATGACCCACACTGCAGATATTTATCCAAAAACACAAAGGAACTTTTCACCTATCAGCTATCAACACGACTTTAGAGACAGTCAACAGGATTTTCAGTTGGTCAGGCAAGAACTAATCATTGAGGATCTCGTGTGTACATGACACTGTTACTAAATTCTGGGGCTACAGCAGCAAAATAAGGTGAATATGATCCCTGCCCTTATGCAGTCTGTAGCCTTGTAAGAAAGTCTAAGGAATTCAATAAGCAAGATAAACGCTGTGATGGAGAATTACAGGCTTCGTTGTGAAGCTGTCACCCTCTTGACATAATAATGGTTATACTCATAGCTACATTCAGTCCCGGTTTAACTTGATCATCTTTTATAAAACTGACTATGCTTGGCAAATTTTTTTGTCCACAGGGTAGATTCATTGCATGCACTCTTCTGGGACTTGATAAACCAATTTCTAAATGTTCACAGACTTACAAAGTAGAATAGACCAGGACTCCTGCAAAACACCTCTTAGTAATACGGAAAGAGTTTGAGACTTAGTAAAAGAATGACAATTACACGGGTGGCTAAAGGAGTGGCCGCTTCCAATATTCCTCTTGAAAGAAACATTATCACCCCCCACTGCTCGGCCCCCGCTCCTTTAATAAAAGACTACGCTTTCCATCCTGGTACCAGAATTCCAAGAAATCCCTCACACACACCCCAAGGAACCCCAGGATTGCCATTTCTCCTTGCAGGGAGAATCTTTCAGTTTGACATCTGGCTGGCTTTATTGACGGATTTCTCATGCACTTCCCTTTGCTGCAATATGCACACTATCCAGCAGAGGGCAGGATTATACAACACATTCTCCCCGTTAGACCTAAACGAGAGGATGGCACAGACCCACCAGCGTCAGAGGAGGTTAAAAAGCACAGGACACATTTTTGCCTGTGCGCTAAGAGATGACAGCATGAGAAATATTAAATACTTGGAGCTGGGACTCAATATGCCCGAGACCTGGAGTCAGTCTGGTAGTCACTTCAACTGTGGATTGCAATTTTCCCAAATGGATGGTGAAAGTTTTCTATTAGGTTGCAAAAGTAAGTGCAGTTTTCGCCATTAAAAGTAACGGCCCTCAAATCTGATTTCTCCTCTAAATTTCTATAATTCTACATTTTGGCGTATTTGATAAATAACCCTCAAATTTAATAAATGACCCTCAAATCTTATTTAATAAATGACCCTCAAATCTTATTTCTCCTCTAAATTTCTATAGTTCTACATTTTGGCTTATTCTGAAGTAACTCTCCTGAAGTTGTACTCTTTCTAGAATACAAATTGGACCACGTGTCTCCCTGGTTTAAAATCTGGGAGTAGGAATTTAGAATGTGAGATCATTCACACCTAAGGGATCCAAATCTCTCCTTCAAGTCAAGAGCAAAATCTTCCTCCCCAGTTTGGGAGTCAGAGGTTGTGTTGGTTATAGGAGTAATAATAATAATAATAGGACAATATTCGTTGATGTACCAGGCAAGTGCGAAGTGCTTTACGTGAATTAATGCATGAATTCCTCTCACTCACCCAATGAAGTCAATATTCTTACTATCCCTATTTTTAGATGAGGACAAAGAGATCCCTATTGTTAGATGAGGACAAAGACAAGAGATGAAGTGCATTGCCCAAGAGCATGCTGATAGGAAATGGTGCCACTGGGTCTAAACTCCAGAGAATGGGCTCACAGCTGCTCTTATATTGCCTTCAATGACTTTGGAGGTGGGAGAGGAGCTGACCAAAGACAACTACAGGACTTTGAACTAAGACATGTTAATTCATTCACTCATTCACATACTCTCTCAAAGACATACCAAGTGCCTACTATGTCCCAGGTACTTCATTAAGCACTGGAATCCAAAAATTTGTAATGTAGCATCCTGCCTAGTCACATGGGTTTCTGCCATAAAGTTCAGAAGCCTGGGAGTAAGAATAGGGAAGGAAAATTCACTACTGACACAATGTTAAGGTTTTGCTGGGTAGGCACAGTGAAAAGTAGAGTTCAGGGTATGAAAGGTGCTAGGGAGACAGTGGTTCAGGCAACCAACCATGAGGTCCAGCTAAAAACATGAGCACCCTCCTGATCTGCAGCCTGGCCAGTGTGTTATGAATCTGCCCCACTTCCCAGCTTTTTCCCAGCCAATCGTTCTATTTTGCTAACCGGGCTAAATGCCTCAGGCGAAGGACCAGAAATACTGGATTCCATCATAGCACAGATTATGCAACCTAGGGAAACCATTCACCATCTCTGAGCTTGCTTCTCTCATCTATAAAATGAGGCACCATTCAGCTCAATGAGTAGAAAAATATTTATAGAGGAACACAGTGTGACAGGCACGGTGCTTCATGCCAAGAACATAAGAAGATATTTCCTTCCTCAAATAGTTCACATCTGAACACATTCTAGATGTTTCTAAACTATAATTACAAAACAGTGCTTCTATCTCTGATAGAAGATTCTACAGGACACCACAACTACCGTTACTAATAGCCTATGTTTTGTGATACCTAATTTGGGCCAAGCTCTCCATATAAATTATTTTTATAATCCCTCACGATAACCCAGTGGGGCCGGGTGCGGTGGCTCACGCCTGTAATCCCAGCACTTTGGGAGGCTGAGGCGGGCAGATCACCCGAGGTTAGAGTTCAAGACAAGCCTGGCCAACATGGTGAAACCCCGTCACTATAAAAATACAAAAAACGTAGCCAGGCATGGCGGTGGGCGTCTGTAATCCCAGCTACTTGGGAGGCTGAGGCAAGAGAATCCCTTGAACCCGGGAGCCGGAGGTTGCAGTGAGCTGAGACGGTGCCATCGCACTCCAACCTGGACAACAAGAACGAAATTCTGTCTCAAAAACAAACAAACAGAAGCAAAACAAAACCCTCTGGAACAGACGTAATTTTTATGTTTTCTGACAGAAAATCTGAGGATTAAAAAATGTCAGGTACTCACTGTATTAGATTATTCTCACACTGCTAATAAAGACATACCCGAGACGGGGTAATTTATAAAGAAAGAGGCTTAATTGACTCACAGTTCAGCATGGCTGGGGAGGCCTCAGGAAGTCCACAATCATGGTGGAAGGGAATGCGAACACATCCTTCCTCACGTGGCAGCAGCAAGGAGAAGTGCAGAGTGAGAAGGTGGGAAGAACCACTTATAAAACCATCAGATCTTGTGAGAACTCACTCAATATCATGAGAACAGCATGGAGGTAAGTGCCCCTATGATTCAATTACCTCCCACTGGGTCTCTCTCACGACACGTGGGGATTATGGGAACTACAGTTCAAGATGAGATTTGGGTGGGGACACAGCCAAACCATATCATTCACCAAAAGTTGCAATGATAGTAGGAGATACCAGGCACAGTGGCTCATGCCTGTGATTCCAGCACTTTGGGAGGCCGAGGGGCAAGGATTGCCTGAACCCAGGAGTTCAAGGCCAGCCTGGGCAAGATAAAGAGACCCCATCTCTACTAAAAATACAAAAAATATTAGCAATGCACCTATAGTCCCAGCTACTTGGGAGGCTGAGGCGGGACGATCACCTGAGCCCAGGACATCAAGGCTGTGGTGAGCTGTGATTGTGCCACTGCCACTCCAGCCTGGGAGACAGGAGTGAGACCCTGTCCCAGGAAAAAAAAAAAAAAAAAAGCCTGGCACGGGGACTCACACCTGTAATCCCAATACTTTGGGAGGTGGAGGTGGGTGGATCACTTGAGGCCAGGAGTTCGAGACCACCCCTGGCCGACATGGTGAAACCCCATCTCTACTAAAAATACAAAAATTAGCTGGGCGTGGTGGCACACACCTGTAATGCCAGCTACTCAGGAGGCTGAGGCCGGAGAATCATTTAAAACTGGGAGGCGGAGGTTGCAGTGAGTCGAGATCACACCACTGCACTACAGCCTGGACGACAAAGCGAGATTTGGTCTCAAAAAAACAAACAAACAAACAAAAAAAGGTTGTAACATGTGGTAGAATCAGAACTCAAAACATAGGCGTGGTTGAGACTAGTGACTGTTCTTAATCACTGTGGAAGCCTGGAGCAGAAGACCCAGCTCTCCTAGGAGGTGAAAGGTTAAGTCTGAAATGTCATGCGATGCCTGCTTGGATTCTTGGGAATGATCTGTGCTGATCTTATAAATCTCTCTCCTAGACTTAAATTTCTCTACATACCTTTCAGTCCTTATCCAAGAAAAGTTGGCTTAATACATACAACTAGAATCGAGGCAAATTAGACTCCTTTAAATGCGTCCATAATGTCTGCTTCATGGCTCTTCAAAAAAGACATGCGATCCTGTGAAATGCTAATTTGATACATAACCAAAGGAAAGTAACATGCTCTTGTCTTGGCTAATTCGTAGCTGTTAGTTGAGCAACACCGTTTATTTCCAGGGCTAGCCTTAGATATAGCACAATTATAGAAAAGGGCTGTCAGCACTAATTGCTCCATTGCATGCCCAAAAAGTTCTACAGAATCTGAAATGCTGACAAACAGTCCAGACCCACTGGAAAACATCTGCAAATCATAATCTTTTAATTTCAATGAACATGGTGGAAAGTTTCAGCTTCAATGACTTACTAAATCCCTGAGCCATCTTAAAGTCTTGTGTTCTTTTCTTTCCTAAGCCAAAGAATAAAACAGCTTTGAAAGTTGTGTTTTTTAGAGTGTGGAGCCAAAATGACTGCTATAGTTGTTAATGTTTAAAATGACATTTCAGATATGCCATCTAACCTAAATGAAAATTTTAGAAGGCTATTGATCATTATAAAAATATTTTTAAAGATATAATTTATATACAGTACCATAAAATTCATTTGTTTTAAGTGTACAATTCAATGATTTTTGCAGTAAATTTTCAGTTATGCAACTAGTGCCATAATCCAGTTTTAGAACATTTCCGTTAGCCCAAGGAGGTCCCTTGTGTCAGTTTGAGGTTATATGCCTCATTTCCACCTCCAGTAACCCCTAATCCTCTGTTGCTAAAGTTCTGCTTTTCACGACATTTCACGTCAATGCCACCATAGAAACTGTGTTTGCATCTGGCTTCTTTCACTCAGCATATGTTTTTCAGATTCATCTACATTCTAGCATGTAACAGGGCTTTGTTCCTTTTTTATTCCTGATTAATATTCCTTTTATGGATGCAGTTCATTTTGTTTAAGCATTTACCATTCAATGGATTTGTGATTGTTTCCAGTTTTCAACCATTACAAATAATGTTGCTATGATAATTCATGTCCAAGTCTTCATGTGGACACGTGTTTTCCGTTCCTTTGTGTAGATACATTGTAATAGAATTGCTGGATTATATAGTAAATTTATGTCTAATTTTTAATACTTTGAATTTTATTTATTTATTTTTTTTGAGACTGTGTCTCGCTTTGTTGCCTAGGCTGGAGTGCAGCAGCATGATCACTACTCACTGCAGCCTCACCTTCCAGGGCTCAAGCGATCCTCCCACCTCAGTCTCCAGAGTAACTGAGACTACAGGTGCATGCCACCTCACCCAGCTTTTTTTGTTTTGTTTTGTTTTGTTTAAAGAGATAAGGTTTCCCTATGTTGCCCAGGCTTGTCTCAACCCCCTGAGCTCAAGTAATACTCATGCCTCAGCCTCCCAAAGTGTTGGTATTACAGATGTGAGCCTTTGTGCCAGGCCTGAACTTGTTTTATGTGTAACTTTTTAACAAACTGCCAAACTGTTTTCCAAAGTGGCTGCGCTATTTTACATTCCCAGGCTGGTCTTTATTTATTTATTTATTTATTTTGCAGGAGCGTGGGTAATTTTTTGTAGAGACAGGGTCTTGCTAAGTTGCCCAGGCTGGTCTCAAACTCCTGGGCTCAAGCAATCCTTCCACCTCAGCCTTTCAAAGTGTTGGAATTACAGACGTGAGCCACCGTACCTGGCCTCTCATACTGGTCATTTTTAATAAGACAAATGATTTTCTTAAAAAAAAAAAAGAAAGAAAGAAAAAGGAGCTATAGTGTGAAGGAAAAAAAAAAGATGCCCTGTAATTACCCCTGGGACAAAGGTGCTGTAGAAAACAGAATGTTAGCAGGAGCATGAGTTTCCTGAGTTGTTTTAGGAACTCCAAAATGCTGGGAATTTCAACTATCTTTAATCCAAAGAGCCTTCTGGTTTTAAGCTGCTTCGAACCTTGTTCTTGCTCCATGGTTGGGGAGAAGTTGAAAGGGAAACGACTGCTAGGTCTCTTAGTAAGTAACCCAGTAATTATATATTCAGATTGTCACCCTACCCTACCCTTCTACATTTCCCAGCCATGCCCTGGCCCATTCCTCTTTACATTTACAACAGCTTTCTGACTTATCTTACTGGCTCTGTGCAACTACCTTGAACTCCACTCCCACTTCTAAACCTGAGTGAAGTATTCTTTTTCTTGGTTTTCCTAATACCCTGTGTATGCCTTTTATGATAAGATTTTCTAGCCTCTCTCAAGGAACTATACTTTACTTATTTTTATCTCTTCAGTACTCAGTATAGACTTTGCCTCATTGTGTATACTCAATCATATTGCATGGACCAATGAATGCATTGATTAACACAGAATAAGCCCTATCTATTAAATGCATCATGGTCTTAATCTCGTTAACTGAAATATGTTACAAATAAGGATAGCTTTGAATATCTGTCTAGTTAACTTCTGATTTTCTACAAAAATAACTAGAAACTGAACCTAGAATTGGCTGTCAGGTCTACAAAAATGCTGCTGGTTCTATCTCTCATCAGCTTTGTGGCCTTGACCTCGTTACTAAATTTTGCTAAGCATCAGTTTCTTCACCTGAAAGCATCGCTATAACGATTAAATGAGATAGTCCATAAAAAGTCCTTGGTTATTATTTTATTACATCATCATTCTAACAATTATTGAATACTTACTACAATTTTTATGAATATGAGTACAGAGGTTGATGTGTCTTGCTCATAACTGTAATATTCTGGCCGTTATGGTGGCTCACACCTATAATCTCAGCACTTCGGGAGTCTGAGGTGGAAGGACTGCTTGAGCCCAGGAGTTCGAGACCAGTCTGGGCAACACAGAGAGACCCTGTCTGTAAAGAAAATTGAAAAACTAGCTGGGCATGGTTGTGCACACCCGGAGTCCCAGCTACTCAAAAGGCCGAAGCAGGAGGGTAGCTTGAGCCCAGGTGTTCAAAGCTATAGTGAGCCAAGATCACACCACTGAACACCAGCCTGGGTGAGAGAGTGAGACCCTGTCCAAAAAAAAAAAAATAAATCCATATTCTTTGCTACAGGGAATTGTGAAAAGTAATGATGCATATCGCAGTTCTAGAAATTTTTGGCTTTCGTCTACATAACGGTCTCAGGTCATCCAACCTCCAAATTATAGTCATCTATTGAGAGGCTGTGTGAGAGACAAGATCCTAAAAGCCAAAGGTAATGAATGATGAGGACTATATTAATAATGCACACACACTCTCCTCCATTTCATTCATATCCCAGTAGAAACTTTAAATTTCAGAACTCCCATTCAGGGTGATTCTCACCTAATGGAGGCTGGTTTCAGCACAACACGCATCAGCCGATACTCCCGACTCCACACAGCCAGGCTTGCACACATTTATTATCAAGAGCTGCAGCTTGTCTCCGGCGGTTTGACTGGCTGCTACCCACCTCCTCTTCAGTGTTTCTCAGAGGAAGCAACAAACTCCGCTGGAGCACTCTGTGGAATCCTCAGATGGAGAAAGGAAACCGCCACGGTGCAAGTGCGTTCACCACGTGTTACACACACTTTGAAGATGATGGGCTTGTTAGGCTGCAATACATCCTTGGTGTTGCATTAACTAGCATGATTCCTCATCCAGCTTCATGAAACTACCTAACCATGGCCCATGAGGTGCACCCCAGGTACATATATAAACATACACATTCCTATAAAACCATTTTTGGAGGCAAATTTCTATTTGAATTCTCACCTATCCTTTTCTAGTCATGGGCAAGTTATCTAGCTTTTCTGAATCTCAGTTTCTTTATATGGAAATGGGGATAAAATGCATTGCTGGGTCGTTATGATAATCATATGCAATAAACATGAAACTGTCCAGCAAAGTGCATGACAAGTCATAGTTGTTCAATAAATAATATTACTGTGATTACTAGTAGTATTACTATTCTACAATGTATATATGAATATGCTTACACACACATAAATATGCCATTATGCTAAACCAATTATTCAGCAATATATCGTAAATAAGTATCCTGTAGCAAAAATC
This sequence comes from Homo sapiens, assembly GCF_000001405.40. Lineage (NCBI taxonomy): Eukaryota > Metazoa > Chordata > Mammalia > Primates > Hominidae > Homo > Homo sapiens. The sequence goes on from NC_000016.10 coordinate 77,683,384, forward strand.
TCCCAAACGTAGAGATGGGAAAATAAAGGTAAGTTTTCCTTCAGACCCCCGTCTTTATTTAGTTTGCATAGTTTCTTTTGCATTGGTCCTCCTGTTAGCACTGACTGGTGACCACTGAGCTAGTGTTTTTTGTTTTTTACATGTATAGTCTGATTGCCTGTCATGGATGGTGATGTCACTGAGTCAAAGTAAATTATCTTGTTGATAATAGGAGACAGCCCTGACCCACTGATGCCTAGTTACCTCATGAGAAAATCAAAAAGTGGAGAGAAAGATGTCTGGGCTGTGGCTGCTGAGGCTTCCTTAGCCCCAAGTGTCCGAGTCAGGGATGTGGCTCCAAGATTCCATGTAGGAAAACATTCATTGAGCACTTAACACCCTCAGAAAACTGGCAGCTCCTCAACCCCACCCACCTCCTTCCAAGACCACTCAATTTCAGAACTCACTTCTCAATGAGGAAAGAAAATTGCCCAAAGAGGTTTGGAGTGTTTTTTTTTTAATTTTTCATTTCAAGCAGAATATATTCTCATCAGTGGGAGAGGATAGTCTAGCATCATGACTAATAAAAACTGTGTTGTGATTTTTGACACTACATTTTCCTAATTGCTTAAAATGTGTTCCACAGTGCTATGTAACTGGCATTGAGACGTGCAGTTATGGGTGTACTCAACAGATGTCAGTTGCCCTCCATTTAAGCAACTTAGAAACAACCAAAAATAAATGTGGATTATTGAATGCTGGAGAGAAAGCGAAGATATTAAATATTTAATTCTCTGAACATAATGATGTAGTTGATTTTCTGTTCTTCTTAGCTGCCGTTTTGTCATTTTGCATCAGTGATCCTGAGAACACATTCATTATTCTGGAAGGCTCATTGGATGTTGCTATGGAGACCAGAGCTGCTCTGACATATTCCCCCAGGCCCTGTTTGCTGGCTTTTTCAGTAAACACTTAATTATGCGTTGCATTCTGCAATCAGTGTGGTTGGAGGAGACTTTCCTTAGCTGATTTCAAGCTAAATATGAGTTCTCCTTACAAGCGGATGCTTTCGTAGGTCTGTTGAGTGTGATTTTAATAAATGGAGCAAAATCAAGAAACATCCAAGAGAAAAATCAAACAAAGAAGAAGGCAAGGCATCAGTCTAATTACCTTCAATAGCCTAGCGGTATAAAAGCTTTTCAAAGTCGTATCAACAACCTTAACTCTACTAAAAACCTTGATGGTTCGGAGAAGGAGAAAGATTCTTCTATACCATATGACCCAAGCAGGCAAATCAAACAAATAAAAAATTTGTTTAGGAGCATTCTATCTAGGAAGAAGGTATTAATAAATTATAAGATCCTTTTTAGGTCAAGGATTCTCAATGCAGGAATGGGCTTCTGAGGTCTCTGACCAAGCTCCACTCCTTCCATAGGTACATGAAGAATATTGTTTGCATGCATATGTGCATCTTTGTAGAAAGAAAGTCCTTAACTTTCATTATAAACTGAAAAGCCATCAGATAAAACAAATGGATCACTGATCAATTGAATACTAGTGAAAAATACTCTATCTTTCTCTGAGGAAGCATATTAACTCTTTCTCACAATGTATGATTTACCAAAATAAAGAAAGCATTTTGCAGGAGGGAACCAACCCCCAGGGTATGCTTTATCCAACTGTGAATTTTGATAGATGCACTTGGAATTCTTCCTCATTTGAGAGAACAAGTGCTGGGTTAGAAGCCTGAAATAAAGATAGAAGCTGACCCACACTCAGTATTCTAAGTCACGACAAAAGCTGTGCCAAATGGATCACCCAGTTTTACTAAACTTGTTTAATTCAGTGAAGCCATTTATTTGGCAGATTCTCCAGAAACTGTATTTGATTTTCTCTTTAGTAGGTATTTACTAAGTACCCGGCACTTCCTTATACACTCTCAATTTTATGTTCTCTTTGTGATTTTGGTGTAGGTGAAACTAGAACTCGGAGGCAAGTGTTTAGAGCCAGGCAAAACTCAGAATTGAAGCAAATTTGAGAATGAAGGAGGTATGTGGGGACTGCCAGGAAGGAAGGATTCACAGCTCAATAGCATGAATGTGAGCATCCAGGCAGCAACTTTTGGTGCATAACACACCACACCAAAACTTGGGGGATTAAAATCACCCCTATTTCTTATTATGTCTCATGGTTCTGTGAGGTACAAAGGAGACCACTCATCTCTGCTGCACAACGTCTGAGTATTCTGCTGCCTTGACCCAATGGCCTAGGTTTGGATGGTTGGAACTACCTGTAGGGTAAATGCCCTGATAGCAATAACAAGCATACCCTGAGAATGACCTTGTATGGCAGACTCTATGAGGAACATCTGAGCTCTCCCGGCCACCCCCCACTCCTTCCCTACCCTCCTGCTGTCACATCCCATGGAACATGGGCCATACAGGGGACTAAGGTCCTGGGTTTTGGGTTGGATGAAGTGGCCAGGTAGAGGTCATTAAAGGGAGGGTATTAAGTGAAAATCCTATTATATATAAACTGTATGCTGTTTGCAATTGGTTGCAGTTTAGTATAACTACCCAGCCCACCACTGCTGGGCCATGCAGGGATGTTGTCCTGCTCACTGCCGCTGGACTGTAAGTTAGGTGGTTCTCCTGTCTAGCCCACCACCACTGGACTCTCTCTCTCATAGGTAAGCCCCTAATAAAACTCCATATCTCTTTTTCTGGCTCACTTCTTCAGTTTCTTGAACCTAGTGCTGTCCTACTGAGGTTAATAGGGTTCAGCACAACGCTGCCCACCATCTCTCTCTATGCAGCCTCGGGCCTCTCTGTGTGCTTACACACGTGGTCTCCCCAGTATGACAGTCTCAGAGTTCAACAGCAAGTTTTCCAAAAAACCAAGGCAGAAGCTGCAAGACCCCTTATGATCTAGCCTTTTCAGTCCCAGAACATCATTCTACTGGTCAAGCAAGGCACTCGAGCCAGCTCAGATAGAAGCGGGAGGGAACTGGACTCTACCTCTCAATGGAAGGAGTAGCAGAGAATTTGGAACTCTGTTCGGCAACCCAAAAGGGAGGACAGATATTAGGTGACACTGTTAAGTCACTGTCCTAACTCTTATACATACACATTATTTCAATCAGCTCTGCAAATTAGCCCGGTCATCCCATTTCAGTCAGAGATAGAGGTCACTTCTTACTAACTTGTCCAGATGGTGGCAGAGCAGGAATTGAGCCCAGGACTCTCTGCAAATTCTGTGCCATTCACCACTACCCTTCCAGGTTCTACCACATTTGACTCAAGTTCTAGTCATCACAGCTCCACTTGATTTCTTCCTCCTTCCTCCTATTTGGATCTTACATGCAATATAATATAGTTACGCGTCATCTTTTTTGGCATACAGGTCCATCTCCCAACAGAGACCCCAGAATCACAAAGTAGGAGAGCTCTGGGTCCTTAGATAGAAAATCAAAGAGTATATATGGCCAATATCCTGCCTAGGAATACACAGATGTTTGCAGCAGAGAGCACTGGGCTGACAGTGGAGTTGTTTCTGGTCCTACCCCTGGCATCGTTTTGTGTCTACAAAGCCACTGGGGGTAAAAAATGTGTGGCAAAGCCAGTGATTACTGGTGATACTCCCTTCCTGTAGGTCTTGTCTAGAGCTGAACCTTGTCTAATGGAAGATAATTTGCTGTCTAATGAGAGTCCTTGAAGTACATTTCTTTCATTCGCTTTGAAATTTCTGTCAATTTTTTCATATAGTTCTACTCTAATAGAGCCTAAATCCCTTTTCAACTTATTACAGGAAATGATCCTAATGGGTAAATTAAGTCTGACTCTCCCCCATGGTCTCTCCAACCAATATATTTTCCTCTTTTCCCCAAGGTTTACTTTTCACTCAAAGAGCTCATCACGGCCGGATACAGTGGCTCACACCTGTAATCCCAGCACTTTGGGAAGCTGGGGTGGGTAGATTGCTTTGATCTCAGGAGTTCGAGACCAGCTTGGGCAACATGGCAAAACCCCATCTCTACAAAAGTACAAAAATTAGCTAGGTGTGGTGGTGTGTGCCTGTAGTCCCAATTACTTGAAAGGCTGAGGTGGGAAGATTGCTTGAGCCCAGGAAATGGAGGTTGCAGTCAGCCAAGATCACACCACTGCACTGCAGCCTGGGTGACAGAGCCAGACCCTATCTCAAAAATAAAAAACCAACCAACCAAACGAACAAACAAAAAACAAAAAAAGAGCTCATTGCTCCCAAATCCCTCCAAATCACTGGGCCATGTTAAAAGTTTCCAGAAGTCAGTCTGCCCTCAGGAAGGAGTAGTATCATCACCCCCTGATTATATGTCCAACAGCCTTGGAATTCACTAACTACAAACTGCTAATCATTGTAATTTCATGAAATTCTCCTTCTGGCTGTTTGAAAATAAAATACAGTTCTCTACTTGCTTGGAGGCTACAAAGCCTGCCAAAAGCAGTGACAGAAAAAAAATTATTTGAAAAAATGTGAAAATGCCTATCTCATCCACAATGCTACTTTGCATTCCATCAGAAATGAGCTAAGGGAAGCACACAGTCCTCTGTGCTTGTGGTAATAATGCAGGGACTGGTGAAGCCCAAAGTGACAGGGAGAAAAAGTCTCTAGCGGAAAAGTCCAGCTGCAGAGAGAAAGATCAGCGCCTCAAATTCTACCTGCTGGCTGGTTAGCAGTACGATCCATCACATGGCCCAGGAAGTTAAAAAGAAAAAAAAAAATCACAGAAATGTTGATCCTTCTATGTTTTTAAGCACCCAACCAGTTTGTCCCAAACTAAATATGTTTGTCTTCTGCTCGCATTAGTCCTTAAAATAGTTAATGGTATGTCTGTAAAACAAATAGGCATAGAGTACCCGCCTCCCCTGGATAGAAATGCCTCACTGAGCCTTTCTACAACCCACTTCTCACAATTCCAGTCACCTAAACTGTCCTTCATCCCTCCCTGATTTTGGAAGTCTTCACAATTTTTTTTTTTTTTTTTTTTTGAGATGGGGGTCTCACGCTGTTGCCCAGGTGGAGTGCAGTTTTGCTTTCTTGTTAGTCTGGAGTGATCGGAGCTTACTGCAGCTTTGACCTGTGCTCAAGTGATCATCCCACTTCAACATCCAAAGTAACTGTCATTACAGATATGTACCACTGCACTTGGCTAATTTTTAAATTTTTTTTTTTTTTTCCAGAGAGAGGATCTCCCTAGGTTGCCCAGGCTGGTCTCAAACTCCTGTAAGCTTCAAGTGATCCTCCCACCTCCACCTCCCAAAGTAATGGGATTACAGGCCTGAACCACGGCACCCGGCCTTCACTTCTGATTAAAGGTACCACTACTCCTTAAGATCAAACCAGAGTTTTATTTGCCAGTAAAACACATCTCAATCCTCCAAATCTAAAGGCCAGTCTTATGTATCTTTTCAGCATTTTCAGAAAAGATGGGCATCTCTTGACCATCTCCATTGACTCCAAACTTAATGCTATTTTCTGCCACCTTTGTGTTCTGCTTCAGGTCATGGGACAAGCTTGTTCAAATCTCTATTCCGTGTTGAAAGCCCAACTCAGATGCTCTTCCTCACTAAAACCTTCCCTGAAACTCCCCCAGGCTCCTCACCTGCCAGCCACATGGATCTCAAGACTTCAGGCTCTGTAGCCAGTTGATGGTAAAATTTGAAGTTGGGGTTAGGGGATGAGAAAAGGGAACCCCAGCCTGCTTTTCTGGAACCCTGTGTGCACAGTGAGAAGCACCAGCTATCTGTGTAGTGGAACCTCATCTTCCAGGTGCAGTATAGTTCCCAGTGCATCCATCTCCCCAGTTCCTTTGAGGAAAACGGGAATTGGAGATGGTGTGTTTGAAGAGACTTAAGAGTCTCTTAGAATTTGAACATGGGCCACAGTGTTCAAACTCCCCAATAAGAGGCTTCTATGTCAACACCCCTTACCACTCTAGGATTGTTTTCTAGGAAGGGCAATGAGAGCATTCCTACAGATGCAAAGCCCTTCACCCCACCCCACCTCCCATGAGGCTTTTAACACAGCCCCCCAGCACTGAAATCTTCCCCCACCACCACCACCTCAGCTGCCTAAAAGAAATCTTAAAGTCAGGATTGACAATCACGTTCCAATTCAATTGATCAGAGGCACCTAGAGAAACCTGTTGGGGAAGATTCTGAAAGTGAGTCTGACCTTAGTGGTTAGACATTCAAACATTTTAATTAACAAATATTATATGCCAGCAACTGTCTCAAATGCAGGAAATGTATCCGTGAATGAGGGAGGGTGGTTTCTGCCCTGCAGAGCTCACATTCTGCTAGAAAAAGCACTGTGCTCCATTAGTAGTGTTTGTGATGGACTCAGGAAGGATTGGTGATAATGGTGTCTGTGCTACATTTCTGCCAACTCAGAACATACCTCTCATAAACCCCTAACCAGGGAAAAACTAGAAAAATCAATAAGTAGTTCATGGAAATGTGTTCCAGTAGCCAAACCAATTACGGAGTTTCCCACCTTCTCACTTCTTGCAGTTAGTCTCATTTTTGATCCTCTTACTGAGAAAAATATCCACACATATTTTAGGATTGAAACTACATGCAAAATTCATTTTGTCATTTTGTATTCCTCCTTTAAAACTATCGGGCTTCTGACTTGCAGCATTTAAATAGGTAGGTTCAGCTTGAGGACCTTTTTAAACTATATTCATAATATATAATTTGCTTTCTTCATGAAGTGCATTACTTTTGCAGACATGACTTTGCTAGCTTGTAAAAATAAGCTATTAAATTTAGCACATTTAAGAGCAGAACCCAGGGGATTCTAGACACGGGGAGTACATGAACAAAACCTTGATGTTGGGGAAGTAGAAGGTAAATTCAGGAGACACTGATACGCCAATCTGGAGGCCAGAGAACAGCTCCCAAGGCGTGTGCTAGGCTGAGGTGCTGTATTAGTCTGTTTTCTGATTGCTATAAAGAAATACCGGAGACTGGGTATTTATCATAAAGAAAAGAGGCTTAATTGGCTCACAGTTCTGCAGGCTGTACAGGAAGCATAGCGGCTTCTGCCTTTAGGGAGGCCTCAGAAAGCTTCCAATCATGGCAGAAGGCAAGGTGGAGCAAGGAGTCTCATGTGGCGGGAGCAGGAGGAAGAGACAGCAGAGGGAGGTGCCACACACTTCTAAACAACCAGATCTCACGAGAACTCACTCACTATCACTACAGCAACACCGAGCAGATGGTGCTACACCATTCATGAGAATCCGCCCTCATGTTCCGTCACCTCCCACTGGCCCCACCTCCTACAATGGCGATTGCAATTCAACATGACATTTGGTAGGGATACAGATCCAAACCATATCAGGTGGGGAAGTTGGTTTTGAGTTCCAGGCTCAGACATCTGGGCTTTCTTTTTTTTTTTTTTGTAAGAATTCTCTGTTGAACATAGGCATTTTCTGTCTAACAGTGCAGAAGGCTGATTTTGAGGTAGTGAGCCCTTTGGCTTTCAGAGGTGATCAAGCAGAGACCAATAACTGTCAGAAATGGTGCAAAATCAGATGGGAAGGTAAGCTAGTTCCGAGGTTATGATGTAGGGCCCATACATCATATGGGCCTTGCATATCATGTATGTTTGTTTGTGGCTTGCAGGTGTGTTTTGCTTGGGCCACAGAGCTTTCCCTTTTTGGAAAGGAGAGGAGATGAGGAGAAGAGAGGAGAGGAGAGGAGAGGAGAGGAGAGGAAAAGGGAGACAATCAACAAAATTAGTGAGATGACACCAAAAAAAAGAAAAAAATATCCCGATTTCCTTGAAAAAGAGAGAGATGTAAAGACACCAGGCCAATTTCGTTTGACATCATTGGAAGAGAGGCAGGCACTGCTGAGTCACTATGTGTCCCTTTAAATGGGTCAGGTGTTCTAGTTTGCCAATTCCACTACATTCTCATCAAGCCCCTGTTGAGCCCCTGGAGGAATCTGCCTGTTTGACCCTGGAGCGAGATGCCATGTGAACTGTTTTTCCTATATTTGATGAGGCAGGCAAACATGCCTTGAGCCCCATTCTGGCTTTCCATTATCCTGCTGGAAAGGGATTGGCAAGGTCTTGATGCAAGGCCTGGGTGGCCAGAATAGACCACCCAGGCTCCCTGTGTTTCCTGAACACTGGCAGGGAACAGGTCCCAGCTGATTTTATCACCATGGTCCTTCAGGAACTACAGTGTCTCCTCCAATATTTATTTCCACAGTAACATTCCCTTCTAGCACAAAGATGTCACCTCCCATCAAAAAGCCTGTTGAATCTTGAATTCTACCAAAACACCGATGAGGTGAGGCAGAATCCAAGAATCTCAGGGCAGAGGGGAGGAGGGGAGAGAGCACTGATATCTCTAACACCACAAAATCAGAGGCTTGCGATACTGTGACTTCCCCCCGTGCTACTGCAGACACAGTAGAAGGTACCTCATTTGTATAATTATTTGAACTTTGCAGATAATGAATGGAATGCACTTTGAAAATCTAATTTCCTTTCCGCTCTACTCTTCACGCTGTCACTTGAGCGGTGCTTCTCAGACACAGGTGTGATATATCATACACTCACTTCTAACCCTCCATCTCTTCTCTTCACCTGCAGCTTTATTAATGGCATGAGATACTATGTGGGTGAGGCACTATAGGGAGTTTGCAGATGAGCTTTTTATGTTTCAGAAGTCATGTATTTAACATGTAACATGTAAAAACTCACCAAGCACACGAAACTCATAATTCAGTTGAAATGTAAAGTTTCTTTAAAATACTATGTTTAAAAATTTCCTTCCTATGTACATTAAACAAAATAAAGAAAAAACAATTTTATAATATTGGTATTATGTATGTAATTATAACTGGTCTTATATAATGAAAAATGATACTTGAATGATTGAAACTGGGTTTTAGAAACATGGACCTGGCCGGGCGCAGTGGCTCATGCCTGTAATCCCAGCACTTTGGGAGGCTGAGGAGGGCAGACCACAAGGTCAGCAGTTCGAGACCAGTCTGGCCAATACGGTGAAACCCCATCTCTACTAAAAATACAAAAATTAGCTGGACGTGGTGGCAGGCACCTGTAGTCCCAGCTACTCGGGAGGCTGAGGCAGGAGAATCACTTGAACCTGGGAGGTGGAGGTTGCAGTGAGCCGAGATCACACCACTACACTCCAGTCTGGGCAACAGAGCAAGACCCTGTCTCAAAAAAAAAAAAAAAAAAAAAAAACACTGACCTATCGGTGAGTGTCCAAATTGCTTAGAATGTCCTGGATTCCCATAATAGGCTTACCCACTATCAGCTGTCCAGTCCCATCTGATGCTGCTCATCACCATGTACCTTTAAGATGACTCAGCTTTCTGGAGACCTGCATACTTCTTTTTGCCTCAGGGCCTTTGCACAGACTATTTCATTATGGCTGAAGTCCCTTCACTCCCCTTTTCCACCTGGTGAACCAATGCTCAGACTTGTCAACCCAGCCTCTATCTCACTTCCCTTGAGAAATCTCTTCAGTCTCAACAGGCAGCATTAACTCCTGACTTTGTGGCCCCATCATTTTTTAGTACACATTATATTCAAACCTATAATCCACTGACATTATTTACTTGTGTCTCTGACTTTACAACTAGGCTGAGACTCGATAGGTCAAAAGCTGCCCTACACGGAAGCACTTAATAAATGCTTACTGACTGGGCAGTTTTTCCAGTGAATTTCAAAGCAAAAACACTTTATCATTTTATTCCCTTCCTCCACCAGCACCATGGTTTTAATTTGAAAGAACCCTTCAAAGGAGGCTATGGGAAGCCATGTGATATTCCCTTAAGAATATGAAAGCCGAGGGTGATATTTTAACAAGCCTCCTTCTCTTACAGATATTAACAAGAATTGAGTACCCAAAAGCAGCTTAGTTTATACCTCACAGCACTATAGAAAAGGATCTAGCAGATGTCATCATCCCCCAAAGCTCCAGGAAGAGATATTATCACGAGTTAGTAAAATTTCTTAAATACTGGCCAGGCACAGTGGCTCACGTCTGTAATCTCAGCACTTTGGGAGGCCGAGGCGGGTAGATCACCTGAGGTGAGGAGTTCGAGACCATCTTGGCCAACATGGTGAAACCCCATCTCTACTAAAAATACAAAAATTAGCTGGGTGTGGTGGTGTGTGCCTGTAATCCCAGCTACTCAGGAGGCTGAGGCAGGAGAATCACCTGAACCTGGTAGGTGGGGGTTGCAGTGAGCTGAGATCATGCCACTGCACTCCGGCCTGGGCAACAGAGCGAAACTCTGCCCAAAAAATAAATAAATAAATAAATAAATCTTAAATACTACTATAGCAAGTGTAGTCACATGGAGATGGGACTGAGTAAAATGTTCCTCAAATCTGCCCTCCTGTCTTCAATCATCAGCCATACCCTGGGGCAGGGCACCCTGGGCTCCTACCTGAACAGGTGTGGCCATTCACAATTGTCCCACCCATCTCATCTCTGCTACCGCCCTCTGCACCTTCAGAGTCTTCACAGGTGGTCTTCAGGGCTCGGTCATCAGGTCCCTGGGGTCCTCTCCTCCTCTTCAATATGCCTCACGCTACTCCCCCACTGCTAGTGAGTTCTAGCACCTTCCCACCTGGGCGCTCCCTCTGCCTGCAGGTTTCTTCCCGAGCTCTTTTCAAGACTTATTGTTCAGCTCCTGGCTTACATATGACGTCCTCAGAGTCCTTTTCTGGCCATCCTATAGGAAACAAGCACCTCTTCCTTTCCTCATCACCACATTCTGCTTATTTTCTTTATCATTTTCATAAGTATCTATGTGGGGTCATTTTTAAGGCATTTGCTTCCTTTTAAAAAAAAATACAGACAATTCGGTCAAGATTCTGTGTTCTTTGTTCTCTGCTCTATTCCCGGAATCTAATTCAGTATCTGGAACACAGTAAGGACGTAATGTGCATTTGAAGAGAGGGAGGAGGAGAGAGAGAACATACTCATAATTTCCAAGAATCATTGCTTTCTGTCACCTACGTCCATTCATTTTATTAGAGCAGAAATGTGTTTTGGAAGTTGAGAATTAACAGAAAATATGTAAGATCAGCTGGGATAGAGGAGGAAGACAAGCTGTAGGGAAGCCTTTTTTATTTCCATGGGGCACTGGTACCAAAGTTGTTGAACTACACAGATGAAATAATTTTGCTGGTGAACATGGTTGTGTTTGTAAATTGTTTTATCCAAGTGTCCATTACGCACCCCCCTCCCTCATCACTGCCTTACCTATGAGGAAGGAATGAAGAGGGTTAAATTGTATCTGTCTACACAGTTCACTGGCCCTTCAGGGCGCACCATTCAATGGTGTATGTGTCTTCGCTAACCATATTATACCGTTTTTAAATGACCATCGCTCTGAGAGGAAGAAAGAATTCTTTACCAAAATGTCATAAATACATTCTGAGAACCATTGAAGAGCACTATAAAACTATCACTCCTAGACAGATCCTTAACTCTAATACATCTAATAAAGGCATGTTAAATCACTTTGTCTCGATAAAGTAATACTGATTTGGTTCCTCCCAGGCCCAAGTCGGAGGTAAAGTCAGTTAGGAGCCCTTCCCCGAGTCAGAGTCTGCTGCATGGCCTCCCTGACTCCTCCTCTCTTCTCCCCTATGACCGACCCTCTCCTTTTTCCTCCAGCTGCTTATTCCTATGCTATCCCATTTGCTGACTCCTCCTTTTCTTTTTAGGGGGTGGGTGGGCGGGGAATGGAGTCTCACTCCGTTGCCCAGGCTGGAGTGCAGTGGCGCAATCTTGGCTCGCTGCAACCTCTGCCTCCAAGGCTCAAGCTATTCTCTTGCCTCATCCTCCCCAGTAGGTGGGACTACAGGCATGGGCCACCACACCTGGCTAATTTTTGTATTTTTAATAGAGACGGGTTTTTGCCATTTTGGCCAGGTTGATCTTGAACTACTGACCTCAAGTGATCCACCCACCTCGGCCTCCCAAAGTGCTGGGATTACAGGTGTGAACCACTGCACCCAGCCCTCCTTTTCTTTTCTTTTCTTTTCTTTTTTTTTTTTGAGACGGAGTCTCGCTCTGTCGCCCACGCTGCAGTGCGGTGGCACGATCGCGGCTCACTGCAAGCTCCGCCTCCCGGGTTCACACCATTCTCCTGCCTCAGCCTCCCGAGTAGCTGGGATTATAGGCGCCCGCCACCACGCCCAGCTAATTTTTTGTATTTTTGGTAGAGACGGGGTTTCACCGTGTTAGCCAGGATGGTCTCGATCTCCTGACCTCGTGATCCACCCGCCTCAGCCTCCCAAAGTGCTGGGATTACAGGTGTGAGCCACCGCGCCCAACTAATTTTTAGTAGAGACGGGGTTTCACCACATTGGCCAGGCTGGTCTCAAACTCCTGACCTCAAGTGATCCTCTCGCCTCGGCCTCCCAAAGCACTGGGATTACAGGCTTGAGCCACTGTGTCTCTTATGATAGAGTCTAACAAACACAATAGGTAGAGGGGCAAAGTGTTAACAGATAGAATTTCTTCACAATTTTACAAAACTCAATTTGTGCAAATTGAAAATGGTCCACCATTCTGTGAAACCTCTTTGTTTTCAATGCTTTAAGTGTAGAATCACATTTGCTCCACACAGTAACCTCATGGGTTAAATACCAGTAACATCCCCATCTTACACAAAGGGAAACTGAGGCCTGAGGAGATAAGGAGATTTTCCCACAGTCACACAACTGGGAGCAGGTGAAGTGAGGACTCTGGCAGGTAAGATTCCAAAGCTGTTGCTCTTTCTTCTCATGAGGCAGTTTCAGTCTATTGTTTGGTTTCAGCCAAGGTCCAGTTCACTGAATATCTGAGAGAAAAGAGTGTGAGAACCACCAGGGAGATGAGCCTGTTGCATAGCAACCCTGTGCTTGAGCCTGGTGCAGGGAGATAGGCTCCTTAAGTTTTCAAAGCACTGCCACTAAAAATAGCCCAAGAGATGACAGATAAATGTGAGGTCTCACCCAGGAAGAAAAAATCATCTTGCACAACTATCTTTACTGTGTTGTCCTTGGGGAAAACAAGATTATGGGATGCTGGATGTCTGCAACTTTTCTCAGTAGACACATTACTACTTCATCCCACTTATAGGTGAGGATGGCACCATTCATATGGTCCCCATGAAATATCTACTTCTATATTTTTTCCACTCCATTGCTGGAATTCAATTCAGATCGAAGAAAATGCTCTCTACTTGATTGCAAACATGGCCTTCAGCTTACCTGTATTTATCTCCCAGAAATTAATCATCTTGGTTAGAATTACCTTATGTGCAAACATTTATAATGCCTACATTTGTCACTCCTGGAGAGACCATGCCAATTACAGTGGCACCATCTATAAATCTCATGCCTTCCAAAGAATATTAGATATTTAATTAGATCTTGAAATCCCTCTTCACCTAGTGCCTTAAGGGTCTCCAGGTTCTCTTCTGAAGCTGGTAATTAAAGGAAGAACTTATCCTTGAGTCCCCTGTACCTCTGTGAGAATCAGGAAGGGCCCAGAGTAATTAAAAGCCTGAATATCGGCTTAGCTTAAGCAAGCACAAAAGCCAACAAAAAGACACGTAAATACAGCCATTTGTCCACAAGGAACTTCCAAACTACTTGGCCATTTGTTTATTCAAATATTCTATAAATATTTATTAAGGTAGAATAATGGTCCCCCAAGATGTCCATCTCCTAATCCCCAGAACTTGTGCATGTTTAATTACATGGCAAAGGGTAATTCAGGTTGCAGATGGCATTAAGAACACTAATCCGCTGGTTTTAAACTAGGAAGATTATCCTGGACTATCTAGGTGGGCCCATTGTAATCACAAGGCTCTCAAAAGTGGAGGTTGGAGGCAGAAGAGTCCGAGGGAAATGGGACTATGAAAGAAAGGCACAGAGAGATGGAGAAAGGAGACCACCAGCCAAGGAGCAAGAGCAGCCTCCAAAATACAAAAAGAGCAAGGGAACAGATTGCCCTGCCTAGAACATCCAGAGCCTCCAACCCTGCCAACACCTTGATTCTAGCCCAGTGAAGCCCCTTTTGGGCTTCTGACCTCCTGAACTGTTAAGATAAAAAAATTGGCATTCTTTTAAGCCACAAAGTTTGTGGCAATTTGTTGCAGCAGCAATGAGAAACTAGTATCAGCACCTGCTTAGTGCTTAACGAACAGCTTCATGCTCAGTACTGGGAACACAACAGTGAAAAAGACAATCACTCTCCCTGCCCTCCTGCAGCTTACACTCTAGGGATACAGATAAGAGAAGGAAACAAATAATCAGAGGCTGTAACACAGGCAATGAACATAAACAAAAGAGGGATCGACAGAGACTAACAGAACGTCATTTATTTCGGTGGGGAGAATGGCAGGTATCTCTACAAAGGTGACATCTCAGCCTAAAAGAAGAGAAGGGGTTTGGGGAAAAGAATTCTAGATGGAGGGGACTGCATATGCAAAGGCCCAGAGGTGGGAAAGAGCTTGGCAAATGCCAGGTACAGAGGGAAAACCAACGTAGTTGGAGTATGGCAGGCCACAAGTGGAAAAGCATGAGACGACATTGATGAGCAAGGAAAGAGCTGGTCATGCTGGGCCGCAAAGGCCTGGAGACCAGTTTGGATTATCCACTAAGAGTTCTGGGTGTGCAGGATTTTTAGTAAATACTGACACAATGCAATTCAAACTTAAGAAGATCTCTCATGCTGCTGTGTGAGGGGATGGATTGACATAGAGGGAAGCAGAAACATCCGTAAACAGGCTTTTGCATTACTGCATATGGAGATGACGATGCCTTAGACTTGGCTGGTAGCAACAGAGATGGTCAGGTTCAAGACATTTTCAAAACAGAACTTACAGCCTTGCTGACAGCCTGCATGTGAGAAGTGAAGGGTAAGCATAGCATCTCTTTGTGGTTTATGTTGGTCTTCATTGCCACTGTCTTGCTTTTCTTAAGCAAGAGGGCAATAAGAGACAGAATTCTATCTTTATATTGTACACCAGTCAACTCTTGCATAAGTATTCATTCATTCAACAAGTATTGTTGAGTAGAGACTAGAACCAGGCACTGTTTTAGCTACTGGGGGATATAGTAGTAAATTCAATATAAGCCCTCCACCTACAGTGTTTGTATTCTAGTGGGTTAGACAATGAACAAATGCATGTAAAATGTATAATGAAATTTCAGGTAGTCATAGTTTACGAAGAAAAATAAAGCAGGGAATTGCTACTTTACATAGGATAGAAATCCTAGCTAGTTCATGGAAACCATGAGTTCATTATCTAGCCTATTATCAATAAGAACTGCAAACAAGAGTTGTCACGAGCCCGAAAGTAGCTCCTTCCATCTTTTTCTATCAAAAAGTGTTCCATGGAGAATCTTGAATTGGGTCATGGAGCTTTACTTTATGTTTAATAAGAGGTGAGGAGTAGAGAGAAGAGTAAGAATAAAGGGCTGGAGGTGAGAGAGAGGGAAATGATGAGAAAGACGCTGCCAGGCCTCAGTTAGCACCAACTTTTCCAACCTGCTTGTTGTGACTGGGTCATGGCACTGTTACTCAGTGACTCTTCGGTGCTCATTTTCCTTTATTTCCGCAAGACAAAGGAAGAAGCTTGTAGCAAATCCAATTAGGCTAACAAATTTACAATCACACCTGGACTGCATGATTTGTATATAATATTTAATTTCAGAATTCACTTACAAGTAAACTTCCTTTTTATTCAGTTATTACTAAAATTGGTAAAACCAAAAAAACACTGTTCTCCAAACTGGAGCCTTACCAGCCAAAAACCATAAAAATAATCAGGTAGGCAAAGTCTTTGACAGGTCTGTGTTAAAACTAGAAGACTAACAAAATACTGAGCACATTCTAAACACAAAAACATAGTATACTTTTGGCTTTTTGGTGGGGCAGTGGCTCACAAAGCATTCACTTCAGGCCTTGCACATCATAGGTGTACATAATGATGTGATAAAATAGGTTGGTATAATTGAGCAATAAATTTGTAAAATAACTGTGTGACTGTGCAACTATTGTATATGAAATTGTTCTGTGTGTTATAGCAATGACTGGAGTATAGTCCTTGGAGTAAAAAATGCTTGTCTATTTGTAGAGCAGGAAAAAGACAAAATAATTAACAAATATTTATGAAGCAACTTTAACTAAGGGTAGAACACTATGCTAGATGAGGAAAAGACAAGATATACATCCCAATAAAACTTTTGCTTCTTGAAGCGTTTTCATACTGAAGAGTGAAAGAAAAGCTAGAAGTAAAAAATGAAAATGATGATGATGATGATGATAAGGAGAAGAAAGAGGGGAAGGAGAATATCTGACATTTGTAAATATTCACCATTCTTACTTTAGAATTCATCTAAATTGCTTGATATTTATTGCCACATTTAATCCATACAACACCCCTATGAGATAATCACTGTTTTATTCACATTTTACAGATGAGGAAACTAAGGAACAGAGAGGTTAAGTAGCTTGCCCAAAGTCACACGGCCTACAAATGGTGGAGGTGGGATTCAAACCCATGAAGCCCATGCTGGAAAATCCTGTTCTATGCTGCCTCCCTGCCAATCAAGGAATGAGGGAGCACTTGGACCACAGAGAGAACATCAGTGAGAGTAAATTTCCTCCTTCTCCTCATATTCATACTAAATACCTGAAAAATGAGCAAGTAGTCACCTTACAAAGACTGCTACTCTGTGGCTGAAAGATAAAAAGGTAATTCTTTAGAAGTTATATTTAATATCATTGCCATCATCGTGTAGAGAGATAATAATTTTAATGACGTATTTCCAGCCTCCACTGGTAAAACAAGAACCAACTCCAATTCATCAAAAATGCAAATTTTAACTACCAAATTTCAAATAATTTTTGAAAAAAAACGGTCTGGAGAAGAGTTTATGATATAACATGTTTAGTGATAAAAGCAGGACAAAAAACTGTTCGTATTATAGAATACTCCAATTTTTCATAAGAAAAAAACCTTTTTAAGTATACAAGCTGCAATATGTTTCTTAAAGTTACAGAAAAATATAAATAACGTAGTTACTTCTCTGTGATGGTATTTAGGATTATTTTAATTCTCTCTTTTAATTAGCCTCAGTTTTCTAAGTCTTCTAGAAAGATTTATAGTATTTCTTTAATTTGAAAAGTTTAATCTCAAAATCTACACACCTATGTATATACATCTACACATAAGCTATTGAAAATCAAATAGAAATTATATTAATGTTATTTATAGATTTCTAAATTTATAGAAATCTGTATGACATATTGACTAAGAAATAGCAACAATATTTATTTTTGATTAAGCCCAATCTATAACTTTATTAATGAGATCAAAAGGCTATTTTCCTAGTTCCAGGAGAGTGTGAAATAGGCTTTTCTCCCTGAGATAAATGACCTTTACCTGGAATCAAAGACTCAAACATAAGGAGAAAAAGCATAAACATGCCTTAAAGATGTCTCATTTCTCTGGAAATCCAGTGTGGAAGCAAAGACAGAGATCCTTGCAAAAAGGGGAAATAAGAGCTATAATTTCTTACCCCTCTAGCTAGAGGTGGATACATGCTATGGGGAAGAGGGTTGAGTTTTGTGGCTATTGCGCCAACTTCCAAACACCTGCAAAAACAGAATCCTCTCTCCTCTGCTTGGAGGAGGGCAGGAACTTCTATTTTTGATCCAGCAGGCTTAACAGCCACAACTTGGACAGGTGCTTGTGCTATTTCTTCTGCCATTCCTAGAAAGTCCACTTTGGGGATCTCTTTCTGAGTAGCCTGGTTGTGTGCAGTTCAGACTCTTTCAGGAGTGGCCTAACAAGCAGGGATAAGGAAATCCAATCACAGGGAAGATAAAGATATTGAGGGTTTGGCTTCCCAAGCACATCAGAAAAGGCCTAATATGCCACGACTGGAACACTGCAAGCAAAAATGACTTTTTACTCATTTTAAGAGTCATAGGTAGATGCTCTGTGACCATAGGCATTCTATGATAGTGCCCAAAAGTGCCACCTTTTGTATACACCTGTGTAATCTTCTCCCCCTGAGGGTGAGTGAAATGAGTGAATACAATAGGTTACTATGATGAACATAATTTAGATGATGAGATCTTGGATCTCAAATTGGTGTTATAATGGCACGAGACCCTTGGAAGGGAGTTAATTGTTGGGGGCCAGAAGACAGACTATGATAGGTAAGGTTTTAAGATGTCTGCCCCTTCTCCCCACGTCAGCGTATGTCCCCTTCCCTTGAGTGTGGGACATGGACATCTCACTTATGATTAGCTTACCAACTGGTTAACTTTGAGTTCATCAAAAGGGCGATTATCCCAGGTATGTCTGACCTAATCAGACTTTACAAGAAGGTGAAGCATCAGAGATGTGATCTTGCTGGCCTGAAGAAAAGAAACCGCTTTGTGGTGAGAGGGAGGCTTCCAAGAGCTGAGACTAACCCTGTTGATAACTCCTGGAAAAATGGGGACCTTCGGCCCTAAGGAACTAAATTCCTCCAGCACCTGGAATAAGCTTGGAAAAGCACCCCAAGCTCCAGTTGAGAACGGCAATGTTGCCAACACCTTGGCTGCAACCTTGTGGGTCTCTGAGCAGTGTTCCAACTAAGCCATGCCCAGACTCCTGACCTTCAGAAACTATGAGATAATAACAAGTGTCATGGCCAGGAGCAGTGGCTCATGCCTGTAATCCCAACACCTCCAGAGGCTGAGGCGGCATGATCACCTGAGGTCAGGAGTTCGAGACCAGTCTGGTCAACATGGCGAAACCCCATCTCTACTAAAAATACAAACATTAGCCAGGCGTGGTGGTGCATGCCTGTAGTCCCAGCTACTCAGGAGGCTGAGGTGGGAGGGTCACTTGAATCCAGGAGGCAGAGGTTGCAGTGAGCCAAGATTCTGCTACTATACTCCAGCTTGGGCAACAGAGTGAGACTCTGTCTCAAACAAAACAAAACAAAGCAAAACAAACAAAAAAAATTACAAATGTTATTTTAAGCCACTAAGCTTGTGGTCATTTTTTATGCAGCAAAAGAAAATGAATAGATACTCTCAACATTTCAAACACAACACTGATACCTGGGATTCCACTGCTGTGTTACAATCAAGTCATATCTTTCAGTTTTATATCTCCGGCTCCCTTGACACTAAGGATCGTCTAGTGACAATAAGTAAATAGGAAGTGTTTCTCCCAAGTGGGATTTTCTCTAGAAGTCCTACCTTTCCCAAGAAAAGGATTATCCCAGAGACTCCTTGCAAAATGATAATGATCAATGCTGTCTATGGTTCAGAACAAAGACACTCCTAAATCTAACCTAACACATGAAATTTATTTTGTTCACAGCTTATTGCTAAGAGGGCACTCAAATGTATAGCCCAGATTGTAAATAAAAGACAAAGTAATTGTCTGGTTTTTCAAAAAATTTATTTTATTTATTTACTTATTTATATTGAGATAGAGTCTTGCTCTATCGCCCAGGCTAGAGTGCAGTGGCGTGATCTCACTGCAACCTCCACCTTCCAGATTCAAGCAATTCTCTTGCCTCAGCCTCCCTTGTAGCTGGGACCACAAGCTTGCACCACCATACCCAACTAATTTTTGTATTTTTAGTAGAGACGGGGTTTCACAATGTTGGCCAGACTGGTCTCGAACTCCTGACCTCAAGTAATCCACCCACCTCGGCCTCCCAAAGTGCTGGGATTACAGGCATGAGCCACGGTGCCCGGCCCAAAAAATTTACATCAGCCAGTTTTAACTCTTGGTAGAAGCAGAATATCTTGACCAAACTTAAGAGGGTTTCAGCCACGTCTGACATAAAAAATTATTGAAAAATCCTGATGAGATTCAGAGCGTAATTAACTACTCAGCATTTTTACAGTCATAAAGGGGCTAGAATCACACATGCCACAAGCAGAGGGAACAGTTGGACTCTGGTTAGATGAGCTAACTGGATAACTTCCTTAGCCAGAGGGGTCAGGCAGATCACCCCTGGCTGCGTCCTAGTGGAGCAAAATGGATTACAGCCTCACGATTCATTGCCTTTGATACACTTAAAGAGAATTCTGTCTTTCAAGAAAAATGGGAGGGAGTATATGTGGAAGTAAAGATGATTTATATTTTTCCTCCAAGTAAGTTTGAGACGTGGGTAAATAAAAATATTTTACACTCATCTGTATCCATTCACTTGTGCTGATGTTTGTTGTAGGATCAATGTCAAGGGATGCTCTGCTTCAATGTCTAGGGGACAACAGGGAATAGTGCAGACTGCGGTGAACTAAAGGGGCAGCCCGCAGCCATCTCCAGCTTACTGGGGCCACATTCTAGTCTCAACACTTACTTTGCAACAGAATTACCTGGGAATCCTAAAATTAAGGTCCTCAAATTTCAAAACCAAAGATGCTATTTACTTCTTCTGGAGAGGGGTTCTGGAAACTGCATTTTACTAAGTCCCTTACATCAACACTATTCAGTAAAAATGTAAATGTAATATGCCATATAATTGCAGGCCACATATGTGACTTTAAATTTTCTAGTAGCCGCATGTAGAAGAAAAATAAAGAAAAACAGAAGAAATCTTAATATATTTAGTTTCATCTCATGTATTATTTTAACATGTAATTAATTATTAACAATTTCTGTCTTCAAAATTTGGTATGCATTTTATATTTAAAGCATGCCTGAATTCATACTAGCCATATTTCTAGTGCACAGTTTTTATTATTGCATGAGATTTCTCTTTCTTGTTCAATTTTGTGAAAGTTGTGTTTGCCTTGACTTCCACTGCTTAAGTTTAAACAGCTCAAAGCCCAACAGTGTACTCTCATTTGCTCAAACTTCCCTCTCCAGGCTTGGAACAGGAGATCTAAGTCCCAATCCCAATTCTGTCTATTAAACTTTCTGAACTTGGACATGTTGCCATTTCATTGTCAATGTCCCAATTTCCCCATCAGAAGTTGAGTTACTTATACTAGATGTCTGAAGATCATTCTCTACTCTCCTGATGCTAATAAATTGTCTGACTTTTTGTTTCAAGAAAAGGGTATTTTTTTTTCCTTTTATTGTCTTGTGATGCTTCTGAGAGAGGTGAAGTTGATGCATGGAGGACTTACTCAGCATTCCCCATTCCCTAGCCCTCTGCCCACCCAACTATCTTTGAAAATTCCTAGCCTCTGAATTTTCAGGGAGGTTGATTTGAGTAATAAACTCCCATCTTCCATGTGGCTAACCCTGCATTAATTAAACTCTTTTTCTGCTGCAATACCTCTGTCTCAGTGAATTGGTTTTATCTGTGCAGTGGGCAAGAAGAACTTCTGGGCAATCACAAGAAGGCAGCCATTTCAAATAAAAGGGAAAAAAGTTTTCACAGGTTAAGTGGTTTTGCCAAAGTCATGCAAGGTTAGTGGCTTCCAAAACCAAGATTAGAGCCCACATTTATCAGGGCTCTTAGCAGAGACCATCACCATAACCTCTTGTAACAGACACTTGGTTCTCGTGGGTGATGGAAAGCATGGTCTCAGCTCTGGAAGGATTTCTGAAATGGGAAAAGGAAGTGTTTTTCTCAGCAATCCATTAGTGAGATACATTCTTCAACAATGTAGGAAGTTGTTGGAATAACTTAAAGAAGGAGCTCATTGCCATTATTTCCTTTGGCCTTTATAAAGGGCTCGCCAAGGTATTACTGGTTCTGGGGGATGTCTGGGTTAAACGGCTTTTGTTCTAATACATCTGATGGTACAGCTTAAACGCAAAAGGAAAGCAAAATGGCGCTGCTTCAGAATTTAAGCAATAACCCAGAGTAAAAACAAGCAGGAAAGCACCAAGCTCTTATGTGTTCACGTAACATCACTAGGTGCCATTTCCCTCCTGGAAAAAATCTCGAGAAGCTTCCCAAACGCGCAACATGAGAAAGGTTATTAAAGCATTTATTCTAAGATGACTTTTTAATTGCAAAATGATAACATCCCAGCATCTCTGCCTCACTGAGTTGAGGGAAATATTTAGAAACTGTTTGTGTGCCCTAAGAGAAAGGCTGGTACATAATTGCAAATTATTACCACTTCTGCAGGTCATGCTGACAAGATTATCTCTCAGCGGGCTGACAATCAGAAACCTGCTTCTAGTCGGGTGGTTTTTCACAGCTGGTAACCTTTTTCTTTTTTCCTGGATGGAACGGAAATTAACATTGTATGCCTGCTCCTTTCACTTTAGTGGGCCATTTATCATATTAAAGCCCATTGGTCTAGGTACCAGCCTCACCAACTTAGGTAAACAGAGTTCTAGGAGGAACCGACAGATGTTAGCAAGACAAGTAATCACAGAACAACAAAGCTTCATTGCCACAGCTGTTACATAAACAGTTTTCAAAAACATGGCAACTAGGAGGCAATTTAAGGAGAGAATCTTCAGGGGATGCTTACAATGCTGGTAATGCTTAGATTGCAATGGAGGCTTAAATCTCCAATTTTGTAATATGACTGAAAAGGCCCAGCATGATCTGGCCCTTCCCACATCTCTATGCCCCAGTGCCTCCCCGCTGCCTGCAGCCACCTGTTGTCCCTTTGGGTCCTCCAATGCTCTGAGCTCCTTTGCACCTTGGGACTTCATGTGTACTTCTCTCCTTCATTTAACAGAACTCCATTTAAATTCTACTTTCTTAGAATCTACTCATTCTCAATTAGCCCCCTCCCTTTATACTCTTAGAGGTTTCTGTATTTTCTCCCCTTCTTGATACCTATTGAAAGTTATTTCACTTTACTGTTTTTTGTTTTTTTTTTTGACTCAGGGTCTTGCTCTGTCACCCACGCTTGAGTGCAGTGGCGCAGTCACAGCTTACTACAGCCTCGAACTCTGCGACTCCACTGAGCCTTTTGCCTCAGCCTCCCGAGTAGCTGGCACTACAGGATAATTTTTTTTGTATTTTTTTGTGAAGAGAGGGGTCTCGGCCAGGTGCTGTGGCTCACACCTGTAATCCCAGCACTTTGGGAGGCTGAGGCGGGCGGATCATGAGGTCAGGATTCAAGACCAACCTGGCCTAGATGGTGAAACCCCATCTCTACTAAAAATGCAAAAATTAGCTGGGTGTGGTGGCGTGTGCCTGTAATCCCAGCTACTCGGGAGGCTGAGGCAGAGAATTGCTTGAACCCGGGAGGCAGAGGTTGCCATGAGCCGAGATCCACACCACTGCATTCCAGCCTGGACGACAGAGTGAGACTCCAACTCGAAGAAAAAAAAAAGAGAGAGAGAGAGACGGGGGGTCTCACTATGCTGCCCAGGCTGGCCCCAAACTCTTGGGCTCAAGTGATTCTCCCACCTTGGTCACCTCGTGCTGGGATTACAGGCATGAGCTACCATGCCCAACCCCTACTAAAATGTAAAGTTATATATTTATTTCCTTGATTATCAGTTTATGTGTCTGTGTCATTAGAACATAAGTCATGTGGTGGAAGAGATCAGGTCTGCTTGATCATTCTATCTCCAGTGTCCCATATGTAGTTTGCACTATTACTTGTTGAATGAATATGGAGAGTTCTCCATTTTATGGATGATTCCAATTATTTCTCACCACACCTCTCGAGTCCCTTGACATAGGTATCGTCACCCCATTTTACAAAAAAGGAAATGGATTGGTGGTGACACAATTTGCCCAAGATCATGTAGCCAGTGCATAGTGGGGTGAATTGCAAATTCAAGTAGAACATGAAAACCTGTGGTTTTCCTTCGTAGCATCTTCTAAATACTTGTTTGGCCTATAATATCAGAACTTTGGGAGGCTGAGGTGGGAGAATCAGTTAAGGATAGGAGTTCAAGAGCAGCCTGGGCAACATAGTGAGACCTTGTTTCCACAAAAAATTTTAAAAAGTTAATGAGGTGTAGTGGCGCACAACTGTAGTCACAGCTACTCGGGAGGCTGAGGCAGGAGAATCACCTGAGCCCAGGATTTTGAGACTGCAGTGAGCTATGGTTATACCACTGCACTCCAGCCTGGGTGACAGTGTGACTCCATCTCTAAGTAAATGAAAACATATATACATAAATATATACATAGTTTTTTTGGTATTAGAACCAGAGCTAAATACATTTCTTGCATTATTTTATTTAATCCTCAAAACAACCCATTGAGATAGGTAGTATAGGTACTATCTTCATTTTCCAGAAGAGGAAATTGCAACTCACAGAGGTTAAGTGATCTGCTTAGGGTCACACAGCTAGAAAGGGGAAGAACTCCCTGAATCCAAACATCATACTATTCTGCGTTGCCCCAGTCTCATGTGTCACACTACCATGGGCTGCTGTTGTCATATTCTCTAATCTGGTCTTCAGGTTTCTCTCTGGAGAGTGGCCATGAGCCAAGGTAGCCACTTTCTAGGAGAGCCCTCAACAGGAAAAGAGTTAGGTTCAGGTGTGAAGGGCAGGTGAGACACAATGAGAAGGTGAAATCGTGATGCATGAAACAAAAATTGTATTATTTACAGATCCAGAGAGGTCGGAGTTGCCAACAGGAGGCTACAGGAAGTCTGGAGGCCACAAGGAACTCAACCAATGGGCAGAGAGCAAGAGAGGGAGGGCCTCGGGGAGCAGGACTTTATTAAGGTCCAGGGGCATCATCCCTTAGATTTTCCCAGGGGCCTATGGATTGGCTAGTTTAAGGAAAACATGTTTGAGAAGGGGGAAATTTATTTACATGAATCTGGTGTTGACCATTGTGTTTTATCATGATCAGCAGTCATTGGTGTGTTGGGCTTAGGGTCAGTGGGATGAGGAACAAGCGGGCTATACTGCAAACAGGGACAGGAGGAGAGGAATTTTTAACTAGGCCAAAGGTGATGAGGTACAACTGGTTTTCAAACCACCTATGTCAGGCCTAACGGTGGGCGTGGAGGCAGCAAGTGTGTTACACAAATTTACGACAGTCACACACTGTGCTTGGGTCTGAGGATGGTTAAAGAAAAAATTATTGTCACACATGTTGGAATGGTTAGTATGACTTTGCGCAGGTCTATCGCAACAGGTGTCAAGACTATCATAATCATCTTAGGAGAGATTAGGCTCAACTTAGAATATAGCACAGACACCTGAGGATTGATCACCAGTGAGAAGACTGAGGGGGATCAATCGAAAGAAAATTACTAAGAGGAGACATAGAGAATAGGGAGATTCTTACTAGAGACAGGTCAAGGACTTATATACCAAAAGTTGTGGGGGAGGAAATTGAGCAGGTACGGAGGGTGATCAGATATCAAGGGTATGGAGGTTCTTGCTAAACTGACATAGTAACATTCAAGCTAAAACTGGGACAGGCAGGCCAAAGACAGCACTTTAGTTTTATCCAAAGTCAAAGCCTAGTCAAGAAGAGGAGCCTTACTAAAGTTTACCCAAGGAGAGTCTTTGTCAGGTACTAGAGTGAACAATGTAGTCAGTTTCTTGAGCCCAGAGTTAGATAAAGTGACAGTCTAACAGCCTATGATGTCTTGGCAGCTTATTGTGGGCTATGACCCTCCTTTGGGTTTTATTTTCTTGTATCAATAATTGAGCAAGATGACACAAGGTGGAGGTAGCGGTAGTGGAGTGGGGAAGGTGTGGGAAAAGATGTGGCAACCTGCGTGGCAAGTGAGTTTCAAGACCTGCTAAGCATAATTCATTCACCTGGGAGAGAGTGTGAGGCAGCCAGCCCAGGGCTGGGTTTTGGTCTCAGCTCCCCACCTCCCTGGGTATCTGGCCTTTTCTCCTGGACTGTCCTATCCTGGGTGTGTCTTCTAACCCTACTGTGCCACTGAGATTCACAGTGCCTTGGTTTTGCCTCTCTCTGACAAAGAATCAGCCTTCAAGAGTCGGGAAACCGGGAAAACAAGTTGCTGCTTGATTATATTGTACCTTTCTCATTCTTGCATTTTGTGTGTGTTCCTGAAAGCCCCACTTCCCAGCCTTATAGGTACAGTGAGAACACACACAATGTACACACATACTTGCGGGTTCATTCATTCAGACAACATCTACTGAGCATCTTACTGTGTGCTAAGTGCTATCAAGATATAGAGATGGATGAAACACTTATCCACAAGCTCAGACATCCGTACAGTCACAGTGTGTGTTTGGGCATGTAGATAAGAACTCATGATTGAAGCTTAGATTTGAAAAGCTTCATGAGAGAGAGAACATAGTAATGACTATCATTTAAGAAACACTATATGTCCAACATTGTTCCAGAATTTCATGCACATTAACAATCTGCAACAATCCTGTAAGGTAGATCTGACAATTAAGCTCCTTTACAAGGAGGCTTAAGGAGACTACCTTGTCAAAGACACAAAGCAATGCAGTAGTGAAGCTGGGATTGAAACTCAGAGCTGGTACACACCACATTGTACAACACACTGTGGAGGTATCATAGCCCCTACTGCAGTATCGTGCAAACTGGTAACTTACAATGGGCATTCAGAGCTGGGAAGTTTACTTCCACTTGGGGATCAGAGGAACATGAAAACCTATTCAATATGATCACAAAACAGAAAGGGACTGTGGCAGAACTTGGTAGACACTAGGGAAGCTGAACCACTACTAGTAGCAGCTGGGTTCTCAAAAGCTCATATTGTGCTGGAAAGCACTTCTCTTTCTTGCAATGTGATGTGTCTCAGACCTCACTGTGAACACAGCTCACCTGGGAATCATGGTAAAACTCAGGCTCCAATTCAGCAGGTCTGGTTGGGACCTGGGACTCTGCATGCCTACCAAGCTCCCAGCTCATGCCAATGCTGTTAATCCGTAGAATACGCTTGGACAAGCAAAGCTCTGGGGCAGCAGTTCTCAAAGTGAGGTATTGAGAACCAGGTAGCAGCAGCAGCATCACCCAGAAGCATGCTAGAAATACAAATTCCAAGGCCCCACTCCAGAACAAATGAATCAGGAACTCTAGGGTGGAGCCCAGGAATCTGCACTTTCACAAATTCTTCAGGTGATGCTGACGCACATTGAAGTTTGAGAACCACTGCTCTAGACAGCAGTGTATTCTCCTTCTCTGCTCTCCTTCATTTATAATGTTTTTTTTTTTTCTGTTAGATGCTCTGATTCGCTTCTAAATGAGGG
Source organism: Homo sapiens (assembly GCF_000001405.40). NCBI lineage: Eukaryota > Metazoa > Chordata > Mammalia > Primates > Hominidae > Homo > Homo sapiens. The sequence continues at coordinate 77,710,527 of NC_000016.10, forward strand.
AGGAAGTCCTGATATACTTGCTACCTGCTCGGGAGACCAATGCAAAACTCTTCCTAAAAAAGCCTCTCTAAACTTCTCAAAGATGGCAGACTCTGCGTAGTTAAGTGGTAAAACCCCCGGCCAGACTCCAGACTCACCTTCATCCAGATTCACCTTTAGTCTGTGCTATACATGATAGTTAATATGTGACATACATATATGTCTATACACACATTTGCATATGTAGGCTTTGTACCACCTCATAGATTTGTTGTAAGGCACACACTTATCTACAAGGAACATTTCCAAGATCCAAATGTAACAGCAACAACATAATAGAAATAAAAACGCTGAACACGTATTATTTCAGAGAAATAACTCATTCTTTGATTAACATGATCTCGGTGTTTGTTAGCTGGAAGGTTCTAATTTCTCAGTAATAGAGCATTCAAGGCTATTAGCATAATTTTATGACCCCTAACTATAATTCAATGAAAATTGAGATGTTTGTTTCCACTGTATCAAATTTGCCTCTGCTGGATACTGGAAATCCATTGACTGAAGTGCTGTACCAGTTAAGCTAGAATGGGGTAAGCAGTAAATAAATAAACACAAATTTTCAGTGGCTTATTTTTATTACATGCCACGCTCACATTATATGTCCAACATGGTATGTGTGTATATAATAGCAAGAGTAGGGGAATGGGTGGAGGAGAGCCCTCCTCCAATCACCCAAGACCCAGGCTCACAGAGCTCTAGCATCTTGGGACACAGTTCCCTCAATGTGTGGCTCCAAGGATACTGTTGCAAGGCAGAAACAGGATACTCCTGCAGTGGTTTTTTCACTGTCTTAGCCATAAGAGGCACACATCACTTTCACTCACATGTCATTAGCCAGAACAAGTCTCATGACTCTGCCTAGTTGTGAGGGAAGAGGAGTCTCCTATGTGTCCAAGAAGAAAGGGAGAACTAGAAATCGGTGAGCAACAGTATTATCTTCACACTCAGCTGAAACATGTTACACTTGAATGCCTATAAGCATAATAAGGTAAAAAGATGAGCAACAATCAGCTCAAAAAGATCTCTGTAAATCAGCACACGTGACATTGCCATTGAGGGAGCATTTATTATGTACCAAGAACTCACTATCCTATTTCATGTACATAATTTCAACCGGTGCTGAAACAGCCCTGATGGGGTGGCCCCATTATCTAACCTACCAGTTTAAAACTGCAGGCAAGATCTGAGGCCGGATTTGAATCCAGTTTCAACTGTCTCTGTAGCACCCGGACTTAATCCACATGTGATACCCCTCAGTGACGATGCCGGCTCCTCCCCTTCAAAACTCTTTGATTACTCATTGCCTTTCTGTGGACTTCGTAGTTGTTAAAATCCTATTCTACCAGGGACAAACCACAATCTCTGCAGGCCCTTCTCCAGTGTACTGGACTGGGTCCAGGACTGCAACTAGTGTGGACTTTGTAAGGTCAGTTCCCAAAAAACGTCATTAGTAAAACACACAGAGGATGCCCCACCCCTCAGAAGTAAGGGCAGGTTTAAGACTTATATGCTGATCTACTCTCACTTTCTCTTTTGCCCTACTGAGAGGGGTAAGAACTCTGGTCCTCCCCAGCAGCTACAGGGGCCCATCATCTGTGGACACACTACAAGGAAAATACAAGGTAGAAACATTTAACAGGACACAGACATGGAATGAAAAAGAGAGAATTGTTCTTGTTTTCTTCCCTTGGCTACCTGGAAATTCAAAGATAAATGTAAATGCTTTGAACATCTTAGCACCTTATCCTTGGCTTCTGGTAAAATTACTGCCTCTGACCCCGCCCCCCCGCCCCCCCCAATTACCACTTATACAGTTCACTTTCCCCACTTAGCTTCTGCGTTAATATCAGTTCAATCACCTTACACCATTTTTTTAATAGGCAGGATATACAGGCACAACTTATTTCATTGCACTGCAGTTTATTATCCTTTGCAGATATTGGGTCTTTTAAAAATTGAAGGTTTGTGGCAACCCCACATCAAGCAAGTCTATCAGTGTCATTTTTCCAATACCACGTGTGATCTTTCTGCTACTATCACAGCGGGTGTACACCTTGTGATATTATGCATGATATCCTCGCGATCTTTCTGCTACTATCACCTTGGGTGTACACCCAGTAATATTATACATGATATCTTCACGATCTTTCTGCTATCACAGTGGGTGTACACCCTCTGATATTACACATGATATCTTCACGGTCTTTCTGCTACTATCACAGTGGGTGTATACCCTGTGATATTATGCATGATATCCTCGAGATTTTCCAGGTGATATCGCAGCGCATGTACCCCATGTGTGTGCACCCTGTGATGTTATGTAGGATATCCTCGCGATCGTTTTGCTAATGTCAATCGCAGTCACTTTACATCCTGTGTGTACACCTTGTGATGTTATGCAGGATATCCTTGCGATCTTCCCACTAATATCAATCAATTACAGTGCCTGTAAACCCTGGGGTATACCCTGTGATGTTATGCAATATATCCTCGTGATCTTTCCGCTAATATCAATCACAGTGGCTGTACACCGTGTGTACACCCTGTGATTTTATGCAAGACATCCTTGCCAACTTTTCGCTGATAACAATCAATCACAGTGGCTGTGCACCCTGTGTGTACACCCTGTGATGTTACGCAGAATATCCTAGAGATCTTTCTGCTAATATCAATCCATCACAGTGGCTGTACACCCTGTGTGTACACCCTGTGATGTTACTCATGCTATTCTCGCGATCTTTCCGCTAATAGCAGTCAATCACAGTGGCTGTACATTCTGTGTGTACACCCTGTGATGTTACGCAGGATACCCTCGCAATCTTTTTACTAATATCTATCAATCACAATGGCTGCACACCCTGTGTGTACACCCTGCGTGTATAATCTGTGATATTATGCATATTTATGCATAGTATCCTCACGATCTTTTTGCTAATGTCACAGTAAGTGTACACCTGCGATATTAACTATGGCATCCTGACAACCTTTCTGCTAATATCACAGTGGGTGTACACCCTGTGTGCACACGCTGCGATATTATTCATGACATCGTTGCGACCTTTCCGCTAATATCACAGTGGGTGTATGCCCTGGGTGCGCACCCTGCAATACTATGCATGATATCCTCCCGATCTTTCTGCTAATATCACAGGGGCTTTACACCATGTGATATTAGACATGATATTCTCGCGATCTTTCTGCTAATATCACAGTGACTGTTACACCCTGCGTTACACCATGTGATCTTATACATGATATCCTCCCGATCTTTCTGCTAATATCACAGTGGCTTTACACCATGTGATATTATACATGATATCCTCCCGATCTTTCTGCTAATATCACAGTGGCTTTATACCATGTGATATTATACATGATATCCTCCCGATCTTTCTGCTAATATCACAGTGGCTTTACACCATGTGATCTTATACATGATATCCTCCCGATCTTTCTGCTAATATCACAGTGGCTTTACACCATGTGATATTATACATGATATTCTCGCGATCTTTCTGCTAATATCACAGTGGCTTTACACCATGTGATATTATACATGATATTCTCGCGATCTTTCTGCTAATATCACAGTGGCTTTACACCATGTGATATTATACATGATATCCTCCCGATCTTTCTGCTAATATCACAGTGGCTTTACATCATGTGATATTATACATGATATTCTCGCGATCTTTCTGCTAATATCACAGTGGCTTTACACCATGTGATATTATACATGTGATATTATCATGTATAATATCATGTATAATATCATGTATAATATCATGTATAATATCCTCCCAATCTTTCTGCTAACATCACAGTGGCTGTACAGCCTGTGATATTATATACGTGATATCCTCGCGATCTTTCTGCTAATATCACAGGGAATGTACACCCTGTGTTCACATCCTGCGATATTATGCATGACATTTTCCCTACCTTTCTACTGATATCACAGTAGGTGTACACCCTGTTTGCACACCCTGCGATACTATTCATGACATCCTCGTGACCTTCCTGCTAATATCACAGTGAGTGTACACCCTATGTGCACACCTTGCGATGCTATGCATGACATTCTCGCGACCTTTCCGCTAACATCACAGTAGGTGTACACCCTGGATGCACACCTTGCGATACTATGCATGATATCCTCGCGATCTTTCTGCTACTATCACAGTGGGTGTTCACCCTATGATATTATGCATGATATCCTGGGGATCTTTCTGTTACTATCATAGCGGGTGTACACCCTGTGTGTATATTCTGTGATATTATGCATGATATTTTTGCTATCTTTCCGCTAATATCAGTCACAGTGGGTGTACATCCTGTGTTTACACCCTGTGGTCTTAAGCATGATATACTCCCTATCTTTCTGCTAGTATCACCGTGGGTTTACACCCTGTGTGGACACCCTGTGATATTATGCATGATATTCTCATGATCTTTCCGCTAATATCCATCACAGTGGGTGTACATTGATATTACGCGTGTACACTCTGTGATATTACACATGATATCCTCACGCTCTTTCTGCTAATATCACAGTGGGTGTACAGCCTGTGAGATTATGAATAATATCCTCGAGATATTTTTGCTACTTTCACAGTGGTTGTACACCCTTTGTGTACACCTTGTAAATTTATGCACAATATATTCGAGATACTTCTGCTACTGTCACAGTTGGTGTACACCCTGAGTGTACACCTTGTGAGATTATGCGTAATATCCTAGAGATATTTCTGCTACTGTCACAGTGGGTGTACACTCTGGGTGTACACCCTGTTATATTGTGCACAATATCCTTGAGACATTACTGCTTGTATCACATAGTGGGTGTACACCCTGTGATATTATGCCTAATATCTTGAGGGATTACTGTTAATATCACAGCGTGGGTACACCTTGTTTGTAATCCCCTCTGATATCATGCCTAATATCTTCTTCGAGAGATTACTGCTAATATTACAGGGGGTGTATCCCCCATGTGTACCTTTCCTGAGATATTATGCCTAACATCTTCTTAGAGAAATCCTACTAGTAGCACAGGGGTGGTACACCCTGTGTGTCCACCCTGTGATATTATGTTTAATATCTTCTTCAAGAGGTTACTCCCAATATCACAGTGGGCGTACTCACTGTGTGTACACCCTGTGATATTATTCATAATATTTTCGATATTACAGCTAATATTGCAGTGGATGTACACCTTGTGTGTAAACACTGTTAAAATATTCATAATATCTTTGATATTGCCACTAAAATCACAGTGGGTGTACACCCTGTGTGCATACTCCGTGATATTATTCATAATATTTTCGATATTACAGCTAATATCACAGTGGATGTACACCCTGAGTGTACACACTGTGAAAATATTCATAATATCTTCGATATTGCTGCTAATATCGCAGTGGGTGTACACTCTGTGTGTATACTCCGTGATATTATTCATAACATTTTCATATTACCACTAATATCACAGTAGGTGTACACCCTGTGATATTGTTCATAATATATTCAATATTACCACTAATATCAGAGTTCGTGTACACCCTGTGATATTATTCATTATACCTTCAATATCACCGCCACCATCACAGTGAGTGTACCCCCTGTGATAGTATTAATATATTCGACATTACTGCTAATATCACAATGGGTGTATACCCTGTGATGTTATTTATATCTTTTATATTACTGCTAATATCACAGTACTGCTATCACACTTGGTGTACATCCTGTGATGTTACTCCTAATATTTTAGATTTTACTGCTGATATCCCAATGGGTGTACACCCTGGTTGTACATCCACTGTGATATTATTTATAATATCTTTGATATAATGGCTAATATCACAGTGGGTGTACACCCTGTGATATTATTCATAATAACATGGAAGCCGTGTGTAAACATTGGATATTATAAATATCAGAGTGATATTTCATTAATATCACAGTGTGTAAACATTGTGTTAACACAGTATGTTATAAATATGAGAGCAATATTTCATTAATATCATGGTTTGTAATCACTGAGTGTAAATACTGGATATGATAAGTATTAGAGTGATATTTCATTAATATAACAGTGTGTAAACAGTGTGTGCAAACACTGATATTATAAATATCGGAGCAATATTTTATAAATATCACAGTGTGTAAACACTGGATATTTTAAATATGAGGGGGATATTTCATTACTATTACAGTGTGTAAACACTTGATGTTATAAATATCAGAGTCATATTTCATTATTATCAACGTGTTTAAACACTGTGTAAACACTGATATTACAAATATCAGAGTGACATTTCTTTAATATCACAGTGTGTAAACACTGAATAATATAAATATCAGAGCGATATTTCATTAATATCAATAGTGTGTAAACACTGAATATTATAAATATCACAGTGATATTTCATTAATATCATAGTGTGTAAACACTGTGTCTAAACACTGGATATGATAAATATTAGAGCAAGATGTCATTAATATCCCAGTGTGTAAACACTGTGTCTAAACACTGAATATTATAAATATCAGAGTGACATTTCATTAATATTTTAGTGTATAAGCACTGGATGTTATAATTATCAGAGCGATATTTCATAAACATCACAGTGTGTACACCACTGCCATTATAAATATCATGGCGATATTTTATTACTATCACAGTGTGTAAACACTGGATATTATAAATATCAGAGCCATATTTCATTACTATCACAGTGTGTGAATACTGAATATTATACATCTCAGAGCAATATTTCATTAATATCACAGTGTGTAAACACTGGATATTATAAATATCAGAGCCATATTTCATTAATATCACAGTGTGTAAACACCGGATATTATAAATATCAGAGTGATATTTCACTCACTGAATATTATAAACATCATCAGAGAGATATTTCATTAATATCACTGTGTGTAAACCCTGAATATTATAAATACCATCAGAGAAATATTTCATTAATATCACAGTGTGTAAACAGTGGATATTGTAAATATCATCACACTGATATTTCATATATATCACTGTGTGTAAACACTGGATATTACAAGTATCATCAGAGTGATATTTTGTTAATATCATAGTGTGTCAATATTGGATATTACAAGTATCATCAGAGCAATATTTCATGAATACTACAGTGTGTAAACACTGGATATTACAATTATTATCATCAGAGCGATATTTCATTAATATCACAGCGTGTAAACCCTGGATATTACATGTATCCTCATCAGAGCAATATTCATTAATATCACAGTTTGTAAACCCTGGATACAATAAATATCAGAGCGAAATTTCCCTAAAATCACAGTGTGTACATCGTGGATACTATAAATATCAGTGCAAAATTTCCCTAGTATCACAATGTGTAAATCCTGGATACTCTAAATATGAGACCGAAAATTCCCTGGTATCACAGTGTGTAAACCCTGGATTTTATAAATATCAGAGCTAAATTTCCCCAGTATCACAGTGTGTAAACCCTGGACACTATAAATATCAGAACAAAATTTTCCTAGTATCACAGTGTGTAAACCCTGGATACTATAAATATCAGAACAAAATTTTCCTTGTATCACAGTGTGTAAGCCCTGGATACTATAAATATCAGAGTCAAATTTTCCTAGTATCACAGTGTGTAAACACTTTGTGTAAACACTGGAAATTATATGTATCAGACTGATATTTCACTAGTGTCACAGTGTGTAAACCCTGTGTGTAAACTCTGGATATTATAAATATCAGAGCGATATTTCACTAATGTTACAGTGTGTAAACGCTGTATATTATAAATATCAGGGTGAAATTTCACTAATGTCTCAGTATGTAAATACTGGATATTAGTAATATCAGAGAGAAATTTTACTAATGTCGCAGTGTATAAACACTAGATATTACAAATATCAGAGCGAAATTTCCCTTGTATCACAGTGTGTAAAAAGTGGACACTATAAATATCAGACCGAAATTTCCCTAGTATTACTGTGTGTAAACACTGGATACTATAAGTATCAGAGCGGTATTTCACTAGTATCACAGCGTGTAAACACTTTGTGTAAACACTGGATATTATACATATCAGAATGATATTTCACCAGTATTACAGTGTGTAACCACTGGAGATGATAATTATCAGGGTGATATTTCACTAGTATCACAGTGTGTAACCACCGGATATTATAAATATTAGAGCGATATTTCTTTAATATCACAGCATGTAAGCCCTGTGTGTAAACACTGGATATTATAAATATCACAGCGATATTTCGCTGATATCACAGTGTGTAACCACTGGGTATTGTAAATATCACAGTGATGTTTCACCAATATCACAACGTGTTACTAGTGGATATTGGAAATATCACAGCGATGTTTTGCCAATATCACAGTGTGTAACCACTGGAAATTGTAAATATCACAGTGATATTTCGCCGATATCACAGTGTGTAACCAGTGTGTAATCACAGGATATTGTAAATATCAGAGCAATATTTTGCTGGTATCACAGTGTGTAAACTTGATACTGTAAATATCACAGCAATATTTCACTGATATTACAGTGTGTAAACACTGGATATTGTAAATATCACAGCGATATTTCACTGATATCACAGTGTATAAACTCTGGATGTTGTCAATATCACAGTGATATTTCACTAATATCAGAGTGTGTAAACACAGGATATCGTAAATATCACAGCAATATTTCAGTGATGTCACAGTGTGTAAGCACTGTGTGTAAACACTGGATATTATGAATATCACAGCGATATTTCATTAGTATCACGGTGTGTAAACACTGGATATTATAAATATAACACCGATATTTCCTTAATATCATGATGTGTAAACACTAGATATTATAAATATTGCATCGATATTTCATTAATATCATGGCGTGTAAACACTATGTGTGAACACTGGATATTAGAAATATCACAACATTTCATTAATATCACGGTGTGCAAACACTGTGTGTAAACAATGGATATTATGAAAATCACAGCGATATTTCATTAATGTCACAGTGTGTAAGCACTGTGTGCAAACACTGGATATTATGAATATCATAGCGATATTTTATTAATATCGCAGTGTGTAAGCACTGTGTGGAAACACTGGATATTATGAATATCACAGCGATATTTCGTTAATGTCACAGTGCGTAAGCACTGTGTGTAAATACTGGATATTATGAATATCACAGTGATATTTCATTAACGTAACAGCGTGTAAGCACTGTGTAAACACTGGATATTATGAGTGTCACAGTGATATTTCATTAATTTCACACGGGATATTATAAAAATCACAACGATATTTAACATCATAGTGTGTAAACACTTTGTGTAAACATCGGGTATTATAAATATCACAGCGATGTTTCATCGGTATCACAGTTTGTAAACCTTGGATATTATAAACATCACAGCGATATTTCATTTATATCACGATGTGTAAACACTGGATACTATAAATATCACAGCGATGTTTGCTTAATATCACGGTGTGTAAACACTGTATATTACAAATATCACAGCCATATTTTATTAATATCACGGTGTGTACACACTGGATATTATAAATATCATATTGATATTTCATTGAGGTCATGGTGTGTAAACACTGGATGTTGTAAATATCTGTGATATTTCATTGATGTTATGGTGCATCAACACTTGATATTACAAATATCACAGAGACATTTCATTGATATCACAGTGTGGAAACACTGGGTATTATAAATATCACAGCGATATTATATTAATATCACGGTGTGTAAACATTGTATATTACAAATATCAGCCATATTTTATTAATATCACAGTGTGTAAACACTGGATATTATAAATATCACATCGATATTTCATTGATGTCACGGTGTGTAAACACTGGATGTTGTAAATATCACAGCGATATTTCATTAATATTTCATTTCATTAATAATTTCACAAACTGCCCCACTGACCTAGGGCCAGCCACAATATTACTTTCATGGGCCCTAGCTACTTTGTTTTTGTGCACCCCTTCTTCCATAAAATAATTTTAAAGTGAATATTTTATGACTGAATTCATAAAATGACTATCATCCAAGCTGGATTCATTATTATATATTGCTTTTATTACATACCTTTTCTTCTTCTAATTTAAAAAGAAATTACAATTAAAACATTTTCACAGGTCCCTAAAATTACTGTGTGTGTCCTGTGCCTGTAAGGGAGAAGTCAGCCCTACACTGACCCCTGGATTCTCAGCTCGCACCAGGCTCCCTCACACACACTGTTCTCCAGCCCCTTTCTGCTGTCTTTGCACAAACTTTGCCCTCTTCCTTGAACACTCTCCCTTGCCTTTTTCCTCATTTATGTCCTCTATCCCGCACAGAGCATCAGAATCCCCTTACAGCACAGATCACTGGGCCTGACACCTGGCTTCTGATTCAGCAGTTGTGACATGGGCCCCAAAGTCCACCTTTTCTTTTCTTTTCTTTTCTTTTCGTCTTTTTTCTTTTCTTTTCTTTTCTCTTTTCTTTCTTTCCTTTCTTTCTTTCTTGGTTTTTGTTGTTGTTGTTGTTGTTGTTTTGTTTTGTTTTGTTTTTGAGACAGAGTTTCGCTTTTTTTTGCCCAGGCTGGAGTGCAATGGCGCGATCTCGGCCCACTGCAAACTCCGCCTCCCAGGTTCAAGCGATTCTCCTGCCTCAGCCTCCTAGTAGCTGAGATTACAGGCGCCTGCCACTGGCTAATTTTTGTTTTTTTAGTAGAGATGGGGTTTCACCATGTTGGCCAAGCTGGTCTCAAACTCCTGACCTTAGGTGATCCACCCGACTTGGCCTCCCAAAGTGCTGGGATTACAGGTGTGAGCCACAGCGCCTGGCCCAGAGTCCACATTTTTAACAGGACCAAAGTGATCCTGATTCTGCTGGTCTGAGGACCACACTTTGAGAACTACTGCTTTCAAGATGAGCTGCACTTCTATTTCCTCTACCAAGCCTCTTCTGTCTCCTAATTGGGTCACATTTCTCCTTCACACGCTCTAGAAGGACCAAAGGCCACTGCTTTATCAGTGTGATTTTTTTTTTTTTTTTTTTTTGCATTAAAAACTTCTTATCTTCTTCTTCTTATTTTTGAGACGGTCTACCTCTGTCAGGCTGGAGTGCAGTGGTGCTATCACGGCTCACTGCAGCTTCGACCTCCTGGGCTCAAGCGATCCTCCCACCTCAGCCTCTTGAGTAGCTGGGACCACAGGTGTGTGCCACCACGCCTGGCTAATTTTTTATTTTTATTTTGTAGAGATGGGGTTTCGCCATGTTGCCCAGGCTGGGCTCGAACTCCTGGATTCAAGTGATCCTCCCCTCTTGGCCTCCCAAAGTGTTGGAATTACAAGCATATGCCACTGCATCCAGCCCTGTGTGATTAATTTATGTTTCTACCATTTGACTGTGAGCTCCACGTGTCTTTTCGCTAGCTGTGGGATCTGCACCCAGTGCATACAGGTGGTCGGTGAACAGGTGCTGACAGCAGTTCCAAAAAGTTGAATGAATCACCTTAACCTTCCAGCAACAGCGAATGCGAGTGTAAAATATTATCACCTCACCAACACTGTATTTTTTTTTTTTTTAACTCTTCCAGCTCTAAATTCCACAACTCCTCCTATACCTCTTGCTTCCATAGAAGCCCAAGGAGCCCGGCAGAAACTGCTTTGAGCAACCAGGAACACCCGGCCCTAAGTCCCGCCCCGCGCCTCTCCCCACCTCAAGTCCCGCCTCTGGCTATAAGCCCCGCCCCGCCCCGATCCCGGCCTCCGATCCCAGATCTCGCACCGCCCCGCCCCCTGTCTCCGCCCCAGACACCACCCCGCCTCGTGCTCTAAGCCCCGCCCCTCTCTCTGGCTTTAGGCCGCTCCCAAGCCCAGAGCTGCTCTGCGCAAGCGCGACCGACCGAGCAGCTCCGAGGAGTCCGCCCGGAAACAAACATTCCCCAGGGCAATGTCACGACTTGGTCTTCCCGAGGAGCCAGTCAGGTAAAGGCTTTCCGGGCCCTGGCACCCCGAGCTTGGTCAGGCCCGGCCTTGATCGTAGCGGAGGCCACCGGGGCCTTTTGGCCGGGACTGATTTTGCAGCTCCCGCCAGTCCACCTGCGAGCGCCGGATGGGGGAGCACTCGCCTCCAGCAACCCGCAGGGTCCCCGAACCTTTGCACTGCTCTGGCCAGGAACAGAGCCGGCTTAAGCCAGTATGGTTTACATACACGCTGCTCCCCTTCCCAGCCGGCTTGGCTGTTCTGCAATCCGCGTCTCCAGAGTTGGACCCCAGGACCCCCGACAGTGGCACAGACCCGCAGCAGGCAGCCCCGGATTCAAGTCCCCCGGTGGCTACTTTCAGTTGTGACCTTGGGTCTGTCAGTTTCGTAAACTCTCTGAGCCTGGAGGTGACCCTGTGATCACTTGCCGGGCTGTTGTGAGGATAAAATGAGAAACGTCAAAATTGAGACCATGCTCAGAACGGGGTGGCTGCTACTGCTGTTGATACCTTGGTGATTATTCCAGCGGCCAGCCCCTAAAGTGGACAGATAACGTTTTTGCAGCCTTTTACTTTGGCTGGTTTGTCTGGTCAGTTCTGTGGTTTCCGGGTGGTTAAAAGCCACCAGCCCACAGTTTCCTTTTCTGGAGGCTGGCCTGCGTGCATCCAGATGCACTGTGCAATCCCTGTGCCAGCATTCACTGATTTTTTTCAGGCCATTTGGTCTTTGAAATACACTGCCGTTACCCAACCACATCTGGTGAGCACCCTGCCACCTAGAAAGAGGCAAAAAATAGCAAATACCTCCTGCAAACAACTGCTTATCTAATGATGGGGAGATTTATGACAGTGGTTACCATTCCCTGAGCACCAGCTGTGTGCCAGCCACAGTATATGAACTGCATCATTTAATCTTCTTAAATATCCTCAAGCCTGACACAAATGAAGATGAAACTCAGAGAAGTCATTTGTATACACTTTTTTTTTTTTTTTTTTGAGACAGAGTCTCACTCTGCCGCCCTGGCTACAGTGCAGTAGGCAATCTCGGCTCACTGCAGCCTCTGCCTCCTGGGTTCAAGCGATTCTCCTGCCTCAACCTTCTGAGTAGCTGGGATTACAGGCATGTGCCACGATGCCCGGCTAATTTTTGTATGTTTAGTAGAGGTGGGGTTTTACCATGTTGGCCAGGCTGGTCTCGAACTCCTGACTTCAAGTGATTCACCTTCCTCAGTCTCCCAAAGTGCCGGGATTACAGGCATGAGCCACTGTACCAGGCCTCCTATATACATTTGAAGCCAATTCTGGGTATCTTAAATAGCTGATTCTGCCCACTATGCAAAGCTGCCTTCCCACAGAAAAAGTAAAATCAGCTGTTCCTTTTCTAGGGCTGCCATAACAGAGTACCACACACTGGGTGTTTTAAAACAATAGAAATGGTCTCTCATGGCTATGAAGCCTGGAAGTCCAAAATCAAGGTATCGGCAGGGCCTCACTCCCTTAGAAGGCTCTGGGGGTGACCTTTCCTTGCCTCTTCCAGTTTCTGGTGGTTTCTGGCATTCCTTGGCTCACAGCAGCATCACTTCAACCTCTGCCGCCATCTTCACATGGTCTTCTTCCCTGTGTGCATCTCTCCATGTTTTTTCTTCTTTTATTTTATTTTATTTTTGAGTCAGGTCTCACTCTGTCACCCAGGCCGGAGTGCAGTGGTGCAATCATGGCTCACTGCAGCCTTGAACTCTGGGGCTCAAGTGATCCTCCCACTTCCGCCTTCCAAGTAGCTGGGAATACAGTTGCATGCCCCATGCCTAAGCTAATTTATGCTTTTTTTTTTTTTCTTTTGTAGAGACAGGGTCTTACCATGTTGACCAGGCTGGTTTCAAACTCCTGGGCCCAAGCAATTCTCCCGCCTCAACCTCCCAGTGTTGGGATTACAGGCGTGAGCCGCTGCACTGGGCTCGTTTCTGCTTCTTATCAGGACAACAGTCATTGGATTTAGAGCTCACTTTAATTACATCTGAAAAGATCCTATTTCTGAATAAAGTCACACTCTGAAGTTTGGGGTAGACATGAATTTCAGGGGTGAGGGGATACTGTTCAACCCACTATACAAACTAGCAGTAGAACACACCTGTCAAAAGGACCAAAACAAGTCCACATAGGAAGGGCACCATTTGCGGTTTTAAATCCAAATGCTTGCATATTATTGGGAAATTGTTCTCAGAATGTGTTCCCCTGTCCACAGCGTCAGTAACGCTGTCATGAGGGAGTTTGATACAAATGCTAATTCTCAGGCCCTACACCAGAGTTACTGAGTCACAGTCTGGGACTGAACCTCGCAGTCTATGTGACAGCCAGCGCTCCAGGTGATTCTGTTGCTGCTAAAGCTTGGGAACCACTATTATAAGCAGTTGAAGACATAAGAGTTTGAGAACATAAGGGCCAGCTTAACAGAAGGTAGTCTTCTAACCTTCTAACCTTAACAATGACTTTTTCATCAAACCTGTCTTCTCTGAATATAATTATGGGTTTCAAAATTCAACTGTTGCATTATTGAAAAAACATTTTACCATACTTTATGTTTCAAAGAGAACCTGTGTACTAAACTGTGTGCTTAGAAGGTTTTTTTGTCATTTTCATCTTGCGAACAACCACGCAATTTAGATAGTATCATTTCTGTCGTGTTATTGAAAAATACACAGAGAGTCAGAAATGGCAAACTCCTAAATACACAACAAAGCAGAAACAGAGGCAGGACTATAAGCTTTTTACCATAACTCTGCTTGCTAAAATGTCTGTCTGGTTTGTTTTTATTTTAGAAACAGTTTGCTAGATGATGCTAAGGCCCGCTTAAGAAAGTATGATATTGGAGGCAAATATTCTCACTTGCCATATAACAAATACTCCGTCCTTTTGCCATTGGTGGCTAAAGAAGGAAAACTCCATTTGTTGTTCACCGTCCGGTCAGAGAAGGTAGGTGGACAAAAAATTTCCTGCCCTTAAACCTCAGGACATCAGAAGACCTCACGAGATTTTGTCACTTGCACACACTTTGATGCCAAAATTCTCAAAAGGGCTTTCAAAATTGTGATGTCAGAGGCATACAACCACAAGCCACAGGATAACATGGTGTTTCTTGGAGAAGGTTTAACAAGAAAATGAAGGAATTTAGCTAGCAAGCAGTTTAAAACGCTTTCACACTAGGGTTACCTAACCTTGGTGCTATTGGCATTTGGGGCTGAATAATTCTTTGGTGTGGAGGCTGTCCTGTATAATGTGGTGTGTTTACCATCATCCTTGGCCTCTACCCACCAGATGCCAGTAGCACACACAAACACAAGCTCACACACACCTTTGTCCCTTTGTCCAGTATGCCAGTAGCACACACACCACAAATGTCTTCAGAATTGCCTACTATCCTGGCAGGATTGGGGGTGCCAAATTGCCCCCCACCAAGGGCCACTGTTTTAGACTATCCCACCCCCAGTATAATGTGAAAATACTAGAGCATAGAAGTTAACGGCCTAGGCTCTAAAGCTAGCTGTCCACGTTGAATCCAGGCTCTCTCCTTGCCAGCTGTGACTTTGGCCTCGTTACTTGCCCTCTCTGTACTTCAGTCTTTTCACTTGTAAAATGAGGACAAAATATTAGTAACTGCTTCATACAGCTGCTATGAACATTTCACAGGGTAACAAATGTAAAGCACCTATATAACCCAGGTACTTGGCAAGGAAGAATTCAGTAAGTTTTAGCTGTCATCGTTAGTGTCAAGTGACCTGTCAGACATGACCTGAAGTTTTAAGATAAATGATGTCACTTTACAGAAATAATGGGCTGGGAATGGAGTTTCTGGCTCACCCCTTGTATTGGTCCATTCTTGCATTGCTATAACGAAATACCTGAGGCTGGGTATGGTGGCTCAAGCATGTAATCCCAGCACTTTGAGAGGCCAAGGTGGGAGGATCACGAGGTCAGCAGTTCGAGACAAGCCTGACCAACATAGTGAAACCCCATCTCTACTAAAAATACAAAAGAATTAGCCAGGCATGGTGGCACACACCTGTAATCCCAGCTACTCAGGAGGCTGAGGCAGGAGAAACACTTGAAACCAGGAGGCGGAGGTTGCAGTGAGCCGAGATTGTGCCACTGCGCTCCAGCCTGAGGAACAGCGAGACTCCATCTCAAAAAAAGAAAGAAAGAAAGAAAAAGAAATATCTGAGTCTGGGTAATTTATAAAGAAAAGAGGTTTCATTGAGTCATGGTTCTGCAGGCTGTACAGGAAGCATGACACAGGCATCTGCTCAGTTTCTGGAAAGGCCTCAGGGAGTGTACCATCATGGCAGAGGGGGAGCAGGAGCAAGAGAGAGAGCAGGGAAATACCACACACTTTTAAATGGCCCCGGATCTCATGAGAACTCACTCACTATCATGGGGACAGTGCCAAGATGATGGTGCTAAACCATGCGTGAGAAATCTGCCCCTGTGATCCAGTCACCTCCAACCAGACCCCACCTCCAACACTGGGGACTCCAGTTCAACATGAGATTTGGGCAAGGACAAATATCGAAACTCTACCACCCCCACACCCGTGAGCACAGTCAGTTTCCCTTGCTGTGGGGAACTTCCAAGGAAAAGCTGGTGAAGCAGTCATTTTAAGCTTATCCAAGTACAAAAAGAAAATAAGCCATATTAACAGGCTTTTTAAGCAGAATAATGAAAAGTATTTTGTTTAAAAAAAAAATGCCAAGGAATCAGCTGGAGTTTTGTGGACGTGGAAGTAGACTTGTGTGGATTGTGTTCGGTCTGAGCCAGGCAGAAATGCCGTGAACTCAGGACATGATAGAAATCCAGGTTCCAGGGGGAAATACTTAAATGGAAACCAGGGGACCAGTGTCTGTTCCCACCTCTGCCAATAAGCACAGGAGAAGCACTTACATATATTTTTTAAAATTATCAGATATGGCCGTGTGCGGTGGCTCACGCCTGTAATCCCAGCACTTTGGGAGGCTGAGGTGGGCGGATCACCTGAGGTCAGGAGTTCGAGACCAGTCTGGCCAACATGGCGAAACCCTGTCTCTACTAAAAATACAAAAAATTAGCCAGGCGTGGTGGTGGGTGCCTGTAATCCCAGCTACTGGGGAGGCTGAGGCAGGGAGAATCACTTGAACCTGGGAGGTGGAGGTTGCATTGAGCCGAGATCGTGCCACTGCACTCCAGCCTGGGCAACAGAGCAAGACTCCATCTCAATAATGAATAAATAAATAAAAATAAATAAATAAATAAAAGAGAATTGTCTAACAAACAATAATATAGGAAATCTAGACAATACTACAAACTCAACCAACGGGGTCTCTAGTTTCTTTTGTTTCACCCAGAGCCACTTTTGCCTGTTGATTATTAAGGTCACTTTTTAAAAACTATTTAAATTTAATTCAATCTGATTGTAAACACTATCTGGCTGTAGGGGTGAGAAATTCCCTCTGGAGCTCTACTGGAGCTCTGCCCCTCACACAAGCAGGGCGCTGGTAGGAGATTTCCCCCCAGTGGATGGGGAAAGCAAGGCAAGAAGTGGGTTAACCCTTCTCAAATGTGCAATCTCCCACTAGCTCTGGAACCTCGAACAAGTTTTTCTTTTTTTTCAGAAGGATTCTCGCTCTGTCGCCCAGGCTGGAGTGCAGTGGCGTGATCTCAGCTCACTGCAACCTCCGCCTCTTGGGTTCAAGCAATTCTCCCACCTCAGCCTCCCAATTAGCTGGGATTACAGGTGCACGCCACCACGCCTGGCTAATTTTTGTATTTTTAGTAGAGAGGGAGTTTCACCATGTTGGTTGGCCAGGCTGATCTTGACCTCCTGATCTCAGGTGATCTGCCCATCTTGGCCTCCCAAAGTGCTGAGATGACAAGCGTGTGCCACCACGCCCAGCCTGCAAAGTTCGTAAATCTCTTAATCACCTCGGTTTTCTCATCCCTAAAATGGGCCTGAAAACAGCGCCTCATGTGCAAGGTTGTTCTGAGCCTGAAAGAGATCTGTAAAACGCCCAGCACGGCTGCTGGCATGCCATAGTGCTGCATGCTGTTGGATGCTACCTATGTTTTCGTTATCTCCTTGTCCGGGTCCACCTTGGATAAGGGACTCCTCTCAGAACCCTAGATCCCTGGTGCCCAGCAAAGAGCTGGCAAACCCCTTTCTCCATTGCACACCTGGGCACAGCCCTTCAGGCCTTCAAAGCCACCCACTTTATAGTTTTCAGGAATTAGCTGCTCTGCATTATCGGTCCTGCTCTTCTCCCCCACACCCTTGACCTCGCATCCCTCCTCTGTCCCCTCTTCTACCCTCCTCCACCCTCCTCCCTGCACCCCATTCTCTGGGACTGGAAGTAGGCAAGAGAAAATTCAGGAACAAAGCAAAGATTGAAGTCTTAGGAAATTAGGCTGCAGCTTTACTTGGCCTCTGAGTAGCATTTCAGAAGGTTTTATTGAATAAGAAATGTATACTATTTATCAAAAAAATAACTGACCGCTTTTGTGCTTAGAGCCCTTTGCAGTGCTAATAGTTTTTGATTAGTCAGTTTTAGAAATGTGCCTGTTTTCTTCAAAACAGCGTAATATTTTCTTTTTTAAAAACAAAATTAAATAGATTTATCTTTTTAGATTTAAATAGATTTAACTTGTAGAGATTTATCCTGTACAATATGATGCTTTGAAGTATATATTCACTGTGGAATGACTAAATCTAGCTAATTAATTTACTACCTCACATCATAGTAACATACTACTTCACATAGTAACATATCACCAC
This sequence comes from Homo sapiens, assembly GCF_000001405.40. Taxonomy (NCBI): domain Eukaryota; kingdom Metazoa; phylum Chordata; class Mammalia; order Primates; family Hominidae; genus Homo; species Homo sapiens. The sequence goes on from NC_000016.10 coordinate 77,729,411, forward strand.
ACACAATACCTCACATAGTAACATATTACTATACATATTACCTCACATAGTAACATATCACCATATACATCATATAGTAACATGTCATCATACATATTTTCTTCAAAATAGCATATTTTCTTTAAAAAAAAATTTAGGCCAGGCATGGCTCACACCTGTAATCCCAGCATTTTGAGAGGCCAAGGTGTGGGGATCACCTGAGGTCAGGAGTTTGAGACCAGCCTGGCCAACATGGTGAAACCCCATCTCTACTAAAAATGCAAAATTAGCTGGGTGTGGTGGTGCACACCTGTAGTTCCAGCTACTCGCGAGGCTGAGGCAGGAGAATCGCTTGAACCTAGAAGGCAGAGGTTGCAGTGAACCGAGATTATCCCACTGCACTCCAGCCTGGGCAACAGAGCGAGACTCTATCTCAATAAATAAATAAATAAATAAATTTTAAATCAACAGATAAAATTGTATAGATTTATCCTGTACAACATGATGTTTTGAAGTATATATTCACTATGGAATGACTAAATCTAGCTAATCAATGTACTAACTCACATAGTAACATATTACCACACACATTACCTCACATAGTAACATATTAACACATATACTACCTCATATGGTAACATATCACCACACACATTACCTCACATAGTAACATATTAACACACATACCTCATATGGTAACATGTCACCACACATAACATACTATCTCACATAGTCATCATCTTTGCACTAAGAACACTTTATATCCATTCAGCAATTTTCAAGAATACAGTATGTTAACTATAGTTACCATAGTATACAATACATCTCTCGAATTTATTCCTCCTGACTGGCTGAAACTTTTTATCTTTTGACCAACATCTCCCCAACCTCCCCCCAAACCACCTCAGCAGCTAGTAACCACCATTCTACTCTCTACTTCTCTGAGACTGACTTTTTAATATTCCACATATGAATGAGATCATGTGGCATCTGTGACTGGCTTATTTTACCTAACATAATTTCCTCCAGGTTCATCCATGTTGTCACAAATGACAGGATTTCCTTCTTTTTTATGACTGAATAATATTCCTCTCTGTATATACATTTTCTTCATTCACTTGTTGATGGATACTCAGGTTGATTCCATGTCTTGGCCATTGTGAACAATGCTGCAGTAAACATGGGTGTGCAGAGACCTCTTCGATATACTGATTTCATTTCCTTTGGATATATAACCAGTAGTGGGATTGCTGGATCATATGGCAATTCTGTTTTTAATTTTTTGAGAAACCTCCATTCTGTTTTCCACAATGATTGTACTAATTTACATTCCCACCAAGAGTGTGTGATAGTTCCCTTTTTTCCATATCCTCAACAACACTTACGTTTTGTTTTTTAGATAATGGCCATTCTAAAAGGTGTGACGTAATGTCTCTCTGTGGTTTTAATTTGAATTTTCCTGGTGATTAGTGATGTTAAGCATTTTTTTCATATACCTTTTGAGAAATGTCTATTTAGTTCCTTTGTCCATTTTTAAATTTTTTTTTATTATTGATATTGAGTTGAGTTCCTTATATATTTTGGATACTAGCCCCTTTTCAGATGTATGGTTTGCAAATATTTTCTCCCATTCCACAGATTGTCTTTTCATTCTGTTGAGTGTTTCCTTAGCTGTGCAAAAGCTTTTTAGTTGAAGTAACCCCATGTTTTATTTTTGCTTTCATTGCCTGTGCTTTTGGGGTCATATTTTAAAAATCATTGCCCAGCTCAAGGATAACATTTTCTTGAGAGCAATGTTCTCACTAATCCAAAATGATCTTTTCCAATTCCTATTACCTATTAATTGGAATAGGTGTACAAGGCAAATTGAATAAAATTGGTATGCTATGAGATACTTTTGAAACCTTTCAAAATACAGTCATGTGCTGCAAAACTGTTTTTCCATCAATGATGGACCATGGACCATATATACAATGGTGGCCCCAAAAGATGATAATGGAGCTGAAAATTCCTATCACCAACTGACATCATAGCAGTCATAATGTCATAGCACAAGACATTACTCACATGTTTGTGGTGATGCTGGTGTAAACAAACCTACTGTGTTGCCAGTGGTCTAAAAGTGTAGCACATACAATTATGCACAATATATAATACTTGATAATGATAAAAAATGACATTTCTGGTTTATGAAATTTACTACACTATTCTTTTAAATCATTATTTTAGAGTGTTCTTCTTCTACTTATTTTTTAAAAATAACTATAAAGCAGCCTTAGTAAGGTCCTTCAGGAGATATTCCAAAAAACACAGGCATTGTTATTGTAGGAGATGAGAGCTCCATGTATGTTATTGTTGCCCCTGAAGACCTTCCAGTGGGACAAGAGGTAGAGGTAGAAGACAGTGATATTGATTATTCTGTGTGTTGTATCTTAGTTTTTAGCAAGAAAGTTTAAAAAGAAAAAAAAATCCTTAAAAATAGAAAAAAGCTTCTAGAATAAGGATATAATGAAAATATTTTGTATAGCTGTGTAATGTATTTGTGTTTTAAGCTAAGTGTTATTACAAAAGAGTCAAAAAATTAAAAATTAAAAAGTTTAGAAAGTAAGAAGTAATAGTAAGCTACAGTTAATTTATTATTTAAAAAAGAAAAAGGCCGGGGGGTGGTGGCTTATACCTGTAATCCCAGCACTTTGGGAGGCCAAGGTGGAGGGAACCATCTGAGGTCAGGAGTTCGAGACCAGCCTGGCCAACATGGCCAAACCTCATCTCTACTAAAAATACAAAAATTAGCCAGGCATGCTGGCGGGTGCCTGTAATTCCAGTTACTTGGGAGGCTGAGGCAGGAGAATCACTTGAACTCAGGAGTCAGAGGCTGCAGTGAGCTGAGATCCCATCACTGCACTCCAGCCTGGTCGACAGACGAGAACACGTCTCAAAAAAAAAAAAGAAAAAGAAAAATATTTTTATAAACATACTATAGCCTAAGTGTCTAGTATTTATGAAGTCTAGAGCAGTGTTTAATGTCCTAAGCCTTCACATCCACTCACCACCCACTCATTCACTGACTCACACAGAGCAGCTTTCAGTCCTGCAAGCTCCATTTATGGTAAATGCCCCATACTGGTGAACCATTTTTGATCTTTTATACCATATTTTTACTGTACCTTTTCCGTGTTTAGATGCACAAATACTTACCATTATGTTACTATTGCCTGCAATATCCAGGACAGTAAAATGGTATACAGGTTGTAACCCAGAAGCAGTAGCTACACCATATAGCCTAGGTTTATAGTAGTCTATATTATCCAGGTTTGTGCAAGTGCACCCTGTGTTGTTTACACGATGATGAAATCGCCTAATGCATTTTTCAGAACGTGTCCCTGTTGTTGAGTAACACGTGACTGTACATTTAAAACAGGCATCATATCAGGTCTGTTTCTGTCAAGCCTGATGACTGCTTGGAGGTGCGTTTGTCCCTGGCTGCCTTGGAGTTGAACGTTCTAACAATAAAGCACTGTTTCAGAGTTGCTGTAACATTAGGTGTATTTCTTACGCATTTGGTAAGACATATTTGCAGTCGCTGGTGAGTGTTCAAGACAGTAGAAATATGTCCATCAGCCTTCTTTTCACCTGTTTTTACAACTGTAATTGATGTGAAGATGTCTAAGGATTTAGCTATGGCAGCAATTTCTGCAGTGTTCCTGATTTATCAGCACAGAAGGACTTAAAAAAAAATTTTTAAGTCTTGCCCAAATGAGGCTGAAGCCTATAAAATATCAAAAAGTTTATCATGGCATTGTCATAGTCCTCTCAAGCTGCTATAACAAAACACCTTAGACTGGGTGGCTTATAAACAACAGATACTAATTCTCACAGTTCTGGAGGCTGGGAAGTCCAAGATCAAGCTGCCAGAAGATTTGGAGTCTGGTGAGGGCCCTGTTTCAGTTCATAGATAGTCATCCTTTCAGTGTCCTTACAGGGAAAGGGGCAAAGAGTCTGTCTCTGGTCTCTTTTATAAGGGCATTCATCTCATTGATGAGGGCTCTGCCCCCATGACCTAAACACCTCCCAAAGATCCCACCTCCTAATACCATCACCTTAGGGGTAAGGATTTCAACATATGGATTCATGGGAGAATAAACATTCAGGCCATTGCAGGCATCTAGTTTATCCTTACATAGATATATGGCCTAGGTGCTAAAAATGGCAACATGATCTCTTGATTGAGCTTCTCAATGTCCAGGACTGACCTTACAAGTTCTCATTATTAAATATTTAATGTGGCCACGCACCATTCCCGTGCATCCGCTCCATCCTCATGGAACAATCTTCACAGCTCTGTGAGGAGCACACTGTCATTACCCCATTGCACACAGTTGGAAAGAGGCAGACCCAGGACTCTTGCTGAGCCTGAGGGCTCCTTGACAATTCAGGAGAGAAAGGATAGTGGGTACTAGGCACAAGTGGGCATAAAAGAAATTGAGGTCACTCTGCTGAGATATTTGGCCCTGCAGAAGAGAGAACAGTGGAGGGTTTGTGCCTCTCCACTTCTGCCCAAGATATGAGAGAAATAATTTTAAAGACAGAGATAAGAAAGGGGGTAATTTTAGGATGCTATAGAGACACTGTCAGTTCTCCTAAAGGCAGGAAGGAATGGAATCAAGGAAGGGGGCAATGCGGGGAAAGAGGAGACCTCTTTTCCTTTACCAACACACGCAAAGATAAACATAGATGCCAACACAATGCTAATAGCTCCAGGGCCTATATTTTTTGTGTCTTACTAAACTTTTGATAAATGTGTGTTGTACTGATTAAAAACACAGGCTCGTAAATTAAACACTGGTTTATATTCCAGCTCACTGAGTGAACTTGGTCAGGTTATTTAACCTCTGTGAGCCTAAGTTCCTTTGTCTGAAAATGGAAATAATAATAGTATAAGAGTAGCTTATGGCTGGGTGCGGTGGCTCACGCCTGTAATGCCAGCACTTTGGGAGGCCGAGGAGGGCAGATCACGAGGTCAGAAGATCGAGACCAGTCTGGCTAACATGGTGAAACCCCGTCTCTACTAAAAATACAAAAAATTAGCCGGGCATGCTGGTGGGCACCTGTAGTCCCAGCTACTCAGGAAGCTGAGGCAGGAGAATGGTGTGAACCCAGGAGGCAAGGCTTGCAGTGAGCCGAGTTCGCACACTGCACTCCAGCGTGGGACACAGAGCGGGACTCCATGTCAAAAAAGAAAAGAAAAGAGTAGCTTACCTGCCCATCAATGCATGAGTGGATAAACAAACTGTGATCTATACACACAATAGAATACTATTCAGCCATAAAAAAGGAAGTACCAATACACGTAGAACATGAAGAACCTCAAAAACATATGTGAAGGGAAAAATGCCAGACACAAAAGTCGAGACTAGGTAAATCCACAGAGACAGAAAGCAGGGACAGAGGGAGAGGGGAATGAGAATCAACTGTTGTATGGGGTTTCCTTCTGGGATGATGAAAATATTCTGGAATGAGATAGTAGGGATGATTGTACAACACAGTAAATGTATTAAACGTCTCTGCTTTTTTTCACTTTAAAATGGTTACTTTTATGTGAATTTCACCTCGTTCAAAAATTAGTAGCTTATAGGACTGTTCTGAGGACCCAGTGGGAAAAATCTTTATGAAACAACATGCCCAGAACATAATAAGCAGCCATTAAAGGACTCAACAAAATTATCTGTTGATAATATTGCCCCTTACATTATTCTTTCAGCTTTTTCCCCCTAGCAGTGTCAATCTGTGTGTGTGTGATATGGTTTGGATCCTGTCCCCACCCAAATCTCATGTTCAGTCGTAAACCCCAATATTGGACCTGGGGCCTGGTGGGAGGTGATTTGATCACGTGGGCGGATTTCCCCCTTGGTACTGTCATCACAATAGTGAGTGAGTTCTCACGAGATAAGGTTGTTTAAAAGTGTGTAGCACCTCCCCTCCCTCTCTCTGTCTCCCGCTCCAGCCATGTGAAGTGCTTGCTCCTCCTTTACCTTCCGCCATGATTGTAAGTTTCCTGAGGTCTCCCCAGAAGCCAAGCAGACGCCAGCATCATGCTCCCTGTACGGCCTGCGAGACTGTGAGCCAACCAAACCTCTTTTCTTTATAAACTACCCAGTCTCAGTTATTTATTTATAGCAGTGCAAGAACAGATTAATACAGTGTGTGGTATCTTTTGGGGACAAATAGAATAAAAGTTAGCAGTGAGAAAAATTTTCAAGGTTCATTTCTTAAAAAGGATTCAAGAAAACACATTTGTGGGCAATAGGGGTCTTGATACCACCACCTGGGTAAGAATGGTCTCTGGTACAAAATAGAAGTCCAGTAAGTATTTGTTGAATGCATAAATAGTTCCAAAATTAGAATCCCACATTGTAGCGCTGTTCTTTCTATATCCAGCTAAGAAGGGCCCCTGGAGAAGTTTGCTTCCCTGGAGGTAAGCGTGACCCTACAGACATGGATGATGCAGCCACAGCTCTCCGGGAAGCCCAGGAGGAAGTGGGTCTCCGTCCTCACCAAGTGGAAGTTGTCTGCTGCCTGGTGCCATGTCTTATTGATGTAAGGGTTTCCTGAGACACTCATGAGCACCGTCCCCACCCCCAGGTGGATCTACTGTTCTCAGGATTCCACATTTTCCAAACATAACCCCAAAGAGTACTGTACATAAAGTCAAGAGAACAGGTTCTCCTACAGACATTGCCCCTCATGAGTCAAGTGGCTATGGGCAACCCCTTTTGCCTCTCCGGACCCCTCTTTCCCCATCCAGAAATAAAAGGGTTGAACTCCCATCAGTGGATTTCAAACTGGATGCCATAGAACCCTAGAGAGATGCTTCAGAATTATTAACATTCAGTTCACATTTATTTTTCTCCAGTATACATTGGTTTTGAGAGTTCAGTTGAAAAAAGAACAGACACTCCAATGTGCTAGATACCAAATTTTAGCCCCTTGGAGACCACCAATGCATTACTTCTGCCGTAAGGATATTCATTTTTCTACATACTATAGAATAAAGCCTCTCTGTGATACATTAATTGAATAGAACCGTGAAATCACTAGGCAAGCTATTTAAAAACTATTACTATTCATAACTGCATTTGTGTTGGATCAGGATTTCCTTGATAGTATAATATACATCAAAACATTTAAAATATTTTTAAAAATGAATTTTGGAGCTGAGATAACCACATCTTATTTTCTTTTTTATTTTTTTTTTTATAGAGATGGGGGTCTCGCTATGTTGATGAGGCTGGTCTCGAGCTCCTGGCCTCAAGTGATCCTCCCACCTCAGCCTCCCAAAGTGCTGGGATTACAGGTGTGAACCACTGTGCTCAGCTTCTGATCTTACTTTCTATCGGTTCACCACAACAACCTCATTGTTTTACTAACTGACTTTAGAAGGGGTAAATATTGTATTAAGAAGTATGATCTTGGATAACAGCATGATTTTACCATATAAATGTTTTAATAAAACCTTTAATTTTAATTTCAGAATAGCTGTAGGCTGATGGAAAAGTCGTGAAGGTAGTACAGAGAGTTCTTATGTAGACCTAGTTTCCATATGACCACATGGAAACCATAGGAAACTAGACCATAGGAAACTAGACCATAGGAAACTAGACTATAGGAAATTAGACCATAGACCTAGTTTCCCCTGTGGTTGACATCTTACATCACTGTGTACATTTGTCACAACAAAGAAACCAGTGTCAGCATGTTACTGTTAACTGAACTCCATGCTCTGTTTGCTTTTTACTAGTTTTTCTACTAATGTCCTTTCTGTCCTGGATCTCATCTAAGATACCATATTGTATTTTGTGGTCATGTCTCCTTAGTCCTCTGGTCTGTGATAGTTTATCAGACTTTCTTCTTCTCATGACCCTGACAGTTTGGAGATGTAGTGGTCAGGTATTTTATAGAATGTTCCCCAATTTTGGTTTGTCTGATATTTTTCTCATCGTTAAGCTGGGGTCATAATTTGGGAACACCACAGAGGTGAAGTGCTCTCATCACACAGTATCAGAGGTAGGTATAAACTTTTCATGGTTTTTTTTTTGTTGTTGTTGTTGTTTTTTTGACACAAGTCTCGCTCTGTCGCCCGGGCTGGAGTGCAGTGGTGCAAACTCGGCTCACTGCAAGCTCCGCCTCCCGGGTTCACGCCATTCTCCTGCCTCAGCCTCCCCAGTAGCTGGGACTACAGGCGCCCATCACCGCGCCCGGCTAATTTTTTGTATTTTTAGTAGAGACGGGGTTTCACCGTGTTAGTCAGGATGGTCTCGATCTCCTGACCTCATGATCCGCCTGCCTCAGCCTCCCAAAGTGCTCGGACTATAGACGTGAGCCACCACACCCAGCCTTAATGTTTTATATATTGGGCTTTCGGGTAAGTTTTTATTTCAAAAGAACAGTCCCACTGTTGCCTAACACTTAGAAAACCAGTGGGTTAGATGATCCTTTATGTTCCACTTGACTGAAGTCTTGGTGGGGCAGTGTTTTGAAGATCAGTGATGCTGAGACAATGTCTGTCTTAATTGGGTCCTTTTTAAAAATAGAAAGGTCAGTACCCAAGGGTGGTTTTGTTTGCAAAAAGCTAGTGGCCACTCAATAAATGTTTTCTAAGTGTGTGTGTATGAAAGCGAGATGGAGACATGGGATTACACACGAAATGTGTCAATTACTTTTCCATTTGGTTTTCTAATGGGAACTCTTTACAGTTGATTTCCGCAAATCCACCAGCATTTGGAGGATTTACTTTAGAAATCAATTAACTAATTTAGCTATACTGATTAAAAGTTTCCAAAATGAGACTAACTCTGTTCCCAAGGTCCCCAGGTGCTACTGAGTTCTGCATGTGGGTGGATAGAATTCAGGAGCATTAACAGGAAAGTGTCTCTGGGAGATTCCTGGGGGCCAGATACTCCTGGAACAGGAGATTTCTAAAATGGCGTGATTGAGAGATTAAACAAAGGCTTTAAAAAGTCTGCTTTGTTTGGAAGTGCAAGGGAGGGTTGCTTTGTTTTTTGGCCCCTGCTAATTTTTAAAATGTATCACAAAAATGCCATTTATTGAAAATTATAAGCATAATCTAATCTACGTGGCTCTTAACCTGGAGTGATTTTTCAACCCTGGGGAATTTGGTAATGTCTGGAGATCATAGCTGGGAGTGGAAGGGTGCTATTGGCTTTTCTCAAGTGATCTCGAGTCCCAGTGATCTCAGCTCACTGCAACCTCCACCTCCCAAGTTCAAGCAATTCTCCTGCCTCAGCCTCCAGAGTAGCTACCTATGTATGTATGCACCTATGTATGTACCCGCTACATAAGCCTTCCAGGCAGGCTGTGACACCACAACCCCCACCCCAGTTTTCCCTTTTGTCAGACATTTATGTACTACTTTTTGCAAAGGTCTCTGAAATATACCCAGGAGTATGAGCAACACATCTGTGGTCGAATCCAGTTTCTGCCAAGTATCAGCAGAATATGCCCTTGGGCAAGTTTCTTCACGTCTCTAATTGTAGTTGTTAAGGCTTCTTCGCGATCAGATTGTTGTAAGGAATCAGAGGGTGCTGGGAACTAGACTAGGTGCCCGTAAGTTGTGGTCACCAATGGTAGCAGCAACCACGAATATTTACTGAGCATACATTGTTGGGGCTCTGTCCAGGCCCCTTCATATTCCTCTTACAACCCCAGGGCTTCTGATAACTCACTGTTACCAGATAGGGGGCCTGATCCAGACCCTAAGAGAGGGTTCTAGGATCTCACAGGGTGAGTCCATAAAGTGAAAGCAAGTTTATTAGAGAAGTAAAGAAAAAAAAGAATGGCTATTCCATAACAGAGCAACAGCATGTGCTGCTGGTTGGCCATTTTTATGGTTATTTCTTGATCATATGCTAAACAAGGGGTGGGTTATTCATGAGTTTTCCAGGAAAGGGATGGGCAATTCCCAGAGGTGAGAGTTCCTCCCATTTTTAGACCATGTAGGGTAACTTCCTGACATTGCCGTGGCATTTGTAATCTGTCATGGCACTAGTGGGAGTATCTTTTAACATTCTAATGCTTTCTAATTATCGTATAATGAGCAGTGAGGATGACCAGAGGTTACTTTCATTGCCATCTTGGTTTTGGTGCGTTTTGATGGCCTTCTTTACTGTAAGGTCTTTATGACTTGTATCTCAGTCTCATCTGGTGACTAAGCATGCCCTAACCTCCTGGGAATGCAGCCCAGTAGCTCCAAGCCTTATCTTACCCAGCCCCTATTCAAGATGGAGTTGCTCTGGTTCAAACGCCTCTGACAACACTTGGCAGCTTTCTTCTGAATACTGGTACCCTTGATACTGGAGCCACCTTGCCATGTGTCCTGCACAGAGAGCTGGGAGTGCCTGTGAATTCACCTCTGGCAAGGTAGTCCTTAACCAGTGACTGACTGGGGCTGGGGAGCATGAAATCCCAGCTCCCTTGTCTCCATGTGGGACAAACTGCATATTAATTTACCCTCCAGAACACCCCATGGTGCCCTTGCCAGCCTTCTTCCCTTATGAGTATTGCTCCCCTCTTCCCCTTAACTGTTTCCCCTGGGAGCACTTTCTTAAAAAATCACTTGCATCTGAGTCCTTATCTCAGAGTCCACCTGGAAAACTCCATATTCAGAGACTAAGCATTTCCCCAATGCCAGGTGTGGTGTTACGTGCTGGTAGAATGTTGCCTCTGCCCTCGGGTAACTTAATGACCCCAAATTTCCTGCCCCAAGGACATACGAAGTCTATGTTCCTCTTGTCTCCTCCTGGTCCAAATGTTGACTTTCACTATTATTTTGGTTAATGGTCTGAGTTGTCTCTGTTCCTAAATTTGGTTTCCTGTCTTTGGCTGTCCCTCAGAACATTCTGCAGGCCGGATAGGTCCCAGCCTCACCATGTGTCTACCTCTCTGGCTTTTTCCACCCACTTCCTCTTGGGATGCTCCAGGAATTCCAGTTCTTCTCACTTTCTAATACAAAGGCAGGCAGCTCTTACCAGTTCCCACATCCTCACTCAGCCCCAGGCCTCCCTCTCAGGGTTTCCAGTATAACAAAACAGTCTTTCATTTGACAACACTCATGTTCATTTGCTTTTTTACTTTTATATATTTATTTTTATTTTTGAGACTGGGCCTCTCTCTGTCACCCAGGCTGGAGTGCAGTGGCATGATCTCGGCTCACTGCAATCTATCTCCGCCTCCCAAGTTCAAGCAATTCTCCTGCCTCAGCCTCCTGAGTAGCTGGGATTACAGGCACGCACCACCACACCCGGCTAATTTGTGTATTTTTAGTAGAGACGGGATTTCATCATGTTGGCTAGGCTGGTCTCAAACTCCTGACCTCAGGTGGTCCGCCCACCTCAGCCTCCCAAAGTGCTGGGATTACAGGCGTGAGCCACCACACCCGGCCACTCATGTTCATTTGCAAGCAGTTGTGGTTGTAAATAGAAATCCCTCTCCCATGTAATATATACATGTGTGTTATATAAAGTAGTTCACATATAGTTATATATAAGACACATAATTATATATATATGTGTATGTACTATGAAATTTTTCCATAAATGGGAATATGTCATAACTAGTATTATATCACTTTACTTTTCTGTTCATAAGTATAGCACATTTTTTTCTTTACTGAGAAGGAAAGATGTCTATCCCATTGTTTTTAAAGGCTACATAGTATCCTCTTTTATGGATATAACCCTAATTTATATAACCTAAATGCCTATAAAGTGAAGAGTGATAACTTTAGAATTTGGGGCTGTTGTTGAAACTAATTCTTCAGGTTTATACTTGTGTCTTTTCTTACTGGTAGGAATTTATCATACAGATACACAAATGCAATTCCCAGGTCAAAGCGAACACATTTTTATGATACTGCCAAATTGCCATTCCAAAAGATTGTACTACTTTATGTTCATACAAGAAATCATTTTCAGAGTCATCTCATAGATGTCACCTCAGGTAGAGCAGGATGACTCCCATTTTAGGGGGAACATAAATTTGTTTCCGGAATAAGCTTTCTTCCCCTTCTCCCAGGTTCGGTGTATTTTCTTAGCTCACCTAGAAGTGGCATGATTTTAGGATTTGAAGCAGTATCACTTCACTTCTTAATTTGTCTGTTTTGTTTTCTGCTTTTAGACAGATACATTGATAACTCCATTTGTGGGTTTAATAGACCACAACTTCCAGGCCCAGCCGAATCCTGCTGAAGTTAAGGATGTATTCCTGGTGCCTCTGGCCTATTTCCTGCATCCACAGGTCCATGACCAGCATTACGTCACACGTCTTGGTCACCGTTTTATTAATCATATCTTTGAGTACACAAACCCTGAAGACGGTGTCACTTACCAGATCAAGGGAATGACGGCAAACCTTGCAGTGTTGGTGGCCTTTATCATTTTGGAAAAAAAACCCACCTTTGAGGTTCAATTTAATCTTAATGATGTATTAGCATCCTCTGAAGAGTTATTCCTGAAGGTTCATAAAAAAGCTACAAGCAGGTTATGATTTACTAGAGCAAGAGACAAAGAACTATTCACGAGGATTCTGTGTGTGCTTATTCGTAGAACAACAACAATGCCAGCTGTTGGAATTTGACAGGTGTGAATATTTTTTCTGCAGTATGTAGTTAGAATCCTTGCCTCTTTTCCAGTTGCCTTCTATTGTCTGAAAAAGTAAAAGCCATTCAAAAATGAAAACTATGTTCATAGTGTTGCATATTTTCACCCACAATATGTTAATAATATTTTTCTTACACATATAATAAAGAATATCTGGCACATACTAGGCCCTTAATAAAGATTTTTTGAATATATAACCATGTGGCATTTACCTTATTTGCAGTAGGCAATATATATACACATATATAATATACACACACATATACACACACACACACACATATATTTATAATATATATATATAATTTTTTTTTTTTTGGAGAGAGACTCTTGCTCTGTCACCCAGGCTGGAGTGCGGTGGCACAATCTTGGCTCAGCTCACTGCAACCTCCACCTCCTGGGTTAAGCGATTCTCCTGCCTCAGACTCCCAAGTAACTGGGATTACAGGCGCCTGCCACTACACCTGGCTAATTTTTGTATTTTTAGTAGAGATGGGTTTTTGCCATGTTGGCCAGGCTGGTCTCGAACTCCTGACCTCAGGTGATCCACTTGCCTTGGACTCCCAAAGTTCTGGGATTACAGGCATGAGCCACCACACCCAGCTGGCAATATATATATTTTTAATCTGTTGTACATGTAACAGAAACTTCTGGTCATCCATCAAAATCTATCTTCCCTGTCTTCTATGGTGGTAGAGTTTAAGCTGGGTCCCCAGCACTCCAGGTATAAACAGCATTACTCCGGATCCCTTGCAATTCAAGTTGACTCTGGGACTTACTTTAGGCCAATGGGTTATGGGTGAAAGTTGACTTTCCAGGTCATCTCCAATCTAAGACATAAGCCAGTGTTCTTGAGTCCCTTTGGTTCTTTTTTTCCATGAGCTGCAACATGGACTTCTCTGCAACCCAGCCTTGACCATACAAATGAGGACATTCTCTGGGGGAATGGCAGAACCGAAAGATGTCAGAGCTTGAATCGATGAATGACTCTGTGGAGCAAAGTAACCTTCTAACCTGGGCTCTTCACTTGGTACTGTTACATCAGAAAAGAATAAAATTCTGTATCATCCGTCTGCCACTGTAATTCGGAGTCACTTTTCTATAGCAGAGCTAACCAATACGCTCCAGCACCTGAAAATAACTAGAATATTCATCTGAACTTGAAGTGTTGCAAGCAGTTAGAAATGGGGATGATCTGACACTTTATTTATTTTATTTTATTTTTTTGGGACAGAGACTCGCTCCTTCACCCAGGCTGGAGTGCAGTGGCGTGATCTCGGCTCACCGCAACCTTCACCTCCAGGGTTCAAGCGATTCTCCTGCCTCAGCCTCCCAAGTAGCTGGGATTACAGGTGCCCACCACCACGCCCAGCTAATTTTTTTGTATTTTTAGTAGAGATGGGGTTTCACTATGTTGGTCAGGCTGATCTCAAACTCTTGACCTCAGGTAATCTACCCATTTCGGCCTCCCAAAGTGCTGGGATTACAGGCATGAGCCACCGAGCCTGGCCAATCTGACACCTTACATGTGGCTTCTGGGGAACACATAGGATGCCCTCCCTGGGTGGGAGGTGGGGTTCAGCAATCATCCAAAACAGCTGAAATTGAGGAATATAAGAGGCTTATATGCCTACCAATTGGGAGGGATAATGATGTATGTTTCGAGATGATGACGGCAGCAAAATAGTGATTTAAAGCATAAGCCCCAAATCAAAAGACGAAAAGACAGACATTCTGTAATGCACCCTTGAGATCTTCTACTTCTTATGTGGGTATCTGCCTATATCATGCTTTAGAGTTAGCATGGATTTTTTTGTTTAATTATATTCATCATCCTTCATGAGGCCAGAGAGGCAAGTGAGTCAAGCAACCTAACCACAATTCTGTGATGGCGATTTCACATCTTATTGTTGTTATTAGCTTTTTAGAGAGCCAAACCATGTTTAATAAGACTTTGTTATAGTTGAAAATGTGATGCCCACACCAAACCTATCAATCAGCCATGTGACTGTCCATTGCGGCTGAGTTTTTCTTTTCTGAGAGTTGGCAAAGGCAAATACCTGATTGGCTGCTTTATACCCATATATGTTTAAATGGCAGAGATCTGGTTCCAACCATGAAAGCAGATGTTGGGTACGTTACCCCATTAACATTCTGTAACCAGCCCTGCATGAACAGGCCTGAACTATTTCCGAACAATTACAGAAGCATTTGCAAATGTGTATTTACAATCTGACAGCAGTATAATTGCCGGGTAGATGGTTGACCTCTCCGACAGTGCAGAAAGCCTCCCTTCCAAACTGTTTGTTTATGTGAACTCTCCCAGATCTGCCTGGTCCAGCTGAAGTCAATCTGAGCACACCCATGGCCACACAATTTATGGGGCTGGATGCTTAGCAAAGGAGGTATTGCCCCCTTCCTTCTTAGTGGTGTATTTTATAGTATCTATGTTCAGAGTCTTAGTTAAATATATCTGGCTCAAATAAAATAAGTTATTGGCAAGGTACGGATCTCAGGGACTCTCTGAAGCCACTGAATAAATCAGCTTCAAGAAGGACAGCGGGGCGCAGTGGCTCATGCCTGTAATCCCACCATTCGGGGAGGCTGAGGCGGGTGGATCACTTGAAGTCAGGAGCTCAAGACCAGCCTGGCCAGAATGGTGAAATCCATCTCTACCAAAAATACAAAATTAGCCAGGTGTGGTGGTGCACACCTGTAATCCCAGCTATTTGGGAGGCTGAGGCAGAATTGCTTGAACCTGGGAGGCAGAGGTTGCAGTGAGCCGAGATTGTGCCACTGTACTCCAGTCTACTCGACAGAGTGAGACTGTGTCAAAGAAAAAAAAAAAGGCAGTAAGGAACAAACACAGCTAACTACCTCAAAGCCAGAAGGATGTGAACCTTTTCTTTTGTATCCTGTCATTATTGCTACAAGAAACATCTTGAATTGATTGACACCGACATAGAAAAACAACAGACACTCAGTGCCTCAGTCCCCAATTCTATCTGGCCTAACATGGGTCACCTGGAAGGTTTCCAGGAACCCAAAAATATGTTCAAAGGCAAGGGCTAAGTGGGGACTAGATGGACATCCCAAAACATCTAATCTCTCCAGTCCCTAGATTTTATAAATGCTCTAGATTCTGCCATTCAGACAGCTCAACTCTGTCTTCTTTGCAACCCTGCAATCTTGGTAAAGAAGTGGTTAAGATGGCCAGGTGCGGTGGCTCACACCTGTAATCCCAGCACTTTGGGAGGCCTAAGCCAGTGGATCACGAGGTCAAGAGATGGAGACCATCCTAGCCAACATGGTGAAATCCCATCTCTACTAAAAATACAAAATCTAGCCAGGCATGGTGGCACGCACCTGTGGTCCCAGCTACTTGGGAGGCTGAGGCAGGAGAAATACTTGAACCCGGGAGGCAGAGGTTGCAGTAAGCCAAGATCACACCACTGCACTCCAGCCTGGTGATAGAGCGAGACACCGTCTCAAAATAAATAAATAAGTATAAATAAAAAATGTTTAAAAAGCGGTTAAGAGTGCTGAGTCTGGATGCCTAGCTTTGAACCTCAGCTCCAGTGTCAGCCTATTCTGTGACCTTGGGCAAGTTATTCCTTCTCTGTAGATCGCAGTTTCCTCTTCTGTAATGTAGGAGAAATAAATTCTGTTTTAGGGCTGTCAGGGATTAAATGAGTTAACACATGTGACCTCTTTACTTAAAGCATACCAAAGTGCTCAGAACAGTGCCTGGGAAATAAGTGCCCAGTTACCAGTTGGCTACTAATTATGGTACTATTATAACTGTAACATTATATCATAACAATAACAATAATCATTGTTATTTCTCTAGTTCAGAGTTAGACTAACATTTATCTATTATGTACCCAGTCTTTCATTTTATTTCATTGACCCTCACATCAACTCTTTGTAGTGAGTACATGCTATTATTACTCCTATTTTTAGATAGGAGACCTTGAAGATCAGAGATGCTAGTTTTTTCCTCATTGTCACACAGTTCATAAATGGCAAAGCCAACATCCAAACCCACATGCCTGAGTTTCATAGCCCATACTCTTTCTGCTATAACCACATACTTGAAGATGAGGCAAGAATAGAAGGTTAAATTTACGTCTCCCTTGAGTCACCACATATGAAAGGGAAAACAATTCCAAGTTAATAAACTAGAGAGAGTACAGCATTTATTTTTTCCTTCATCATGTCCTCCAGCTTATTCAGCTGGTGCTGCACACAGTGAAATGAGTAATTAGCCAGGATGATTTTGATTAAAATGGAACATACCAATTAATAAATGAAAGTGCTGGCATACTTGCTAATTTAACAACTTGTTCATGGTGCCAGCTTTCCAGTTAAAGGACTGAGAAGGGAAAACGTTCCTCCACCTCTTAGACAGGATGATTAGATATTATTCAACTGTTCATTCTTGTTAACAGTTGCTTTCGTATTTGAGAATAGCATGAAGTTTTGTTAAAATTGCTAGAGTGATCATCTCCCAGTCCAGTTGTCTCAGATGTGACATACTTGGTGTGGTTCCTAATGGGACCTGTGTGTATACCCAATTAAGATTTTTTTAAATTATTTATTTATTTATTTATTTATTTGAGATGGAGCTTGCTCTGTTGCCCAGGCTGCAGTGCAGTGGCTTGATGCTGGGACACTCCAACTTCCACCTCCTGGGTTCAAGCAATTCTCCTGTCTCAGCCTCCTGAGTAGCTGGGATTACAGGTGCGTGCCATGATGCCTGGCTAATTTTTGTATTTTTAGTAGAGACGGGGTTGCATCATGCTGGCCAGGCTGGCCTCAAACTCCTGACCTCAAGTGATCCTACCATCTCGGCCTCCCAAAGTACTGGGATTACAGGAGTGAGCCACTGCACCCGGCCTGTTAAGAATTTTTCATTGCCCTCCCATCCCCACTCAGCCACCTCCCTGGGCCACGCCACATTGAACACAACTCAGAATTTATGAGCCAATTTCTCCATGCACACTTCTTCAACTACCCCTTACTTTATGTTAATAGCATGGACACCACTTCATTGCATTCCTTTGCATATCTGTATAATACATGTGTATCTCTGTGTTTATTCCAGACCTAACCCTGGAAGGGACAGATCCATGCACCATAAGACCCCTCACTCTGAGTTCCCCTATCCTCAAATGAATGGACCAAGGATCAATGGCAAACCCATAGGTGGCCCCTAATTCAGTGGCTTATGACTTGTATGATCTACTTAAATACCGGATCTAAAGTCCATTCGATTTTCAAAAAACTTTGAGCAATGCCAGAAGGTAACATATGCTTGGGAAATATTTTGGCCCATGTACATACTGATGAGTGAGCCCAAGAAGTCAGAGTTTAAAGTTAGTTGGCCAATAATGGTAGAAATATGTCTTTGCTCTAAGCAGTAGTTGTCGTGTCAGGGATTTCATCAGATACAACTGGAAGAAGAATATTTCCTGAAGCAATTTATCCTTCTTAAAGATCTCATACTCAAGCCCATAAATTTTAATTTTATAGGTGTAGACTTGGTTTAATATTTCCTCAACTATAACTTTCCTCAATTTTCATTTTAAATCTTCAAGCCCTTACTCTCTACTTCATCATGGATGTCAATGACATCTCTGTGTCAATTTTTTTCTCTTTTTCACTTATCATTTATGTGAAACTTGAAGTTTTCCTTCCGATTATTTTCTTCTCCTCACTTTCTTCACGTGTTTCTTCACTCTAGTCTCATTTCATCTTCTTCCATCAGCCTTCAGTTTCAGCTATATTTCACGGATCCCAAACAGCATTCTGAAAATTTGCCTACGTTATTTTTTCTGACTATAAATCTGTATGGTCTAATATCAGGCTAAATGATAAACTGAAGATAGTGGGAACATTTTGCTAGAACTCTCAACCTGTTACAAACATATATTAACCCATCTTAGCCCCCTGTAGTGAATTGAATAGTGGTCCCGAAAAGATATGTCCAAATCCTAACTCCAATGCCTGTGAATGTGAGCTTATTTGGAAATAAGATCTTTGCAGAGGTAGTTAAGTTAAAGACCTTGAAATGAGATCATCCTAGATTTACGGTAATCCCTAAATCCAATGACTGGTGTCTTTATAAATAAAAAAAGAGGGAAATTTGAGACACACAGTTGCAAGAGACACAGGGAAGAAGCCATGTGAAGACAGAGGCAGAGATTAGAGTTATGTTGCCGCGAGCCAAGGAACACCAGGAGCCACCGGAAGCTGGAAGAGGAAAGGAAGGGTCCTCCCCACAGCCTTTGGAGGGAGGGTGATGCTGCCAACGCCTTGATTTCAGATTTCTGGCCTTCAGAACCGTGAGATAACAAATTTCGGTTGTTTTAAGCTACCAAGTTTGTGGCAAATTGTTAGGACAGCCCTAGGAAACTACACAGCCCCCTTCTGAAACATCTCTTCATTTTGAGAAATAGCTCTGCCCTCTGTCTTGGGATTACCATGGAAACAGGACATTGCTGACCTCCCAGCATAAACTCAGTTAATCAGATTTAGTCCCTCAGTAATTCCCTTGGGATTAGTACCAAGCAACAGCAGAGTCTGTCTGCCTGCCCTCCGGAAGAGAGCATATGTGGGTGTTTGTGTTCCACCATTTGCCCTGGGAAGCAGAGAAAGCTTGTCTGCAACAAGAGAGGAGAACAAAGTCAATGACCAGAATGGAAGAGCAATGAAAGTCAGTCGTGTGTTGTGAAGGCATTAGAATCCCTGGATGTTTGTTCTTGAGACCCGGATGTTTCCATGGTTTCCATGAAATGCTCCCACCCTTCGTAGTTAAATTCCCTAACGTGCTTGAGCAAGCTTAGAAAGAGTTCTATAACTTTCACTGGAAAATGTCCTAACATATCACAAACACACGTCTTTATATCCTTCTCTTTTCTCTTTTCTCACACCCTTTTACACTATGGGGACCTTAGGTTCTATTCTTTCTTAACTTAGAATGGACCTATCCACATGTAGAGTCTTCTGGAAGTGCAATATGGTATGGTAGGAAAGACTGAAGACAGAAAACCCAGTCTCCTCTCATCACTAGCTATATGACCCATTGGACAGATTAAGCCCATATGCTAATTGCAAGAAAAATTAGGAAAATAGGCATCTGACATTTTCTCCTCCACTGTGAGAGGCAGACCCGGCTAACAAGGAAGAGGATGATGGGAAACTCATTGTCTGCCACATCATGTTTATTATATTTTATTTTATAAATAGAAACAAGGTCCTGCTATGTTGCAAAGGCTGGTCTCAAACTCCTGGCTCCAAGCAATCCTCCCACCTGAGCCTTCCAAAGTGCTAGTATTACAAGCATAAGCCGCCATGCCTGGCCTGCCTGCCACATATAGAAGTAAAACTGCTCTGACAGTTAAGTATGTGAGGGGGACAGATTACTGCTTGCTTGGCTCTTCTCACCTCTCCCCCACCACAGTTGCCCCCATGACTCCTCTATAGACTGCCTTTAGGTTCTATAAGGAACAAAGAGGGACAATGGAGACCCAAGTCAACTCACTGATGTCTTTGATAACATATGTGTCCTTTGCACCTCTTCTTTGTTGGTCCAGTAAACAGAAGCTAAAGCAAATGTATCAAAGTCTGAATCAACATTCCTGGAGAAGCCTTTGGGTCTGGGCTAGCCCATGAGATAACTGTGAAGCTGTCACAAGACACCCCTGGCTACAGAGCACCTGTAATGTGGCTAGTCCAAATTGAGATGCTGTAGGAGTCAAATACACACTGGATTTCAAAGACTTACTATTGGCTACATGGTGAAATGATAATGTTTTAGAGATGTTGGGTTAAATATAGGGTGAAAATTAATTTATCCTGTTTCTTAGTACTTTTTTGAATGTGGCTACTAGAAAATTTAAATTTACATACATGGCTTACAGTATATTTCTACTGGACAGAGTGGCTCTAGATGACTCATGTGTGGCCAGGACACTAGGACACTGGAGAAGTAATGATCACCCCATGTACAGATACAGTCTGTGTCCTACCCACATCCTTAGGACCCTACCATTGCAGTGAGCTCCAGATCACTTCCAACAGCCAACATTTGCATCTGTGTTCCTGCAGGCTTTTTCCAAAGCCACAGCAGGCCAGCTGGAAGTGACAGGGAATTAATGTCCCCTACATTAACCCTCAACCAATGACTGATGGGATTTTGCATATCAGTAGCTCAGGTTCTTTGCCCCTTGGGTGGGATAATTCTGAGACAGGTGTTCTGTACTTGCTCCCAAACTGAACTAAACTCTGGGTGCCCGCTGTGGTGGCAAGTTTCACACTTCTTTTCATTGGCTGCCTTCCCTTCTTTGTCTCATTTCTCCACTCCCATAACAATGTGCCCTGTAGATTCCAAATAAATAACTTGAATCTTGTCTTTAGGTTTCTAGGTAAACCAAATTAAGACACTCCTATATCTAATCCGTCGCCAAATCGTACTGAATTTATCTTCTGAATATCTATCAAATCTAGTTCTTCTCATCTCTACCGACATCAACTTAGTTAAAGCTGTCATAAACGTCTGAAAACTTTTGCATCTATCTGGTAACTATTACCCTGCACCATCTCTCTTCTATAGCCAGAGTTATTTTTCAATATAAATATCATCATATTTTCTTGAGGCACTCAAATGGCTTCCCATTGTTTTTTATGAAAAAGATGGATGGCTCTTACAAGGCCGTGTCCTGGCTCCTGTCTACCTATCTGGTTATGTGTAGTACCATGAGCCCCCTCCCTGCTCATCCACTCCTACAGCACTGGCCTGTAGAGGCTCAGTTTCAGTCCATGGGTGCCTCAGAACTCTTGCACAAGCTGATCCCTCAATCATTTCCCTTTGCCTGGTTACCTCATACTTATTGTTGAAGGATGCCTTCTCTGACACCTTAGCTAGGTTAGTTCTCCTTGTTATAAGCTCTCTTGGTGCCATGTACCTCTACTTCATAACTCCTGTCATAGTTACAATATGATATCCCCTTGATTCTTTGATTGATGTCCCCTCATTCTCTGGACTTCAACTTCCATAATGGCACAGTCATGTCTCAATTTTGGTCCATACACAAGAGTACTCTTAGCACTTGGCACAACACTGGGTAAAGAGTAGGTGCTCAATGGATATTTGTTAAATAAAAGAGTACAACTAAATGAGAAGTAGCTATTTCTACTCAAATAGCTAATTCAGTGGGCTAAGGAAAATTCAGTCTCTTCCCAACAGACTGCTTGACAAAGGTCAACCTAAGGTGGTCTAGCATTGTTGTAAATCACCCCCTCCTGCATTTACTGTATAAGGTATATAAAGTGCTCTACCAGAGTGGACATGAGTGAGTGGCTCCTATCTTTAACCAGTTTTTGCCTTGTAACTTAGTTATTTCCATACCTAGCTGTCTTGATGTACTATGAACTACCAGAGGAGCAGACTTAGCTCTTCTTTACCCTTCTAGCCTCAATGCTAGCCATATATTTAGGACCCATGCCCCTTCATATCTACAAAAACTTGCCTTAAATCCCCATTGTAATTCCAGTGGAAAGCTCGATATTCTCCCCAAGATTTATTCAAATCCTTCAGAGAGTACCTTTCTTCTAATCACCTTAGGTTCAATTTCCAGCTTCAGTGAATGTTAGTTCTGTATTCTGCATCTTGAGGTCTTTTTCCTTAGTGCCAACCCAAATCCAGGACAGAGACTGCTTCTCCTTGTTTTTCCTAAAGTAACTTGTATGTAAATCATTGAGTGGCTTTAATTGGAGACACAGGGATATCAGCCAGGTAAACTTTGATTGCAACATAAGAGAGCCAAACTTAAATTTGAATATTATGTTTTTCTTGTTCTTTAAAAGTCCTGTCCATTCTACCAAGTTGGGTATCAGGCTGATGCTGTATTCCTCCACATGCTTGTTCTTCCTTTTTGCTTTTCTCTTTGCTCCCACCACCAAAATGACATTCATTTCCTTTTCAGAGGATGGTGTCTATTTGGCTCCATGCATCTCATGCCCACTAGGACCCACCTTCCACATTCAATAAGCTCAGCAGTGAATTTTCCTAAATAAGAAGAGTTTATTTGTGGTACATTGGTTTCAATTACACTTTTTTCTCACTCCACTGGATATTTTTTAATGAAATGACAAGGGTCAAATGAGGACAGCCTTCTAGCAAAAGCCATGGGCACTGAATTGAAAAAAACATGCTGTGCAAAACACATTTGGTGGGTGAATTCATTGATCCAGTAACGAGCTTGATGAGCCTGAGCCTGAGTTGCAGTGAGGGGGGTGAATGATAAGATCAGGAGTGGGACTTGGAGGAATAAGCTGCATTTAGGAAATGAGCAGAAGAAAGGTAGAGCTAAGGCCATGAGGGCCAGAAGAGACGACTGGGGAGCAAAGGACGTAGGTGAGGGAGGAGGAAATGAAGAATTTATACTGAAGGAACAACAAGGATGACTTTTAGGAGGAGGGTGGTGAATGGAAGAACCCTGAGACAAAGGAAGACATCACCAGCCAGGGGAGGTAGGCATTGCCCCTAGTACTGTCCATAAATATGCTCTGTAACCTTGCAGACAGAAATCACAATCTTGCTGAACCTCAGGTTCCTTACGTATAAAGCGGATTGGAACTAGTTAATCTCTAATTCCTTTTCCTTTTGAAATCTCCAATTCTGGGTTTTCCCCAGCCTCATTTAAGCATATCCAGGTAATGAAGCCATTCTGCTTAATGTTTTACAAAGGAAAAATCTGACTGAGGAAAAGAAAAGGATCACTTTTTGTCTACTGTTCGAAGCTAGCAGCATGCATAGAGTTTATTATGTGAAAATGCCATTTGGGGAGGTTAATTAAAAATTCTGACATTCAGATCAGGGATTTGGGTCAGGAATGTACAAGTCCAGGGCTCTGGGTAGAATTAGACAGGCATCTAAACGTTGAACCTTATTAAGTATATAGTTAGGCCTTAGGAGGGGGACATTTGGAAGCTAATATTCCAAACCCAAGCCTAGTTGGCTTTGTGCATTTTGTTTGAATTATGACATATTTAATAGGATTTACCTGCAGAGCCTGTGCTTAACAATCTGTTTCCTTGGCAATGCAATCCTCAAACGGGCAAAGGCCATATGGAAAACATGGGTTATTTGGTAATTTAATAAGTGAGATGAGAGGAATAGTATTTAATTCAACGTACATATTTTTATCCCCTCTATGTTCAATAAGAAAAAAAGAGATCAGCATTAAGTACATAGCATGTACTTAATAAGTGGAAAGTACAATTATTATTATCAGAAACAATTTTTGTACTATGCTTTATATTATAATAGGTGCCCAAACATGTTATGCTATTTGTCCAAAAACACTCACCAGACAAAATAATTCTTCTTAGTAGTCCCAGAGGCGTTATGCTTCAGTTTGTTTTTCTCCCTCTTTGCTCCCTGCACTTCATCAGCAAGTTTGTTCATTCTGCTTCTGATTCACACCCTAAATGCATCCTGTCCCCCTTTCCACCTGTAGCACCTGGTCCCAGACTCATCATCCCCCTCAACCCCTTACCTCCCCTGCACCTATTCTTGCTCCTTATATGCCCTTCTTCACCCAACATCCAGAGTGATCTTTTGAAGTCATGAATAAAGTCATGCCGTTTCTTGGCCTAAAACCTTCTAGTGTCGTCCAACTGTGACTGACTTTATTTTTTTCTTTCTTTATTTTTCATTTCTGGTAGAGACAAGGTCTTGCTATGTTGCCCAGGCTGCCCTCAAATGATCCTCTCTCATCTGGCTCCCAAAGTGCTGGGATTGCAGGCGTGGGTTAGTGCGCTTACCCACCTGTGCCTGTAATAAAGTTCAACCTTTGTCTTTGGTTGACAAAACTGGCACATTGTGGACTCCGCCTACTTCTGACCCTTCTTGATCTTGGCCACTGAACTTCCTTCAGCTTGTGCTTCTTTCTCCTGTTGGAAACGCTATGCTTGCCCCCACCATAGTGCTCTTGCACTAGATGCCCCTCTCCCAGCAATTGTCTTCACCCTGGTTTTTGCATGGATGGCACTTGTTTTATCATCAGTTCTCACTACACCTGTCGTTTCCTGGAAGAGTCTAACGCTGATGTCATTCTCTCTCATGCACCCATATTTTACTTCCATATCTGGTATTTTTTGGGTACATACTTGGTTTTTTTTCCTATCTCTCACACTAGAACACAAGCTCTGTGAGTGTGGGGACTTTCAATTATATTTTATTTTCCATTAGGAATTCAATAAATAAGTACTGAGTGGATGAATGAATTAATTTGGCTGAAAACTAGATGGTCAAGGTCATTTTATTGCCAAGAAGTAGGTCAATACAAGAATGAAATCACAGTAATGATTAGGTAAAAATAAAATTCCCAAGCACTGCTACTTTAATTTGTATTATTTTTTAATACTGATGATTTGTTTCATCATGGGCTAATTTTAGTACTATTCATGCATATTTAATTATGTTTTAGAATTATTCATTTTTTTCTATTTTAAAGATTGTCTAATTTATTCTCAGCTAATTAGTCCAGCTTTATATTTGTATACATTAGGAAAAATTGAAGGCAACCTAGACACCAAACAAGTTGTAAATGGTTTAAATAAATTATGGTAAATTATAGAAAGATATATATGATTTCATTTTTGTCAGTTTTATCCATACTTCTCTATTTGTAAGGATATTCATAGAGGTGTTAAAAATTGTCTTCTCAGGGAGGAGGTTGGGATTATAATTATCACTTACATTCTTTGTTTTTTGGTAGTTTTTATTTTTGGGGGGCTTTTTTCCTAATTTTTCTACAATGTGTACACACTGCTTTAATAATCCATAAAAGTAATTTTAAAAACAAAGTTTTGAAAGGATATAAAATATAAGGACTTGGAATGTCTGAGTATGAGGAGTTTTTTTTTTTAACTTAAAAACACAAAATCCCCTCAAAACAAAAAACCTAATCCCTAAATTAAAAAAGATAGAAAGCAAAAATTCAAATTCTGAAACTAGAATTTTCAGGGACTGAATTCACCTAAGGTGATCAGAGGGAGGCCATCGTTGGCACATCTTTGGAGTACATCAGTTTAGCTGCCCAGGCCACACTTTAGTAGAATATTCATGGCTGCGAGACCATCTTCCTTCCCTTTCGTTCTCCCTCCAAGTCCATTGCTTGCGTGCGCCATAACATCACCCCTCTAACCCCAGTTTACTATATTCACACCTGCAGTAAAAAATGGCCACATATAAAACACTCTGAGAAGTTTGAGAAAGTTTTCTAAATGTAAGGAAGATATGTGAGGCTGTGGCTGCTCCCTCTCTTGGGTATCTATTTTCTTTAACCGATTCACATGGGGGCTGAGCCATGTACCAGGAAGAACATTGCAACTTGCCAGCATTGGAGTCCAGCCATGCGCAGGCATGTTGGAGCTTTGTAGGGTATCCCGCTATAAACAAGATGCCAGAAGCACAAGTCCCCTTGGGTAAAATCAACCTGAAAGGAATAAAGCCTGGGATAACAAGCTGAGTCTGGGCAGAAGAACCTGAGACTGAAAGGGAAATCATTATATAAGATAGACTGCGGTGGCTGGTATTTCTTGTACTGCTTTAGCAGTTCCTATGTGCAGCCTCAGGGGAGAAAACAGAGATCTTCATACAGATAAACGTAGGAAGCCTCTGTAGGGCTCTGAGGTTCTAAACACGTGCTTGTATTAAACAATTTTGATGTATCTCCCCAGACCATCCCCTATGACTTGCTTATCAAGACAGGAAAAAAATCGTTCATCATTGTGCAAAATTTCAAGTCCACTAAACGATCACAAGCATCCTGACCTGAAAATATGGATTTAAATTACAGAAAAATATGAGAAATTATTTGGGAAAATATTATAAATAAGAAATAGTCTGAGCCATCATATTCAGAAGACATGTGTCTCTCATTCTGCAGATTTTCAGTACAACACTAAGAGTGCGTCGTTTCATGGGACTTGTCGATTTTGAAAACCTTCATTCTCTGCCCACATTGAGTAGGCAACTATTTCTCCATGGCTTCCTCTTCCACACCCACTTCTACTAGAAACAGTTGGGTCTAAAAGGACCCAAAGAACAAATGAAATGGACGATTACATATATTCATAGAGTTCTGTCACTTGGCTTCTTGTTTACTTGTCCTTATAATCCTATGTGCCAGACTAGAATGGCAAGCTCTGTTGTACAGTGAAAGATTTGGTGAATTTCAATGCTTGCCCAAGAACACAAGGCTACTTAAGTGAGGATTGCTATTACAGAACCTATATTCCAGCCCCACTAATGTTACATTTCCCATGAAAGACCAAAAGAAGAGAAATCAGATGTGTTAAGGGCTTGGTGGTAGCTGTGTTTTTCATCTATACAGCATGTTTTCATATTGCCTTTGGCTATTGATCATCAGTGAATTTCCAAGTTATGTGTGTGGATAACATGATTTGTTAAGCATGTCTGAACTGGATCTCTGTCTCTTGCAACCAAAGGAACCCCAATATCAAATACATTTACAGCAGTGGAGAAATATAATGCAATTTATCCATTGTGCCCTGAGATTTCCAGGCCATACTAAGTTCAGAAGACCCCTATGAGTGACATTTATTTAAAAAAAAAAAAAAAGGCCGGGCGCGTGGCTCATGCCTGTAATCCCAGCACTTTGGGAGGCCGAGGCGGGTGGATCACAAGGTCAGGAGATCCAGACAATCCTGGCTAACACGGCGAAACCCTGTCTCTACTAAAAATACAAAAAATTAGCCAGGCGTGGTGGCAGGCACCGGTAGTCCCAGCTACTCGGGAGGCTGAGACAGGAGAATGGCGTGAACCCTGGAGTCAGAGCTTGCAGTGAGCCGAGATTGCACCATTGCACTCCAGAGCCTGGGCAACAGAGCAAGACTCCTCAAAAAAAAAAAAAAGAAAAGAAAAGAAAAGAAAACAACAACAACAACAAAACTAAGCAGATGATAGAATAGAAATCGACTGCTGAAGAATTCTATCATTCCCTATCACTACTTGAGGCAATCCGACAAAATTCATTAATTTTAGCTTCCAGTTAATAATAACACATCAGGAGAGAAGCTCACTAATGAACTTTTTCATTTGGAACATGAGGCGATCGATGTTTGTAGGGCATGTAGCACTCTTAAATTGACACTTATATTCAGCTAGTAGTGGGAAAATAAAGTTGTGTTTCTTGGACTAAACTCATCAGATAAATTCTCTTGGCTGTAAGTATTTAGACCTCAGGGTTAGCTAAAACTAAGCAATCAGATTATCTTGAGATACTCACATTTTTCAGATAATTGTTCCCATATAAAATTTCCCTCGTCCTCCTCTGCAGTTGATCTTGGATGAGCTAATGAGAAATGAACCATGCAATATGTTATTAATTTATTGGGTTATCCTCCATTACCCTAAAGTTGATCAATAAAAATTAAATCATTAAGGGGCCAAAGTATTTTTAGAAACAATACCCAAAACACCTGGATTATAGAATTCTGTTCACAAGTTTAAAGTCCAAAGGAAAGAATGCATCCCACCCCTACCAGCACTTCCATAAAAACAATCCTCCAGCTGGGCGCGGTGGCTCACGCCTGTAATCCCAGCACTTTGGGTGGCCAATGCGGGCAGATCACAAGGTCAGGAGATCGAGACCATCCTGGCTAACATGGTGAAACCCCATCTCTACTAAAAATACAAAAAATTAGCCGGGCGTGGTGGCAGGTGCCTGTAGTCCCAGCTACCCGGGAGGCTGAGGCAGGAGAATGGCAAGAACCCAGGAGTTGGAGGTTGCAGTGACCCGAGACCGCACCACTGCACTCCAGCCTGGGCAACAGAGCGAGACTGTGTCTCAAAAAAAAAAAAAAAAAAAAAAAGATTAAAACTTGCTACCCAAAGTTTACTTTTCCTTTCTCCTCCTAACCTCTGATGATCTTCAATAATTTAGAAAAAATGCAAAGATTTCTCTTTATCTTCTATGCCATAAAACTATAACCCAAACAATACCAAGAAAAAGCTTGCTAATATAGGGCTTGTTCATTCAGAAGCTGCAGGAACTCTGTGGCAAACTCGTATGTCAGGTCACTTTGTTCCATCTGGGACCATAAGTCCACTAACTCATAAAGAACAATAGCAGACACTGTGATTCTAAGAGAATTGGTCACTTTCATCACAGCATAGAATGACCGAAGCCTTGTGTAGATTCGTTCCATTCCTCACCGCCACTCAGCATCAGTGTAACCATTCTCAGGCAGCAGAAGAAGAGACCTGCCAAGGCTGCATAGCTGGCGATGGATAAAGGATGTGGCTCCCTTTGTGGCTGATGTTTGGCTCTTGATACCATTGCTGTCCCTCTGTAGTTATAGATCTGTATCTAGTCTCTGGATCTAGATCTAGTCCTGGATTTGGAGCTAGTCTCTGGATCTGAATCTAGTCCTAGTTCTGGATCTAGTCTCTGGATCTGGATCTAGTCTTGCTTCTAGATCTAGTCCTGGCTCTGGATCTAGTCCTGGTTCTGGATCTAGTCTCTGGATCTAGATCTAGTCCTGGATTTCGATCTAGTCCTGGTTCTCAGTCTAGTCCTGGTTCTGAATCTAGTGCTGGATCTGGACCTAGTCCTGGTTCTGGATCTAGTCCTGGTCTGGATCTAGTCTCTGGATCCAAATCTAGTCTCTGGATCTGGATCTAGTCCCCATTCTGGATCTAGTCCCCGTTCTGGATCCAGTCCTGGATTTGGATCTAGTCCTGGCATTGGATCTAGTCTCTGGTTTTGGATCTAGTCCTGGATCTGGAACTAGTCTTAATTTCTCCTCCTATTTTTGCCTTTTCCTTGCTCCTTGGATTTGCTGACTGCCCTTAGCTTCTCTGATCTGACCCTGTGGGGTCTCTTACAGGGCTGATTCATACTCATGCACCTTCCTCTACATCCTCTCTACCACCAACAGGGAGGCAAGGCCCTTCCTTCTCCACCCTCTCAGCCCTCTTGTCTGCGCAGGGCTCACTCTGCCTTCTGAGCGTTTGGGCTGTCACTTTCCCTAAGAAGATGCCCTGATAAAAACTCTGGTTCCTTTTCAGCCTAGGTTTAGCAAGTCCAATTTCTGTCCCTGGTAATATGAGCATGTTTCATTGGAGGATGAAAATCTCCATTTAGCTGGGATCACTAATCTTTCTGCAAAGCCCCATAGCACATGTATATTATCCATGATTTCGAAAAGGTAGTAAAGTTAAAAAAAAAAAAAAAAGTAACCCACATATGTTGGAGTTACACAATTCTAGTCCCATGTGGGTGTGGCCAAAGCCATTAATCCTCTAGGCCTCCATGTCCTTATCTGTCAAACAAGCATTAGGATGCCTACTCTGCAGGGTTGCTGGGAATAATGGACATAATAAAAGTGTGAGGCCTCTGGACACCTGACCAGGAGGGGCACTGAATCATTGGTGGGATGAACATAGGTCCATCCTGGGCACTTCACTCATGCCCATCTGATTTGTGTCCTTAAAACTCTGTGCACACTGAAAATCAACAAAGAAAACAGTAGAGTTAAACTACACACTCCATCTAGTAGGCCTAACTGATATTTACAGAACATTTTACTCAAATGCTGCAGAATACACGTTCTTTTCACCTGTACATGGAACATTCTCTAGAATAGACCATATCTTAGGCCACAAAACAAGTGTGTACAAATTAAAAAAAAAAAAAAACAGAAATTATATCAAGAATCACAGCTGCCTCTCCAAAACTCTTTGTTTTGATCTGTCTCATCTACATTTGGCCATTGCTATTTTATTGCTACTCAAAGTGATGTCCCTGGACAAGTAGCAACGTCCTCACCCGGGAGCTTGCAAGGAAATGTGGAGCTTCAGATTCTTCCCTGGACCTAGTGACTCAGCATCTGACTTTCACCAGATCCCCAGTGATTCCTGTGCATACTGAAGTTCGAGAAGCACTGCTCTATTTCACACTTCCTCTATAATTACCATCTGTCATTCCTGTCCTATTATATCTGTTATCTGATGTATTAGGCTCCTATTGCTGCTGTAACAGATTTCTGCAAACTTAGCAGCTTAAAACAATACAAATGTATTCTCTTGAACTTCTGGCAGCCAGAAATCTGAAATCAGTTTCTTGGGCTGAACCCAAAGTGTTCGCAGGACCGTGCTCCCTCCGGAGGCTCTGGGGGAGAATTTGTTCCTCTGCCTTCCAGCTTCTAGCACTTCATTTCTTGGCTCATGCCTCCTTTCCCCATCTCCAAGCCAGCAGTATAGCACCTTGCTTCAGTATTCACACTGCCACGTGGTCCCTCCTCTTACCATCCATTAAAAGGACAGTTGTAATTACACTGAGGGCCCACCTGCATATTCCAAGATAATCTTCCTATCTGAAGATCCTTAACTTAATCACATCTGCAATGTTCCTTTTAAGGAAACATTCACAGGTTCTAGGGGTTAGAATGTGGGTGTTTTGGGGGGCTATTATACAGCCTGTTATACCTGGGTCTCTAATTTGGCACTTAGTAGGTCTTTAATAAAAGTTGAAATTTGTATTCATTTAGTGGCTGTCACAATTAGTATATGCTCACCTGGAGATGCCTTCATGGAGAAAGGCAAGTAAATAAATTGACTATAACCTATCGTAATCCAGTATGAATGAATGTATCCCTTAGGTTTATATGTTTCCAATGGCAGGAAGTAGTTAATCTCAAAGGCTTTACAAAAGTGGTGAGCTAAGTCCTGAAAAATGATTAGAAATGCAGCAGGTGACCAAGACAGGGAGAGACATTCCAAACAGCAGAAACAGCATTTGAAAGTGCATAAAAGAAGACATGAAACAGCAAAGCCCATCCAGGGAGCTGTAGCGATTAGGTAAACTAGAGTGTATATATGAAGCCAGAGAGATCAGAAGATAAAGCAAAGAAGTCAGTAAGAATCACATTAGGAAATGCTTTGAATGACTCACCAAGGACACTGATGTTCATCCTGTAGATAGGAGGCTACCATTAAAGGGTTAAAATCAGGTCATTGACAAGGTCAGAAGTAATTGAAGAAAGGTCATTCTGGTAACAGTTTGGAGGCTATTTCAAAAGCTCAGAGCAATTAAATTAACTTTTCAGTTTATGGTAGGTGTTTGAATAAATATCTGCTCAATATCTCTCATATGCACCATCACGCTTGAACTGCTGGAGAAAAAGGCACCCAGAATAACAAAATGTTCTGTTCCAAGCAGATGCCTCTCTGATCTGAGCTGGGGGTGCAGCTGTTTGGTGGTAATCAACATGCCAGTTGCTGTTTCAATCCTTTTTAACTGGAGAGGGGACACCAGGTATTAAGTGGCAAGAGAGCTCTTAGGGCAGCAGGCCTGGAAGGCACCTGGATTCCTTCAAGATAAGCTCAGCCTGCTGCCTGCTCAGTGTTTCTCAGATTCAGGTTTGTGTTGGTCTTGGTTGTTTTCACCTCTTGGCCATTGTGAATAATGCTGCAATTAACATGAGGATACTAATATCTCTTCGAGATCTTGATTCCAATTCTTTTGGGTAAATACCTCGAAGTAGAATTACTGGATCATTTGGGAGTTCTATTTTTTTTTTTTTTTTTTGAGATGAAATGTCATTCTTGTTACCCAGGCTGGAGTGCAATGGCACTATCTTGGCTCACTGCAACCTCCGCCTACTGGGTTCAAGCCATTCTCTTGCTTCAGCCTCCCAAGTAGCTGGGATTACAGGCATGTGCCACCACGCCCAGCTAATTTTTTGTATTTTTAGTAGAGATAGGGTTTCACTATGTTGGCCAGGCTGGTCTCAAACTCCTGACCTCGTGATCCGCCTGCCTGGGCCTCCCAAAGTGACAGGATTACAGGCGAGAGCCACCGCCCCCAGCCTGGTAGATCTATTTTTAAATTTATGAGTAACCTCCATATTCTTTTCCACGGTGGCTTCACCATTTTTCATTTCGACCAGTAGCGTACAAGGCCTCCAATTTCTCCATATCCTTGTCAACACTTGTTGTCTTGTGTAGCTAACACTTCTTAAACCCTTATTACATTTGAAATGTGCTAAGTGGAAGTGTAATGTGCTACCAAATTTAAATGATGGAGAAATAGCACCTGAGAGATACCATCACACAATGACACATGTACTGAACCAAGCACTGAAGTTTTGCATTTGCTGGATTCTCATCCCTGATTTCTACAAACCAATTCCAGCCTCAGTTTAGTCAACTGTCTGTAGAGATCAGTGACTCTTTGGACACTAACACCCATTTTTCCCAATAGTTATATTAAGGATCAAAAGTGCTAAAGCCCTTTGCAAACTGGACAGATATCAGTTACTTACTTGTTTACAATTCTGGAAAGGCACACTTTGCAAAGAGGTTGGAAAAACGCAAAACTCTCAGCTTTGTTCTTTCATCAAAGAAGGCAAATATGAAAGTCATCATGTTTCTTGCTTCACAAAACACGACCTGACATAACAAGGCTTTGTGCCAAAAAACAAACTAACTTATTTCTTTCCAAAGAAGCCAATGTATGTAGCTGTCTGGCCACCTAAGAGACATGCATCTTTAAGCAGAGGTTTGTCCCCTCCAGAGATACTTGAGACATCAGTGCCAAGCCTGAGAAGCCCATTACTACAACCACCTACCCAGGAAAGATAGGGATGTTTGATATAAAGTGCTCTTGGCTGAGAAAGTTTGAGTCTCTATTCATGCCAGTTCTGCCTGCTCTTAGCTTTCCTGGCAAATCCTTGGCTCATGAAAACTTAAGGACAAAATGGTAGAAGATTCATGTGGTTGGTGCCTATGAGTGAGAAGTCTGGAGTCGAATATCAGAAGGAAGACCTCTACAGAATGGACCCCAATGAACACGCATGAGAAACTTTACCTACAGAGACAGCCAATATGGGCATGCACCAAAGATGCAGACAATCTAGATAATTCTTCAGTTGTGTCCCCACATTGTCCTTACCTCCAATCTTTATTCACACTGTCCCTTCCCAGTTAATGTCCAGCCCATATGACCATCTCATCAAATCCAGGCCATCCTTCAACGCTGCCTTCTGTATAAACTCCTATGATGCCAACCTGCCATCTTTCTTTTCCCTTCCTCCTTCCCTCTCTTACCCCAGTTTTGGTCCCACAGCACTTTTATGGTACTTCAACCCAATTCAACAGAAATGTGGATTCCAAGATTACAACACAATAAATCCCTTGAGATGCATAATTATATAGAGGAAAGTGCATGGACTCAAATCCTGCTTTGCCTCTCACCAGCTGTGTGAGCAAATTCCTTAACCACATGCCATGCAGAATCTGACATAAAGAGGCTGGGATTTGGGGCTGCAGTGCTAGGTTTTAATCCTGGCTCTAATACGTAGCATCTGTGTGATTTTGGACACGTCACTAACCTCTCTAAGCCTCCACATCCATACCTGTAAGTTGAGGCAATAACTGTCTTCTGGCCAGGCGCAGTGGCTCAAGCCTGTAATCCCAGCACTTTGGGAGGCCGAGGCGGGCAGATCACGAGGTCAGGAGATCGAGACCATCCTGGCACGGTAAAACCCCATCTCCACTAAAAAAAAAAAAAATACAAAAAAATTTAGCCGAGTGTGGTGGCAGGCCCCTGTAGTCCCAGCTACTCGGGAGGCTGAGGCAGGAGAATGGTGTGAACCTGGGAGGCGGAACTTGCAGTGAGCCAAGACTGTGCCACTGCACTCCAGCCTGGGCGACAGAGCAAGAATCCATCTAAAACAATAATAATAATAATAATAACAGTGTCTTCTTTCAGGAGCAGCTGTAAGGATGAGTGAGTTAACAGGATGGGCACACTGGATGGTAACACCACTGGTATCCGAGGTGCAGTTTCCCCATCTCAGGACTATCGTGAGGACTGAGGGAAAGGCTGTGTGTGAGGTTTCTAGGACTGTCCATGGCAGCATGAGTGGCTCCATAAATGTGCTTCTTCTCCTTGACTAGAGAACACATTTATGGATCCTCAATCCTTCTTGCTCATTCTTGGGCACCGTCTCTGTGCTTTGCACATAATAGATTCTTAGATCAGGTCAGAATACCACTTCAGAAGCAGGTTAACCAACATTCCAGAGAGCTGAGGGGCCCAGGCCAGACCTAATTTCCTGAAGTGGGAAATTTCTCCCAGAAGGGGAGAAGATGCCACATGAAGTCAACTTGCAGCTGGTGGGGAGTATACAGGAGGCATGGGGATAGGGCACTGCAGCCAGGGTTTGGCAGGTTGAGATTTACCTCACACCTCCCTGAATTTATTTATTTATCCATTCATTCATTCACTAGTGAAGCAAGACCTCTTCTTTTCTTCTCTGAGCTTACTAAGCCCAATGAAAAATTTTTGTCTTCAACAACTCCCTCTGAAACATCAACTTGGCAAGACTCAGATGCCTTGACTGTAGCCTCCCAAAACACCACGTCATGGGGACTGACCACTCTCTCCAGACAGGCTGCAGGGCAAGGAGCAGGGCCAGCTGACGTGGAAGTTCCCTGGCACACCAGGCAACGGGGCCTGTAGTCTTATGGAAAAACACTGGGCTCAGGGCCAAGTTCCTGCACTCCAGCCTCAGTCCTCACATTTGCTGTGTGTCCTTGGGTGAAACACTCTACTTTTGGGGTGGGTGATGGTGTGTGTGTGTGTGTGTGTGTGTGTGTGTGTGTGTGTGCAAGCATTTACTTAAATACGGCCCAGCTATGATCCCAGTCCCAACACCCTACTGAGGGCCTTGCATTCAGGATCTCCTTCCATCTTTGCAACAGCCTTATCTGATGGAGCTGGGATTTGAACCAGTGTCAGCAGGCCTCCAGAGGTCATGGTTTTTGTCTCTGAGTATTTCTCAAAGGAAGTCCACGTGTAAACCTTCTCTATGAATTTTGAAATAGTTATGTTCTATCTCTACTGCTATTTTCAAACTTTTTTTTAAGAGGGAGTCTTGCTCTGTCATCCAGGCTAAAGTGCAGTGTTACAATCTCTGCTCACTGCAGCCTCTGCCTCCTGGGCTCAAGCAATTCTCCTGCCTCAGCCTCCTGAGTAGCTGGGATTACAGGTGCACACCACCATGCCCAGCTAATTTTTTTTTGAATTTTTAGTAGATACAGGGTTCCGCCATATTGACCAGCCTGGTCTCAAACTCCTGGCCTCAAGTGATCCACCTGCCTCGGCCTCCCAAAGTCCTGGGATTATAGGCATGAGCCACCATGCCCAGCCAATTATTTTTAAAAGAAAATATATTTCACTACCATGAAAGGAAAACAAATATCACTTGCCATAAAGAGAAGGTAAACTAAAAATGAGAAACAAAACAACGTTAGAAAATTCTAGCCAGATACGGTATTGATGCCTACTAATAGAAGTGTGACGAGTCTGGGGCACATCACAAAATAGATGACATCGTCAAATGGGGAAGTGGAGGAGAGTTTAATGGAGAAACTATTAACAATGATGTGGGCAAAGTTAAGGAAAATAAAAAAAATAGCTGGTAACATTAGAGGGCAATTATCCACGAGGCCAGGTTTACCAGATTTAGTAAATAAAGACACAGGATGTCCAGTGACATTTGAATTTCAGAAAACAATAAAGTTTTTTTTAGTATAATTATGTCTCTTGCAATGTATGGTACCTATTTATACCAAAAGTGATTTGTCATTGATCTAAAATTCAAATTTTACCGGATATTCTGTATTTTTCTGGCAACACTACCCTAGGCATGAGAGTATAGGAATGAGGGTGGTTATTGGAACACACAGGGTCGGTGATATTTGGAAGTGAAGGGCGACCTAGTGGGAGTTACAACCTGCCTTACAGGAACAAAGCCAAATGGGACAGGGAATGAGCTGGAGAAATAAGGATTCTGAGCTTGCTCTCCTCTTCCTGTCTTCCAATTGTCTGCTGGTATCTCTGATTATTAGGACAATCCAGAAACTAGAGGCCAGATCAGCCTGTTGACCTGCTCCAATGGTTTCCATGGAGATAGGTCTTCCAGGGCATTGAGGAGGGCATGGAAAAAGGAAGAGCATGGATCTAGAAGGCAAACAGAAAGATACCTAGGATGCCTCCTGGGGATTTGAGCCTGAAGTCCAATCCTTACTGTTCAAAGAGTAGATGAGCAAATGTCAGAAAAGTGTCAGAATATTTGCTAGCACTCAACTTGAGACTTTTTCACTTGGAGCAAAGGTGAAAAAGAATGGGGAAAGAAAAAGGAAAGATAACTTTCTCATGAAGTGCCCCATGTTATGTAACATCACGGCAAGGTAGCACCTAAAATTATGTGTGAACTTCTAATTTTATGTGTCCCACACTTTGGGAAACCTGCTAAGATAAAAGGCTCAAGGGGCAAGAGTAGGGTCAGGAGAGTGAGGCACTCACCTCAGATGCAAAATTTCAGGGGGCATCAAAAACCTTAGCAATCAAGATAAGTAACGGTCTAAATGTGTTATTTCTAAAAAATCAAAATTGATGCAAAAAATCCATGATAAATGAAATATCAATATTTTCAATCAAGATAGGCCCCGTGCCCGCATTGCACAACTCAGCCTCACTTGTCTTCTGAATCTGGGTTCTGCTACTTTAGGTGTGTCTGGCGCTTGGTGGGTTTGTCAGTAACAAACTTGTCACATATGGTGGGTACGCCTTAATTCCCAAGATATTATTAGCAGCTATTTACCTTATTTGAAGTTCCCAACAACACACGAGGGAGTCAGGAATAGGAAAGTAACTCCTGTCATACAGTCCTAGTGTGTCCCAACCATTCATGTACCCGTGACCCTTTCTCAGTCTTGGGAAATGTTCTCAACACCCAACCATGAACTGATTGCTTCTAGCCTAATGATTTTAAGTCAGAGACAGCTGGGTTGAAACCCTGTTTCTGCTTCTTAGAAAAGCACAACCTTGGGCAATTTGCAAATGTACCCTCGTGAACTTCCAGGCCTCTATCTGCCCCCACTGCCTCCTGAACTCCCCTCCATTGAAGAGCCAGCTCTGTACCCACCGAAAGGTCATTTAGAACTTGGGAGGAGAAAGTCTCTTTTAGATTCTTCATTTTCTACTAAGCTCATTTGTGCTCATTCACGATGGTTGACTTATTTCCTTTCTTGTCTATGAAAGAAGCCAAGAGGAGACATGCTGAAGGCCAAAATAATACTTTTCCAACACATGCACAGAGAAGCAAAGAAAAAAGGGAAGAGAAAAGCAAATTTTCAGAGACAAGCAAAGACAAAACACCGCATTGTCCCAGAGAGACTGAAAAAATGGCAGTCTGGGTTGCAGACGTCTTCCCTGTTCTGCTCTCCTGTCTGCCCTTGGCTTCCTTCCAAACACCACCTCACTTTTCCCTTAAGTTCATTGTGAAAGGTTTTCTTTTACTTTTAATCAAAGACAGTAATAAAAAAGAGGTTGGGCACAGTGGCTCATGCCTATAATCCCAGAACTTTGGGAGGCCGAGGCGCATAGAATACTTGAGGTGAGGAGTTCAAGACCAGCCTGGCCAACATGATGAAACCCATCTCTACTAAAAATACAAAAATACAAGAATTAGCCAGGTGTGTTGGTGGGTGCCTGTAATCCCAGCTACTCAGGAGGCTGATGCAAGAGAATTGCTTGAACCCAGGAGGCGGAGGTTGCAGTGAGCCGAGATCCTGCCACTGCACTCCAGCCTGGGTGAGAGAGAAAGACTGCCTCAAAAAAAAAAAAAAAAAAAGAAAGAAAGAAAGAAAGAAAAAGCTACTTTGATAGTCAATTGAATTGATTTACCTTATATCTCTTCTTGAAGTTCTCATTGCTGCTTCTCCTGTTTAGAGTGAATTTCCGACTCTACCAAGCAAAAAGTGAAATTGAGTTGTGTCATTCACAAAACATGACAAATAAATATCCATGACTGCTTCATCCGATTGTTCAAAAATATTCCTGGACACTTGCAGATTTCCTTATATAGACTTTAAAGCACATAATACTTTGTACTTCTGTGTACTTCCTGAGTTTCCTGAGTTTGAACGGAAGGAACAAAACATGCCAGAGTATATTTTTTAACACTCTGAAGGAGTGTGATTTCTGTGACCATGAACTCATTATGGGTTCCATTACTTTGAGAAGTGCTATTCTTTGGAAAAGATGAATTGGGGAGTTTGGAGTCGGACATAGGGTACAAACTCCAGTGCTGCCTCTTATATGCTGTGTGGTCTTGGACAAGAAGCTTAGTCTCTGAGGATCTTAGAGTCAAAACTTATAAAGTTGGAATAATATCTTCTCAGCAGTAGTTTTGTAAGAATCAAATAAGATAGTACCTAGGAAGGAGGAATGAATCTAACTTCAATACACAGGATACAAGAAATGTTGCATTTGTTTCCCTGAATAAAATTTAATCTGCTAACAGTCTTCTGCATCTCAGCGATAAACAAATACACAAATATATAAAGGAATAGTCTATGCCGATCTTCCCAATTCCATTGGGATGGCAGGAAATACAATAATGGATCTCCCTCCAACTTGTGAAGGCACTAGAAGTCTTCCCAAGAGCAGAACTTCTGTTCAGGAGGCTCTTGGTTCTTACTCATGTGGCTCCTTGAAGGAGGATTTCTCTGTTGTTTCCATGCACAGCTTGAGTGCAGGTGCTTTGTGAGGCTGAGGGTCCTGGTACCTGGGGCTCTGCCTCCTTATGAGCGTCCTCCCCACAGCCACT
Organism: Homo sapiens; assembly: GCF_000001405.40. Taxonomy (NCBI): domain Eukaryota; kingdom Metazoa; phylum Chordata; class Mammalia; order Primates; family Hominidae; genus Homo; species Homo sapiens. The sequence continues at coordinate 77,768,785 of NC_000016.10, forward strand.
TTCCTCTGGTATCTGTCTCCTCCCTGGTGCACTGTGAAACAGTGAGAAGTGTGTCCCAACCATTCATGTACCCGTGACCCTTTCTCAGTCTTGGGAAATGTTCTCAACACCCAACCAGGAACTGGTTGCTTCTGCATCCCAATATGCCAACCCCAGAGCCCTCTCCTTCCCTTGAGGACATGTTCAACTCTATGCAAATGTGCAGGCTGGCGATGATAATCTCACAGGCCATCGATGTGTTTTATTCTATTTTTTAAAAAGAATTTTTAATAGTTGTCAAGAGTTAAAAACTGGGTGGAAATAAACTTCAGTACATACACACAATGGATTACTAGGCAGCTGTTAAAGAAATAAGGAAGATTTGGCCAGGTGCGGTGGCTCACAGCTGTAGTCCCAGCACTTTGAGAGGCCGAGGCTGGTGGATCATCTGAGGTCAGGGGTTTGAGACCAGCCTGGCCAACATGGTGAAACCCCGTCTCTACTAAAAATACAAAAATTAGCTGGGTATGGTGGTGGGTGCCTGTAATCCCAGCCACACGGGAAACTGAGGAAGGAGAATCACTTGAACCCAGGAGGCGGAGGTTGGAGTGAGCCGAAATCGCACCACTGCACTCCAGCCTGGGTGACAAGAGCAAGACTCTGTCTAAAAAAAAAAAAAAAGAAAAGAAAAAGGAAAAAAGAAAGAAAGAAGGAGGATTTGTATAAAATGATTATAGAGTGATTTCTAGGAGATAGTGTCAGGTTAAAAATAAAGCAAAGTGCAAAAAGGAATATATAGAATCTACCTTTTGTGTTAGAAGACGAAAAAAAGACAAAATGCGTATACATTCACACATCTTTCCAAAAAGAAACACAAAGGAAAAGCCAGAAAACTATGAAGTTGGCTACCTTCAAGAGCTGGCTAGGAGGAACAAGATGGAGTGGGTACAGAAGGGAGGAATACTTCTCGGAGTATATCCTTTATATAGTTTTGACTTCTGGAAGCATGTTAATGCTCCACCTGTTCAGAAAATAAACTAAAATAAACCAGGATGAGAAGAGATGAGTGGTAAAATCTATTGGTAACTTAGCGTCAGTCAGTCACTTACACACTGGGGATCAATGTGAAACAAGACTCGACATGTGTCAAACAATCCTATACTTTGGGTTTGAGATGTACATTCCAACTCAGACCAAGCCCAGAGCCAATGGCTCCCCTATTTCTTTGGTCTCTCCCAGCAACTGATTAGAGATAGGCCCTTTCATCTAAGTGTTTAACGTTATGCCTTAGTATTGCCTATTTTGCAGTTAGAAAGTTAAAAGCTATTTTCTCCCTTTGGACATTCTCTCTACTCCCTCCTCCACTGCCCTTGGTACCTTTAATCCTTTAGATTACCCCACTCTTGGAGGAAGGTTGACCCACTTCTCATTTGTTAATTCATTGAATTTCTTCTGGGTGGGCCACTGGGAACGGGGATGCAGGTTCACCTTGGACCCTGCCAGTGAAGCATTTACAAGGCGGCCAGATTGTCCAGTGCCAAGTATAACGCTCCCTCTGTGCTGTCCCAGAAGAGCCTGCCTCTTTCTTCACCCTGTGTCCTATTACTAGATGCTATTATCCTAGGCTCAGTACACTCTCTGTTCTAGGAAGAGGAGCAAGGGCAGAAATAATCCTTCTCCAAAGGTTAATATTTGTTGGGTATTCAAAATAAGATAGACTATAAACTCTTGTGGGTTTTTTCCCCCTAAAAGGCAGCCTTGGCCTCTCAAAGCCAATTTGAAGCAAGAACTCTGGGAAATCAAAAGCAGGGGTAAAGGGGCTTCTCTGGAAGATCATTTGGGAACTGGGTGACAGCTGGTGTGGTGAAAATAATACGGGTTTTGGAACAAGCCCACCTGGGTTGAATTCAGCTTTTCTATTCTCAAGCTGTATATAATCCCTTTACCTCTCAGCTTCTTATAAATAAGGGTAAAATGAAGATAAAAGGATTTATACTTCACAGGATATTGTGTCCATTCATGAGATGTATATTAAACATGGCAAACCACACAACTATTCACTTATTAAAAATTATGTCTTGCTTTTCTCATCGATAAAGCTGGAAAGGAAGAACTATGCTGGATATTTTTCCCCTTAAAACATGGTCATTAAAAAATGTCTGATTATAAAAGCCATGTATGTTAACTGTAGAAAAATTAGAAAATATAGCAATGCAAAAATAAAATAAAAATTTCAGGACACCCATAAAACATCAACCAGAGATAATCACCATGAAGACACTGATCTTTCCAAATCTTAATACTCAATACATATGCATATGTACATACCTCAAAGGTAAGATATATTATTTTACTTATATTATTTTTATCATATTATTTGGGGTGCGTTTTAAACCTGATCAAAATAGGCTTCCATGAATAATATTTTCAAAGATCCCACAGTTTTCAATTGTATGGATATAAAAAATAAATCTGTTATCTTGACTCCCGTTATCAGAAGTTTAGATTTCCAGGTTTGGAGTATTTCAATTACTGCTGCAATAGAAATACTTAGAGCTGAAATATTTGCACATATATTTAATTGTTTACTAAGAATATCTTTACTAAAAAGGGTCCAAAGTTTTATCTTGTTAAGGCTTTTGTCTCATATACCCAAATCACTCTCTCACATGTTTGTACCACTTTACACTTCCAAAAATACTCCACGCAGGTCCCTTACCCCACAGGTAGAACCAAACTGAATTGTAGCATTCAAAGACACACAAACACACTCTCACACAATTTTGCAATCTGCTGGCAACAGCAGAAAGGTCAGCACTTAAAGTTTCATTTATTGAAGTTTATTTTTTCAGACACTTCTTGCTCACCAACTGGAACATTCTTAAATTGCTGCCCTGTCTTGGGCCTTTTCTAGGAATGATGATGGTCTTCTCAACTGAGCTGTGTCTATCTCAAAATGACTTTCACTTCTGAGCATATGCCTTCCCATGAAATCCCCAGTTAATACCCAGATGCCCAAAAATACAGATGGGAAAAAATTTCAAGTAGATTATGCAGTCCATCTGTTCCAATATTCTTCTTATGGGAATAATTTCATTTTGTGTATAATCAGAGAAAAGTTGGTAAGATAAATTTACCTGGGACCCCATAGTTTTTTATTAAAAATAATAAAATCTTCATCTCCCCTCAAGAAGCTCTAGTGTGTTAACCAAGGTCAGGAAGAGCAGCTGCTCAGGAGGTTGTGGTTAACTTCCTTGGAGTTTTATTTCCAGAGCAAGTGTCGTAGAAAACCAGATTGTCTTTGAATATTCCCTTAGTACCTTTTCTTCTGTAGAATCTTTGGTATTCTTTTAAATACCCTGGTCTTTCTTAGTTTTATACCCATGAGTTCTTTCTTCATAGCAGAAGTTCCCAGGGCTTCAATATACCTTTTATTGATTTCCTTTCTCCTACCAAGTAGAATTATTTTCTGTTCTATTCCAAAAATTGCCTTCTCTTCTGGTTCCTATTAACTCAATGCCCCCAATCTATTCATGTTTGGGAGCTGAAGACTCAATATAAACTGTTTCCTTCCCTTTCTTGCCAGCTCATTCCCCTTCTTTACACATACACATTCAAGACCTATTCTTATCCATTAAGAAATGTGTAGGCATAGGCTGGGCAAGGTGCTCACGCCTGTAATCCCAGCACTTTGAGGGGCCAAAGAGGGAGGATTGCTTGAGACCACCCTGGGCAACGTAGTGAGACCCTGTCTCTACTTTTTTTTTTTTTTTTTTTTTGAGAGGGAGTCGCTCTGTCGCCCAGGCTGGAGTGCAGTGGCACAATCTCGGCTCACTGCAAGCTCCGCCTCACGGCTTCACGCCATTTTCCTGCCTCAGCCTCCTAAGCAGCTGGGACTACAGGCACCCACCACCATGCCCGGCTATTTTTTTTTAATATATATATATATTTTATTATACTTCAAGTTCTAGGGTACATGTGCACAACCACGCACACGTATGTTTATCGCGGCACTACTCACAATAGCAAAGACTTGGAACCAACCCAAATGTCCAACAATGATAGACTGGACTAAGAAAATGTGGCACATATACACCATGGAATACTATGCAGCCATAAAAAATGATGAGTTCATGTTCTTTTTTTTTTTTTTTTTTTGTATTTTTAGTACAGACAGGGTTTCACCATGTTAGCCAGGATGGTCTCGATCTCCTGACCTTGTGATCTGCCTGCCTCGGCCTCCCAAAGTGCTGGGATTACAGGCATGAGCCACCGCGCCTGGCCAATTTTTTTTTTTTAATTAGCCAGGTGTGGTTGTGTATGCCTGCAGTCCTAGCTCCTCAGGAGGCTGAGGTGGGAGGATCACTTGAGCTTGGGAGATCCAAGCTCCAGTGAGCTGAGATCACACCACTGCACTCCATCCTAGGTGACAGAGCAAGACCCTGTCTCTAAAGAAAAAAAAAAATGTATAGACATAACTTCTGCCTTCTAGGACAAGACATGGTCACAGGCACACAGAGAGAAGATTCTACTGTCCTTATGTACTTAGCACTTCTCATTTCCCTATATTTGAACTGTTAAAATTTTTTTATTTGAACATTTCAGTAATCTTTTAGGACCTGTCCACCAAGCTTTTCTTTTGCCTCTTTAATTGTGCACACTAACAAGAAAGACACTTTAGTAGACATTAGTCACATTTTTTGGCTGCCTAGCAATGGAACCTCTTTACCGTGTCTGGGGTATGCCACACCTTGAGTCCCAGAGGTAGGAAGGCCCACATCCCATTCTAATATGGATGACATGAGGCATTGGCTTTGCCAGCCTCTCCCAAGTTTGGATACAGGCTTATGGTTCAAGTTCTACTGCAGATTCACAACCAACTTCATGGTTGAGGTTTTAGTAGCAACGTGGCAATGAAGCAGCAATGGTACCCCGTTTGGTGGTGGCGGTGGTTGCACAAACAAAAGTGTCTCCTGTTAGCAGAAATGGTAAAAGCAACATCCTTACCAGACAGGCATGATTTCAGCTGGGGTCCTAGCTGTTTCTCAACCTCCATTGTTCCAGCAGGCATCCAAAGCAGACTTCCCAGTCATCTGTGAGCTACCCAACATTCTTTCAATTGATCCCTTTCCTTAATATGTTAAATCAGTTTCAAGTAAGAACCTTCACTGGTGCAAAAAAAAAAAAAATTAATACCAAAGGAAGCACTTATGTCAAGTGAAGAGCAAATGAGCTCCAGGATTGACTTTTTGCAGCAGCTGAAAGATAGAAAAGTGGGAGGGAGTGTAGTTATTACAGAATATTACAGGCAGGGTAGAGTCTACAGAACCTGCCCCCTAGTAGTCGGTACCATACTTGTGTTGCAAACTTTGATTTTGTTTGACCAAACACCACCATGCCTCACATTGCGTTATTGTTATTTTCACCTGTATTGCTTTTTACTGCTTTACAAATGTAGTGTGTAAGCACGCCCTGCTTTTTAGAGTTATTTATAAGAGCCATAAGCATGAGGATATTACAGCTGGCTTACACTCATACAAGTTGTATGATGATAATTACAATTTAAATCAATGTGTTACAAACAGCAGGTGCCATCACTTCTCCACCCATAGCCCTGTCTCTCAACTCTCTACTGCTAAAGATGCTCACTGTGAATATCTGCTACTTCTTGCCTGAGGGCTTTTGCTATGGGAGCCTGGTTGGCCTGAAAGTAGAGCAAGCCAGAGGTTCTGAAAAGTTAATTCCTGTGAAAGCAGCCCTCAACCCATGAAAGAAGGGGAATTATTGGTGCATAAATATCCCAGCTTCACCAGTGGCTATGTAGAATAACTCAAAATACACATTTTCCCACCATCTTCCAGAATTCCCCAGTGGGGATGAGCCCCAGATGCCTACTTGCTTGAAAATGCACCCTTTTCCTGTTTCTTTTCATTCCTTTTCTAACTTTTTTACTCCACTACCAGTGCCTCCTGGGATCCTCTCCTACTTGGCCTCAAATCCGAGTTGCAGGGTTCCTAATCTTGGTTTATCCTAAACTAAGACACTTGCACATCAGGCATCATTGCACCTTCACTGGTAAAGTGAATCTTTACATGTTGCATTGCAAGTATGTTAGGGGATTGGCAGAATTGCCTGAATTTGCTCTCACACCTACCATACAAGTGAATTGATTTCCCAGCCTAACAAACTAAGGGTATAAGAGCAATTGCTACCCAGAAAAGGGGCGGATATAGCATGGTTTGGTGCAGTTCCTCTGGGCCCCAAAGCCCCTAACAGGAGCATAGACGCAGATGGCACTCTCCACATAGGGTTTCATTTTTCTGCAGCTGTTACATCCTCAAGCTTGTATCATGATCCCAGAAGAACTTACCATAACAATTGACATGCTGCTATTAAAGTAAATGTTGCAAACACCTTGTTTCGTGGTTGTTGAATGAAATGCAGCATCATTAAAGGCCATATCTCCTCTTGGAGAGGGATAGGGGGATAGGGTCAGCACCCAAACATCACTAAACAACATTCTGTCTCTACCTCTCTAGGATCACAGAAAGGAAGCCCTTTCGCCCTAGAAATGTACCTGCTTGAGAAGCTCTGCAGTGTGTTGAGGAAAGAAGCAATGATACCATGTGAGGGAAGTACAATAGACTAGAAGTTGTGTCCCCCACTCCAAATTTATATGAAATCTTCATCCCCAAGGTGATGGTATCAGGAGGTGGTGCCTTTGGGAGATGATTAGGTCAAGAGGTCAGAGCTCTCTTGAGTGGGATTAGTGCCCTTATAAAAGAGGCCTGAAGGCCGGGCGTGGTGGCTCATGCCTGTAATCTCAGCACTCTGGGAGGCCAAGGCAGACGGATCATCTGAGGTCGGGAGTTCGAGACCAGCCTGGCCAACATGGTGAAAACCCATCTCTACTAAAAATACAAAAATTAGCTGGGCGTGGTGTCATGCGCCTGTAATCCCAGCTACTCAGGAGGCTGACGCAGGAGAATCGCTTCAATCCCGTAGGCAGAGGTTTCACTGAGCCTAGATCGATCGCGCCACTGCACTCCAACCTGGGTGACAGAGTGATACTCCGTCTCAAAAAACTAAACTAAAATAAATAAATAAAAAAAAGAGGACTGAGGGAGATCCCCTCGCCCCTTCCACCATGTAAGGACACAGCTGGAAGGCACCATTCTATGAACCAGGTAACAGATCCTCACCAGACATCAAAACTGCTGGTACCTGAATCTTGAACTTCAGCCTCCAGAACTGTGACAAATAAATCTCTGTTGTTCATAAGCCACTCTGTTCATGGTGTTTTGTGATAGCAGCCCACACGGAGTGAGCGAGCAGCCTGGGTGACTCACACTGCCTGGGGATGGGCATTAGCAGTAACGTCCTGGGTGTATGTATTGGAGACTCCAGTCTTTAGTACCTGCATGTACAGGTAGTCTGTGTTCCCCCCCATCACTGATTCTCCTGATCCAAGTGTCACTCCGTCCCCCCATGCACCTCATCTTCCTGCCTGCTCAGTTCCACTGTGGAAATGATTGAGTTAAATCCTTAAGATAAAAAATAAACTTTGCTCACAATGACCAACTAGATAAACAGGCACATGCAATGCCAAAACTCAAAATCAATATCTGGGAGACTGTCTCTATTTGGAAAAGGAGAGGTGTATTAAATTAAAGTGTGTCCTTTGATTTTTCCCTCAACAAAATATGGCAGTCTCTAAAACAAAATTGCCCAGAATGATTTAGTAGCCTTCTAACATCAGCTTCAAATGTATTCAAGTGTCTGCAATGAGACCTGCATGAAACAGACCTCTGAGCTCATCCAAAGGACAAACAGTATTCCAGGTTGGGAACATTCCCCTGGTGTGTATTGTCACATCAATAGCTATCATTTCCGATCAATGTCATTTCTGCAAAGAGAGCCCTTGTGTGCCAGGCCACTGCCAATAGAGAGGACTAATGTGACCTCAGCCTCTGGGCTGGAAAGTCCCTTGAGCATCAATTAGTCCAAGGACCTTCTTTTACCAACCAAAACAAGGACATTTCCAAAGTCACACAGGCAGCAAGTCAAAACCACAGGCTACCTTGCTCCCAGAAACCAAGGATCCATGGCTTACAACAGGGTGGTTCAGGCCGGGTGCAGTGGCTCATGTCTGTAATCCCAGCTCTTTGGGAGGCTGAGGCGGGTGGATCATTTCAGGTCAGGAGTTTGAAACAGGCCTGGCCAACATGATGAAACCCCGCCTCTACTAAAAATACAAAAATTAGCCAGGCGTGGTGGTGGACGCCTGTAATCCCCGCTACTTGGGAGAATGAGGTAGGAGAATTGCTTGAGCCCAGAAGGCGGAGATTGCAATGAGCAGAGATCGCGCCACTGCACTCCAGCCTGGGCAACAGAGCAAGACTCCATCTCACAAAAATAAATAAATAAAAATTAAAAAATAAAATAAATTTTAAAAAAAGGCCGGACACGGTGGCTCACACCTGTAATCCCAGCACTTTGGGAGGCTGAGGTGGGCAGATAATGAGGTCAGGACTTCGAGACCAGCCTGGCCAATATAGTGAAACCCTGTCTCTACCACACCTGTAGTCCCAGCTACTCAGGAGGCTGAGGCAGGAGAATCGCTTGAACCTGGAAGGCAGAGGTTGCAGCAAGCCGAGATCAATCATGCCACTGCACACCAGCCTGGGCAACGGTGCAAGATTCTGTCTCAAAAAAAAAAAAAAAAGAACAGGGTGGTTCAACTTTGGCACTATTAACATTTTAGGCTGGCTCATTCTTTGTTTTAGGGCTATCTTGTGCCTTGCAGGATGCTTAGCAGCATCTATGGCCTGTACCCATCAGATGCTTGTAGCACTACTGGTAACAATCAAAAATGTCTTCAGACACTGCCAGTGTCCCCCAAGGCGTAAAATCACCTCTGACTTAGAGAAAACATTGCACATTGGAGCCATATGGGCTAAATTTGGCTCACAGACATGTTTTGTTTAGCCTATGTAATATTTGTCAAAATTTTATAAATTTGGTATATTTCACATAATGATTCAGACTTTTGGCCTCTCAGAAACACCTGGAAGCCCCAGCAACCCTGAGCTCACATTTTCACATTACAATGATGGATCAAAGTTGAGTTTTTTGTTTGTTTGTTTTTTGAGACAGAGTCTTGCTCTGTCGCCCCGGCTGGAGTGCAGTAGTGTGATCATGGTTCACCGTAGCCTCAACATCCCAGGTTCAAGCAATTCTCCTGCTGCAGCCTCCCCTCCTGAGTAGCTGGGACTGCAGGCACATGCCACCATGCCCAGCTAATGTTCGCATTTTTTTGTAGATACAGGATCTCACTATGTTGCCCAGGCTGGTCTCAAACACTTGGGCTCAAGTGATCCACCTGTCTTGGCCTCCCAAAGTGCTGGGATTACAGGCTTAAGCCACCATGCCCAGTCACTATCTCTTTTAGAATGCCCTCTGCACTCCGGTTTCTCACAGTCCCCACCACTCTCTGTTATGTCCCACAACAGGCCCACTTCATTTGCTTCATAATGTTCTCGGGCCTGGATTTAAAGTTTTCTTAAAACAATTTGTGGTATATTTTATCTTAAGTAAGCCCCTCAGTTCCTTGAGGTCAGAGTCATGTTATTTTTTTCTTTTGTTCCTTCTACAATGCCTAACCTTGAGCAGACACTTAGAAATAGTTATCCATTTATTTACCTATAGCAGTTTTCCCCAAAAGATATCCTGCAGAATGCTAATCTTGTTAACTTCAAGGGCAAAGGGCTGGAAGTCTAATAAGTCTCAGTAAAGCTGTATTCTGAATCCCTATGTAGAGATTCAAGAGTTATGCTAAGACTCTAAATCTACATTAAAGAAAGCTGCTTAACTGTATTTGACCCAGAGTGTCTCAGGCTAATTTGACCACAGACCCTCCTTTTACCCTGGCATCCATCAACATTTAGGAAACCACTGTTTCGTTGAATAGACTTTGGAAACCACTTAACTAAACTCTAACCATTTCAAATTAGACACAGGTGTTTAATATTAAGCGCTATGACAAAGGCAGTTACAAAGTACTAACATGTAAAGAGTTTTTTTCTAAGCATAGACATTTATTTCAATCAGCTGTTTTAAATTTCTCCACATATTTGTGAAGACAATGTGATCAATGTCTACACCTCACAGATTAGAAAATGAAGCAACAGGCCGGGCACAGTGGCTCACATCCATAATCTCAATACTTTGGGGGGCTGAGGAGGGTGGATCTCGAGGTCAGGAGTTGGAGATCAGCCTGGCTAAGATGATGAAACCCTGTCTCTACTAAAAATACAAAAATTAGCCAGGTGTGGTGGCGGGTGCCTGTAATCCCAGCTACTCGGGAGGCTGAGGTGGGAAAATCGCCTGAACTCGGGAGGTGGAAGTTGCAGTGAGCCAATATCTCACCACGGCACTCCAGCCTGAGCGACAGAGAAATATTCCGTCTCAAAAAAAAAAAAAAAAAAGAATGAAGCAACGGAAAGATTAAGGAACTTGTTCATGGTTACATAGCTAGGAAAAGGTCAAGCCAGGAACAAAGCCTGTCCGATCCCAAGACATATGCACGTAGCCTCTCTTTACATTGTCTTGCCTCCCTGAAACGTTGCACCATGTTCTCTATGTGTCTGCCTCCCCACTCAAGACAGGTGCCAGGCCTTATTCATGAAGGAAGTAGCCAGGAAATTATTGTCCATTGATCAACTGTTATGCATGGGAAATAATACTTGGAAGAGTTTGGCATGGTATCTCATGCAGAATTAGATATTCTAATACTCATTTATTGGGCAATTCTCTTAACCTTTCAGAGCCTAAAATTCACATAGGTAGGAAATGGGAAAACTGGGTTCTGAACAAGTCCTGGAAACAAGGTATGTGTTCCTTCTACCTTCCTTAGTGCATATCAAGAATGCAGAATTGGGCCAGGCATGGTGGCTCACGCCTGTAATCCCAGCATTTTGGGAGGCCGAGGTGGGCAGATCACCTGAAGTTAGGAGTTCAATACCAGCCTGACCAACATGATGAAACACTGTCTCTACTAAAAATACAAAAATCAGCTGGGCATGGTGGCAGGTGCCAGTAATCCCAACTACTCGAGAGGCTGAGGCAGGGGAACCACTTGAACTTGGGAGACGGAGGTTGCAGTGAGCTGAGATCGTGCCACTGAACTCCAGTCTGGGCGACAGAGCAAGACTCTGTCTCAAAAAACAAACAAACAAAAATAAAACAAAACAACAACAAAAAAATAATGTAGAATTGGATGAATGAGTGGATAGATGGATGATTGGACAATTGGGTGATGGATGGACTTCTTCCCATTTGCTTTGTGGAAAGTACCCCATTAGGCTCTGTGAAGAGAAGGGGCATACTAAAAGGAATAGGACAGGATTTCTGAAGAACATTTCCCCATTTCCTGGGATTTAAGCCTGCTACCCTCAGAACAGGAAAGGCAAAATGTGCCCTTTTCATGGTGTGCATTTTCAGTTACATTGAGGTCTTGTAGCTTCACAGTCATTACTGCAAGGAAGCCCCAACCAACTGGATATAGGCCAATCCAACAATAAAAGGAACAAAACTTTCAGGGACATCAGCTCTTAGCCTCAACCAGAGACATCAGGGCAACAAGAGAGTGAATTAGCTGGAGGGCTGGTTCATCCTTATTTATAGTATGATGATCTCAGCTTGTAAGGTGGAAAAAACGGTGCAGGGGAGGAATTCGTCCCCTTTCTGGTTTCTGTTGGACCCTATTTGAGGAGTAAATGCTTTGTTTATTTCTGAACCTGAATTTTACGTCCCCATCCCATTACTCATCATGATCTATAGCAAAGTACTTTAGGGAAAACACAGCTCTCTGCAGTGCTTGGAAGAGGCAGGCAGCATTACTGTGTGGTGATTCATACAAGAAAACACACAGGGGCCGGACACAGTGGCTCACGCCTGTGATCCCAGCACTTTGGGAGGCCAAGGTGGGCGGATCACCTGAAGTCAGGAGTTCGAGACGAACCTGGCCAACATGGTGAAACCACGTTTCCACTAAAAATACAAAAATTAGCCAGGTGTGGTGGTGCATGCCTGTAGTCCCAGCTACTCAGGAGGCTGATTTAGGAGAATCATTTGAACCTGGGAAGTGGAGGTTGCAGTGAGTCAAGATTCTGCCACTGCACCACAGCCTGGGGTGACAGAGCCAGACTCCATCTCAAAAAGAAGAGGGAGGGGGAGGGGGAGGAGGCGAAGAAGAAGAAGGAGGAGGAGGAGCAGGAGGAGGAGGAGGAGGAGAAATGGAAGAGGAAGAGGAAGAAAAGAAAAAGAGAAAAAAATCATACAGCATCACACTAGGGGGAGGACCCTAGATAATATTCAAGGGGAGGGGTACAAGAAATCACTCAGAAATTATCTTTCAGTGTGAGTGAAATTTCAAAAACAAACTACATGATTTAAATTCCTTAGTCCTATGTTGTATATTTTCCTCTTTACTTGACCAACCATGTTTACCAAATGATACTAAACAATTGATAAGATCATCTCCACATGGATAACAGCTGCTTATGGAGATGAGTAAGAGCAGGTGAAATGTTTCTATTTCTATTCATACATGAGCAGATTAATAGAGAGCTAAAATGGTGTTCAGGGTCTTATGAGTAGCACTTTTGGTTAGGGTTTTCCTGTTAACATCCATTATAAAATTGCAGCTGGATCCCTATGGAGAGAAAACTCCAACAGGGTGAAAATGTATCTTACAGAGGAGTTGTGAGAGGGAAGCATTGAATCCCAGGGACTGGGATTCTTGGGTAATGTTTTGTTGTAGGGAGGCCATGGGGACTCCTCAATACTCCACACAGACTATCATTCATTTATTTAAAGCCCTTCAGTGGCATCTGTGGAAGATACTGCTACACCTCCTAATGCTATCTGTCCCTTTCCTCATTAATTGTAGAACCTTAGCTTTTACTTGGACATTGTTACTTAGCTAAGAAAAAACTAGGTTTCCCAGCATCCTTTGCAGTGGGATGTGGCCATGTGACTAGGCTCTGGCTAATATGAGATAAGTACATGTATTATGGTGGAGTCCTGAAGTGCCCTTAAGATGAAAGCTGTGGGTCTTTCTTCCCCTCTCACGCATCTCTGTCCTGTCACCCAGCACATAAATGTGATGGCTATATCTTAAACTATGAGAATGGAGGCCAGTGATTCATGACCTGGAGTACAGAGCAGGAAGGAACACTGATCCTTGATGATAATGTACAGCCTCCATCCCATCCTAATGTATTTTATATTCTTTAAGCCAATTTTTATTTTATTATTATATTTTGTTGTCTGTAGCTGAACCTAATACATTACCATTGCTTTCATAGAGAAGCTTTTACCGACCATGCAGATAGCCCCTTGTATTTCCCCTTTACAGCACTTATTGAACTGGTAAATGACTAATTACTTACATGATTTTTTTTTTTTTGGTTTAATATATGTAGCAGAGATGGTCAGTGCCCAACCTACCCCCTCTTGGATCTCATCACTGCCATGCACAGCGACCCCATGGCTTCCAAGTACAAACACCTGCAACTCTTTCAGGACAGCTTTGTCTGGCTGCCTATTCCCAAACAGCCCATGTGCATGGCAGGCTAGAAGTGGCAGATGGCTAGTGCCCCACAGAAACAGTCCTCAACTAAGGACTAACAGGAGCTGGTGGATTCTCCATTTTCTTTGCCTCTTGATGGGGATACATCTGAGATGTGCTCTACGCTGTCTCCTAGAGTTCCCCAGCAGGATTTAAGCAGGTTATAGCAGTGATAACCTGCTAAGTAATACACCTCATATTGGCTTCTTTCCTACCCTGTCTCACCTTCACAGACCTCTTCCAGTGCTTCCTGGGATCACTTCTCAAGCCGTATGTATGCAAATCTTCAAATTAACAAACGTTTGCTCCTGGGCAACCCAATATATACCTCCTCAACAGGGCTGATAACTCCATTAGGACTGAGAATATATTTGTCTTATTCACCATGTTATCTCCAGCATTTAGCAACAGCACAAGGTCACCACTCAAAAGGTGATAAGTATCAGTGCACTTTTTTTCCCCTCAGACACAACTAGAGTTTACCATGTAAGACCCGTCCTACAAAGTGTAGACAGGAAGTGTATACTGCCACCATCAGGATGGGCTGCACACTTCTCTAGCACTTCTCTGAAAAATAATGTTGTGCTCATTGGGAATTAACCACAAACTATAAGAAATTATGGCACAAATCCTCTAATATAACTCCCTGGATTTTGTTAGGATATTTCAACAGCCAGAATCTTTTACCTCTCTCCATTATTGACCTCCTAAATTTGTCTCCTTTTTCTTAACCTATTTGATGGCATTCTTGTGAGTAAAAGAGCAACAAATAAAACCATAAGCATTGAAGTGTGGTGGTTAAGAACATACATTTCAAAGTCAAATAGCTCCCATTTCAAATCTCAACTCTGCAATTTGTTTAGGAAGTAATTCTGGGAAAGTTACTCAGTTTATATTAAATTTTCTCCTCTGTAAAGTAGGGATAATAGTCCTATAGCATAGGATTATTTTAAAGATGAAATATGTACAACAAATGATTCTAATTGTATTGAAGAGAATACAATGCAACAAATATTATTAAAGCATATAGTTAAAGACATTGACCCTCTTCCTTAAATAACATTTCTCTGGGAAGTTACTGAACCATTCCAAATAATTTAGAAAACGATTTCTAAAAGTGTACTGTGTCCAGAATTAGTGGGTTCTTGGTCTCACTGACTTCTAGAATGAAGCCGCGGAGCCTTGCGGTCAGTGTTACAGCTCTTAAGGTGACGCGTCTAGAGTTTGTTCCTTCTGATGTTCGGATGTCTTCGGAGTTTCTTTCTTCTGGTGGGTTCGTGGTCTCACTGGCTCAGAAGTGAACCCGTGAACCTTCGCGGTAAGTGTTACCGCTCTTAAGGCAGCGCGTCTGGAGTTGTTCGTCCCTCCCGGTGAGTTCATGGTCTCGCTGGCTTCAAGAGTGAAGCTGCAGACCTTTGCGGTGAGTGTTACAGCTCATAAAGGCAGTGTGGACCCAAAGAGTGAGCAGCGGCAGGATTTCTTGCAAAGAATTAAAGAACAATGCTTCTACAGTGTGGAAGGTGACCCCAGCGGGTTGCCACTGCTGGCTCAGGCAGCCTGCTTTTATTGTCTTATCTGGCCCCACCCACATCCTGCTGATTGGTAGAGCCCAGTGGTCTGTTTGGACAGGGCGCTGATTGGTGCGTTTACAATCCCTGAGCTAGACACAAAGGTTCTCCACGTCCCCACTAGGTTAGCTAGATACAGAGTGTCGACACAAAGGTTCTCCAAGTCCCCACCAGAGTAGCTAGATACAGAGTGTCCATTTGTGCATTCACAAACCCTGAGCTAGACACAGGGTGCTGATTGGTGTGTTTACCAACCTTGAGCTAGATACGGAGTGATGATTGGTGTATTTACAATCCCTGAGCTAGACATAAAGGTTCTCCAAGTCCCCACCAGACTCAGGAGCCCAGCTGGCTTCACCTAGTGGATCCCGCATGGGGGCTGCAGGTGGAGCTGCCTGCCAGTCCCTTGCCGTGCGCCCGCACTCCTCAGCCCTTCGGTGGTCAATGGGACTGGGCGCCGTGGAGCAGGGGGTGGCGCTCGTCGGGGTGGCTCAGGCTGCACAGGAGCCCATGGAGCGGCGAGGGGAGGCTCAGGCATGGCGGGCTGCAGGTCCCAAGCCCTGCCCCGCGGGAAGGCAGCTAAGGCCCCGGGAGGGCAGCGACAGTGGGCCGGCAGTGCTGGGGGACCCAGCACACCCTCCGCAGCCGCTGGCCCTGGTGCTAAGCTCCTCATTGCCGGGGGCCGACAGGGCCGGCCGGCCGCTCCGAGTGAGGGCCCGCCAAGCCCACGCCCACCAGGAACTCCAGCTGGCCCGCAAGCACTGCACGCAGCCCCGGTTGCCGCTCGGGCCTCTCCCTCCTCATCTCCCCGCAAGCTGAGGGAGCCGGCTCCGGCCTCGGCCAGCCCAGGAAGGGGCTCCCACAGTGTAGCAGCGGGCTGAAGGGCTCCTCAAGCGCGGCCAGAGTGGGCGCCAAGGCCAAGGAGGCCCCGAGAGTGAGCGAGGGCTGTGAGGGCTGCCAGTATGCTGTCACCTCTCAGTACTGATGGTTTCCCATATTTTCTTACTCAGAGACTTTACCTCTATTAGGGGTTCCTATATCTGGCCTTCTACATCCCCCCCCACCCCCCACACACACCCCCACGTGCACATACCCTGCCCCAGACCATTTGCAAGGTAACAGAGCTGAGCTGTAATACTCTGTTTTACCATCAGTGGCCACTGTTTGACATTATGTACAATGATGTACATAATGCACATTATTCTACAATAATGTAAGAAATTCCACAACGGAGGCTCTGAGTGAATGTCCAAGGAATCAATTTTACAAATTAAAAATTGATTTATTGTGTTTATTTGGAGATATGCCATGCACTGTGGCTCTTTCCACGTTCCACCAGGGAGTACCAGAGTTGGGAATATTTAACAATAGTGGTATATAGGACTCAGAAGAGGGTATCTCCCCACCCCCCCACAAGCAGCACAGACTGTGGTGGGTTCTCTCTGGGTTGTTGTGATAATCAGCTGCCTACCAATTATAATCTGGGGTTTGTAAACAGCCAGAAGATTCCCTTGGAGGGAGTAATTATATTCCCTTTAACACACTGTAAGACAAACACTTTCTCTTTAACATGCTGTGTGCTGACTACAAAGTGGGTTTACTTTACTAATGCCAAAGGAAAACAAACACTCAGAACCAAGGCAAGGGACCTTGGTGGTACAGAGATAGTAGGCGGTGAAAAAAAAGAGCAGGGAACATTAAAAAATGCCATGGAGTATTGTCAATCAGGGGCAGAACTGGTTTGGCCTGTCCGTATAAACATGCATGATGAGATCTTAAGAGCACAGATTTGGAGTTGGTCTTCTATCTCATTATAACTAGCATGTTCCTTTGAGCACAATAATTCATCATGTTAAGATTCATTTTCATTTTCCTCTTCCATAAAGTGGGAATAGGAATTCTTACTCATGAGATTATTTTCAGAATCAAATTAAGAAATATACCTACAGTGTCTAGAACAGTAGACACCTCCAAAACAATAACATATATTGCAGATATTATTGGTGCCAAAGCTATGTCTCCATGGAATTCATCATTCCATGTATAAAATGATAGCTTCCTGCAAAGAGCATCCACAATTCTCTGCCTGGGGATTCTCTCAGCCCAAGTACATGGGACAGGATGGAAATGTCAAGGAGTTAACAATTCCAGGAACAGTTCTTGACCAATCAAGCATAGACTTTAGTGAATAAATACCTATGTCCTCACTCCTTGGGTGAGACAACTCTGAGACTTGTTCTACACTGTCTCTCAAATGTCCCCTGCGGGTTTGAGCTCCAATTGTCCACTGCGGTAATCTGCTTATTAATACATCTCATATTGGGTAGTATCAATTTTCTGTCTCACTTTCCTACTTCCCAGCCAGAGCTTCCTGGGATTACTTCCAAAATAAACGACGGGTGTTCAAATTCTTGTTTCAGGACAGAATCCAGCCTAAACACTGTATCTCACAATGTAAACAAGACAAACAATTTGGACAATTGGATTCACAATAAAATGTTCAATTCACTAACCAAGCCCTATTCAGGCTTCTTTTAGCCCTCTTCCTTCCATCCCATGGCCATTGCCTCAGTTGGGACCATTCTCATTTATTTTGTTTCTTTTTGGGGATTTTTTTTTTTTTTTGCCTGCACTTAGTCTCTAACTGATCTCGATGCTTCCAGTAACTCTATCATCTAATCCATCACCCACTTACTGTCAAAGTTATTATCCTAAAATGCAGTTCTGGTAATGCTCTCCCCATGTTTTTGTTTTTTAAGCCTTTATGGCACCAATTGCCTCTGTGATTATGTCTTAAATTTTATAACCTGGTATGTGAGAACTTTCAAAAGCTGGTCCCAATAAACCTTTCAGCCTCATCTCCAATGATTGCTAAATACAGCCAATGTTCTGCCTACATAGAACAAACCAGAATCTCAAAAGCCCTTTTACCTGTTACCTTTCTGTGTTATTTGAATGAGCTTGCGACCTTTTCTGCCAGAAGAACCTGCCTTATCCTTCAAGGTCTAGCCCAAATGTTCCCTCCTCCATGAGAACTTCTCCAACTCTCTGGACCAGTTTTTCAACAGGCTGCCTCTGTGCATATTCTACTATGTACCAATCATGTATTAAGCCCTGGGAAAACCACGCTGGATAAAAGTAGAAATAGCTCCTGCTCACATGAAGTTCACAGTTGGATAAAGGAAACAGATATTATCAGGTAAACATATAAAAGTTGGCTACAAAGGGACATAAGTGTCTATAGTCAGGGAGGACACCAATCTGGAGGTTGGAGTGCCTCCCAACAGGAATGGACCCTTGAGGTGAGAACGAAGTAGGAGTTAACACCAGATAAAGGAGATGGAACACATACCCCAGGCCAAGGGGACAGCAGGTGCAGAACCCTGTGGAAGGAGGGAAAATGGCAATCGTCTTTTTTTTTTTTTTTTTTTTTTTTAAGGAATAGAAGACAAGGGCATTTAAAGCAGTGAGGCACAGGAAGAATGAGGGGAGAGAAGAGGCAGCACTTACATCATTCATTGTACCACATTTGTTGACTGTGTCCTTCATGCCTCATGCTCTGAAATTGACCTTTTCCAATATAAGGACCATGTCTCACTGAAATCATGTCCACCCCAGCACTTCACACAATATAGAAAAAAAAATCAATGTACCCAATTTATAGATGAGTGTGTTGAGGCTCAGGAAGGTTGAATGAGTTGCCCAAGATCTCAAGGCTGGCAATGGCATAGCAACTATAATAGAATATAGACCTACTTCCTCACCTGCATCTCTTTCCTTAAACTGCCCCTAGGAAAACCACGTCCTTCCCCATTATTTTATTTCAGAAATTCCAAGTTTTTCTATGAGCTGTTTTTCTCAAAGAGCCTGATAACAAAACAAAACGCCAGTTACTACTCTGTGTATGTGCATGCATGTTGGGGAGCGGGTACACACTGGTCTTCCGGGGATCAGAACACGAACAGGATCCTTTCTGGTACAGGATTCTTGTCTGAAGCCTCTTTAATAGCCCGAAATGGTGTGGGTGGTGAGAATTCGCCGTCGTAAGGAAGCCCCTGGTGATACCCAGCAAAGAGCATCCCGGCTGACCCTGCAGGTCTGGAGTGAAAAGACCCTGCACTGGACTCTTCAGGGCAGTGAGCGGGATCTCTAGTTCCCTGCTTCCCAAACCTCTCCGCCCTTCCACCCAAAACTGGCTGTTTGAGAAACGACCCAATTTCCCGACTATCCCGCCCAGCCTCGAAGATGGGAGGGAGAGAGGGCAACCTTGTCGCGGTAAGGCATCCTCCAGGCCCAGACATTAGTCTCGGTCCATTTCAAGGCACCCGAGCCTGTGCCGTATATAACCAAGTACTGGGCCCACAGGAAGGGGGATGACAGGGTGGTCTCTCTAGGCTCGTTTTAGTCACAGATCTTCGGCAAATTTGGGTTTAGGGCCGCGATCCCGACCCTAACTTGGGACTATTTCAGGAACTGGAGTTGAGGCTTCGTTGGGACAGGAAAGAAGGGTGGGGCGGGGGTGAAGCGCTTAGGGCACGGCTCTTGTGAGGATTACGGCGGAGGCTGTGGACCGCGGCGGCGCTCGCAGAGGCTGCAGCCATTGCACAGCCGAGCATCCCACATTCAACAGGAGGAACCCGCGGGAGAGGAGCCCCACTCCCCCAGCGCCGCAGCCACCGCAGCCACCGCAGCCCGTGCGCCCCGCGCCCTCGAGCGCCATGGCCAAGGAAGGCGTGGAGAAGGCGGAGGAGACGGAGCAAATGATCGAGAAGGAGGCAGGCAAGGAGCCGGCGGAGGGCGGCGGCGGCGACGGCTCGCACCGCCTCGGGGACGCCCAGGAGATGCGCGCGGTGGTGCTGGCTGGCTTCGGGGGGCTCAACAAGCTGCGGCTCTTCAGGAAGGCCATGCCCGAGCCTCAGGACGGCGAGCTCAAGATCCGCGTCAAAGCCTGGTCCAGTATCCGCGCCTTTCTCGCTTTCTCTCTTTTTGCGCGCTGGGCGCTGGGGAGGGGGTGGGAAAGCTGCGGCTGGGATGCTGCCCGGGTAGAACCGCCGCGCGCACCCCCTCCGCGCCCTCACCCGGGTCTCAGAGCCTCCCCGGGCCAAAGCTGGGGAGGATGCAGAGGGGCGGCCTCCCCAAGCCAGATCTAGGGGTGACGGGAGGAGAATGTGAGCTCCTGGGCGCGGGGAGAATGCTGGCGCCCAGGCACCCCGGGTCTGGAAGATTGCGCTACGGGAGTTCTCCGTCTGAGAGGACAACTCAGCTTTCGCACGGGAGGGTTGATGCTTAACAGAATTAAAAATATATGTATTAAGAACCGCAAGCCCACTGTGTGCCAGCCGCCGTTGGTAGTTTTACACGTGCGATCTTATTTAATACTTCCTGGGACCTAATGAGTCAGGTGCCATCATGATCCGTTTACAGGTAAGAAAGCCGCCGCTCAGCGAGAATGAGTGATTTGCCCAAGATCAGTCAGCTGCCACTAAGTGGCTTGGCCGGGAATTTGATACATGATCTTTTTTCACCTCTATGCTGTTGTCCTGAAGGGCCTGGGACAGGGTGCAGGGCTGGATCCCGCCTCCTGCCCACTTCCTTCCCCGTAGCCTGACGGGGAAAGGAACTAGGAAGGAAGAGGGTCGGTACCTTGCACCCAGGCTTGGTGAGGGTGGAGACCAGGGCTGCAGCGCAACCCCCTCCATGCCCCTCTCCATCCTCTGTTTCTCCGAGAGGGGAAAAAACCCTGATCAGTCTCCCCGGAATTCCTGGTCCCATCTCAGAAGGAGCTCAGCTCTCTAAGCTGCCCTCTATTCCCCATTCCCCCTGGGGGAACTTCTCCAGGCCCTCACGCTCAGCTGAAATTCCCGGGGAGAGTTTAAGCCTCTCTGTGTGCGGGCACTGTAATTTCCCTGAAGTTCTGGGAAGAGCTTACCCAGCAGAGGCGGACTGGACCCAACACTAGGTTTGCATGTTAAACTTGTAAGGGGAACTTGCTATTAATCACGGTGAGACGAGCCTATTCCTTCCCATCTGTTTTCTAGAGCCCCCCAGTACATACTGCTCTCCAAAGCAGCAGCCAGCTCACGAGCTTCTAGGTTAGATCAGAAACCCAATATCTGGACCTCTCTAGAGGCACGAGAAATACAAACGAGGGTCCCCTCCCGTTCACCACCTTGAGAACAGACGCAGGTTTCATCGGCCAGATTAGAAAGCAGCTAGTGGGAGAAGCAGCCGCTGATCCCTGCCTTGCTGCTCATATATGCAGCTGGTCAGGTTTGACTCTGAACACGACTCGTGAGTCTCTGTGGGGAATTCCGGGTAAGGGAAGAGGCTTTTGCAAACCGGGGGATCCTGTACAATAAACTCTTATTGAACCAAGTTGTTTGATCCCAGAAGGAGAGCTTATATCTGCCCTTTCGCAGCTAAATCCCCAAAGACCAGCCCACTCCCCCACCCCACACTGTTTGGCCCACTGCACATCCTAAATAAGTTATCGCTGAATGAATGGATTGAGGAAAGAGCTCGGAGGAGGATTGTTGGGTCATTATTTTTCTTTACTTGCTGGTGGAAGAGCTTTTGCTTAGTACAATTAAAACCATGCATTTAGAACTCTCCTTCCTTAACCACTTCATCAAAAAAAATTACCTGTATACACACACCTATGCATATATGTGCATATACATATATACAATTATATATACAGTTGCATATGTATGCGTATGTAATTTATGACCCTTCATCCAAATTGAGGATGGGATTCTAGGATTCTAGAGTACATATTCAGAGAGGGAAAATGATAAAACTACTTTTTAAAGGAAAGAGCATCATCTGCAGTACACATAGTTCTGTGTTTTCCAGTCTTATGTTAACTGCATAATTGCTGATAGGAACTGAAGCATTTTGAAATAATAAATGTCAAGATGAAGGCCAAGAGATTGATTTTCAAAGCCAGATGTGAAAGCCTGTTCTTCAGTGGCGCTACACACACACACACAGAAATCACTGCACTTCCCCGACCCTAGTTGTTCAGAAAGCCAACCAGGCTGCAGGTACATTTGGAATACAGTGTTGCAAACAGCCCAGATTGATTTTCCTTTCACCAAGCTGGAAGCAGAGTTAATGGTTTTACAAGGAAGGATTGTAATAGGCTTGTAAATGGCCCACTGGGCAGCTCCTTCTCCTCTGGGCTGGGATTGGCTGGCCAGACATGATCATTGATTATAAGTTTTAGCCTTGGGATACAGGATGACTCATTCTGTATTTTTATGAATCAGCCGATGGCTTCCTGGATGATGGTCTCCCTTTTATCTGCTCTCTATTTTTAATAGAAACCTTTTTGTCATAATAGGATATGCTTTTTGCTTGGAATAAAGCATAGTCCATTTGAACCAGTATTAGACAGACCTGGAATGACGTTCCAAGTTGGCTATGAATTTTATGAAAATGGAAGAGATGAGGCAGGAAGAAATATCCATTTTATATCATGGACCCTTTTTCATTAATGCGCCAGTGAGATGGGTATTTTTCCTACAGAACAGAAGAGCAAATTGAGGCTTGGAAACATTGAGTAATTTGCCAAAAACATCAAAAAATAGTAGACTTAGGATTTGAATCTAATTCTCCTTATATTTTTGCTATTTTCCTTTTATTCCATTTTTGTCTCCCTTGGTGGAAAAGCCTTAGCACATGTGATTCCCCTCTTAGCATGCAGTCTCACTTTCTTTCCTTTCTCCACCGAAGATGGTTCCTTTGCTCTTTTTGTGTCTGGCTTAAGAGAATATTCTCTAGCTATTTCCAAAGTAGTATGGCTTTCTCCAGAAAGTAGAGACATTTTGGTCAAATGCAGCTCAAAAAGAACTGTTGCTGGGGTCAGGGTTGGAATGATAGCAGAGTCTTCTGTCTAAATTGTTTTTTAAAATGTCAGTTTTGATGGCAGATGGATTTCACCAATTATTCATGGAATACTTTACGCAACAAGAGGTTTAAGTGACCAGGTGGAAAAAGCATGTGGCCCTTGAAGAGAGAGGGACTTGAATATAAGCTTAAGCCTCATCTCTTCCTATCCATATGCCCCTGGGGGATGTGTCTCAGTGTCTCCAAACTTCCCATACATTATCTGCAAAGTGGGGATAATAAAATGAACTTCATGGTATTGTTGAAAGGATCAGATGCAAGAAAGACACTGCCGCGTTGTCAGCATTCAATAAGTAGGATTCATTGTGACTGTCGTTGTTGCCATATCTAAACCAATGTGATATATGCTGCTTGGTGACCTACAACTTGGAGGCCATCATTTTAATCATGTATATAATATAGGCAATATCATGTCACATCTGCTTAGTGATTAAGAGAGCTTCCTAGACATGAGTCCCAGCTCTGATACTTGCTAACTGGATGTCTTAGGTCTGGCTCCTTGGAGGCAGAACCTGACGCAGGGATCCTTTTTCAGGTGGTTTATTGAAAGTGTGCTTTTAGAACTATGGGAGCAAGGGAAGCAGGCTAGGGAAGAGGAAGGAGTTAAGCAAAGATGTGGTCTTAGCTGGATCCCACTGCAGAGTCAGTCTCACCTTGAAGCAAGGAACAGAGGGAGCCTTGTGTGTCATTGGCTGTGAGCTACTTTCTAAGTGGGGACATTGAGCCTCTCAAGCAGAAGTGGCTTCTATCTGACTGAGCAAAATTCTCTAGGGAAAGGGATGACTCTGAGGCTTGAGCATCCAACACTTCCAGCAGTTTGGGGATGGGCACCTGCCCATAGACAGGATCTGGGTGAGGTACAAACCACGCCTTCTGGTTGGCCTTGGCCATGTTGTTGTTAAAAACATGTTAACAAACTTCTGTTTCCCGGACTATAAAATAGAGCATCCATTTTATAATAGCATCCCCCTTCATAGTATTGTAATGAAGCTTAAATGACATGCCATATACAAAGACCTTTATAAGGATGCCTGGTGCTTAGCAAGCAGTCAAAAAATGATAACCATTATTATCTAAACTTTTACTTTTGGTTGCCGTATAAACTTTAGTTTATTATTCAAACTGGAACTCTTGTATTTTGAGACAGGCATAGCAAGTAGTCAAAAAATGGTAACCATTATTATGTAAACTTTTACTTTTGGTTGCCATAGATACTTATATAGTTTATTATTCAAACTGGAACTCTTATATTTTGAGACAGGGTCTTGCTCTGTCACGCAAGGTGAAGTGCAGTGGTGTGATCATGGTTCACTGCCACCTTGATCTCCCTGGCTCAAGTGATCCTCCTGCCTTGACTTCCTGCATAGCTGGGACCACAGGCATGTGCCACCGTGCCCAGCTAATTTTTTTTTAATTTATTTTTTGTCGAGACAGAGTCTATGTTGCTCAGGCTGGTTTCAAACAAACTGAACCTCTTCTGAAAGCAGAAGGGGCACTATTTATAATTACTCCTACATAGGAGAAGCTACAATCATAAACTGGAACTGTCTTAGGCAAACCAAGGTGTATGGTTCGCCCCTAACTGATACAAGTCAGAACTGTGCCTTTGCTGCTATCAGTCTTGTCACAGTTGAGTGTCTCTTAGACCGGGGCTGCTAGGATTTTAGGCTGGCAGAGGGTCTCCAGGTTGGGCTGCAGGAATGTATTTAAGTGGCCATTAACAAACCTTGTCTGGTTTGTGGTTCAAATTGGCTTGCAGTAGAAGGGCACTAATGGATTAGGGACATTTATTTTCCCAGAATGATTTACACCAAGAGGCTACATGAAACTGCTGGAAAGACACCAAGTGGATGAAAAATGGTTCCAGCCAGTCATGGTTCCATTGGCTGATCTGAAAATGGGCTGAGGGCAGGCCACATCAGAAGAAAGCTACCAGATTGGTGGAATTCTAATATGTCACGAGGGTATAGTAAATTGGAGATAGGGAAGGAACAAACATGTATTGATCAGTGGTTATGAGCCAGGAACTGAGTTGGCTGCAATACACTCTTTGTTTCATTTCATCCTAATGACAACTCAACAAAATCAGTATTGCCATCTCCAGTTAAAGATGAGGAAACTGATATTCACAGACACATCAGGATCACAGACTGCTAAGTGGAAGAGCCATGTGAACACCCAAGTGTGCCTAAAACCCAAATGGCTCTTTACATTTTGGAGAATCAGACAGACACAGTGACAAAGACATAAAAGAGAAAGAGACAGAGAGACACACACACAAATCATGAGAGATCAAGAGACACAGAGAGGCAGACGGGCACACAGACAGGAATACAGAGAAAGAGCCATGAATGTATTTGACTGATTTGAAATACAACTGCTAAGATTCAAAATTGCACAGTACTATCCTGCCTCCCACCCCAAAACGGCCATTATGTTTATGCACCACATCCATTTCATCTACACTTGTGAGATACAGTATGTGGGATGCTTTGGGGGATCCATCTAGATGGAGTTACTATGACTGTTGACCCAGAACACCCATGCTGATTAAACACAATCACAATCACCACTCCTTGAACCACTAAAGATATTGGAGTTCCTCCCTCTGCCTCATTTACCTTGATCAGGCCATTGCTACATTGGCAAACCAAGTATAAGTTATCCCCAAACAACAGAGCATTAAACTGTCACCAGTAAGGTTGATGCAATGAAAGGTGGCCAACATGATATTCCCTGTGTTTATTCAAAATAAACAAGTGGCATCCATGAGGTTAAGATGTTTGTAAAACTAAGATGTTGCTCAGAGGGTTTCTAATGCCAAGCCAGGAGCCACTCTGACATGGAGATTGGAATAATGTGTTCTGAATCACTCTGTATTGGATGGAAGCATCAGGATTTGAGAGGAAAGGATGACTCCATGCTGAGTCATATTTAAGGCTCATTTGATGATGAGAAAGAACATGGAAGTGCTAGCTCGGGTCATTTTTATTTAATGAAATTTGCATTCTCTCATCAACTGAGTCCTTGCTGATGAGGACTGGGGATGGTGACAATATCCGCTCTTTATCCAATAATGAAATGGGCTTCTTGCTTTTCTGGCGATTTGAAGAGGAAAGGAAACCTAGAATCAGTGATTCTTCTATCTCATGAGAACAAAGAAATAAGTTTTGACCCCATCATTTGAACCCACTGTTTATACTTAGCATCTTACCCCCTGAGAATACTTTGATCTATCAGTAGAGAAGCCTTTGTCTTTTCTCTCCATTTTGTGTCCCCTCTCCCTCAATCTGTATCTTCACATACTTCTGTCTTCCCATTTTTCCATTCTGCTGCTAAAAAATTAATAGCCACCAAAGAATAACCTCACTAATGGAAGCAATAATTGGTAGAATTTACAGTGGGGGCGGGGGGAAAGATTGAGAAATTAAGATTTGTTTTAATAATATTTTACATGAAATAGGATTCATCCAAGTAGAAATAATTTCAGAAAATAAAAGCGAAGTAAATGGCAAATAGCTTAACAGCTTATTAACAGCTTAATAACAAATAGCTAAAATGTGCCATTTAGAACATTTTAATTTGCTAAAAACCAACACTGTTGTCATACTTCTGATGGCTTGTTTGTAGTAGGTATTTCCTCAGGATTAAACCTTTTGGGGGGTTGAAACTATGGAATTAAAAATAACCTGGGATCAAAAGGAAGAGCCTGAAGGAAGAGCAGGAATGAAGGTGGATGGGTCAATTCAGAAAAGATTCATTCATTCCACCAAGTTGGTCAACTAGCATTAGTAGGGAATCAGCGCAGACGGGGAGGAAGCTGCCTATCCTTTGGAAAGTGCTGGGGCTCTGGTTTCAGGCAGACATGGATTAAAATTTTGCTTTGCCCTTTATTAACCATTTGTGTTTCAGCAAGTCGCTTAGCTCCCTTTTTTCTCTTTTTTTTTTTTTTTTTTTTTTTTTCATTTGAGACAGAGTTTTGCACTGTCGCCCAGGCTGGAGTGCAGTGGCGCAATTTCGGCTCACTGCAACCTCCACCTACCAAGTTCAAGCGATTCTCCTGCCTCAGCCTCCCAAGTAGCTGGGATTACAGGTGCCTGCCACCAAGCCCAGCTAGTTTTTATATTTTTAGTAGAGACAGGGTTTCGCCATGTTGGCCAGGCTGGTCTCGAATTCCTGACCTCAGGTGATCTGCCCGCCTCGGCCTCCCAAAGTGCTGGGATTTACAGGCATGAGGCACCACACCTGGCCAGTTGCTTAGCTCTCTAAGTCTTATTTGCTTTACTTACAAAATGGAGATACAACCTTATAGAACATTCGACATATACTAGGTTTCCATGAACAGCAGCCAGATCTCAACTATATAGGGACCAGTGAGAAACCAATGTCAGGTAGCTGATGATGGGCAAAGGGAATGGGGACTGATTATTGCACCCACCCTACCATCCATCTGCAGCATCTTTGCAGTGACAAAGCCTACTATGTACCTCAGCTTTTCATCTGATCTTCACCACCCCATGGGGTAGGTGTCACTGAAATTATCATCCATGTTTTCTAGGAGAGGAAGCTGGGACTCAGGGATGGAGTGGAAATAGTGAGAAGCTATAACCAATTTGGGTTCAGATCCTAACTCTACCTCACTGTGGCTGTGTGATCTTAAGCAAATAGCACTTTCAACTTATCTACTTCCTCACTTTGTTAATGATATGCACTTTTACTTATTGTTACAAAGACTAGCTAAGTGTCTGTAGCAGTCTTGACGGTGCCTTGCACATGGTGGCACTCAATAAAGGTTGTTTCTTCCTAAATGACTTGGGCTTTTACATACAGAACTAGGACATGAATTGCCATCTCTTGTTTTCTTGCCTAGCGTTCTCACACTAAACTACATTGCCAGCACGGAGTAGGATGCTGGCTTTTCTACAAAATGGAATGAAATCATGTCTTTTGCAGCAACATAGATGGAGATGAAGGCTGTAATCCAAAGGGAAATAACTCAGAAACAGAAAGTCCAATCTGGGACGTTCTCACTTAGAAGTGGGTACCTATGGCCATGGTACACACTGAGTAGAATAATAGACACTGGAGGCTCTAAAAGGTGTGAGGGTGGGAGGAAGATGAGGGTTGAAAATTGCCTAATGGTACAGTGGTCACTACTGGGGCAGTGGGTGCACTAAAGGCCCGGATTTCACCATTACATAGTATATCCACTCAACAAAACTGCACTTGTACCCTTAAATCTTTTTTTTTTTTTGAGATGGGGTCTCGCTCTATCACCCAGGCTGGAGTGCAATGGCGCTATCTTGGCTCACTGCAACCTGCGCCTCCCAGGTTCAAGTGATTTTCCTGCCTCAGCCTCCTAAGTAGCTGGGATTACAGGCATGCACCACCACACCCGGCTAATTTTTGTATTTTTAGCAGAGACAGATTTCACCATGTTGGCCAGGCTGGTCTCAAACTCCTGACCTCAGGTGATCCGCCTGCCTCAGCCTCCCAAAGTGCTGGGATTACAGGCGTGAGCCACCGCGCCCAGCAATTTTTCTTTTTTTAGGATGCTAGCTTTCAAAGCCACCCAACTTCCAGGGTTGGGAATGGATTTGGACTGATCTATTGCTGCCCTCCCACCAGCCCCCTGCATCCCCACCCATGGGTTGCTGCAGGGATTTCTTTGCTAGCTGGGTGTATATAGACAATCCAGCCTCTGGAGCTAGCTTTGCTAGCTGGGTGTATATAGACAATCCAGTCTCTGGAGCACTCTCATTCAAAGGAGTCAAATCCCATGCTTTGGACACATCACTGACACTCAACACTGACAGCAGAGCTCACCCAGGCATGAAGAAATAGTGCCCCGATGACCTCCAAGCTCCTGGGACTTCCTTTTCCTAAGAGAGAGCCTTTTGGACATCTTGGCATTTGTCACAGAAGAAAAAGTGTAATTAGAAGGAAGAAGAGACTCTTCACAGGAAAGGGTGGCGAGCATGTAATCTGAAATTAGTTTGATTCCTCTGTGTGTGATCTCATACAGAAAATTGGTTGGAGCCATGGTATGAAAATGAGTGAATTTTATGTCTGAAGGCCCAGGAGACAAAATAGATGTTCCAGTGAAAGAAGCTGTTTTATCTTTGAACATGATATTTTCCTGATGAGAGCATGCCGTCAGCATCTGTCCTCAGTCTCCTGTCACTGACCCCTGAGGTCTCATCCCCAGAATTTTCCTGGAGCCAGGGACATGCTAAACAATGCTTCACCAAACAGAACCCAAAGCCAAAGCATTGGGTCCTCTCACTCTTGACTTCTCTAAATAACTGTGGTCCCCAGAGCCTAATGCAGGATAATTATCTTCTGAGCCAGGGATGACAATGATTCCTTTCTTAACCTGGCACTAGCCATACACCCAAGCCAGATGAGAGGCAGTAGGCTTCTTGGTTATAAAGTAGTTAATGTGTGAACTAAAACAAGCTTGAATTCAAATCCTAGCTCTAACAATTTTAGCAACCTGTATAACCTTGGAAAAATGATTAAGTCTTTTGAAACCTCAGTTTGCTCATCTGTAATATGGATGGGGTAAAAGTTTTTGTGTGGGGAAAGAAGAAGATAATGCAGCTAAAGTGCCTAGCAAGGATGTTGATACATTTCATATTTGTTGAATGAATGAATAAATGAAGTGTGTGTGCCATAGAAGATGTGTTTGATAGATATTAATGGTGGGGAGGAGGTACAAAGAAATAGGACATTAAAAAGTCCCTCTGTGCTTCATAAAGTTTTCTGAATGGAGTCCCTCATTCAGACTCCACCTGTATCCGCCAAAGACCACAAAACCCTGACATCAAAAGTAGCTCAAACAGGATATGCCACTGTGTCATGACATATACAAGAAGATCAAGAGGAATTCCTGAAGGGACAAGCGAGGAAATGGAACCAAAATACACTGTGCTTCTACTGTGTGCTAGAAACTGGACCAAGCTTAGAGATCTTCAGAGGGCGGGAAGGCCACCCCCTTACTCCCTCCCCTCTCTCGTTATTTCAGCCCTGCTGGCCATCATGATGAGTTTGTCCCTGGGATTCTAGGCTTTCTCCTCTCCTTCCCCTTCCATCTTTCATCCTCTCTCCTCATAAGTTAGCTTCATGTACTCCTGCTGCAATGAGCTTCCTTCCCGAGGCTGGAAAAGGTGGTGGTCATTAGCTGCAGCTGCCGTGTGAAAATTTAGCGAGCCCCAGTGCAAAGAGAACTTTTTTCTCCCAGTTTTTATGTATTAAGGAAGGACTTTGATTGGTCCTTTGCAAATCACATACCAGCCCCTGGAGATCTCTCTCCCTCTCTTCCTCTCCCGGTCCTCCTCCTCCTCTCCTTGTCTCTCCCTCTCTCTCTCCCTCCCTCCCCTCCCCTCCTTCTTCTCTCTCCCTCTTTCTCTGTCTCTCTCCTTCCCTTCTTTTCCCTCCGTCTTTCCCCTTTTCTCCCTCCCACTTTCTCCATCTCTTTTCCTCTCCACTGCCTCCCTCTCTCTCCTCTTTCTCTCTCTGGCTTAAGAAAATGAGGAGCTGTGATTGACCACACCTGTGCCTCATGCTCTCTTACCTTGGTCTAAAAGAAGGTAAGCATCATGTCTGACAGCCCCACTGGAATACATGGTGTGTGTGTGTGTGTGTGTGTGTGTGTGTGTGTGTGTGTGTGTGTGTGTGTGGTGTGTATTGGGGGAAAAGGAGAGGGTAAATACTCCAAAAGGAATGGAGAGCAATTACCAGAAAGAGGGGGATAAGAAGCACATGAGACTATTTTAAATGGCAGCCATCATGAGTGGATGCGAGACTCTTCTTCATCCAGTAAAAAGTGAAGAATCGGAGGGGAACTGGAGAAGTCAGGTCCATTCCCTCTCCTGTGATTGTACCTTTCTTACCACAGTTATTAAGTCACATTAAATAACACATATTTTCAACTTTGAGGCCCATCATCTTGTAGATATTTTTGGTAATCTTGGAAGTTCTAGGAATTTTCTCTGTGATCAGTTAACATGATGCCAAGCATGGTGCTTGGTTCACAGTAGGCACTCAATAAGTCTGGAGAATGAGTAAATATATTACTGACTTTCTAGTAAACATGACCTTCCTAATACAAACAGTGGCCATTCCTGGTCAGTGGGGCTCAAGCTTCCCTTCCTCATCTCAGCTTTCTCCTACAAGAAGCTAAATCTCTCCTAAGGCCTCTCACATGCAGATCTGTGAGTGAGAACCTGGAAGAATACCAAACTATGTTTTCATAGGACTATATTTTCAGGAGTTTTACTTCTCCTTAACACAGTCTATTCTCTTGGAAGAAGAAATGAATAATGACTTTCCCTAGCCTGGGAAATGTGGGTCTCTGAGTTCTCACGATGCTCTGTAATTTTCTCCTTGTTGATATCTGGCTTCATCGAGTGCCGCAGACCAAAGCTCTTAGAGAGAACCTGCCATGCAGGCCCAATGACTGTTATTTCATGAGCAATCACTCAAGCATCCCTGCAATACATGGGATTATCAGGTATACCTGGGGACTCTAAGGCCGACCAACATGGATGTTAAAATCATAAACCCTATTTCCACGACTCTGTCCCTACCCTTCGTAGGTATCAGGCACCCCAAACTGCACCCTTCAGTACCCACAGAGAGTTTCAAGGGTTGCCTAGAAGGTGTTGCACAGGTACTCAGAAACACAGTTCTCCTGGTTGCCCAAATGATCCTGAACCTTTCCTATTGCCTTGTTCTTTTCCCACTGCCATACACTAAAGCCACCCAGAATATGTCCCCATTTTCTCCCTGTTCCAGATAGAAAATCAGGCTCCCTGCCTGCGCTGTGGCACATTTTCCCCCCAGTGCAGGTTACAAAGCAGCACATGCTACCTTGTATATTTAATGCTCCCACTGTTTGGAGTTAATAGGAAAGATACATTAATTATATTTCACTATTATCATAATAGCCTTTTGTTCTTGTTTTTTTGAGACAGAGTCTCACTCTGTTGCCCAGGCTGGAGCCCACTGGTGCGATCTCGGTTCACTGCGAACTCCGCCTCCTAGGTTCAAGCAATTCTCCTGCCTCAGCCTCCCGAGTAGCTGGGATCACAGGCATGTGCCACCACACCTGGTTAATTTTTGTATTTTTAGTAGAGATGGGGTTTTGCTATGTTGGCCAGGCTGGTCTCGAACTCCTGACCTCAGCTGATCTGCCCACCTTGACCTACCAAATTGCTGGGGTTACAAGCGTGAACCACCGCCCCTGGCCCCATAGTAGCCTTTTTTGGGTACTTTCCAAGTTCCACAAGCTCTATGCTAAGTGTTCTATGGTGATCCCTGTGATACCAAGCATCCTACCCGTGAAAAAGCATGATGAAGAAAGTGAAGGAATTTGCTAACCTTCACGCAAGCTACAGAGACCTTGGCTTCAAAACAGGATTACGTTTCTTTCCAAAGCCCATACTTTTCACTGTTTTGTCCTACACAGGAGATTCCCGAGCTAAAAAAAGAACATTCAGTAATAGCTGAAAAGAACGTTCCGCAATAAGAAACAACTACACTAAGAATGCAGCCCTTCATAGTTTGATCTGAAACGGTTTCATCCAGGCCTGTATTCTCCAACTCACTTTACCCTTAGGATGAGGTTTGTTATTGTTCCCAGAATACATAGCTGCCCTTCAGCAAATGAACAGATTGTGGGGCAGCCCCACTGGCCCAGATAGTCTGAGCCATATGATTCAAGGGAGCTCTGATGAGACTTTCAAACTGCACTCTTCATACTCCTACCCCTCCTCCCAACACAGGCACACTTGTACCTTTGAGCAGACTATCCATCAAAGTACACACTTTCATTTAAAAAAAAAAAAAAAAAGCATCCCTCATCTAGGATCAGAAAGAAATGCCTTTCATTTATCTACGCTACGCCTAGTTCAATCAGCTAATGGGGAGCTATTAAACCTACCATACCTATGATTGGTCTGAATGATTTTCTAATTGGTTTCCCTTTATCCACTCAGTTAAACTCCCTAAAATTGTTCCTACTGGGGACCTCATAATAAACTCTGACTCAACGTTTTGCAGCCGGAATCGACGATGCATGACGCAGCCATCCATGCGCCCACCTTCCTGAAACAGTCCTTTCAGATTTGAAGGCCTTCTCTGTCTGACCCCGGAGGAGAGACAGACAGTCCATGTCTCTGGGACTACTACTTCATAGGAAATGAATGGCAAAGGCAATTTTCACCCTCCCACCGCTTTGAGCCTCAGCATCTCTGTCCTCAGCCAGCAGCACATGTGGGAGACTCCACAACTTCCTTTTGCATTTTTAGCAGTTTTCTTTCCTTTTCCTAGTCATCTTTTTTCCTTTTGTATCCTTAAGATAGCTAGGCCTGTTTGTTCTTGAATGGAGACCCAGCTTCCAAAATAATTGAAAAGCACTGTGAAAGTCTTGAGTCCCTTAGAAAACACTAAAGTTGCCGGGGCACCGTGGCCCACGCCTGTAATCCCAGCACTTTGGGAGGGCAAGGGGGGTGGAGCACAAGGTCAGGAGTTCAAGACCAGCCTGGCCAAGATGGTAAAAGCCCGTCTCTACTAAAAATACAAAAATTAGCCAGGTGTGGTGGCAGGCGCCTGTAATCCCAGCTACTCGGGAGGCTGAGGCAGGGAATTGCTTGAACCCAGGAGGCAGAGGTGGCAGTGAGCCGAGATTGTGCCACTGCACTCCAGTCTGGGCAACAGAGCGAGACCCCATCTCAAACACACACACACACACACACACACACACACACACACACACACACACACACACACTAAAGTTGCATCCATTCATGGCACGGACAAAACTTCTCAAACATTTTCTTTTCCTGTGTACATCCCTTAAGTGCCGCTGCTCCCTCCAAACTCTCCCCTACTCTGTTCAAACTCTTCCAGACTTTGAAACCTTGCTCTTGCCATTTCTTGGCAATCTTTATTCACCCTTCATATCTAGTCTTTAATCTTTCAGGAGTAAATCCTTGCTTTTTTTTGAGGCGCATCAATCAAGCAGGCCTTTGATCTTCTCAGTTTCCTTCTCACCATCACGGCAGCGGACACAGCAGGGCCGGCAGCCCAGCAATGATTTCTTTCGTGAGAAGAAAGAATAGGGCTCAAATCATTCCTAGGTATTTTCCTACTTACACCTTCAGTGCAGAAATTATTGTTTGCCAGCCTTTAATGTGCCCTGTGCTAAGCACTGAACATTGAAAGGTGGATTTTAAGACAAGCCCTGTGCCCTAAAGTTGCTCATAGTCTACAGGGAAGATAATAGGGTAGAGATGCTACTACTCTCTCCTCCTTAGGATCCATTAGACTTAAATATTACCTAACTAAAAGTTCAGTTCCTTAGTCACACTAGTTACATTTCAAGTGTTCAATACCACATGTGGCCAAGTGGCTACCATATTGGAGAGCAGCAAGGACAGAACATTTCCATCATTCCAGAAAGTTCTATTGGACATGTCTATTCAAGTCTTCACCTCCTTTTTTGTTCCTATTGAAACAACCATTTTACTAGACATTCTTTTTTTTTTTTTTTTTTTTGAGATGGAGTCTTGCTCTGTTGCCCAGGCTGGAGTGCAATGGTGCGATCTCGGCTCACTGCAAGCTCCACCTCCTGGGTTCAGGCCATTCTCCTGCCTCAGTCTCCAGAGTAGCTGGGACTACAGGCGCCCTCCACCACGCCCGGCTAATTTTTTGTATTTTTAGTAGAGACGGGGTTTCACTGTGTTAGCCAGGATGGTCTCGATTTCCTGACCTCGTGATCCGCCTGCCCGGGCCTCCCAAAGAGCTGGGATTACAGGCGTGAACCACCATGCCTGGCTACACATTCTTTTTATCAGCAGTAATGTCTTAGGAAATAGCTGTCACGTTGTAGGAAAAATGGACTATTTCTCCATTGAGACCCTGTCCATCTTTGGCTCCGATGAGAAATCAAACCATCATTACTCTATCTTCTCCCCTCTGTGGAGAGGTGAGATGGGGCTGGAGAGGCTGAGAGAACAGGAACAAGGGGCACGCCCATTCAGTGATACTTTCTGTGAGAAGAACCTGATCCCAGTGACGTGATTTAAGAACTACCCTCTCTGTGCTAGCTGTGACTCTTGTACAGCCTCCTCTTATGGAACTGTCATGCCGTGTAGTCATTCTTTTGTTGATCTCTGAGTCCTGGAAGGCAGAGATGTCATTGTCACTGTTGTGACATTAGTGCCTAGCCAAGCCCCAAAACACAGAGGGGTCTGTTGAATTTCAATTGGATGACATTAAATGTTCTATGCAACCAGTCACTGCCGAACACCTGTTTGAAGTGAATGCCTTGGTCAACATCAAACATGGAGCATAAAGATGTTAACCTTTACAGGAACCTTAGGAATAAATACCTCCTGCTGTGTCCCGAGGAGGGGCTGAGAGTAAATAACTCCAGGTCTCAAAGTCAAAAGAGTTAGTCTCAGCATCTAGGAGTGCTTGTTTTGGACCCTTTCGGACCTGGCTTTTCTGTTTCTGCTGAAAACTGGCTCTAGACATTTAGATTCTCAATATGTCTCCTGGCTGTTTTGTTCTGTGTTGGAAATACTACTGAGGTGTGTTTTGAATACTAATTTGGGCATATGATCTGAATGTATTTCTTTTCCCAGACACGGTAGAAACAAAGAACTTGTACAACTGTATCCCAAGCTATATTACCCTCATCATCACTGCCAAGTCACTTCCTCCCTCCTCTCTGTCCTTATTTCAGCCATGCTGGCCATCATGATGAGTTTGTCCCTGGGATTCTACGCTTTCCCCTCTCCTTCCCCTTCCATCTTTTTTCCTCTCTCTCCTCATGAGTTGGCATCTTGTGCTCCTGCTACAATGAGCTTCCTTCTTGAGGCTGGAAAAGGCGGTGGTCTTTAGCTCCAGCAGCCATGTACAAATTTAGCAAGTCCCACTGCAAAGAGAACTTTTTTCTCCCAGTTTCCTCCCAGCATATGTTATGGACAAAGGGATCTCAGTGGGGCAGTGACAGCACTACTAATGTAAAGTGGTAGATTATGAATAAAATCAGATGGGTCGGAAAACTCCGTATGTCTCCCGTGGCTGCAGTGGCTTGCTTATCTTAAAATAGTGGTTAGAGAGGGTGGACAGGGTTATGTGGAACTGGTCACCAAGGGGACCAGTGTCAAGAGCCATGAGCCAGCAGTGTGGGAAGGGAGTCTGAGCATCCCAGCATACCCTTTCCAGCCTCTGATTGAACACAGGTGGATTCTTCAGGTGAATCCTAAGACCTCTCTGAGACAATTCTGGCTGTTCTCAAATAAGAGCTGCCATCTGAGATTTGCATAAACAGTGTCCTTGCTTTGGTCACTGTGAGCTTTTTCTTTCCTAGCAAATTTGTGTCAGTCTGTTCCCACAGTCTTGAGATAACAAAACTGGCACTTGAGCAAATCAAAAAAGAAAAAAGATTTATGCCCAAGATTTTCTGAGATCAATGCCTATTTTCCTAAGCATTTTCAAGTTTTCAGTTGAGATTAAGAAACAAAAACAAAAGCTTCAGTTCTGGGGCAATGAGAAAATTAATCAAACATCTGCTTCTTTGACCCCGCATGGATTGGGAGTTAAGTGCTTTGATGAACATATTATCAGCAAGACGAGAGCAGAATAAGCAAAGAGCACACCTTCCCTTACTGCGTCTGCTTGGCACAAAGCCTCGCACGAGGTCTGCTTGCTTCTGCCCGGAGCTGGCAAAGGCTGCCACAAATGCAGGACTGGTTAAAGTTCCGAGGCAGAGGGCTGGTAAAGCTTTCTATTGAGAATTTGATGGTGCTTTCCCTGATGCCTGCCTCTCCGCCAGTGTCGTGATCTCCGACTTCCCACAGACACATAGAAAGCCCTGAAGTGTGATTTTTCATAGATTTTCCCCAAGCAGTTTACCAATCCTGCATGTATTTATCTGCTTGTTACTTTTTGTGTTATTTTTTCCTTAGTCTCTGCCTTTTTTTTTTTTTTTGAGATGGAGTCTTGCCCTGTGGCCCAGGCTGGAGAGCAATGGTGAGATCTCAGATCACTGCAACCACCACCTCCAGGGTTCAAGCAATTCTCCTGCCTCAGCCTCCTGAGCAGCTGGGATTACAGGCGCCTGCCACCATGCCCAGCAAATTTTTATATTTTTAGTAGAGTCAGGGTTTCACCATGTTGGTCAAGCTGGTCTTGAACTCCTGACATCAGGTGATCTGCCTGCCTTGGCCTCCCAAAGTGCTGGGATTACAGGCCTGAGCCACAGCACCCAGCCTCTGCCCCCTTTTTAAATTCCTCGATCTCTTTCTTTTTCTTTCTATTTATTTATTTACTTATTTTGAGATGGACTCTCGCTCTGTCACCCAGGCTGGAGTGCAGTGGCAAGATCTCGGCTCATTGCAAGCTCCGCCTCCCGGGTTGAAGCCATTCTCCTGCCTCAGCCTCCCAAGCAGCTGAGACTACAGGTGCCCACCACCACGCCCGGCCAAGTTTTTTGTATTTTTAGTAGAGACAGGTTTCACCATGTTAGCCAGCATGGTCTCGATTTCCTGACCTCGTGATCTGCCCACCTCGGCCTCCCAAAGTGTTGGGATTACAGGCGTGAGCCACCACGCCCGGCCAAGTTTTTTGTATTTTTAGTAGAGACAGGTTTCACCATGTTAGCCAGCATGGTCTCGATTTCCTGACCTCGTGATCTGCCCGCCTCGGCCTCCCAAAGTGTTGGGATTACAGGCGTGAGCCACCGCGCCCAGGCTGATCTCTTTATTTTTCTAATCTTCACTTCCTTTTTTTCTATGGGAACAACTGTTTTTACTAAACATTACTTTTATCATATCTTTTATGATATGATAACATATCATAAAACATAAGAACTTTATTTTAACATATCTTAGGAAACAGCTGTCATATCATAGCAAAAATGGACTGTTTCTCCATGGGAATGCTGGTCCTTGGTGGCTCCAGGGAGAAATCAAGACATGGCCACTCTGTGCTGTCTTCTCCCTTCCATGGAAAGCTGGGGTGAGGCCAGAGAGGCTGAGAGAATGGGAGCAAGAGGCACGCCCATTCCTAAGGGATACTTTCTGTGAGAAGCACCTGATCCCAGCAGGTTCTTTCCCCTCCCTCTCATTCTTTCAGGTTTTTATTTAAAGGTCTCATTCTCTTTCCTGCCTTTGCACCATTTGTTATAAGAACCACCAGATCTTTCCTCCTCAGGAACTGCCGTGCAAAGGAGCCTCATAAAAATTCACCATCAGTGACAGCTGCTCTGTGACCACAGGGGAATAAACCCTGAAAGGAGAGATCACACTACTCTTCTTGTAGTGGGAGCTAGTGTGCACCACCCCTAAAGCATCCTTTTAGAATCTCAGTGCTCACTCCCCCAGCTACCAGGAATGATGGCAGCTGACAGCTCACAGCTGGTTTCTCCTGAGGAATTGTTCTCAGCCAAAGAAAGTCTCCTTCCCCAAGCCTGCACCCCCTCCCTGGGGGCAGCCCTCATTCCTGACTGGTTGATGCAGGGGTGCAAAGGCCCAGTCCCCATGTCTTTGTTCAGAATTACTCAAGGAACCATGCTATGTCTGGAACTTTGCAAGGATGAACTGAGACCTCTTTACTGGTATATCAGAGTTCAACTTCTCCCCGTCCCCAGTCCAGCTTCCCTCCTGCCCATCTAGGAGTTGTCTTTTAGAACACTCCCTATCAGACCTCTTGCTGCAAATCTCAGTCTCGGAGTCTGTTTCCCAGGGAACCTGACCTATGGCATTTTCTTTGTGTCATAGTGATGACAGTGATTCGGATAGCAAGCTTATATCTGTTGAGCATTTACTGTGTACGAGGTACTCTGTTTTACATATACTGTCACATGCAATCCACACAACACCCCGTAAGGTGGTTGTGTTACTATCCCATTGTTGAGATGGAAAAACTAAGGCCCAAGGTCAAGCAACCCACTTGAGGAGGAGCCAGAAAGCTAAAGCTAAAGATCTAAACTTAGCTTTGGTGATTGCAGAGGACTGCTTGGAATAATTCTTTGGGGAGAACTTTCTGGAGGTTGATGCTTTGACTTCATGGTTATATTGTACATTAGCATGTGCCATGGTGGCTATATGAGCACTTTGCCTATACTCCAGAACAGGGCTCCCTGGGCCACAGACCAGTACTGGTCTGTGGCCTGTTAGGAAATGGGCCACCAAGCAGGAGGTAATTGGTGGGCAAGGAAGTGAAGCTTCGTCTCTATTTAGAGCCACTACCCGTCACTCGCATTACCACCTGCACTCTGCCTCCTGTCAGATCAGCGGCAGCATTAGGTTCTCATAGGAGCATGAACCCTATTGTGAGCTGCACATGTGAGGGATCTAGGTTGTGTACTTCTTATGAAAATCTAATGCCTGATGATCTGTCACTATCTCCTGTCACCCCCAGATGGGACCGTCGAGTTGTAGGAAAACAACCTCAGGGCTCCCACTTGATTCTACATTATGCTGAGTTGTATAATTATTTCATTATATATTACAATGTAATAATAATAGAAATACAATGCACAGTAAATGTCATGTGCTTGAATCATCCCAAAACCATCCTCCCACCCCTGCTCCATGGAAAAAAAATGTCTTCCATTAAACTGGTCCCTGGTGCCAAAAAGGTTTGGGACCGTTGCTCTAGAAGACCACTTGTCATCGTACAGTGATCAGTTTTGTTTCTGTTTTTGTTTTTGTTTTTTTTGAATCAGAGTTTCATTCTTGTTGCCCAGGCTGGAGTGCAATGGCGCAATCTTAGCACACCACAACCTCCACCTACCGGGTTCAAGCAATTCTCCTGCCTCAGCCTCCCACGTAGCTAGGATTACAGGCATGTACCACCACACCTGGCTAATTTTTTGTATTTTTAGTAGAGATGATGTTTTTCCATGTTGGTCAGGCTGGTCTTGAACTCCCGACCTCAGGTGATCCACCTGCCTCAGCCTCCCAAAGTGCTGCGATTATAGGCGTGAGCCACCGTGCCCAGCTGTGATCAGTTTTTATGATTCTGTTTCCCCATGAGAATTTGGAGCCCCTTGTTAACTTTGGGCATCCACTACCTAGTATACGGCATAGTATACAGTAGGCTCAATGTGCTAGTTGAGTGGAGAGTTCTTGTCTTTGTAACTGGGAAAACTGAGCCATGATCTTTCTCTAGGAGAGCAAAGTACATTAGTCAAGAGCACAGGCTCTGGATTTACATCACTTGCTTTCGCAAGTAATGTAAGCCAGGTAAAACCAACATTTTGTAAACCTTAATGTGCTTTGGTTTTGTTCTTTGTAAAATGGGGGTAATATTGTTGATCTCTTAGCATTGTTTATGGTTGTTGTAAAACTGAAATGACACTCAACACCATGCCTGATACATAGAAAGCGCCCCATAAAAGTTACCTATTACAATTGCTAGCCACAAATCAATTCTTTTCCTTCCCATCCTCCATCATCAGAGAAATTAGAAAGGCCAGATTTCTGTTAGCTTCTTGGGGATGCCTCCAACAGTCACAAAGCCCTATAGGACAGCCCTCTCAGAAAGAGTCCATTCTTTTTTGATCTTTTTTTTTTCCATGGGAACAGCTGACATTGGGCTACTCAAGTGGTCCTTTGCAACCCTAACAGCACATGAGAGTGTGTGCTTTCACTAAAGAGACTCTCAGAGCTGGGGCCAGGATGTGCACTTTCAGAAAAAATAAATGTCATGATGATCCTGACTTGCATTACAAAAAGTGATTGTACTCAAGGCTCATCCCCTCTTCTCAGCAATTGCTGCTATGGGTAGAGGGAGGGGATCTACTGCCATTGCCCACAAAGAGAGAGGGTTCATAGTCTTTATCGAGTTTACTACATGTGACTTCAAGGTGTCTTGGAACTATTTCATAGAATCATGAGAGCTCCAGATTTGAAGAAAGGATGTCAGCTAGTCTTGTGTTTTAAATTTCCTCCATGACATCCTTCATGGTCTTCACAAACATCCTTAGTAACCAGGAACGGGGCAGCCTGTCTGATATTTTTATCAGCAACTTGGATGTAGAAGCTCGTGTCATGATAACCACATTTTCACAGGCTACAAATCCAGGAGGGAGAATTAATTTTTTTTGATGAAAGAATTAGAATTCAAGAAAGAGACAGACAAATGAGAATGATGAACTTAATCTAATAACACCAAATCTAGCAAGGATAACTATAATCCTCTGGACTAAGATCAAAAATTCAACTGCCCTAGAGGACAATGAGAACTTTTCATTTACTTTCTATTTAACCATTTAATTTGTACTCTGTCTCATTTAGCAAAAGACTTGAATTAGCTTTAAAAAATAAAACAAGATCAGTGATTCTCTAAGTGTGGTTCCCAGATCAGCAGCATCAGCATTACTTAGGAACTTAGAAATGAAAAACTTCAGACCTCGCCCCAGATCTACTTGAGTCCAGAACTCAGAGGTGGGGCCCAAAAATCTGTGTTTTAACCAGCCCTCCTGGAAGTTCTGATGAATAATAAAGTTTGAGAACCATTCACAATACTACTAACACTGGTAATGGAGTATAAGGATTTAAAAAATGGAATCTCCAAAGTACTCAGAGGTTAAGATGAAGTTGATTATTAAGATGATATAGAGGCCGGGCACGGTGGCCCAGCACTTCCCACACTTCCCAGCACTTTGGGAAGCCAAAGTGGGAGGATCACCTGAGCCCAGGAGGTCAAGACTGCAGTGAGCCATGTTCACGCCTCTGCACTCCAGCCTGGGTGACAGAGCTAGACTCTATCTCAAAAACAACAACAAAAATGATATAGAGAATGAATGTGACAAATTTGGCTCAGAGCTTCCTAGCAGCCAATGCAAAGAAATAAACATAACCAATGTATATACTGTACTGAGCCTATAAGATCCATAAAGCCAATCCTTGTGCTGAGATTTGAGGAAAAAGTACTGTCTTCATAAAGTCGTAAATATATATTGTAGCAAATTATATACTTAACAAAATCCCTACAGTAAGTATTAAAAGTAATGGCACAAACCACAATTACTTTTGCACCAACCTAATAAAACAATGGGTTTCTGAAGATTCTTTGGCAGTCTGTCTCTTAATTGAACTAATGACAGAACAAGACTTGGGATTTCTATTGAGTATAATAGGAAAATATAGGATGAGGCTCTATAATCTGCATCAATAGAGAAGTAGGTTTCGGAAGAGGGAGATTTGTTTAATGATCTGACACTGTTTGGATTTTCATGATTGATGCTGAGGATACTGACAACCTGAGGAAAGAACAGGATAGCAAGAGGCCTAAGATC
Source organism: Homo sapiens (assembly GCF_000001405.40). NCBI lineage: Eukaryota > Metazoa > Chordata > Mammalia > Primates > Hominidae > Homo > Homo sapiens. The sequence goes on from NC_000016.10 coordinate 77,811,197, forward strand.
TTTTCATATGAGCAACCCCTGCCTCTTTTTCACCAGGAGAGTAGAAGACAAGGGAGCATCTCCATGCTACATGTATCTTTGCTAAACTCCTTCTTTTGAGTCACTTTTAACCTCAAATTGGAAAATTAATAAACTATAGCTGGGCTGATTCTTTTGTCATCCACTTAGTGATATCTTTTAAGAAATCAAATGTGTCTTCATTTGATATTGTTAGCATATCCAAAAAAAAATTCCAAACGATAAGCTTTGGGGACAAGAAGACACAGCGGCCTACCATGGTTTATAGATCACACAATGACAGCCTGGTGGTCAGAACTCAAGCTTGGCAGTCATATAAAAAGGGCTTATATTCCCAGTTCTGGTACGAACTATATAACCTTGGACAAGGTACTTTATTCTCGCTTGGTCTCACCTCCCTTTTGCACAAAATGGAGATTAAAACACTCCATCCCTTAATACCTAACATGTAGCAGTATCATCACGGGAGCAATGTTTGTTGACTTTGGCAAGACAAAAATAAAGGCACCTAACCATCTCTCAGGAGACTTTACAGGGTGATATTCATCACTTACTAGGTAACAGAAAAGAAAGTGTAGAGGCCAAGGCTAGCTTTTAACTCTTATATAAAGTCTAAGCATACAAGTCAATGTCTTTTTCTCAAGACCACCAAGCGTCTCTTCCTCTCTACCTAAGCTTTGATTTTGATAATGTTTGAAACAGAGCCCACAGGATAAAGGACCATCAAACAAACAGACGATGAGAGCTGGGGAAGGCTTCAGAGACTCAGCCAAACTCCACCGCTAATTGATGGCAGCACAGGGATTAAAACCCAAGCACCTGCATCTGTTTCTTTTCACTGTTTCCTTTCAGCCTTCTTGTCCTTGAATCTTTTTTTTTTTTTTTTTGACAGAGTCTCGCTCTGCCACCCAGGCTGGAGTGCAGTGGAGTGATCTTGGCTCACTGCCTTCCAAGTTTAAGCGATTCTCCTGCCTCAGTCTCCTGAGTAGCTGAGACTATAGGCGTGCGCTATCACGCCCGGCTAATTTTTGTATTTTTAGTAGAGATAGGGTTTCACCGTGTTGGCCAGGCTGGTCTCGAACTCCTGACCTCAGGTAATCCACCTGTCTCGGCCTCCCAAAGTGCTGGGATTACAGGCGTGAGCCACCATGCCCTGCCGTTCCCGAATCTTAAAACTCTTGATTTTAGTAACATTTGATTTACTTGAGATTTCATGGTGTTATGGGATACACAATAAGGAAGGAGTTGGAAGACCTTTATTCAAGTCTCGGCTCTGTCACTGTCATGTACTGTCAGTGGTGTTGTGGTGCCTTTAACAAGTCAGTTTTCTTATCTGAGGCTCAATGTTCACATCTATTTAATGGGATTAACGGTATCTGCACTTGTTTTCTCAGCTTGTTACGAATTTTAATGAGATGTGTATGAAAGCACATGGTAAACCATGCTGTACTCTACAAATATAAGAAAGTGTTATTATTTTAAGGAACTGTCCCCCAATTTTCCTGTATCTTCCCTAACATATCTTCAGATCCCTCATTCTAACTGTTGAGCTTTTCAGGGTCTCTTTTTCAAACCTCTATCTTCATTCCTTCAGGATGCCATGTCTCAATGATAACTCTTTAAACCTAGCCTCTGACTAATAATTTAGTATGGGAAGAAAACTGAGACAGTCTTATATTATTTATTAAAATTATACCAATCTTTGAGAAAAATAGGATTACCTGGCAGAACTTTATGTCAGGCACTTTCCAACACTATTTCTTTTTTTGCAATGATCTGAAATGTTTAAGAGCTGTATAAAATTTTTACTCCATTTGTGGGCCTGAGTCATCAGGCATAGTCATTGCCACCCCCAAAAACATTCTAACTAAGAATCAGATTACCTTAGAGAATACTGGAAACTGTAATTGTGCAAAACAGGGGCATTGACATGCCCCTGTTTTTTTATTTTATTTTATTTTTTCTGTTGTGGTAGAAAAAGAAAAGGATTAGACTCAAGTTTTTAAGTTCATAGATTTCACTATTTACTGTGTGGCCTTGGGTAAATAACTTATTATCTCTAAACCAACAAAGTTATTTTTGTCTGAAGAAAAAAAAGTAGAGTCAACAATGTCTGTCCCAATGGGTGATTGATTACGGTATTCGTTTGAGTTTGTATCTTTTGGTTTCATATGACAGGGACCACACAGGTAGTCCAAGCAAAGAGCTTCTGCTATAAACACATGTGTGAAGTAATGAAGGAATTCATGGAAATCATAGAGCAGGAGGTGTGATGGAGCTGGACCTCTCCAAGCCCAGAGACTGGACCTCTCCTCATTCTAGGGAACTCAGCAATGGAAGTCTACAAAGCCTCATCCTGGTGCAGGGAGTTGGGTTGACTCTGTTGCTGTTCGTGTTTTTTCTTTTAATTCTTCCAGCTATTGGCTTTTCCACGTATGCTTCCCCAAAGCTCAGGTCAACTAGATCTCTGTCACTCACTTCTGTCTTTTGACATCCTTTCTATTGCTAAGTCGTTCTCTTGATGTGTGTTTCCCAATTCATAGTTTTACAGAGAACACCCAGTTCTTGGACCAGCTCATTTATTCAGTTTAAGGAATGGGTTCCCGTCTAGATTATGAATGGCCACTCCTCCAATACTGGGCCCACATTGGTGCAGTCAGTTCTCTGCAAGGGGGAAGATATAAAGAGCTATAAACATGGCTCTTGTATGGGCAAGGGCGGGGCATAGAGAAGTTCCCCTTAAAGAGGTAGAGTGTATTGCCTAAGGGGTCAGGTTCTAGGCTTTGCATGAATTCAGATCCTGACTTTGACACTTTGAAAAGATGTGATGGCAAGCAAGTTACTTACGCTCTCTGGGTCTCAATTTTCTGATCTGAAAAATTGGTATGATAGTTCATACCTCATAGGAGGAGTATTGATGAGTCTTAAATAACAAAAGTCAAGCACTTAGCACAGTTCTTGACACAAACTAAACGCTCAGCAAAAGCTAGCTATATCCAAATCAGGAGAAACAGGTCTGATCCAACACTCGGGAGTACTCTGTTAACAATTATTTACATCCCCTTTGTGTGGAAATAAACAATACTGACCTGTCCTAGTCTCCGTCTCCAAAATACACCTGCGTCCTAAAAATAGGGGGCATTCTCCATGACCTGACAGAATCGCCTAATGCCTCACTGAGGAAACAGGGTGCTACAGGCTTTTGAAAAGTCAGTGTTAGCCTCTTCTCATTGGAATTTAAGTAGCTGGCTCTCAGTTTACCATCACTGGGCCCAGTTCATGCTGGATGGCGAATGCAGGCAGCCCAGTTGAGCAGCGTAATAAGTGTCGAAGATGAGGCCTTCTCCAGGGGGCTGCCATGTTTGCAGAAATGGCAACAAATTTCTTCTAGCATTTTTCCAACAGGGCCTTGGGAAATCATTGGTTTTCATGAAAAGAAAAACACAATGAGCTAAAATATACATGAAATGAGATGGAGTGCTTGATTCAGGTTGTAGAAATTTTATTTACTGTTATACAGTGATGCGTTATTTATTTGATTGTGTCAGAAAATCGGCCATTTTATACAAGTGAAGTTCAGAGATAGCTGAAGTTTTTCCATGTCAGCTGTGAAACTGTTTTTAACCCTTTTTTTACGAGTGCCTTCCTAAAATATATCACATACTTCTGCCTTCTTAACGGAAGATGCAAATTTCAAGGCTAACATGTATTGAATACTGACTATGTACGTGGCACCACATGTCAGTGCTTTATGTGCATTAATTTTCAATGACAGCCCTGTGAAGTAGGTACTGTCATAACTCCCACTTTACAGATGTGGAAACTGAGGCATGGAGAAGTTAAGTAACTTTTCCCAGGTTATAGAGATAGAAGTGGTAGAATTGGGATTTGTACCCCAGTCTCCCCAAGCTCTTAAGGAAGTGGCCATGTTAAATTATTAACATTTCAGTTAATAAATGACCTGGATAACCACTAATCATTGAAGTAGGATCTTTGGGAGTCTACAAATATCATTCAGAAATGTATCCATTACTCCAAATTCTTTGACTGCTTTTTAGAAGGAATTAGCACTCAAACTGGCAGCACATATTTTTGAATATCCATGACTATTCCTTCATTCAGCAGATGTTACTTGAGTCCCTGCTATATTACTTTGGGTCTGATGCATGCCAGGCACACTGGAAGCAGAGAAATATGAGGCATACAGATGCCTTCAAGGAGGTTGCACTTTAGAGAAATACCAGCCGGGTTCAGTATGTGAAACTTCTCTAATTTGTGGTTGGGAAAACTTTGAGAAGGTGGTGAGTTTTGAGCCCAGACTTCAAGGAAGTCGTCTTACTCACCTTTATTCAGTCCCTGTGTATGAGACTCATAAGTGAGACCAGTGGGCATAGGTGGAGTTAGATGCTTCCTTGGGTCCAAAGAGACCAGGGAAGAAATAAGCAAGATGTGCTTTAGAACTAGTTCAAGTTGGCTGGGCACAGTGGCTCATGCCTGTAATCCCAGCAATTTGGGAGACCAAGGTGGGCGGATCACCTGAGTTAGGAGTTTGAGACCAGCCTGGCCAACATGGCGAAACCCCATGTCTACTAAAAATACAAAAATTAGCCAGGCGAGTTGGTGTGCACCTGTAATCCCAGCTACTTGGGAGGCTGAGGCAGGAGAATCGCTTGAACCCGGGAGGTGGAGGTTGCAGTGAGCTGAGATCTCACCATTGCACTCCAGCCTGGACAACAGGAGCAAAACTCTGTCTCAAAAAAAAAAAAAAAAAAAAAGTACATTAGAACCACATCTGTTGGGAAAAAATGCATGTTTAATGGGATGTGTTTCCCCATGTGATTAGCAAATGGGTGTTAAATGGAATTCCCAAGAGCAGTTCTGATAAAATAAAAAGAGTCCAGGAGCATTGCTAATAGCGTCATTGGAATCAAGTGTATGGTTTTCCATTATGATGACTTTGATATATTTTAATAACTTTCTTATTCCAAAAGTAATGTGTTAATCAAAAATATCTAATAATATCTCTCATCTGGAAATAACTTAGATTTTTGAAACACTCCAGTATTCCCATATCTATTGGGGCATTCATTTGATCTCTCTTTGAGTCCCCTCTCCTCCAGTGGAACATAATGTAATCTCCTGATGGCTTATATTCACCATTGTGGGAGCTGTTTATGCATAGTGCTGATGTAAGTGTGTGTGATGATTGAGGAGAGGTGGTTGGTTGTTTTGAGACCTTAGGTCTTCTTTCTCTTTCTCAGGCACTGGCTAGTGGCCATTAGGTCTGGCTGCTTTCCATGTGTCTGTTTATAACCACTTCCTGGTAAATCTTTTACCTTTGATTAAGTACTAAGAACTCTGATAGCCAGGCTAGTCAATATGTTTTTAGAGTAAGCATAAACAGGCTCTGAGAGAAGACAAAGGGGCCATCTCTTGAATCAGTGTAAACTCTGCAACTACTGTTTTCATTGCCACAAATGTATTGCTTATCTGCATAGAGATAATTGAATTTTGCATTATTGGTGACATCTAGCTAAGCGGCATTACTATTAGGGATACTTTGCCAAAAAGAAAAAAAAAAGACAGGAAGGAGTGAAGAAGGGAGGGAGGAAAGGAGGAAAAGAAAAGAAAGAAAAGAAAACCAGGTCGGTGCTTTCTTTTGGATCTCATTTTGAATTTCTCTCCTTTCACATTTGCTCTTTACAGTGGATTAAACTTCATTGACTTGATGGTGCGACAAGGGAATATTGACAACCCTCCCAAGACTCCCCTGGTGCCAGGATTTGAGTGTTCTGGGATTGTTGAAGCTCTGGGGGACAGCGTGAAAGGATATGAGGTAATGTTTGGCTCTCAATTGAAGAGTAATATTCATTTGGAATCCATTGAGACAACAAAAGATGATGCAGAAAGAAATGTCTGAAATAACCTATGGCGTGCATTATTATCATTGTCTTCTTATTTGGACTGTTGACAATGTTTATAGTCATTAAGGTCTCATGCCTTTTTTATAGACTATCTTGGTTGCTCCTGGCAGCATTCTGGTGCAGGGGGCAGGACAAATCTTGTCTCCCCCTTCATTCATGTCATGCAGCTATTCAACAAAAGTATTTGGCATTTGGATTAACTAAGTGTGCATAGCCCCTTCCCATATCCGGAACTCTCATTTTCTGATCATCTTCAGCTCAAAATGCAACTACAAAACACAGAAGTGTAGAGGAAATGGACTCTCTATTTTATAACCTGGCTCCCTCAAATAGTCACTTAACTGGTACATTTAAGTAATCATTTATAAATCCCTAACTACTTCAGGAATTGGGGAGGTAGCATTTTGGATGAAGAAGATGTTAAAGTCAAAGAGTGGAGGTACCTGATAAGTAGAACAGAACTGGCCATGGATTGATGGCTTTGGAAGTAGGGAAATGGGCAAAAAGGTTTATTACATTATGCTGACTACTTCTGTACATGTTCAAAATTCTCCATAATAAAACCTTTTTTAATTTGTAAAAAGATGTATGACCCTTCCTACTATTATAACGCAAATCAAATAGAAACCAGTCTATAAAAACTGAAAACCTGTGCACAAGTCAATTACACAAAATTGCAGTAGTTTGGAGTCAGAAAAACCAATGCAAATCAGGTACAAGGGCTCTTACTCATAACTAAGTGCTCCCCTAGGGAGGAATGAACATTTGAGAACCCGCTATAATCAGAACCATGGAGAAGTTATCTTTTTTAAGCCTCCACCATAGCCCTGCAAAGCAAAGATTGTTATCCCCTTGCAGATGAGGTTCGGGAGGGTTCAGTAATTTTCTGTGAGGTCAGAAGGGTAGTTAGTACCACTAGAACCCGGATTCAAATCACCAGAGCTTGTTTATCCTTCCTACAGTCTCATGATCTTCACTCCCTACTCCCAGCCCCCAAATACTGCAATAATAAATGCAGGACAGGAGAGCTAAAGAAGAATCCTATAAAATGCAGTGCCAAAATGCCCTTGAAATTGAATTTGAGCCTGCTTCTCAGTCTCAGCGTGTCTGAGCCTCAGTATCCTGTGAAAAGATCAATATGCTCCAAATTCATTATGAAAAATGTCTGGAAATCTCATCCCATTTATTAGTATTTTTGCCAATGGTTTTCAGATAAGACAGCAGATAAATGTTGAGAAAGAGGCAGTAAATGAGTCTTTTCTTTTCTTTTATACGAATTTACATTTTTTTGTCCCCAGGTAAGCAGTGTAACCAAAGGCACACTATCTCACCCTGAAAGTGCTGCACATAAGAAATATTATCTTCTCTTCAATCCTCCACATGGTCCCCAAAGAAAAGATCATGCAGCTCACTCCGTTAACCCCAAGCATTGAATAAATAACCAGTTATTTTAGAATATAACAGGAAACAGGGACATTGTTCAACTTGGTTTAGAGGGAGAACTTACTATACTTGATTATGTATATTTTTCCTTTCAATATGACTTATCTTTTGCTAATTTGCCCTGGCTTGTTTACTATCAAGCCCACCCATTAAACTCTCTCCCTTCCAGTGACTTGTGGCTGCACAAAAAAATAAGTCACTTACTCGTTTCCAGTTAGGGTGTGATATGGGAGAAAACTGACACTAGTATTCCATCTATAATTTTGACTTAAGATCTTCAGTCATATTGGAGATGGAATTCCTTGCAGCAGCACACTGAATAGCTCTCTTGGTTTGATAGATCGCAAAGGATGATGAAAAGCTGTCACCGGAGGCCGGGTAATAAAGGAATAACTTGGGTGCATTTTGGCCAGGACTGATTTTTTTTTTCTTAGCAGAATCAAATAATGAGATGAAGTGGTTATGTTTTAAATGTGCCTGCCTCTGGACTCTGAGACTGGAGCTGAACCTATGGCTTGGACATATTTGCTATTTTGATAATGAAATGGAAGTGATGGAGCAAAGTCAAAGGAGAGATCTGGGAGCAGCCAGCCCTGTAGTGATGGCCATGAGCACCACTGCCAAGGTGGTTGAAATATTCTGTTCATTACACTCTGTGCTGACCCTGGAGGCCATCAGCTATTCTGTGGGACTGAGGCTGTGTCTTTGGGTTTTCGTGATTCTGTGAAGAACAGGATGCTAGTATTAGACCCTAGTTATCTTCTGATGCACTGAAGATGATATTCTTTTCTTTTTTCTTTTTTTTTTCTTTTTCTTTTTAGATGGAGTCTCACTCTGTCACCTACGCTAGAGTGCAATGCCACAGTCTCAGCTCACTGCAATCTCTGCCTCCCGGTTTCAAGTGATTCTCCTACCTCAGCCTCCTGAGTAGCTGGGATTATAGGTGCCTGCCACCACACCTGGCTAATTTTTTGTATTTTTAGTAAAGACAGGGTTTCACCGTGTTGGCCAGGCTGGTCTCGAACTCCTGACCTCAGGTGATCCACCCGCCTCAACCTCCCAAAGTGCTGGGATTACAGGCATGAGCCACCGCGCCCAGCCTGAAGATGATATTCTTCACATTCACTAATTGGTCTTCACCCCTTCCGGGGATTGGGACACTCACTGACAGTGGGACAGCCTCTCTTACCCCAGTTTCCTCCTTAGACAGCTGTTCCTCCTGCTTTCTGAAATATAATGAGTCAGTATTTAACTGCTGATTGCTAAACTGTGAATTCCATCAGGTCAGGAACCAATCTGTTCTTTTAGAGCAAACATGTATTGCTCTTTCCTCATTTTCCATGCACCATGTTAAGTGCGTTGGGTGTGTATTATGCCATTTAGTTTTCATAAAGACCCTTTACTAATATTATACCCATTTCAGAGCTGAGGAAACTGAGCCCTGAAAAGTTCAACTAATATTTCCACACTTTGTAGGTTCCTCTGTTATGCACCCTTATATAACGTTATGTTTCCTTTGGAGCACTTTTCTCAAGTGTAATGAATTAATTATTTGTATCTGGAATCAGACTATCTGAGGCCATTTCTTTCATGGTTTCAAGAGGATTGAGGTAGACTCCCGCACCTGGTCAGATTGAACTTTTACCTAACACTAGGAGGAGATGACAATAGTCATGGTGACTCCCAGGGTTTCCGTGATTCTCCCTCTACAAATATATTAGAACTAAGAAAACTCACCATGGCCTTGGCTGAGGCTACTTCCAGCTAGATGAACCAGTGCTGCTTTAGAATCCCCCTAAAATCAGCAAAAACACACATTTAGCTGAAGACCAAACCCCTTGCCAAGAAAAGGAAAGCTCATCGATGCTCACATCCTCAAGCTCGAGCTCTGTAGGGGTGTTTCCCATTGTTTCTGTATCTTTTCCTGCAGAATAAGAGAAGGACCCTCAAACCAGCATGAGCCGTCAGTCAGGATAGCCTCCTCTTAGTAACAGCTTGTCTTAGCAACACCAAGAAGATGGAAACTGGCTAGAACAAAGGAGAGCTCTGCAGAGAGACAGATCTGAACTGGAAGCCTTCTGCTTCTGCTCTTCAAAGGCTCCTTCACTTTCCAGCTTCAATTTTCCAATCTATATAAAGGGCACAGTCATAGTTCATTATTAGTCATGAACTTCAAGAACTACATGGAGTTCTTGTGGGAATTATATAAGGTCACATAAATAAAGGCACTTAGCGCAGATTCAGGAACATATTAGTTTTTGTTTTGGTAAATGCCATTTATTATTATCAATAACAATAGCACCTAGCAGCCCCTTCCCCAGTAGTTTCCCTGCCCCAGCAGTCCCTGCCCTAGCAGTGCATTCTAGTCAATTGCAGACACTGGTTTTCCCCTTTAGACCTACAGATGTTTCCTATGAGACTACTGAAAGCTTCTCCAGGACTGAATTTCTTCCCTTATTCTCTCCCATTTCCCACCCATGGAGAAGTTAGACAACGTTCAGTTACTTGTAATTATCCATCAACCCATCACTCACTATGCACCAAGCATTGGGTCATGCATTGAGAATCCATAAATCAATAAGACCCAGCCTCTGCCCTCTAAGATCTCCCCATTTAGAGAGGGAGCTAGTCATGTAAAAGGATAAGTCAATATAATGGGATCTGCATAATTATGAAGGATTATATAAGGAATTAGGTGGACTTTTGTTGAAATCTTGTCTTTTTTTTTTTTTTTTCGAGATGGGAGTCTCACTCTGTTGCCCAGGCTGAAGTGCACTGGCATGATCTCAGCTCACCACAACCTCTGTCTCACAGGTTCAAGCGATTCTCCTGCCTCAGCCTCCCAAGTAGCTGAGATTACAGCCACACCTGGCTAATTTTTCTGTATTTTTAGTAGAGAAAGAGTTTCACCATGTTGGCCAGGCTGATCTCAAACCCCTGACCTCAAGTAATCTATGTTCCTCAGCTTCCTAAAGTGCTGGGATTACAGGCATGAGCCACCGTGCCCAGCCTGAAATCTTGTCTTTACCACTTACAACTGTGTGGTCTTGGGCAAGTTATTTAACTGCTCTGAGCTTTAGGTCCCAGTCTATAAAATGGGAACAATAATAAAAGCAACCATAAGGAGTTGTCATAAGAATTAAATGCAGTAATTTAATTTGCTGTCTACTCAGTGCCAGCACACAAGCAGCTCTCAATAAACAGAGATACTGACAGCAATAAGAAGAGATGTCAGTTCTGCTTTTGTAGGGGAAGGTTGGTCGTCAGGGAAAGTTTTGGAGAAAAGAACATTTGAGCTGAGCTTTAAAGGAAAATCAAATATTTTCCTGAAAGAAAGACAGCACCAAGTGCAGAAATAGTAGATACAAAAGCATAAGGGTGTGAGCATGCACTTTCTCGTGTTTCCTGCTGCTTTTCCAGCATGCCCATAAGGGAGACACAGGCGTCAATACTGAACAGGCACAGGGGCTGATCCTTTCCTTCTCCTTTGCTCACATTGTCTGAGCTCCCACCCACTGCTGCCACTTTTTATTGTTAGCTCATGTTTTATTTTATTTATTTATTTATTTAGAGACGGAGTTTCGCTCTTGTTGCCCAGGCTGGAGTGCAATGGTGCGATCCTGGCTCACTGCAAACTCTGCCTCCCAGGTTCAAGTGATTCTCCTGCCTCAGCCTCCCAAATAGCTGGGATTACAGATATGGGCCACCACACCTGGCTAATTTTGTATTTTTAGTAGAGACGGGGTTTCTCCATACTGATCAGGCTGGGCTTGAACTCCCGAGACCTCAGCCTCCCAAAGTGCTGGGATTATAGGCGTGAGCCACCACGCCTGGCCTGGCTGATGTTTTATTCTTAATTGTACCCTCTCTGGAACAGACTGCTGTCACCACTAGTGTGGAGAGCCACCCCCTTCCAGTATCCAAGAAATCTAGGGTCATTTAGGGGCTTGGAGGAGGGGAGAGAAGAAGGCATGTGGGGGCTGAGCCACAGATAACATACAGATAAATCTAGGCAAGGACCTCTCCCTCTCCAGCAGTCCTGGGAGGATTCAGAGAGGGGAAGACCTGCTTAGGTTTATGCCAGGCTACCCAAGGATAAGGAAAGGAGATGCAAGGAGGCAGTGAGAATGTCCTCCTTGCCCAGCTGTCGGATCATCACATTGATTAATTACTTGCCTCTTTTCTCAAAGCGAGCAGACCAGACTTTGCCTTGCTCTTGTTGCTGTCACGAGAGCCCCAGAAGACACACTGGGGCAGAGCAATTTGATTCTGTGGTTCAGGTGTCTTTTCTGAATTAGGTAACCCGAACCCCTGCCCCCGACAGAGCTGCCCTGGCAGCTGGAGCAGAGGTGGCCAGACTCACTTAGAACATTGTTGATGCTGTCTCCAACTGTCTCATTCACCTGAACTCCTCATTACCCAGGTCTGAATGGTGCCAAGATCAGTCTGTTGTCTTTATACTATATCATCCTGTAGCCAAACGGACAATCAAGTCCTCTGGATCCTGTTCCAGACACACACTGAGGCTGAAGCAGCTCTATTCCAAAATACGCAGAACTGGCCAACCTGGAAAATCCCCAGGGTTTTGGGAGCGCTCACCTCCAGGCTACTCTGACATCCCTTGACCCCACCCACCATTCCCACACCCAAAAAATGAACTCTGTTATCTTTGGACCGATATCTGAAACATCGTCATCATAGTTTCATGCTTTTGGCTTAAGACTGCATTCTCTTCTGAAATATTATCCCTTCCAAGTAGATTTTCCTCTAAGCCCTATCACTCATAGCACTTGTCATATGAAAATATCAGAGAATATGAATAATTTGAAAGCATGAGCTGTACCTCATTTACAGTTTTATCTCCAGTGCCTAGAACCTAAGATCAAAAAGGGGCTTCATATGCAAACATGGCGGGTGCTCATTGTGATGTCATGGAAAAATATTTGGAATTAGACAGGCTTCACTCTGTATGTCATTAGGCAAGATACTCAACCATTCTTAGTCTCAGTTTCTTCAAAATTATAATAAGAATAATATCCTATTAAGCTTTCATGTAGATTAACTGACAAAATGAAGATTACAGTCTAGTACATTATGATTGTTTAGCAAATCATAGATTTCATAGTGATCAAATGTACATATAGAAAAACCTCTCAGCTGGGTACAGTGGCTCATGCCTGTAATCCCAGCATTTTGGGAGGCCAAGGCGGGTGGATCACTGAGGTCAGGAGTTCACAACCAGCCTAACATGGTGAAACCCCGTCTCTAATAAATACAAAAATAAATAAATAAATAACCAGGCATTGTGATGTGTGCCTGTAATCCGAGCTACTTGGGAGGCTGAGACAGGACAATCGCTTGTACCTGGGAGGCGGAGGTTGCATTGAGCTGAGATCGTGCCATTGCACTCCAGCCTGGGAAACAAGAGCGAAACTCCATCTCAGAAAAAAAAAGAAAAGAAAAAGAAAAACCTCGCATGAGGAGGAATCCATTCTCCAGCCAGGCTGTAAGTTCCTCATGTTTGGCTATGGGGACTACATTTTTGAGAAGTCCTAAAGGAAGGACAGAAGTTTGCCAGGTGAAAGGTGGTTTCAGAAGAATGAAGGAGGGCTCTGCATTGTTTTGCTACCTTCCTTAGATGCACTGACACTTCCCAGGACTTTCACTACCACCTAAATAATGTTCAGAGTTTCAAGGAATGGGTTCTCAACTAACCAACTTAGCTGGTTCTGGAGAGGAGAGGGTAGTGGCTGAAGATGGGTGGACAAGAAACATAGAGCTGTCAATGGTTCATTAAATCAGTTGTATTACTTGTGAAATGTATTAGCTTTTTGCACTGCAAATGTATTTTAAAAGTTATTCGTTTCATCAAAGTATTAAAAAATGATTGTGGGCCAGGCACGGTGGCTCACGCCTGTAATCCCAGCACTTTGGGAGGTCGAGACAGGCGGATCATGGGGTCAGGAGATCGAGACCATCCTGGCTAACATGGTGAAACCCTGTCTCTACTAAAAATACAAAAAAATTAGCCGGGCATGGTGACAGGCACCTGTAGTCCCAGCTACTCGGGAGGCTGAGGCAGGAGAATAGCGTGAACCCAGGAGGCAGAGCTTGCAGTGAGCTGAGATCACGCCACTGCCCTCCAGCCTGGGTGACAGAGCGAGACTCCATCTCAAAAAAAAAAAAAAATGATTGTGATACTAAAAAATTTGGATAGAGTTCTCAAGTGTATGAGTCAGGAAAAACCATGTGTTTGTACCGTGGATAGCTCCCAATAATGCTTTTTTTTTTTTTTTTTTTTTGGAGGCAGAGTCTTGCTTTGTTGCCCAGGCTGGAGTGCAATGGCATGATCTCAGCTCACTGCAACCTCCGCCTCCTGGGTTCAAGCAGTTCTCCTGCCTCAGCCTCCTGAATAGCTGGGACTACAGGCATGCGCCATCACGCCTGGTGAATTTTTGTATTTTTAGTAGAGATGGGGTTTTACCATGTCAGCCAGGCTGGTCTTGAACTCCTGATCTTGATTGATTCACCCACCTCAGCCTCCCAAAGTGCTGGGATTATACGCATGAGCCACAGCGCCTGGCCAGCTCCCAGTAATTCTGTTCTCTCCTTGAGCCTCTGTCATGAGGTAGCCTCCACTAACTCTGTGTTTCCCCATGCCCAGATTGGAGACCGTGTCATGGCATTTGTCAATTACAATGCCTGGGCAGAGGTGGTCTGCACACCAGTGGAGTTTGTCTACAAGATCCCGGATGACATGAGCTTCTCCGAGGCTGCTGCATTCCCCATGAACTTCGTCACAGCCTATGTGATGCTGTTTGAAGTTGCCAACCTCCGGGAAGGGATGTCTGTGCTCGTGCACTCAGCTGGTGGGGGCGTGGTAAGTCAGCTGTTTGTAACTTCTCTTCTTTAAGGTCATGATGGTGGAAGTGGAGTGACACCCCCCTGAGGTCTTATGTGAGCTATGTCCTTTAGCAGGAATCATCACTATGGTTCTGGTAGAGTTCACATGGACAGCAAAGCCCATATAGATGATTGCATTGGGGTAGGATAAGCCTGAGAGATGGTTTCTCTGGAGTTTTGGAAGGTCACCAAAATGGCCTGTGAGGACACAATGGCTTTCAGAGATAGTTCCTGTTGAGAAGCATTCTCAGGCCGGGCGCCGTGACTCACGCCTGTAATCCCAGCACTTTGGGAGGCAGAGGCGGGCAGATCACGAAGTCAGGAGATCAAGACCATCCTGGCTAACACGGTGAAACCCCGTCTCTACTAAAAATAAAAAAAAAAAAAAATTAGCCGGGCGTAGTGGCAGGCGCCTGTAGTCCCAGCTACTCGGGAGGCTGAGGCAGAAGAATGGCGTGAACCCGGGAGGCAGAGCTTGCAGTGAGCCGAGATTGCGCCACTGCACTCCAGCCTGGGCGACAGAGCCAGACTCCATCTCAAAAAAAAAAGAAAAAAAAAAAAAAAAGAAAGAAATTAGCCGGGCGTAGTGGCGGGCGCCTGTAGTCCCAGCTACTTGGGAGGCTGAGGCAGGAGAATGGCGTGAACCCGGGAGGCAGAGCTTGCAGTGAGCCGAGATCCCGCCACTGCACTCCAGCCTGGGCGACAGAGCGAGACTCCGTCTCAAAAAAAAAAAAAAAGAAAAAGAGAAGCATTCTCAACAGTCTTGGTATCATGATGAAAAGTTGTGTCAATCATTGTAAGACGTCTCACAAGTCATCTACTACTGCTATTATTTGAAATGACAAAATGGTCATTTTGTCAGTGATTTAGTTTTTTCAATAAATTGCAGTGGACTTGAGATGGTTCCCATATTAATGACATTCTTATTAATTTGTATTCTGCTATATTTTCTTGAGTGGGCAGAGATTGTACCAGCACACTAGAAATCATACATAAACCTAAGTACATTCATGAAAGTGGTTGCACATGTCAGCGTCATCTGTCAGGTGTGTCTCTGCCAAGGCGGAGAATGGTGGAAATCAAAATTTCTGCTCTAGATTTCAGGGATGGCAGAAACTTCTCTCATGGTTTGTCTGTGTCTCATTGCCAGGCATTCAGTGTATATTGCATGCCTGCTACATGGCAAGCACTATGTCTGTCATTGGTCTACTGGGGTCTGGGTGGAACGTTAGTGTTTCTGAGAGTGGAAGGTACTACCTACTAGTTCAAAACATATTAATTAAACACATAACATGTTCTAGACTCTGTGGATATAGAGATTAATCCCCTATCTTAGAGGTTTTGAGAGGTTCTCAGAGTCACTGATTCTGTAGTTTGATGAACTCAGAAATAAACTCTTAGGATTTGGTGTATCTCAGAGATATTTCACTGGAGGTTTTGCTAGCATACCGTTGATTTTAAAAAAGAAAAACTTGGCTTTCTGTAACTATTAAAACTCTATATAGTGTAGAGCACATTTCCGTTGTTTGTATCTAAGAAAACAAGCTCACATCCAGAACCATGAAGGCAAAGATAGGAAACTTTAGGAATGCCTTAAGAAAAATATCTTCAATCATTTTAGCAAATTTGCTGATACCTTTCGACCATGAATAAAGACATATAAAAGCTAAGCATCCCGTAGAAAAGAAATGGCTTTCAGTTCCAGTGAATCTGTTAACAGCAAGCAAGCCATTTAGAATGCTGGCATTTATGATCTTAGTGTGCTCAGCATACAAAGTATTAGAGACTTGTAGTCATACTATCAGCATAAGCTTCAGTCTTTACAATGACGCTGGACTCAGTTCTGCTGAGAATTAGTATTTATACATTTACACCTATGATATTTCATTTCATGTTTTTATTTTTATTGTTTTGTTCTTGGAGCAAAGAAGAATGTGTCAGGGGCATGTGTCTTACAAAAGGAAAATAATCTTGGAAAATAAAAAGAAGTTTTTATCGTGCTCTATTCTGGGCTTACAGATGCTACCGACAATACTAACTAAAGTGTAAAACAGGTGAAGGAACTGGGGAAAGTGGACAATGAGGGTTGGAAAATAAGTCAATGCACATAGCACAGGCTATGTTGTCCTAAAGCTTTGCTGAAGTTGTACAATTTTGTCTCTTAGCTTTCTAATAGTGAGTGAAAATAGGGGGAAATGGTCATCCATGTGAACTAGTGTTCATTTGATTGAAATAAAACAGTTACTAGGGGTAACCATAACTAACACTGGTTTTGGGGACCAGAGGACTCTTTCTTTCTCTGTGGTTTCTCATAAGAAATGTATGGTGAAATGCAATAAACATCCTCAACAAAGCTGTTATAGTAAATGCAACTGTTTCCATGAAGGTTTTTCTTACGGTGCACTCTTAATGTAATCTAAGAGCATCAAAGTAAAGCAAGATTTAGTGAGAGCATATATTCTTGGGCCAAAAGGATGTGGTCTGGTTTAATCTTCAGGCAGAGTTGAAAAGTGCAGTTGGACCCATCTCTCAGACGGGCTGGTCTCTTTGAATAGCGTTCTCTGAAACGAGATTTGATAGGTGGTGTGTGGCAATTAAAGGTTACCATTAGAGAAGAGATTTTTGGCAAAGTGCAGATCCACATATGTGAACACTCCGCTGAGCCGGGATGGGTGGGGCACTGTCTTACAAAATCTAAGGAGTCCTGCAGAGAGCCCACACCATCACACTCCCCTGCAGGGAGAGACCAGTGAGTCCCTGGTACCTGTATGTTGCCTTACCTGGCAAAAGGAACTTTACAGGTATGACTAAAGTAAGGACGTTGAGATAGGGAGGTTATCCTGCGTTATTCAGGATGACCCAGTGTCATCACAAGAGTCCTTAAAGGTGGGAGTGGGGGCCGGGCGCGGTGGCTCACGCCTGTAATCCCAGCACTTTGGGAGGCCAATGCGGGCGGATCACCTGAGGTCGGGAGTTCGAGACCAGCCTGGCCAACGTGGAGAAACCCCCATCTCTATAAAAATACAAAATTAGCTGGGCATGGTGGCGCATGCCTGTAATCCCAGCTACTTAGGAGGCTGAGGCAGGAGAATCGCTTGAAGCCGGGAGGCAGAGGTTGCAGTGAGCTGAGATCGTGCCACTGCACTCCAGCCTGGACAACAAGAGCAAAACTCCATCTCAAAAAAATAAAAAAATAAAAATAAAAAAGGTGGGAGTGGGAAGTAGAAGAATCAGAGAGAGAATGAGAGAAGCTACACTGCTGGCTCTGATGGAGGAGGAGGCTGTGAACCAAGGAAGCAGGTGGCCTCTAGATGCTGGAAGAGGCAGGAAATGGATTCGCCTCTTGAGCTTTCAGAAGGAATACAACCCTGCTAAGACCTTCATTTTAGCCGAGCGAAACCCATTTTGCCCTTCAGACCTCTAGCAATTTAATATCCCAAATCTGTGTTTTGAGCCACTAAGTTTGTGTTAATTTGTTGCCACTTATGGGAAACCGATACTACCACTTTCCTGGGGCTGCCTCTCTCCCTCCCTTTTCATTATGGCCCGCCAGCAGAGGCCTGAAGAAAATCAAAGTAGCGAATTGCAGAACTACGATTCGTACCTCAATTTGGCTGATTCCAAAACCTCTTCTCTTTCCATTCAACAGCCCAAAATGTTGGGAGAGCCAGCCCAGATTCTTCAGTCCTTCATTTAACAAATATTTGTTCAACCTCTACCCAGTGCTCAGCATAGATGTTTTCAAGATCCAAAAGACGGGCCCAGGTACATATTTGCTAACTTGGTGTCGATGAGATGACAAAGAAGACTAAACCTAGTAATAGCTGGGGCAAAGTTTCCTAAATAGGGTTATGTAAAGTGTGTAGCCCTAATGGCACCAAGACTTCTGTCCGAGTTTCATCAAAGGCTGAGATGGGGAATTTGCAGACAGCATGTGAGGAATACCAAACTTAGCTATGGTTTTAAGGAAACCTGAATACAGCATGGAAAAATAATTCAATCTGGAGCAGGATACACTCTCATTGGAATTGCCCACTGCCTCCATGCTCTGTCATATCTTTGAGGACATTGTTTTCCTCTGACAATAGCATGACAAGATGGCCCCAAATGGCAGTGCTCTTAATAAGATCTTTAGAAACTGGTTGAAAATTGGGTCACAATCCTTTAAAGGAAAAGTAACAAAATAGGTAACAGAATGAGACTCATGTTGGGCCTCGAGTTTTGTTGCCAGTCCCGTTTAATGAGCCTTGTTGATAAAGCTGCTATGACTCTGAGTCTCTTAATCCGGGTGTGCTCAGTTTCTGGAGAGTGGCATTACTGTTCCTGTGAGGTTATTTGCATTTGTGTCTGATATCTGATGCTTTGCAGTTTTCAGAGTCCTCTTACCTTTATCATCATATCATCTGAGCAGAGATTACTATAGGCAGTAAGCAAGCATCATTCCCATTTTACAGAAGTGGAAGCTGAGGGTTAGAGAAAATGAAGTGAACCTAGGTGCCAGCATGTGCCCCGGCTTCCTGACCCCATTTGATGCTGTCACTGGTCCACCACCTCCAGCCAGCCCCTCGAGGAACATGAGATGCGCCTCTATTCTGTGCCTTTTCAGAAACTGTCTCAGGGAAGATGAGGCAAGATCAGCACTCTGCCCTCCAGCCACCCTGACCTTCTCACTCTACTCAGAACACTCTTTATCTTATGGTGTACTCCTAATGTAATCTAATAGCATCAAAGTAGCAAAATTTGAAGCTCTGAACCTCTGTGCCTTTTCATATGCTGTTTTTTTCTTTCCAAAATGGTATTCTCTCCCAATTCAGATGTAAGCTCCTCTGGGAAGCCATACTGTCCTCTCTTGTCTGGGTAGCCTTAACCCTTTAATAAAAGCTATAGGAGAATCCTTACAGCCTTTTATTTGTCTATGGTTTGATATGGTTTGTCTGTGTCCCCGCCAAAATCTCATCTTGAATTATGGCTCCCATAATTCCCACATGTTGTGGGAGGGACCCAGTGGGAGGAGTCTTTCCCATGCTGTTCTTGTGATACGGAGTAATTCTCACAAGATCTGATGGTTTTATAAAGGGGAGTTCACCTGCACAAGCTCTCTTCCCTGCTACCATGTAAGACATGACTTTGGTCCTCCTTTGCCTTCCACCATGATTAGGAGGCCTCCCAGCCATGTGGAACTGTGAGTCCATTAAACCTCTTATTCTTTTTTGTTGTTGTTGAGATGGAGTCTCACTCTCTCAGGCTGGAGGGCTGTGGCGCAGTCTCAGCTCACTGCAGCCTCTGCCTCCCGGGTTAAAGGGATTCTCACGCCTCAGCCTCCTGAGTAGCTGGGATTACAGGCCCGAGCCACCATGCCCAGCTAATTTTTGTATTTTTAGTAGAGATGGGATTTCACCACGTTGGCGAGGCTGTTCTCGAACTCCTGATCTCAGGTGATCTGCCCGCCTCGGCCTCCCAAAGTGCTGGGATTACAGGCGTGAGCCACCGCATCTGGCCAAACCTCTTATTCTTTATGTTACCCAGTCTTGGGTATTTCTTTATTAGCAGTGTGAGAACAGAATAATACATGGTTCATCCTCCCAGCAACATTTCATGGGCAGAGTTATCATCTACTGAAGGCTGGGTTGTTTGGTAAGAAGAAGACAGGCAAACCTGAATCCAGTCTTCAGCTCTGTCATTTAATAGGTGGTGGGGGGACACTAGGCAAAGAACTTAGTTTTTATAAAATGAAAATGGTAACATTTACCTCACGTAAGGATTAAGGGAGAAACACAGGGCTTAGCAGACTACTTGACATATAGTCTATAAATGGTAAGAAGAGAGGAGATGAGGCAGAGAAGAAAGAGAGCAGAAGGGAGGGAGAGGTTTCTTTATATTCATAGTACTGGGTACCTATCAGTGGCTGAATAAATGTTTATTGAATTACTCCTGGCCAAATATTTGATGCAGAAAAGGTGCTGCTTCCATGTATGTGTCATACTCCCTGAGATGATGAGAATGACATTTTACCTTTCTGATATTCTTTCCCCAAACCCATAACCCTAATTTAATCATGATAAAACATAGTACAAGCCCAAATTGAGGGAAAGTCTATAAAATACCTGACCGGTACTCCTCAAACCTGTTACGGTAATGAAAACCATAGGAAGAGACTGAGAAACCATCACAGATGAGAAGAGACAAAGGAGCTATGAGAAATACACACAAAATGTGGTTTCCTGGACTGAAAAGGGCCATTAATGGAAAAACTGATGGAATCAGAATAAAGTCTGCAGTTTAATTAACCGTTTGGTACCAGTGGTTTGTTTTGTGTTTTTTGTTTGTTTGTTGTTTTTCTTTTTTTTTGGAGATGGAGTCTCACTCTGTCACCCAGGCTGGAGTGCAGTGGCTTGATCTCGGCTCACTGCAACTTCTGCCTCCCGGCTTCAATCGATTCTCCTGCCTCAGCCTCCCAAGTAGCTGGGACTACAGGCGCCCACCACCATGCCCGGCTAATTTTTTTTTTTTTTTTTTGTATTTTAGTAGAGACAGGGATTCACCTTGTTGCCCAAGCTGGTCTCGAACTCCTGACCTCGGGCAATCCACCAACCTCGGCTTCTCAAAGTGCTAGGATTACAGGTGTGAGCCACCGTGCGCAGCCCCAGTGTTGTTTCTTTAGTTTTGATGTGTACCATAGCAATGTCAGGTGTTGGCATTAAGGAAGTATGGGCAAACGGTATCTTGGAAATCTCTGTATAGTCTTTTCAACCTCTCGGTAAAACTAAAGTTATTCCAAGATAAAGAGTTGGAGAGAAACACGGAGTGACAGACTATTTTACCCAGAGGATTCCACGAAGGCAAATGAGTTTTCAAATTCTTTCACCTCTAGGCATATTCTCCAGCTCCACCATGATGTGGTCTTAGCTTTCCCTACCATGAGGACAATTTAGAGACAACCTAAAGACAGCTGTAACTTCCTCTAGTCTGGTCCCAATTGCAAGTCACAGGAAGGGCTGGAAGAAGCATTCCTGGATCTCTACCGGGCTCAGATGAGATTTTCTTGACAGGCATCCAGCTAAGACATTTGGGGAAAACACTAAGCAGGCTGAGAGAAGCTTCTCTGATCACCACAGCCTGGGCTGGACCATAGACCTTGGAAAGGAAAGCAGAGCTTAACTTTCAGATGGAGTTAAATTTGGTAACCACTCAATGATTAAATTCTATTCGTTATGGATGAGGCATTTCCCAGTGTCATTCAAACTATTTAAAAGGATAAACCACACAAGGGAGGGGAAGAATCTATAAAGGGGGCATTATGAGGCTTTTCCACACCATCTATGTGCCTGAGCACTTGTGGTCCTCCCTGAACCAACATCATCTTATCATTAAGCCACAACAGCATGGAGCAAGTGACGATCTTCAGTGGCTGAAGGATTTGGACATGCAAGATACACTCATACAGTTTTAGCAGAAAAGACAAAACCATCTACAGCATCACCGCAGGAGTATATTTTGTTGAAAAGAAAACCATCATTGACCCTAAAAGGCACCAGTATCTACCCAGTTACTCAAGTCAGCAACCCAAGAATCATGGTTTGCTCTTCTTCAACATGCTACAAGTTTCCAAATCCTGTGATTCATTCATTTACTTATTCACTCATTCAGCACATATGCAGTGAGGGCCTACTCTGTTCAAGACATTGAATTAGGCGCTAGGAGTTCGGTAGGGAATAAGACAGATTCTCTTCTTTCAATGAGAAGCCCTAGACATTGATGGGCGTATAAATCAAATAGTCACATGGATAACTTTGCCAAGTGCTACACCAGGGAGATACAAGGTGATATGAGTATTGAGAACAGAGACCTGACCTGCACCAGAGGAGGTGAGGGGTGGAATCAGGGAAGGCATCCCCAAGGAAGTGGCATTTAACGCTAATCTGTGGATGATAAGCAGATAAACTGAACAAGGGTGGAGGAGGAGGTTCTTCATGAAAAGTGGTAGTGGGCTGGGCGTGGTGGCTTACGCCTGTAATCCCAACACTTTGGGAGGCCGAGGCGGGCAGATCACGAGGTCAGGAGTTCGAGACCATCCTGGCCAACACGGTGAAACCCAGTCTCTACTACAAATACAAAAATTAGCTGGGCATGGTGGCGTGTGCCTGTAATCCCAGCTACTAGGGAGGCTGAGGCAGGAGAACTGCTTGAACCAGGGAGTCGGAGGTTGCAGTGAGCCGGGATCACACCATTGCACTCCGGCCTGGTGACAAAGTGAGACTCTGTCTCAAAAAAAAAAGAAAAAGAAAAAAAAGAAAAATGAAAGTGGGAATAGGCTTTCATGAGAGGTGAGGGGGGCTTCATTAGAAGTGGAGGTGGGCTGGGCTTTCATGAGACGTGGAATGGGGGTAGGCCTTCATACAAAGAATTCCGGACAGGAGGGCGTTTCTTACATCACCTAACTCTCCGTCTTCCATTCACTGCTGTTTTACTTCTGGCCCCAGTATCTCTCCCCAGGTGATTGCAGCAGCTATTCAACAGGCTTCCTCATTAGTTTCCTCTCCTTATTCTTTTCACTCCTTACTTGCAACCAGAATGGTTCTCCACACATACCAATCTGTTCTTGTCACTTCCTGTTGCGAATCCACAGCGGCTCCCATTGTTCTCAGGACAAGTTCAGTCCCCTTAGCTTCTGGACACACACGGCTCTCATTATCTAGGCCCTTGCCTTCCTTTCTCTTTCTCTCTCTCTCTGTCCACTTTTCCTCTATTTCTCCTTACTTCAGTAATACCGAAGGACTTGCAGCCTCTGTAAGGTGTGTGGCCCTTGCCTGTTCTATAGAAGCTTTGTAGTCTGCTTCTGTGGACAGAATTGCTGCTTATAAGCAGCTGCCCAGCCAGAGACTGCATTTTCAAACCATCCTCCCTGCCCCCTGCCCTAGTACCTAGCAGGGCCCATGCATCTGAGTTTGGACCAACGAAACATGGACAGAGGTATGCGATGCACATCACTTCCAGGCCTGCCCCGTCCTGTGAGATCCTCTATGATCTCTCTTTCTTTCTCCCCAGTTTTCTGGTAGGTGTTGAAGTCAACCTGGGAAGCCCGTGTTAAAGATTACAGAGGCTTCATCGGCCTGGGACCCTGAATAACTCCACTCTCTTCTCCTATCCCCCGTCTCTATCCAGTCCCTGCATTTGAGCTTTATGTGAGCAAGGGAGAAAAAAAAAAGAAGCTTCTCTTATCTTAAATCACTAAGATTCCAGGCCCTTGACATCACCTACCATGTGTTAGGCTTTTCTGCATCCCAGACTGCATCCTCCTCATCCCTTCATTTTCCTAAGATTAATGGCCTGGGCCCTGGAGTCAGTCTATGTCCAAAGCTTACCACCGCGAGCAAAATACTTCTCAGTTTGCTCATTCACGTCATCGGAATAATAACAATGCATTTATTCCTCAGAGGGTCTCTGTGTATGTTAAATGAGCTGATGCTTGGGAGACACTAAACATAGGACCAGGCATAAAGTAAGTGTTAGCTATCTTTATTATTGTTATTGTTATTACTGTTAAGTGTTGGTTTGCTTTTGTTTTTTTAATTTCATTCCCCCAAACCTATAAGCCCCTCCATCAAAGCAACTGGTTCTTTTTCTTTTTGTGTCTGGTTCCTGCCACGTCGTAAATGCAGTAAATACTTGTGAATCAAAAAGCTGTCACAAGCCAATTTTTTCTATATTCTAGAAGAGTTATTTGCTGAACTAAGGAGAGCCCTGCCAACTGAGTTAATCCCAGGGGGAGGAAAAATCATTCCCAGTGATCTTGTAAATTTAAATCTATTAAGCAGTCTTTGGGGTTCTTTCTCATGCTATCCAACAGTCTGAATAGTCTTTCCAGATTTTTTGGCTGCCTCTGGTATGTAATATTCATTAAATGAGGTCCCCTTTTCATGGCCCCTGTGGCTGTCCCAGCATCACTCCATCCATCATCCCATGGTCCAGCTGTGCTGAGTCCACTTCCTTCAAGGCCCCAACTAGCAGGCAATGCATGGGATCTCAGAGCTAGAAGGGAATTAAGACATACACTCACTTTTGTCAGTCAAGTACTGTGTACTAGACTCTTCAAACATGCTGTTCATGGCTGGGTGTGGTCGCTCACACCTGTAATCCCAACACTTTAGGAGGCCAAAGCAGGTGGATCACCTGAGGTCAGGAGTTCAAAACCAGCCTGGCCAACATGGTGAAACCCCATCTCTACTAAAAATACAAAAATTAGCCAGGCGTGGTGGTGGATGCCTGTAATCCCAGCTACTCAGGAGGCTGAGGCAAGAGAATCACTTGAACCCCGGAGGCGGAGGTCACAGTGAGCCAAGATCATGCCTTTGCACTCCAGCCTGGGCAACAAGAGCAAAACTCTGTCTCAAGAAAAAAAAAAAAATGCTGTTCATTTAACCCTCCTAAAATCCTCCCTGTTGAATAGTATGTGACAGAGAAGAGAACAGAGTATGAGCTCTAAAGTCAGACTCCTTGGGTTTAGTCCCAGCTCCATCTTCCTAACCACACTAAGACTCAGTTTCTTCATCTGTATAGTGGAGGTGATGTTAGTGCCAGCCTTAGGTATTACTTGTGAACTTGGGGCAGTGCTTGGCACATGACTGAACACCCACTGATTTCTGAGACTAAGAGTTTCAGTGTTATTTTCTAGGCTATAATGTTAATTATAGTCAGAGGATCCAATTTGAACTCAAATATAGAGAGCTAGGGACCCCCGATTCAGTGCTCTTGACACTATACCACACAGTGGCCTCAGAAACACCTGCACCTCGCTCATTTTTTCTGCCTGTCCCACCGTGAGCCCCAGGATAAGGGAGATTTCACTATGGCCAGATACCTGGTCCCCAGGGTCCTGCAATAATGGGAAACAGAAGCCCTGAAAATTTAAAGAGAACTAAATGGCTTTATCATGTCTTTCATGAATAATCAAAGCGATGAGGATTAACTGCATCTGCACATCAGCAGGAAGGGCTATGGCTGGGGACTCACTGGAATGATTAAGACCCTCTTTCCCTAACTGCTGACCCTGGGAAACAGGCCTTTGCCTTCCAAAATGTCAGAGACATTTCTGAGATATGTTGTGGAACGAGGGCCCCGCCTCCTTGCTCCCAGAAATCTCTAATGCCAACAGCACATGACTGGATTCCTCATAGCAGCAAAATGCCTTAGGTTAAAAATATGTAAATATATAGATCTAAAAACACCTCTTCCAATCCACGTCTATTGCTGAAAAAGCATCACTCATTCTTTATTTTAATTGTTTTTATCTCCTTGACCGTAAATCATGATTGACTCAAATGAACTAACTTTATTATAAATATCGTATAGGTGAATTTGGCCTCTGTGACAGATTTATTTATGCAATATTAGTTGAATAAATATATAAGCTCAGGAAGACAGAAGAGCTAAAGTAGATTGAGCTCAATAATTTCCATACATTGTCTATAAGATACTATCGCACCTCATTTTAACAGAGGAAACTGAGACACAGAGAGGTTAAGTAACTTATTCCAGGTCACACAGCTTATAGAGAGGAAGAGCTGGCATGTGCACTCTCTTTGAATACAGAGCCCATGTGTTTAAGTGCTAGGCTGGGCTGACAGGTAGGCAGTGCTGAAAGAAGCCCTGCCTCTGCCTAGAGTGAGATGGAAGGGATTTCACTCCACGGGTTTTGTTGGTCGACTTTGCCTCCGTGAGTTAAGGATTGCCTGGGTTTTCCCAGGAGCTGAGGAAGAGGGGAGGATCTTTAGTTGACACAGCTGATTTCTCAAGGGGTCAGGCAGATTTGGTGCCTGGAGCTACCTTGATGTTAACTATCTGGCTGAAATTAAACCCCAGGCTCCCATGTTCATAAATTAAACCTCAGGCTGCTGTGTCCATAAATTAAACTTCAAGCTGCTGCATCTATGAAATTAAACCTCAGGCTCCTGTGTCCATGAAATTAAACCTCAGGCTGCTGTGTTCGTGAAGGCAGGGATGGTGTGAACCCTTCATCCCCTGTATCCCAACCACTGATCTCAGTACCCAGCACATTGGTGCTGCTTCGGAAATATTTGTAGAAGAAATGAAAGAATCAAGGGAAAGAAGACAGAAAAGGGCCAAAACCAGCAGTATGTACATTATAAAAATGGTATGAAACTTAAGGGTCCAGATTCTGGAGTCAGAGCTGGTTTTCATGCCAGCTTCTCTGGTTTCCAGGTGACAGAGCTTGAGCAAGTACTTTAACTTCCTTGGACTTTGTTTCTTCCTCTATAAAGAACAGGTCTAATACGTATTGTATCCTTATTATATGGCATTTTAAAAAGGGGGTCTTGTAATGGACTTAGATGCTCCCTGGCACATAGAAAATTCAAATGTTAGCTGCTATTATTCCTATTATATCATTATTATCACTGTCTCATTAGACAATATTACCCAGCGATACTTTGGCATTTACAGCCAGAAGCAAACAGGTTAGGTTGACGGTTGAAACCTAGAGCGAGGGGCAAAGAAAGCCGATCTCATCTCCCTTGGTCTATCTTCCCTGACAGCCGCTGCTCCATGCTCTATGAACTGGTGAGATTGTCTCAAGCCCCCTTCCAAACATCGCTTTCCTTGACCACATATGAAATAATTAGACTTTAGGGAAAATTTAGCTCTATAGTTCTGGCCCCTTGGATACATGCTGAGAACTCCAAACACAGGGACTACTCTTGGCCGGGTTTATATGACTCTGGGGACCCATCCACTTTCCCAGTGACATACCCAAAAGGCCACAGTTGCTTTTCAGATTATTATTGCCTTTATTAAGAAGAAAAATCAGTTCAGTTGGGAAAGGGAGGTGTGTAGCAAGAAGCAGCCTCGTTGCCTTTGAGGCGCGTGGTCTCTGTTCTCACTGACACCCACCAGGATGTTGGCCCTGGCCCCCCATCACCCAGGCTGGCCACTGGTCACTCTGATTGTGTTCATTTTGCAGCTCATGTCATGGCAAATTTGGCAGTTTCCCTTTTCCTTGCACTCACCCCCCTGCTCTCAACATGCCTGGGCGTCCGACTCCACGACAGGATAGAGAGATTAAATTTGAGCACTCCCTGCCCCTCACACAAGCTATGTCCCTCTCCCCACCGCAACAAACTGATCTATACTTCCTGTCTCCTTCCCTTTCCCTCCTCCTTTCCCTCCCTGCCTCTCTGTTCCTTTGTCTTTCTGTCCATTTCCATCTCTCTTTCCTTTTTTTTCACTCTTTTTCTGTCTCCCTTCCTCTCTTTTCCGTTTCCTTCTCTCCTTCCTTCCTTTCTTCTTTTTCTCTCTCTCATTTCTTTCCTTCTTCTTTTCCTTCTCTCTTTCTCTCCTTCCTCCCTTCCTCCTTCTCTTTCTCCCCTTTATTCTTTCTCTCCACCCCCCACCCCCATCTCTTTCTTTCAGCATCTGTCAAGTACAAGCCCTGGGGGTAACTGTGTTGGTCTCTGGGTATTCCATAGTGAGCAAACTCAGGTCTCATCCCATATTCCTGAAGCCTGCAGTCCTGTGGATATGATATAGACTTACAAAGAGGCGCATTAGTCATCGATGGCAGTGGTAATTGGTACTAGAGGGAGGAGTAAAAGCTGCCGCAGAACATGAGGACGTAAGTGCCTGGTCTAGAGGACCCAAGATGACTGTGCTCAGGGACTAAACTGAGGACTGATGTCTGAAGGAGGGGGAGGGAATGAGAGGTGAAGGGAATGAAGGGGGAAAGGATACAGTGTTTTAAGAATGGGCAACAACACGGCCGGGCGCGATGGCTCACGCCTGTAATCCTAGCACTTTGGGAGGCCGAGACGGGCAGATCACGAGGTCAGGAGATGGAGACCATCCTGGCCAACACGGTGAAACCCTGTCTCTACTAAAAATACAAAAAAATCAGCTGGGCGTGGTGGTGGGCACCTGTAGTTCCAGCTACTCAGGAGGCTGAGGCAGGAGAATGGTGTGAACCTGGGAGGCAGAGCTTGCAGTGAGCCGAAATCGCGCCACTGCACTCCAGCCTGGGCGACAGAGAGATACTCCATATCAAAAAAAAAAAAAAAAAAAAAAAAAAAAAAAAAAAGAATGGGCAAGAACATGAGACCTGGGCATTTGACAAACTGACCAGAGTATGACAAGTGAGAAGGAGAATAGAGAAAGAAATGACAGTAAGTGATTGGGTGGTACACAACCTTGGGGCGGGATCAGCAATCTATCTTGTCATGGGCCCTCCAGGAGACTCTAATGCATGCTCAAGGTTGAGAACCACTGATGCAGAGCACTTAGAACAGAACCTGATGCTCAGCAGTTCAATAAGAATTAAATATCACCCTCATTGCATGGAGGTGCTTTAGAACATGCAAAGCACATTAAATATGGATTTAAAGAATGTATTGATCTTCAATGTCAACCCTGAATGAGTGTATGGTCATTTATGTCTATGATGGCATAGAGTTGAGAGTCTTTGGGGTGAGACTGACCTATATTTGCATCTTAGCTTCCGCACCTTGCTGGGTGATCTTAATCAAGCTGCTTCATCTAAGACTCAGTTTCCTCATGTGTAAAATTGGCAAAACACCTCCCCTCCTAAGGTTGCTGTGAAGTTTAATGAGATAATCTATGGAATCGTTAGCTCTCCAAGAGAGCCTGCAGTGAGTGGTGGCTGTGATTATGCCAATATCATGCCCTGCATCAGAGATAAGAGGTAACAGAATCATTACCTTGTACACGTTTTAGTGTTTGCTCATAAAAGCAAATGGGCAGTCCAGCATATTAGGTGGGGAGGCAGGGAGGCAGGTAGTCAGGGAAGTTCTCATAAAAGGGCACACGTGAATGGTTATTTCGAAATCTTTCAAAACCAAACCTATGACCTCTTCCCCTTTTAAACATCTCTGTATGCTGGCCCAGCTGGTGGAAGGGCTGACCTCTCTCTGTAGCATAAAGCTAGTAGTTAGAGTATCAGGAGCATTCCATTCTTGTTGTAAAATAACAAGAAAAACAACCGATAAAGAGTATCTAGATGCTATTCATCTTCTTCAGTTTCTTTTTTATTTTGTATCCATAAAATCTGTCTGGTATTCAGATCTGTGCTCCTCATCCTAGGAACACTCATTTCGTTTTGCATGTCAGGAGAAAATACTACAGACCAGTTGTATTTGTAAAATACACAGCAACTTAGTGATGAATATGTTTACTCCCGTGGTAGGACAATGCAGTGGTTAGGGCTCTGGACTTGGCAGATACGTGTTTGATTCCTGGCCCAGCTATTTGATGATTGTGAGACCTGGGGCACATTCCTTCACCTCTCGAAGTCTCAGCTTGCTCATTTGTAAACACTCATTTAATGCATAGGGTCTAGAATGTAATGCATACTTAGCTATTTTTAACTGTGGTATTGGAAATCATCTTATTACACAATCCAGCATGGATTTCAGAAGGCAAATATTCAAATTACATAAACATGCTTGTTATACACTTTTTCACTCCTCTTCATCTTAAGGGTTATGGTAACTTTAGCTTCAAACCTTAAGCAAGCTACATGGATTTAAAAGTTAACTATTAAATCAAATGGCCTTGTATGCACCAATAACATGTCATTTTTTTGTTTGTTTGAGGCAGAGTCTTGCTGTGTTGCCTGGACTAGAGTGCAGTAGTGCAATCGGGGCTCACTGCAGTCTCAACTTTCTGGGCTCAAACAATCCTCCCACCTCAGTCTCCCAAGTAACTGAGACTACAGGCTCATGCCACCATACCCAGCTAATGTTTAAAAACTTTTTGGTGAGATGGGAACTCACTATTTGGTCCAGGCTGGTTTTGAACTCCTGGGCTCATGCAGTCCTCCTGCCTTGGTCTCCCAAAGTGCTAGGATTACAGGCATGAGCCGCCACACCTGGCCAATAACACATTTTTTATGAGCATTGAGAAATGTTCATATATAACTCTCTCATCGGGCAGGAATGCCTGGGTGTATTTCCTCCTTGTTGACCCATTACACATGACAGATTGTCACCCTCCTAATGGTAGTCATGGGACACTGGAAGCGTAAATTACTACCACCTCTTCTGTCTCACAAATGTCAGACTTTGTCCACGGTACAGGAATGTCCTCTATGTCAAAGAGCTGACAATTCCATCACCCTGTCTCCTGGAAACTGCTTTTTAGAGTGGGCTTCATTGTTCTGACAAAGGGAGAAAGGTGGGGGCTTCCTACATGATTGAAAAAGCCTGGAAACTATTTCCTCTGGAGATGATCGTCCTGAGCTCTACATGGGGGTGGAACATGGTGGCAAAATGCGAGTCTCAACTGGTGCAAGGAAAAGCCTGGATTTCACTTTTTCTGAAAGACTTAGTGGTGTCTAAGCCTTTATCCATCAGGAGAAGCTACCAAGGGCTTTCTTTTTTTCTTTTTCTTTTTTTTTTGAGACAGAGTCTCGCTCTGTTGCCCAGGCTGTAGTGCAGTGGCACGATCTTGGCTCATGGCAAGCTCCACCTCCCGGGTTCACGCCATTCTCCTGCCTCAGCCTCCCGAGTAGCTGGAACTACAGGCACCCGCCACCACGCCTGGCTAATTTTTTGTGTTTTTAGTAGAGACGGGGTTTCACCATGTTAGCCAGGATGGTCTCAATCTCCTGACCTGGTGATCTGCCTGCCTTGGCCTCCCAAAGTGCTGGGATTACAGGCGTGAGCCACCGCGCCCAGTCTACCAAGGGCTTTCAAAACCAGTCTGGTTGCTCTTTTCCAAGGAGAAAGTCTAAAAACTCTTTCTGGGCCCTGATGAACCTGAGAGCCATTGGAAACACACTCCTGTAGATCTATAGATGGGTGCCCACTCAGTGTCTGGCCCTGTACAAGGCCCTGCAGAGACGAAATGGGTAAGACACAGTGCTTGCATTGAGAGGGCTCCCAGTTCCCTGGAGGAGACCAACGAGCAACCAAATATGTGCATGGAGTGTGGAGTCTGCAATGACAGAACCAACGAAAGTAATTCACAGGAAAAAAATGATTAATTCCTGTGCGGAGTGGGGGAATGATAGGTTAGCAGAGTTCTTAAATAGGAGTTTTCTAGGTAGCCAAGAAACATGGCACAAAAGCCCAGGAGAACATGATACTTTGAGAGAGCTGTAAGAATCGGGTATGGCCAAAGCCAGGGGTAGGTAGTGATAAGTGACACAGGCAGCCAGAAATAAATCACGAGGGCCCTGGTTCTTACTGTAATGTCAGTTTCCTAAAACACCTCTGCTCTCTCTACTCCCAGCCCCACTAATTGAGTTTTATTCACAACTCCTTGGATGGATAAACTGATGGATGAATGAATTCCAAGATAATACCAAGTAGCAATTTTTCAAATTTTACCATGTAAATTTGTATGCATAATATGTATGTAAAATTAAACAAGGAAATGTATTTTTCCCCGTTCCATTTTTGACAAGCATGCTGCTCAGTGCCTTGCATTCGTTATTTTATTTCTGCTCACAACTCTGTGAGGTATAGCGTATTCTCATCAACTCATTTTGAGATTTAAGAACTCAGAATTTACTGAAATAAAGCCAGTCACCCAAAGTCACAAGATTGGCAAAGACAGAGGTACAATTCACACTCAGATAGGTCCTTCTCAAATCCTGTGTTTTAAGCCACAAAGATAGGTCAGGAAATGAGAAAGGGGACAGCAGGTACGGGTCTACCCATCTGCTCATTGCCTCTGCCCACTCAACTATTGTGGGAGCATCAAGGTGACCTTGCTATGGGCTGTTTTTTCAATGGTTTATAGGGTCATGTTGGCCTCCGAGAAGCCAGCTGGGCAGTGGGAGGGCAGGGGTGAAGCTCATGGGGCTGGCAGGGTGGTAAGGATGCACCAGGATGCCCCAACTTAAAGAGGTGGGCACATTACTCCCAGATCTCCAGAGCCCCAACAGAAGGTTGACCCCCAGGAGAGATGCTGGATTTAGCAAATACAAATTTTATCTGGCAAACCTTACTTCCCAGGAACCCCTGAGTTCTCCTACAGAAAGTTCTAAACATTCCAGGGAATTAATTACACCAGTGAGGCTGAAAGCCAGGATTTGAGTTGATTAGGAGACACGTCCAGTCAGGAATGCATTAAGAACGGGAAATATTTTAAGCCTCAAGAGCAGCAGCTAAAAGGAGCCCTGTTCTCTAGAGCCCATCCCCACGATGAGAAAAAGGCTGTATTCAGTGCAGACCTGGACCCCCCTTCACAGGGCCAAACAGAGGCCAGTCTACTCCCTGTCCCTGATACAAACTGGTCCCTGATAAAAACTGGTCTAATATTTGCATACAACCTATGCTCACTCAGGGTCCCTCCCCAGCCATGCGACCCCACAGCATGGGGAGACAATTAGACCCAGAGGTCTGGGCTTGTGGAGGAGGACCAGCAGAGAGACCAACCTGCCTCTGCCTTCCTCTGCCAGGGAGAGCAGGAGACAGGTGGTGGACCTTCTTGGGTCACCCAGCAGATCTTTACTGAGCATGTACTATGAGCCAGGTGGCATGCTAGGTATCTGGAATACAATGGCAAACAAAATAGTCACTGTCCTCAAGGACCATCTGTAAGGGAGAAAGGCACATAGCTATACAGCAAATATATACACACACACACATATACATATTATACATATAGTATGTGTGTGTAAATAAGATATAGCCAGCCCTTATATTATGGGTTTCATATCTGTGGATCCAACCAACCACAGGTCAAAAATATTTTTTGAAAATGGATACTTGCATCTGTACTAAACAGGTACAGACTTTTTCCTTGTGATTATTCCCTAAACAATATAGTATAACAGCTTGTGTACATAGCATTTACATTGTGCTAAGTATTATAAGTAATCTAGAGATGATTTAAAGTATACAGGAAGATGGGCATAGGTTATATGTAATTATTACACCAGTTTATTTTTTATTTTTTTTTATTTTTTCTGAGATGGAGTCTTGCTCTGTCACCCAGACTGGAGTGCAGTGGCGCTATCTCAGCTCCCTGCAACCTCCGCCTCCCAGGTTCAAGTGATTCTCCCCCCTTAGCCTCCCAAGTAGGTGGGACTACAGGTGCCCACCACCACGCCTGGCTACTTTTTGTATTTTTATTAGAAACGAGGTTTCCCCATGTTGGCCGAGCTGGTCTCAAACTCCTGACCTCAGGTGATCCAGCCGTCTTAGCGTCTGAAAGTGCTGGGATTACAGGCGTGAGCCACCACATCTGCACTACCAGTTTATATCAGAGACTTGAACACCTGTAGATTTTGGTATCTACAGAGGGCTCCTGGAACCAATCACACAAGGATACTGGGGATGGCTATATATACACACAAACATATACACATATACACACACGATAAATACGTGTGTGTGCATGTGTATATATATATATGAAAGGATCAAGATGCTATCATAGAGAATATCAGGCAGAGAGACCTACTGCACATTAAATCATCAAAGATGTCTTCACTGAGTGGGTGACATTTAAGCAGAGATAAGGAGGCAGTTATGTGAAAAGCAGGAAGAAAGCACTTTGCAAAGCTTTTGGAAATTGCAAACATCCCAGACAGGACTTGCCATCAAGATTAAGTCATTGGAAGAGCATTTTCTTCCTAGTCACAGAGCTTGCTTGCTAAGATCTAGCCTGCTGGCCATTGGGCTGTGTAGCAGACACAGCCATATCCCCATCCCTGAGGTCGGCGCTGACAGTCCCCATTCACACAGGCAGATGCCCACAGCTCTGCCTGAGGTTGTTTCCTGGTTTGCAATTTGGCCCATGTTCAGGCAGGTTGCAAGAGCCCTGAGTTAATGCCACAGGCGCATCCCTCAGCAGGTGCGGGATAAGAGTGTGGCAGTATGTTCCTGAGTGTGCTCTCCCCCTCTGTGGGACAGTTAGGAGGTGTGTTCTATGTCACCTCTCAGAGGGGCCCCACTAGAATAGAGCTTTGTTGTTCACAGGGGTAAGCCACTTTGTAGGCTTTCCTCCCTTCCCCGCCTCACCACCCTAACTCGTTCATCTGACTTCCTGAGACCCATTCCAACTAAACTATATGCACCCACACTTTTACCCTAGGGTCCACTTGTGGGGAAATTCAAACCCTTTGAACAAGTCTTTGATGATCAGCCAAGATGAACACAAACACCTCTCCTCATCATCCCCTTCCCCAGTCGCTTTCTCTCCAGCCCAGCCTGTCCGCTCATCCTCTCCATGTAATTCTGCACTGTCCAACCGTCCACCCTGAGAGCCAGACTAGCTCCCCTTTTTCCTCTGCCTGGCAAGTTTCTATTCACCATTTAAATGTCACTTCCTTTTGGAAGCCCCTCCCGCTCTTCTGCCTCTATGCCCTCTACATTATCTTTCTAATATTACCCTTATTAGATTCATCTATCTGTGCATTCATCCATCTGTCCATTCGTCCATCTGTCCGTCCATCCATCCAGCAGCTATGCCTTAACTGCCTCTATATCCCAGGCACTAATGTGTGCAATTATCCCGGGTCTTCCTGTGCTAGAGGGGTCTTCTTGAAATCAGAATGGGCCTTAGCATCTCTGTGCTTCCACCACATATCACAGGGTCTGGGATGGAGTGGGTGCTTGGCAAGTGTTGGATCAAATTAAATGGATGAACTTTGCCTATCCTATGTAATGATAATGAGGTTCTTAATTACACAGGGGGAGGATACATTAGTATGTAGAATTAATAAGTGAGTACATTGTCATCAACATGTGAGCTACATGTAGACACAGTTTCATTACTGAAAACAGCTTGTAAGCCATTATGCCAGTGACTGCTTGATTTCCCAATACCAAAGCAGAAACAGCCCCCAGCAGGTTCCGCTTGATCCCTCAGTGAACCACAATGACAGAAATTCTTGCTTTGCTGCCCCAAATATTTTCTTTAGAATTTTACTGAACCCTTTGACCTCACGATTTCATACTGGTAGGGCTGCCGTATACTGATGAAAGACAGGATGCCACCTTCACTACTGGCAATATCTTCTAAAGAGATAACCAGAGAGTTAGTCAAACAGCCAGCCAGTCTCTATGCAAACATTGAGCATCAGCAGTTCTTCCAGCAATGAGCTAGACACAAAGTATACAGTCATAGGTAAGATGGACTTAGACTCTGGCTTCTGAAACTTAGAATCAAAGATACTTATACAAAAATGTTCACTGAAATACAGTTTATAATACTATAACACCATAATTTCTTGTCAGATAGTTGGTTAAAAGGAATTATGGTATATCTATATAATAGAATATTCCATAGTCATTCAAAATGGGGTGTTAAATAATTTGTCATTACCCACAATAATGCTCACAATGTAAGCTTAGAAAGAAAAAGATAATCAGGGTATATAGTGGTGTATTCAGTGTGATTCCAATTCTGTGGATAAAAAAAATTATTGATAATACATATTAGAAAACTACTGTAACAGAATAAGCCAAATTATTTAGAGTATCTCTGAGATATGGCATTGTAGTTGACATTTTTATAGTTTTCTGTATTTTCCAGATTTCGTGATTTACAATGGCATAAATGTGTTGCTTTCATAATAATACTTTTTATAAAGAGCTTAGTAGAGGTCAGAGTAGGTCCTTCTGCAAAATGCAGCATTTCATTCTCTGATGTTTAAGTGTATCAGGAGAACTTACTAAAATGTTCAGAGTTTTTGCTGCTCTTGGAGAAGTAATTGCTTTCAGTCAGGCCAAGAGCTTTTTGGAAATGAGAAAGCAGGAAAAAAAAAAAAAGCTCTTAAACTATGACTGATGTGCCTTTACTTCTTTTGTTGATTGTGACCTGCAACCACTAAATAGTGGCCAAAAGCAGTAGGTGTATGAGAGGAGGAAGGGAGACAGAAACCAAAATAATCACCTCTCCCCCGGTCTTCCCGTGCTTCTGACGTATAAACCTGTGGTCCTGGAAACGTATTGCCCTCATCCTGTGCTAGCTGTGTACTTCAAAACTTCGGCAAAGTGCACCACCATATTTTAACCCATGGGTGCATTTCATTTTTGGTACAACTGAATATGCATGTCCTGCCTGTCCATCAGAGTGTGGACATGATAGAGCTCAAAAATGCAGTGTGACGTGCAATACCACTTGCTGTGAGTACTAAATTGAGGCTGTTGCCTGAGGAAGATCACCCTTTCACTGGACCATGTAAGAAATTCTTCTTGTGCACATGCATCAAAAGGGCCAGGTCAGACCACTAAGAAGTTCTAAAGTCGAGTGGCAAAACCAAGTGTCAGTGACAGTAAGTGTCACTGTAGAGACTGTGAGATGTTGTTGTGCTGTGGTTGTGAATGGCAATGTAATCTTGCCTGCATTTTTAGTGTTATTTGAATTTTTATCAGTCAAGTATGCTACCCAAAAATTGTGTTATACAAAAGTAGGCTGTCAACAAAGAAATATCAAGAACTGCTGATGTTCAAGTGGAAGGAGATGGTTCTGCTGTGCCACGTTTAAGAGGGTTATCACCTTCCAGGCCACCGTCCCCTGGACGTAGTGCCATTTGCCAAAGAGAAGAGTTGAAGGGATTAAACATGCTCAGATTGGAAAAGAGAAGATCCACGGTGCAGGAACGTTGTGGAAATATCAACAGGGAGTAAGAAGGGATATGAGACATACAAACCTATAGTTTTGTGTGTCATGCTTCCTAAGAGCAAAATTTACAGGAAGGCTGTGGACAGCATATTCTAAATAAGACCTTCTAACAATCAGAGGTGCCTCAAAATAGAACGGGCTGACTAGAGAGGCAATTAGTGCTCCATTTCCACCTCATTAGTTTTCATCCTGGAAATATTATAGGAGGAAGCTGAGTCAGGAAGCTCCTCTTGCACCAGGTAGGAGGTTGGAGTGGATGACTCAAGGACATTTTAGGTCCTAAGAGTCTCCAGAGCTGTGTTTTCAATGCTCGTCACGTTGCCTCTGTCTTGGCCCCCCATGTGGGATTGCCCCATGTGGGACTATGCCTGGTCCATGATCTTGCTGGAGAGACAGGTAAGGAGTTGAAGTCCTTACCATTAATATTAGCTGGTACCAGGCAGGGTGTTAAGCCCTTACTGAGGTCATCTCCTTTACTCCTTACACCCACCTTCAGGAGACACGGTTACCATGCACAGGGGCAAAAACGACAAAAACAAAAGTTCTGAATGCTTATGTGATTTGCCCAACGCCAGCTATCCAGTAAACGTGATCAGGGGTACTTCCGCAGATGGTCTGCCTCTAGAACATGCCACCTCATGTTCCCAGAACCTACCCAGTATAGGGCACTGTTCACAGTAGCAAAAACTTGGAACCCACCCAAATGCCCATCAATAATAGACTGGATAAATAAAATGTGGCACATATACACCATGGAATACCATGCAGCCATAAAAAAGGATGAGTTCATGTCCTTTGCAGGGACATGGATGAAGCTGGAAACCATCATTCTCAGCAAACTAACACAGGAACAGAAAACCAAACACCACATGTTCTCACTCATAAGTGGGTGGTGAACAATGAGAACACATGGATATAGGGAGGGGAACATCACACACCAGGGCCTGTCAAGGGGTGGCGGACTAGGGGAGGGATAGCATTAGGAGAAATACCTAATGTACATGATGGGTTGATGGGTGCAGCAAACCACCATGGCACGTGTATGCCTATGTAACAAACCTGCACATTCTGCACATGTATCCCAGAACTTAAAGTATAATAACAAAAAAAAGTAGGTGCACAGTGCATGGCACTTAGGTACGTGGCACATAAATGTCCACTGAATGAAACAAGAAACAAATGTGCAAAATTTATGAGACAGAGAGCATACCATGAAAGGAACAGGGCGTTGCATTACTAAGATGTCAAAGGAGGGGAAAATGTGAAGAAATCATCATTCGTTCATCCATTCATTCATTCATCTCCATGTTTTTATGAACAAATTCTACATGCCTGGCTGTGTACCAGGGGCTCCAGATAAGAGGTCACTGATGACAGCAGTGGTCCTAGTGATACCAGTGTTTGAGCAAGGGGGATGGCTTGGTAAACAATATTAACAGTGAAATAATTTTACTCTTACTACACTCGCAAAGAAAGCCAGTTAACTTTGAAAGTTTGTCATTGATAGGAAACAGCGGGACATAGAGCTTTGAAAAGGGTCCTGTCCTACAAAGAAGGCAGGTCTGAGAATGGAAAGGTGGCAAAGGTGAAATGAATAGAACTAAACATCCCAGTAGGAATTTCTATCTGGAGACCTGGCCACTGCATTCCAGTTCCCTACAAGACTGACAGTTAAAACGTACTCTGATCCAGAAGCCTCCGATGTCACCTTCCAGCTGTGATGGGTCCTGTCCCGCCCAGAACAGAACCTCAGCCGCAGGATCTGAAGTCACAGAAAGAGTCCCGATGTCTGATCTCTGAGGACTGGCAGAAACGGAGCAATGATTTGAGCGTTTGAGTCATTCATGTTCAGGGCAGGTACTTTGAAATGGAATTGTTGATCACATCAGAAGGTGCTGAAACCAAGGTCAGGCTCCTGTTCCTGTTGAGAGGCCTTGTTAATGAGGTGCCTCCAGCAAACATGGACACGCGTGCCAGGCAGGAAGGCAGGCTGCTGAGCTGTGAACACGATAGTCCCAAGTAAACGCCTTTGCTTTCTGCCAGGCACTGCTGCATGCTGGTGTACAAATCCCCGTGTGTAGGGTACAGGCATTGTAGGAGATGGGTAAAGACAGGAGTAGGGGACATGAGCTTACATCTCCTAAGCCCCCACTTTGTGTTTGATTCCGTGTAAGGCTGTATGCACACTTCTCTGTTGTACACTCATGGTAACCTGGTGAGGTAGGTAATATCATCCCAACTTTATAGCTAAGGCTATCAGTTCAGAGTAACCAGGTCAAGTTCCCTCAGGTGCTTAGCAGTAGATCCAAGGATCAGAATCCAAGTCCCACTGATGCTGCCCCTCTGCCCTTCTCTCCTGGCCACCCTATTAATTATTTTCCTTGACTTAATATTAGGATGACTATATGACCCTATTTGCCTAAGACACAGTTTATGCCTGTTGATCAAGGGGAATTAATAATAGCATCCCCTTTCATTCTCAAAAAGAGTCCCAATTTAGATAATAAATTATATGGGCACCCTACACAATAGTAGTTTGAGTCGTTTGGTTTTTTGTTTTTGTTTTTGTTTTCTTTTGGTTGAAAGAGACGCATTTATCAAAACCACAACTTCAAACTGTGGGTGCAAATTGTAATTTGGCTGGAAATGAGAATCCGGCATCCCACCATGCAAATACAGTCATCCAGGAAATGTATCCAAATGCACTACATGGAAGGCAGCCAGCCTGGAAGTGACTCTAATACTCCTGCACTCCTTGATTTAGAGCCCTGTGAAGGGGACTTTGCCATCTGGTGGACTGGACGGCTCCACGGTTGCTGGAGTCCAACTCTCAAACAGTGTGTCAGTCTGTGGGCTATGGGTTGTCCTGTGGCCATGCATGGTGCCCCTCATTTGGAGAGTATTGCTGATGACAGACACAAGCCTTGCTATGGTCTCTACAAGGGTTGATTAGCAGAGTTGCCATGTGCGGTTGGACAGGCTGCACACTGCACAGAAACACCAAACTGTGGGGCAAGCAAGAGATGGCCACACTCTAGTTGCTAGGGCTCACAGCTCTGCCCGGCAACAGATACTAGCCCGTCTTTCTAATTCACACAAAACTGTGGTAGGGTAGAGCAGGGGCAGCTATGGTTACAGATTGAACCTTTCCAACCCTGCCCTGCCACTGACAATCAGAAATCCCAGAGGGTGTGAAAAAAGCTATTTAACCTGGAATTAGTAAACCGAAGACCATAACATGGAATGATACAGTCTTTAGAGTAAGAAGAGCAGAGCTGGCCAGGCACGGTGGCTTATGCCTGTAATCCCAGTGCTTTGGAAAGCCGAGGTGAAAGGATTGCTTGAGGCCAGGAGCTCGAGACCAGCCTGGGCAACATAGTGAGACCCTGTCTCTACAAAAAAAATTGTTTTAAATTACCCAGACATGGTGGCAAGTGCCTGTAGTTCCAGCTATATGAGAGGCTGAGGTGGGAGGATCGCTTGAGACCAAGAGTTTGAGTTTACTGCAAGCTATGATCATGCCACTGTACCTCAGCCTGGGCAACAGATTGAAAACCTGTATTAAAAAAATAATAATAAGAGAGAGAGAGAGCAGGGCCCTATAATCTACCGAGCATCCACTATGCTTGGCACTGTACTAAGTATGCTAACCTGTTTGCATGTGAGTTCGCTGAGGCTCAGAGAGATGAAGTAGCTTTCCAGAGTCACACAGCCTGTCAGTGCCATAGCTAGGCTGCAAACTCCGGTTTGCCTGACTCCAAAGTCCATATTGTCGTGTTTCCCCAGTGCTGAGCGCCATCACACAGGACCCTCGGAGATTCTGCTCCTGTCCTTCTTGTACATTTGAGGGGCGTAAGCTACAGAGCCCTGAAATGGCAAGAGCAGGATCAGAACTCAGGTTTTCTGTTCCTGCGTGTTCAAGGCTCCCTTCAGAGCTAGCTTGCTTTGGGTCTTGTTCTGAAAGCGGGGATCTCCCACAGTCTCTTCCTCCAGGGCCATACTAGT
The DNA here is from genome assembly GCF_000001405.40 of Homo sapiens. Lineage (NCBI taxonomy): Eukaryota > Metazoa > Chordata > Mammalia > Primates > Hominidae > Homo > Homo sapiens. Next base: position 77,852,095 of record NC_000016.10, read on the forward strand.
GCTCCTCTCCCCCTCCCAATCTCGGGGCTGCCCGTCCTTATTGCTCAAACAACAAAACTGTGCTGGCTTGACCCTCAAACATACCATGAGGTGAAAGTGGACTGACCTCTCTCTCTCAGCTAGAGCAGAGGAGGGGCTGTCACTGGTGTGTCATCCCGTAGGCCCGGGCTCATGGAGCCACCTCCTAGGAGAAGCTTTGGGAAAGCAAAAGTCACCTCCCTCCCACCCTTGATCCTGAAGCTGCCTGCTGTGCTCCGTGAGGACGGGGTGTCAGGAAACCCAGCTGAGGGGGATCTGATCAGGCGTCTCGGGCACTGGCTGGCAGCTGAGTTTATGTGGGGAGTGGGAGTCATTGTTGCCAGATCACTTCACGAACATGTCCTGTCCCCACAGGCTTAGCAATAAGGCCCCTTGCATTTAAACCTCACCACTTCCAGTTGCTAGTACTTAGACTTTCTGAGCCTCAGTTTCCAATGATCCTGGCAAGATTACTCTAAGTTCCCTTGCTCTTTCCGAGCCTTTCTTCCAGATGGCAATATGATGTTGGGTGGATAGAATGAGATGTGTGTAAAGTACCCAGCATAGTGCTTGACAAAGCGTAACTTACCAGGAAGAGGTGGTTCCCCTTCCTTCTCTCCTTTTGGCCTACAGATCCACAACTGTCCTACAGCATAAGGCAGTGGTTAAATTGTGGAAGCTGGAGTCATACTACTTGGATTCAGATCTTCTCCCTGGTATTACTGTGTGACTGTAGGCTGTTACCTAACTTCTCTGTGCTTCGGTTCTTCCATCTGGGAAATGAGGATGAACTAGTACCTACCTCATAAAGGTTGTGATGAGGATCGAATGAGCTATTATTTACAGGGTATGTTGAGCCCTGCCAGGTACACAGTAAACTCTGTGGAGCTGGAGTTGAATGAATCAACCTATATGCTTCACCACTTTGCCTCACTTGCTTCTTAATCCAGGACCTTTGCAATGAGCTCAGAGCAGTCTAAGTAGAAGAAAAGGTTTAAATTGTCATCTTCCCAGTCACTTGCTGGAGCAGAGCTGTGACAGGCTAGGAAAACCCGGTGCACCGTGGCCAAGCATCAAGAGCCTCAGAGCCTGCTAATGGGGATGGGGGCTTATTTTCTCTTCCTACTTCTCTGATCACAGAAGACTGTGTTGGTCATGCCCTGATCTACAGGATCCCACACACTAAACCCATGGACTCTGATGTCAGCCTCAACTAGGAAAAGAGGAAGTGGATTGCTACAATGCCATAATTGAGCAAATTAGAAGGATGCCTTTATAGAGCAGTGGATCTCAGCGCCGTCAGCACATTAGAATTCTCCAGGGAATGTATAATTATATACGAATAGTCAGGCCACATCCAGGTTTTAAATAAAATACCTGATTATCAGATACTGTGAGCATCATGGGGCCTTTCTCCTCTAAATCACAGGGAATGTGCCAGTGATTTACCATGATGATTTATGTCAGTGATTCTCAGCTTGAGCTGCATCAGAATCCCCTAGAGGGCCTGTTCAAACTCAGGCTGCAGGGCCCCATCCTGGAAGTTTCTGATTCCATAAGTCTGGGTTGGAGCCTGGGAATCTGCATTACAGCAAGTCCCCAGGTGATGTTGAGGCTGCTGGCTCTGGCACCACACACTGAGAAGCACGGATCCATACAATGAATAAAAGAGAAAAAAATAAGACACTGTCCACCAAGTCTTCTCAAAGAATATGCCTACTTCTTTTGGGGATTAAAAAAAAATGAGGCCGGGCGCCGTGACTCATACCTGTAATCCTAGCACTTTGGGAGGCCAAGGAGAGTTCAGGATTTCGAGACCAGCCTGGCCAGCATGGTGAAACCCCACCTTTACTAAAAATACAAAAATTAGCCAGGCATGGTGGCACGTGCCTGTAGTCCCAGCTACTTGAGCAGCTGAGGCAAGAAAAGCTCTTGAACCCGGGAGGTGGAGGTTGCAGTGAGCCAAGATCGCACCACTGCACTCCAGCCTGGGCAACAGAGTGAGACTCTGTCTCAAACGAAAAAAAAAAAATTGCCCATACTTATATTTTGAGCAATTGAAAAATGCCTGTCCCACTCTTTTCCATTTTTCTTCCCTCTCTCCTATCTCAGCCATGCACCCCTGTAACCTCCTGCCATTGAAATTCTCGGCACCTGTGTGTCACAGCGCATATCACGTGTAGGTCAACAGCTTTGCAGTGACAAACAAAGAAAAAGAAAAACTGACTGATGCTTGAAGCATTGTAGGTGAGAACACAGAATAGTCTTTGCTGCCTTTGGTGGCAGGTCACATGGATCAGCCCACACAGTGGAGTTTGAATTTCCTCTTCTTACAACAATTGAGTCACTGAATTGTTGAGCAGACAAATGACAGCGTGATCTGAAAAAAATGTTTCTGACTCTGTGTCTAAACCTCAATGTGGGAGCTTGTATTGTTGTAAGAAAAACGTAAGTATGGCTCATGCATCCAATGTACTTGATTTTGTGATAATTTTCAGTTATTTTTGCTCATCTAAGTACCTCTATGCGTCGATGAAGATGAAAAAATAAACTGACAATCTTTGGAAGAAGAAAATCTTACCTCACCATCTCCTCCAAGTCTCTTCTCCGAACATTCACAAGCTCATTCTGCTAATTCATTTCCATTCTTTGACTACATTAATGATCTGTGGTTTTCATGAGCTGTTTAACAGTGAAAACAACTTTTAGAAGAGATATACAAAATTCTTTTTGTAAGATGATCTTGAAAATGGTCAAGTTAGTAACAGAAAGTTCCATTTTCATCAAACTTGGTACAGGGACTCAACCTTCATACTTTTTGGGAGATTTCTCCAAATACACTGTTTTTGGCCCAGCTAAATAACTAGTCAATGTGATCAAGAAATCTTAGAACTGAAGAGACCACAGAGATCATTAAGTCCAAGTTCCCATTTTAAAAATGTGAAACCGCTGGGCGTGCTGTTTCACGCCTGTAATCCCAGCACTTTGGGAGGCTGAAGCAGGCAGATCACGAGGTCAGGAGTTTGAGATCAGCCTGGCCAATATGGTGAAACTCCGTCTCTACTAAAAATACAAAAATTAGCTGGGCATGGTGCCACGTGCCTGCAGTCCCAGCTACTCAGGAGGCTGAGGCAGGAGAATCGCTCGAACCCGGGAAGCAGAGGTTACGGTGAGCCGAGATCGTGCCACTGCACTCCAGCCTGGGCAACAAAGCGAGACTCCATCTCAGAAAAAAAAAAAAAAAAAGTGAAATCAAGGCACAGAGACATGAGCTTACCCCTAGTCACACAACCCATTTGAGAAACTTGACCACAGGTGAGTCCTTTCCTTCTCCTTATCTATCTCCCCCGACATGCCCACACACTCCACTTTAATGCATGCCCTTCATTGTCTGCATATGTCCAAAAACATAGTGCACCAATGCAGTCTTTTGCTAGTGGTTCAGTGGAATTGGTGCTCTCATTCTCATGGTTTAGGAATATAATTGTACTTTAATGGTTTATTTATTTTATTAATGTCTGTCATCTTCATTACAATGCAAGTTCCAAGACAGGGACCATATACATAAATAACTCGTTTATATTTCTGGCACCTCTGATAATGTTTGATCCAGTAGAGATGCTCATTATATAGCACTGTAGTCACTCCTGTAATCCCAGCACTTTGGGAAGCCAAGGCGGGCGGATCACGAGGTCAAGAAATTGAGACCATCCTGGCCAACATGGTGAAACCCCATCTCTACTAAAAATACAAAAATTAGCCGGGCATGGTGGCGGGCACCTGTAGTCCCAGCTGCTTGGGAGGCTGAGGCAGAAGAATTGCTTGAACACAGGAGGTGGAGGTTGCAGTGAGCTGATTGTGCCACTGCTCTCCAGCCTGGCAACAGAGGAAGACTCCGTCAAAACAAACAAACAAACAAACAAACAAAAAACACTGTAGTGATAGAATGAATGACTCAATGAAGTAACAGAGAGGCTGAGATTCAAAGGATATAAGGAATAAACCGGGAGAAAAGACAGGAAAGAGGATTCCAAGCAGTGGGGATTGTATGTGCAAAGATCCTACAGTGAAAGAGAGGGTGGCACTTAGGAAGAACTGATTGTTTTTCCTTGTGGTCAAGGTAGAGTTCTGGAATACAGTGAGAAACAAGGCTGGAGGAGTAGACAGTATTTACATTATAGACATTTTCCTAAGCCATCCATTCTCTGTCCTTACTTAGTTGAGTTTCTGATGCTAAATCCTGAATCTCAGTGCACTGGTAGGCTCATCTAGCCTAAATTCCCACTTAATGGGTAAAAAGAATTTCAACTGGGCCCCATCCCAATCTCAAAACTGTTATAGCTAAAAACTGCTCCTTACTCAGTACTTAATATGTACCAGGCAGTGTAGTAAGCCTTTAAAGAGATGAATTCACTCCTCTAATCATTCGTTTACATGCTGGAATATGATCTTGCTTTAAACTGCCAGTCTGTCGATCAGGGTCATATATTTCAGGGACCTAAATCAGCTCCCTTGTTACCACAGTCCCTGGATTCCCTGCTGCCTGTGCTCTGATTAAGGAGACTCCAGCAGCTCTGCAATAAGGATTGAGTTGATTAACATCTGGTTGAAAATCTCTTCGCCCATATGAACCTGAGACAAAGCCATCCAAAGAGTAATTGATGGCAAAGACCCGAAGTTGTCTCTAAGATGGCAACTCGAGGGCTTAGCTGCACAGATGAGAAGATTAATAGCAGAGTGGCCTTGGAGTCACGGATACCTGCATTTGACTTCCAGCTTTCTCATTCACATGCCAGGTAACCTTGGGAACTTTCCTTTTCTCTCTGAATCCCCATGTTTACGTATGAAAAGAAGACACAAATACTTACACTAAAGGTGGTTTAAGGATTTAACGAAGCACCTTAGTACAGTATCTGCCCCATGGTGGGACAAAAGAAGCCGCAGCTGCTATTAATGCTGTATTGTTAGCCAAAGGGAAGAGAAGGGCAGATGTGGTGCAGAATTCTTACGTTCAAAAGAAGGAAGGAAAATCCATTAAAAACAAGCGCATGCAAATCGTCATTTACTGCAGTGACTGGGAGAATGGATTGTCTTGTTCATTTTATGTTCTGGTTCTGGAGGTAAACTGCAAGGTCCTTTTTATTGAAAGTTCATTCTGTCTTCCACAAATGTTATTGAGTCCATGCTATTTGCTAGGCACGTAGGAGAAATGAGGATAAATGAGCTGCTGATCCTGCATTCACCTCGGGAGTTGGAGAAGGGAGAATACAGATTTTCTATAAATGTGTGGGAAGGCACTTTTCTGCTTAAATACAGAATGCTAAGCATTATTTAAAATTTATTGAAAATGTTACCAGGGCCTCTCATTGCCTAAGACAGGTGATGGAGAACAGAAAGGCCGCAAGTAGATATGTGATGAATTTGTGTTTTCCATCCATTAATCTTTATATAAAAGTATAGATTATTATATATTATACATAATACTCACATAGCATACTAATCTTAATTGTGTTATTAGTAATTCTATTTCTCTATTACTTATTAAATAGATAGTATATATTATGTATATATAATTATACATATACACATCATGGCTATATATATTAATTGTACATTATTCTAGTTATAAGTCATATATTTATCCATTATCTAATACTCACATATTATATGTTATATAATAATATAAGTACATAAGTGATTTGGATTACCTATATTATCTCTCTCTTTTTTTTTTTTTTAACCATGTGCATGTTTTTCTTTAAAATAGAAATAGTGAAGTTCTGCTTCAGTCAGAACCTGCATAGGTTAATTAAATGCACGCTTTACTCCAACTCTACAACACTAAAGGACATGAAGGCTGCAAAACGACTGGGAAGGGCTGCCCCCATACACTCAACTCCTCCAGTTTCTCATGCATCCGTCCACCAAGTTTTACCAGACATTTACTATGTGCCAGGTTCTGCACTGGGCACAGGAGCAGAGGGCCGGTGGAGACACAGTCCCTGCCCCCACAGAGCTCACAGATGGGGCAGGCAGAAGCCACAGAGGCCGTGGTGGTCACGCTTCGGGAGAAAAGAACCACAAGTCAAAGGGGCACAAAAGGGGGCAACCAACTCTATCTGGGATGCTGGAAAGGATTCCTGGGGATGGAGATGACTGAGTGGGAATAGCCCTGATTGGAAGAAGAAAGAGGAAGGGAGGGCATAATGAGAAGGGGGAAAGCATGTGGGGAAACTGGCGTTGATGCTAAAATAGCATAGTCACGCAGGATCTGATAGCAGGATAGCAGATATGCTGCTACTGCAAATGTAATAAGACCAAGAAAAATAGTAAGAGAGGACTTAGGAGTAGTGATAGCAAGTATGTATTGAGCATTGATTGTTCTAGGCACTTTGATGCATTATATCACGTAATCTCACAGTAAACCTAGACTGTGTAGAGTATTGCTAACCAAATATTTTAGACGAGTGAACAGAGGTGCCAATACGTTGCTCAGCTGGTATGTGTGGCAGCCAGGAGTGAAGCAGATCAAGCTGTTACTCTAGTGGTGTTGGAGCAGACATCTAACCTCTGTAAACCTCAGCTTCTTCCTCAGTAAAATAAGGTGACGCTGGGCACAGTGGCTCATGCCTGTAATCCTAGTGGTTTGGGAAGCCAAGATTGATTACTTGAGGCCAGGAATTCTAGACCAGCCTGGGTAACATAGTGAGACCCCATCTTTACAAAAAAAAATTTTAAAAAGGCTGGGCTTGGTGGCTCACACCTGTAATCCCAGCACTTTGGGAGGCCGAGGCGGGCGGGTCACCTGAGGTCAGGAGTTCGAGACCAGCCTGACCAACATGGAGAAACCCCGTCTCTACTAAAAATACAAAATTAGCCAGGCATGGTGGCACATGCCTGTAATCCCAGCTACCCTGGAGGCTGAGGCAGGAGAATCGCTTGAACACAGGAGGCAGAGGTTGTGGTGAGCTAAGATCGTGCTGCTGCATTTCAGCCTGGGCAACAAGAGCGAAACTCCATCTCAAAAAAAAAAAAAAACTATTTGGGTGTGGTGGCATGTACCTGTAGTCCCAGCTACTGGGGAGGCTGACGCAGGAGGATCACTTGAGCCCAGGAGTTCAAGGTTGCAGTGAGCCATGATTGAACCACTACACTCCAACCTGACAGAGTGAGACCCTGTCTCTAATAACAAACAAAAGTAAGATGAAAGGTCATTCTGAGAATGCCAGGGTTGAGGGCTGCACAATGCCATGCTCATGGCAAATGCTAACTGTGGTGGCTGAAGTTCGGTGTGTGTTAGGGAGTAGAAATTGGAAAAGCGGAGGAAATAAGTGAATGAGGGGAGACTGGGTCAGATAATAGGGGCCAGTCTAGTGTGATAAACTAGATGTGTGCATTTTATTCTGAAAGCTGTGATGGACATTGGGAAGTCCAAAATAAATAGTGACATGTTCAGTGTTGTGTTTGAGAAATGTCACTCTGACCACAGAAGGACTTTTGGAAACAGCCAGGTCAGGTGGAGGAGTGTTGTCATAGTCCAGGGTGAGAAATGTGATGATCCAGACTAAGAAGAGACAGTTATAAGAGCTGTCGAGGACAAAGAGATAACACAGTTTCTGAATATAGGGACGTGGGGTTGAGGGAGGAAGAGGAGGCCAGGATGCTGCCCAGATTCCTGGCTTTAACGCTGGGGAATGGTGCAGTCCATCCACTGAAGCAGGAAACACAGTAAGAGGAGTGTTAAATTGCATCCCACCCCCACCACTCCAAATTCATATGTTGAAGCCCTAACCCCCAGTACCTCACAACGTCACTTTATTTGGAGATAGGGTCTTTACAAAGGCAATCGAGTTAAATTGAGGTCACTGGAGTGGGCCCTCATCCAATATGGCTGGTGTCCTTATGAGAAGGGGAAATTCGGACACAGAGTGTCATAGAGAGAAGACGGCGTGGAGAGACGCAGGGAGAATAGGCACATCTACAAGCCGAGGAGAAAGGCCTGGAATAGATCTTTCGCTCACATCCCTCAGAAGGAACCAACCCTGCCAACACCTTGATTTTAGACTTTGAGCCTCCAGAACTGTGAGAAAAGGAATTTCTGATGTTTAAGCCACTGGGTCAGTAGAACTTTGTTACAGCAGCACTAGGAAACTGACTTAGGGAGTAACTCATTCAGAGATGGCCACGAGTTAGGTTTTGGATCAGTTGAGTGTGATGTGTCGCTTTTGGGACAGCCAGGTGGAGACAAATGCCAAAACGATAGAGACCCAAGTCCAGGACTCAGTGGGCAGCTTGGGACCGGAGATTAACACATGCCAATCATTTTGGACACTCTGGCATTCATAGCACAGTGCAACCAGTACAGAATAGAAATTTGAAAAATAGTTGAATGAATAAATGAATATCCTATTTGCCTAAGGACAGAGGGCGAAGGGAATACAGGGAGACTGGAACTAATTGTAATTTCCCATCCCAGTAGTAAGAAGGTTATCTCAAGCGCTGTCCATAAGGAGCTATAACTATGACATATCTGAGGCCAGCAAATTTTAGAGAATTGCTGCATTGGTTGCTGATATTTACCCTCCCTAGAAAAGATAGTCCTCTCTTTGCTTTATAAAATCTAGAAGGCAGGAGAATTAAACAAGTATCAATGCTATTCTTAGGACAGAAAACTATAGCCTGTCCAGAGTCTCAGGTTCATGCCCATATTCTGAAATGTTGACCTCCAAGGGAGTGTGCCAGCAACATGTCTATTTTAGGTAGGAAGTTTAAAGCCTGCTTTGCTTAAAATGTCAAAATAAGTAGACAGCATAACAATGGAAAGTGGTAATAAGTGGAAACCAGGAGACCTTACTTTGAATCCCAGATTTGCCTCTGAAAAAGTGGGTAACCTTAACCTTTCTGAATGTCTTTTCCTTTATCTATAGAGCAGTCAGGGGAGGGGGTAATTGGATGATCTTCCAACTCTGACATTCTGTGATTCTCTCAGTGTTGCCTTTAATTGCAACGGGTGATAAGATGACATTTCCATAAATTGACCTGCCAACCTGATTTAGTCCGCCAGCATGAAGACATGAAAATAAGATGATAGGCAGAAATTAACATCACAGATGACGCTGGTAGAATATTTTCCCTCCTTAAAATGGCAGATGGAACACCAGAAAGAGACAACACTTGGCTTTAGAATGCACCTTAGTTACCAGAAAACTGGGTTTTACTGGAAAATGCCTGAATATACATGACCACAACATTTTGTCCAATGACTTCAAGTTTGACCATACTGAAAAACGATATGGAAAAATAAACCTGCTCCTAACTGCATTTGTGATTTCCCCTGGACCACTTAATATTTAAAACTTGTGTTGACCTCTTCTCTATATGCCTGGACATCTCGGCAATGGATATAATAAGCCCCTAAGGGGGAAAGGTAATTAGGATTTATTATCTAAGTGTCACATTTTGTGCCAGGTCTTTGACCTGTGTTGCAAAATACCTTATTTACACTTCCCTGTAGAAGATGCTGTCAGCCACATCCTATCTTTTCTGCACTTAACATGCCGAAGGTTGCTTAGGACTTCTGTCTGCTGTGGGAGCCCACTTGACTGGAAGAAGCCAGATAGGCACAAGAATTACTATTGCAGAAGCAGCCCTCAACAAGTATCAGATGCAAATGTGCTGGATAAATACTCCGGCTTCCTTGCTCATGGTTGGGATAACTCAGAGGCGTATTCTACACTTGCTCACAGGGTTCCCCAGAGGGATTGAGCTCCAGTTACACATGGTAGATATGGCCTTGATAACACATCTTTTATTGGCTGCCTTCTTTTACTGTCTTAATACCTTGTTATTTCCGGAGATCATTGTCCAGGTAAAATACCTACATCCAAATCGTTATCTTAGGTTCGGCTTCTGGGGTACCCAAACTAAGACATCTGCAAGAGCGCTGTGAAGTAGGTGGCATTGTAAGATATCAGTTTTTAAGTCTTGGTGCTTGGATTCGCCTGATTCCCATTGACTTTCCTCTATGCCAGTGATTCTTAACCACAGGACATTTTGTCCTTCCACCAAGGCGACACTTTGCAATGTCTGGATACATTTGTGGTTGTCACAACTGGGAGGATGCTACTGGCATGTAGTAGGTAGAGGCCTGGAGGGCTAAACATCTGACAATGCATAGTACAGTCTCCTACCACAAAGACTAATCCAACCTTAAAAAGGCCCCCCGGGCACAGTGGCTTGCGCCTGTAATCCTAGCACTTTAGGAGGCTGAGGCGGGTGGATTACCTGAGCTCAGGAGTTCGAGACCAGCCTGGGCAACACGGTGAAACCCCATCTCTACGAAAAATACAAAAAATTAACCGGGCATGGCAGCATGTGCCTGTAGTCCCAGCTACTTGGGAGGCTGAGGCAGGAGAATCGCTAGAACACAGGAGGTAGAGGTTGCAGTGAGCCGAGATCGCACCACTGCACATTGCACTCCAGCCTGAGTGACAGAGTGAGACTCCATCTCTAAAAAAAAAAAAAAAAAAAAAAAAGTCAATAGTGCCGATGGAGAAATCCTGCTCTACACCCAGCAAGACTGGCTATGATCTGGTGGCTCCTATGTGTGACATAGCTATTGTCTTTTCCTTCCAGGGTCAAGCTGTGGCTCAGCTGTGTTCCACTGTCCCCAACGTGACTGTCTTTGGAACAGCCTCTACTTTCAAGCATGAAGCAATCAAAGACTCTGTGACCCACCTCTTTGACAGAAATGCAGACTACGTGCAAGAAGTTAAAAGGTAAGATGTTTGCTTTTGAAAAAGCACCAGGCTGGCCCTTGCTCTGCTCTCAAAGAGCAGTAGCACTTATTTAAAAGAGGGATAATAATAATATGTAGCAAACATATATTGGGGGCTTAGTATTATTAGCTCTGTGCCAAATATTTCACACGCATTAGTTCATTTAATCCTCTTAACCTCACTATTATCACCAAGGAACGAATCGGCTAACTTGGAAAGTTAATGTATTAAAGTTACGCTAGCTCCTATTTGACCATCTTAACACATGGAAGTTTATTTCTCATTCATTCACATGATAGCTTAAGGTGGATATTTGGTGGATGATCTTCTGTAAGAGCATTCAGAGACCCAGGCTCTTTTCATCTTATGGTTCCACTATTGTCTTGGGTCTAAAGGTCCTTTGCTTCTAGCCAACAGATGGGCAGACAGCACCAAAGGGTCATGAATAGGAGGTTTTATGGGCCAGTCCCAGAAAGAACACACACCCTTCTCATAGTCTAGCACTACTGCTCAGGTCGTTGGCTACGCCTTACTGAAAGCAAACTGAGAAACCTTGTCATTGGGTGCACCCAGAAAGGCCTGGCACTGGCAGTAAAGGGTGGAGCCTGGAGTCAAGCCAGGCATTTCAACTTCGGAGCCCGTGATTTTCCTGTATAGATAGCACCTCTCTGAACAGTGAAGCATGAGCCAGAATTATCCATAGGAAGAAAGGGGCAGGGAGGGGGCTGCTCTGGGAAAGGAAAGTCGTGTGCATGCATACTGAGGAATGCAAGAGCCTCAGAGGCTGGGAGAACTACAAGAAGGCTTACTGGGGTGCAAGTCCAGGGATGTCTTGTTATCTCATCTAATTATAGGTGTTGGCAAAGGGACACCTGGGGGGAAAGGGAAGAAGGGGCATGAGGTGAGGCTGAGCAAGGAGACAGGTATCAGATGCACATAAAGACCATGTACACCAATCCAGCAAATGTGGACTCCAACCTGGGTGTGACCAAGAGCCACTGACAGACTAAAATGGGGCTATGATTGATTTGAGTTTTGAACAATCACTGGTGGTGCAGAGGGGATGGATGGGTAGAGGGAGGCTGGGGCTGCAAGATCATTTGCTGGCTGTTGCAGTCACCTGGGGGAATGATGGTTTATAACCTGTGATTCTGAAGTTATTGATCATGGCCACATGTTTGTCAGCACAGGGAAGCAGATGGAAACCCAGCTGCCATCATGGTTTTAGATGATTTTGTGTGTCTCACTCTGGCTATTGCTCTGGGCCCCAGGCTTGTTCTCAGGGTCCATGCCACTCAGAGCTTCCGAGAGGATTCAGATTTGGGCCAGAGCCATTGTTTCGGCATTCTCATTTTCCAACACAAAATTGTTACGTACAAAGGTATTACGTTGTCCAGATAGAATCATAATAAAGAAACAAGGCTGGGCACAGTGGCTCATGCCTATAATCCCAGCACTTTGGGAGGCCAAGGAGGGCAGATCACTTGAGCCCAGGAGTTTGAGACCACCCTGGCCAACATAGTGAAGCTCGATCTCTACCTGTGCCCCCCCACAAAAATACAAAACGTAGATGAGCATGGTGATGCATGCCTGTAGTCTCAGCTACTCAGAAGGCTGAGGTGGGTGGATCGCTTGATCCCGAGAGGTAGAGGTTGCAGTGAGCTGAGATCATGCCACTGCACTCCAGCATGGGTGACAGACAGCAAGAGCCTGTCTCAAAAGGGAAACAATTTTCTTCAAATCACAGATTAAGATGGGAAAACTGAAGGACAAGTGGATGGGAGAGCTGGTTATTTGAGGTGATAGTTTTAGAACAGATTTGGTGAAACTTGGGAAGTTTCTTGAAAAGGAGGGGGTTCTGATGGTCTTAGTTTTCAGATTTATTTTTCAATTTTGAATGCAGAGCATTGCATATAATTTAAGGTTGTCCCAATAGTTCCAGCAGGATGTGAAAGGAAAGCTTAAAGCTAGATGTTAGAAGTTGACCCTCTGTTTCTCAGATGTCTAGAGGCTGCAGGCTAATTTTGAGGACATCCATTTGCCCAGTTCCATAGCTCTCAGGTAATTCTTCTTATCCTTTTTTTTTTTTTTTTTTTTTTTTGAGACGGAGTCTCGCTCTGTCACCCAGGCTGGAGTGCGGTGGTGCAATCTCGGCTCATTGCAAGCTCCACCTCCTGGGTTCACGCCATTCTCCTGCCTCAGCCTCCCGAGTAGCTGGGACTACAGGCACCCACCACCACACCTGGCTAATTTTTTGTATTTTTAGTAGAGACGGGGTTTCACCATGTTAGCCAGGATTGTCTTGATCTCCTGACCTCGTGATGCGCCCATCTTGGCCTCCCAAAGTGCTGGTATTACAGGTGTGACTGCGCCCGGTCAGTTCTTCCTATCTTTAACTTGACTCTCTTAAGCTGTGGTCTGGAAAATGAACTATCGTTGTCCCTTCAGTCATTGTTTCTTTGACTTCCTTACGTGTATTTTTGCAAGCATTCTTTCATGTACGCATGAATACAATTGCTTAATACATCTGTGCTTTGTGTCTGTGATGGCCTGGAGACTGTGCCAGAGCCAGAGATCCAGCAATGCCATCTTGAGAGCCACTGTCCTTGTGGAATATAGAGTCTTAACGGAGGGAGAGGGGACAAAAAATAAAACTATAAAGAGAAATAACTGATTCACATTTTCGACATGTGCTCTGGTAGTGAAATGCAAGGTGCTATCGAATACTTACTGATGGAGAAATCAGAAACACTGTCAATCGCAGAGTGGGATTTTGGCTGAGAATTGAGGGATGAGAAGTTGGCCAAAGGAAGAGCATTTCTGACTAGCAGGGATGCCATGGGCTAGGATCCCACATCAGGAAAAGCTTGCTGAACTTATGAACCTGAAAGGAGGCCAGTGCAGCTGGCAGGATGTGGGGAGTGGGAAGAGAAGGGAGATGGCATCTCTTCTGAAAAAGTAATAGCCCATAACCAGAGAACTCCTGCCTGCTCCATTTCCTCAGCATCCTTCCCATCCTCTATCTTTCCACTGCCCTAGATCTACTCTCTTAGCCCCCACATCACTGGTGTCTGCTGATGTCAGAAGAACAGAAGGCATTTGAGACCCACCTCACCCTCACCTTCCTTCAAAGGTGACTTCCCACAATTCATTGTGTTTTTAAATAGAGACCTTGGGATTACACTCAGAATGCCCAGGAAGTTACAGATACGTTTACACAACCCTCCGTCCTAGCAAACCTACCCTCAGGAAATAAGAAGAGCAAAGCTACAGGTACAAGGCTGCCTGTTGCAGAGCCAAACCCTGCTTCTGCTTCATTGTAAGTGCTCAGCACATGTTGACAGAGTGAATTATAGCATTGTCTGCAATAGTGAAAATTCAGAACAAGCCCCTACAATCAACAGAAGGGAAATAGTTCAGTCGATTATGCCACACCCACATACTTGAGTATTGGGCAGTCCCTTAAAAAATGATAATTATGAAGACAGCCACAAAATGAAAAAAATGCCCATGGTAGCACATTGCGTGAAAAAAGCAGAATGCCAGATTCCATCTACTCTGTGATCACAGCTTTGTACAAATTCTCGGTGCATGTAGACTTAAAATGAAAGGAAAGGGAAAATATCCAACTGCCAACATGCGATAGGAGTGGAATGCAGAGTGATTTCTCTTTATTTTTTGATCACAGATATTGTTACGCTATTAGGTGTACAATGAACCAGAAAAAAAAAAAAAGATAAAATTTCTTGAGATGAAAACTCTTTTATAAGCCAGTCAATCGGGAAGCCTCCTTTGAACACATTCTCAGCCTTGAGGCAGGTGTTGTAAAGGGAATAGAAAAAAAAATATTTATGACACAGACCTAACCTTTACATCCGTTACTTTCTCTCTCTTTAGGAGGAGAGAGATGATTATGAGTGAAACCAAGCCAAAGCGTTAGAAACCTTGAGTTGTGTGTACCTAACTGCAAGGGCTTTACAAATAAGGAAAAGAGAAAGATCAGAGAGAGCACGTCAAGATGGACAGCCCCTCAGGTGCACTTGAAGGTTGCGATCGATTTCAGTAGGTGGAGGGGGAAGCGTGAGAGAATCCACACAAGGGAATCTTGGACAGAACAGGGCAGATAATAATAGCCACGCTTTGTTGCTCTCCTGCCATCCTGCTACGAGTTCAATTAGACCATTTTCTGTGCACCTGAGACAATCCTGCAAGGTGAACATTCCTCATTTTACAGATAAGGAAATTGAGAGGTAGGAACAGATTTGGCCTTGGAGGTGTGTGAGTCTGTCAGCTTTCTATTCTGCAAAACTCCTCTTGGTTTACAAGAGGACTCAAGGAAACTTTTGGGCGTGAAGCATATGTTCATTACGTGGACGGTGATGAGGGTTTCACAGGTGTGAACATATTTAATCTCTCACCAAATTGTACACTTTAAATATGTACAGTTTACTGTATGTCAATTATATCTCAATAAAGCTATTAAAAAAACCTGCCTTTAAAAAAATCAAACAACATTTTAAAACTTCATTGGGTGGAAATGGGTACACAATATCATCTCAGACCTTTTGTTCATTCATTCATTCATTCATTCATTCATGTAGAGATGCTTCTCGACTTACAATGGAGTTACATCCCTGTAAACCCATTAGAAACTTAAAATATCATGAGTCAAAAATATATTTAAGGCCAGGCTTTGGTGGCTCATGCCTGTAAATCCAGGACTTTAGGGAGGCCGAGGCAGGAGGATCACCTGAGGTCAGGAGTTCAAGACCAGCCTGGCCAACATGGTGAAACCCCGTCTCTACTAAAAATACAAAACTTAGCCAGGTGAGGTGGTGCACACCTGTAATCCCAGCTACTCAGGTGGCTGAGACAGGAGAATTGCTTGAACCCAGGAGGTGGAGGTTGCAGTGAGCCCAGATTATGCCACTGCACTCCAGCCTGGGCGACAGAGCGAGACTATCTTAAAAAAAAAAAAAAAGAAAGAAAGAAAACCCACAAAACACAACATTTCAAAACATTGGGTGGGAAATGGGTACACAATATTATTTCAGACCTTTTGTTTTTTCATTTATTCTGTACAGATGCTTCTCAACTTAAAGTGGAGTTACATCCTTGTAAACTCATCATAAGCTTAAAATATCATGAGTCAAAAATGTATTTAATACACCTAACCTACTGAATGTCATAGCTTAGCTTAGCCTACCCTAAATTTACATTAGCCTACAGTTGGGCAAAATAAACTAACACAAAGCCTATTTTACAATAAAGTGTTGAAAACCTCGAGTTGTATGCAGTCAGGTATACACAACTCAGGATTCTTAATGCTTACCAAATACTGTACTGAAAGTGAGAAACTGAACAGTTGTATGGGTACATCACAAAGTTGAAAAATTATGAAGTGAGACCATTGTAAATGGAGTACCATCTATATTAGTGAGGCCTACAAACAGACTACGAAGATACAATGGTGAGCAAAACAAGCAAATCCCCATGCAAGACAATGGGGTTGGCAGCTGATAGGGAAGTACAGAGCACTGTGGGGGCACAGGTGAGCAATGCCTAAATGGAAGCCTGAAGAACACATGGGAGCTCTCTTTTGGGTCTTCCACATTGTATGAAGTAAATACTGTGCTTATTTTTCAGAGGGAGGCAAGGCAAGCCTAGTTAAGTAAATATCACACAAATAGACGTGACGGGACTCAGTTCCAGGTGGCTGTAGTGCCAGAGCTTGTGATCTTTCTAGCACCCACACTGACTCTCACAAAGGAAGTGAGGGCGGCTTGCTCCTCAGCCAGGGAGGAAGCCAGATTGCCTGTATTAAAGCATGTGGTTTTGTGAGGTGCTTGGATGGTGCTTGGTTAGATCAGAGCTTCCAACCTCAGCACTGTGGACATTTGGGCTGGGATCATTCTGCTATCGGTGGCGCTGCCTTGTCCATTGCAGATGTTGAGCAGCATCCCTGGTCTCTACCCATTAGATGCCAGTGGCACCCCCCTGCCCTTCAAGTCATGAAAATATGAAACGACTGCAGACCCTGGTGGAGAACAGGGCTAGATTGATGAGACTCTTGAAAGCTCTTAAATGGAGTAAACATTGCATTATGTCAGAAATGTAGAGTTCTTTGCAGATTTGAAGCAGTTAAGCACTGTTCAGAAAGGTGAAACTACAAAAAAAAAATGATCTGGCTGCCATGTACAGGAATGGTGAGAGAAGAGATCTCCAAAATCAGGAGAATGAGTAGCAGAAGGGGGAAGGGAGAGGCAGTGCCTATAGAGATTTTGAAGGAGAACGAGAGAATGACCTATGACTAGGGAAAATACTGCAAGATGAGACCAAGACGTCTTTTCCTTTTTGTTGTTGTTAGACAATGAGGAATGGAGCTGTAATGACTTCCTTTAGACAAGATAAATACAGTGTGAGAGTGAGAACTCCAGGGGCCTGCATAACAGGCCAGGGAAAGTGGGACTGGAGCTCCATTGAGTACAAAGCCACTCCCTTAGGCTGGATGTGGTAGTTCACACCTATAATCCCTGCACTTTAGGAGGCCAAGGCAGGAGGATAGCTTGAGGCCAGGAGTTTGAGACTAACCTGGGCAACATAATGAGACTCCCATCTCTAAAAAACAATTCGCTGGGTGTAGTGGTGTACACCTGTAGTCCCAGCTACTTGGGAGGCTGAGACAGGAGGATCTCTTGAGCCGAGGAGTTTGAGGCTGCAGTGAGCTGTGGGCATGTCACTGCACTGCAGCCTGGGCAACAGAACAAGACCCAGTCTCAATGATTAAAAAAAACCACCCACTTCGAGCATTTTCCAAATGACTGACATGAGCTGGCTCTGGAAGTTAGGAAACTGCGATAAAGCACAATCTCTAGCCAAAGGAGCACAAAGCCCACAGAGGAAGGAATCAAACTCCCGATCGAGGGGGAGCAGCTAATTGTTAAAATGACTTGAATCTTGCTATCTGCTTCACCCGATAGCAGTCATAGGTGAAGCCAAGGAGTATAAGATCAGAAAAGGCAGAGATCAGACCGAACTCCTGCACTTCTAGCACAATGCCTGGCACATAATAGGAGCTTATTTTAAAACTGGTGGAAATTAATAAGAGTCTAATCACCTGGAAAGAATAGGGACCAAGGGATCTAGAAGGCATTCCTGGAGGTAGTATTGCGAAGTACATATGGGAACTACTAATAGTAAACACTTACCAAGAAGCCTACCACACATCAGCACTGGGCTTGGCCCCCTGTGAGAAACCTGTCACGTGCTGGGTGCTGTGCTTGGCACTCTGTAAGAAGCCTACCGTAGAGTAGGCATTGTGTCCAGTCCTCTATAAGAAGCCTATCGCGTACCAGGCACGGTGCTTGGCACCCTGTGCAAAGCCTACTAAATGCCAGGCACTCGGAAATAGTCTCATCCTGTGATGGTTAAAGCTGTGGCACAGATGAGTTCTCAGAAAAAGGGATTCAGAAAGAGAAAACAGAGTGGAGAGCCAAAGACCCAGCTGGAGAGCAAAGTCACCATAAAGAGGAATACTTTTCTTGGCAAGGTCAAAGGGTTTCTCTCTAAGTACCGCCTCTGTTGGAACCTACTGCCACTCAAGAGAAATTCTTCCCTAATCTGTGTGGGCAAGAAGGAAAGAGGCAGCATTCACCATCCAGGGCCCGGGGCTGGGGACACAGGAAGGACAGACATGAAGGTCTTGGAACAGCAACTCTGAAATATCTTACTGCTGAATTTGGCTCATATAATCCCCGAGCTGGGGCTATTTGTGTTTGCTTTTTAAATCCGCAGAGATTTATGGCAGCAGGAAAAAGCACACAGAGGAATTGCTGCATTTGGCCTTCTGCCACACCTTCTTCGCTTTCATGTAATAATCATACATATGCAGGCAGTGGTGAACACCCCCAGAAACCGGAGTCAGGGGGCACAGAAATGATGAAGATGGTCTTTGTTCCTCTGATGAGCCTTCCGGCTCCACTTGTGATTTTCATGATTATTTCATTAAAAGGGCTACTGCAGCGCTTTTCAGTGTGGGTGTAACTGAGGCAGGGTCAGTCCCAAGGCTGCTCATGGGACCAGGAACATTCTAAATAGACCCAACTGAATCCAGTTCAGTACAGTCTTTCTATGGGGTCTGTCATAGAAGGGACTCAACAGAGGTGGAGCACTTTTCAATTTTGAAATTCTTACCCGAAGGAACATTTCTACCCTTGAAAGGAGCAATAGCTGCTGGAATGGTTTGACAGAAAGAGCAAAAGCATCCTCACCCTCAGGTGCTGAGAATGATATCTGCCTCTGCCCAACTTCTCCCCCTCAGAATCCACCTCCCCTACCTCCTCCCACCCTCCACCCCACCACTGACCTTCAAAAGGATGCAATGACAGCAGGAAGGAGAGGATTTGTGGTTCTGTTGACCCCCAGCCATGCATGTGATCCAACTGTAGAAATGCCGAGAGAGAGGCATGGACGGGGGCAGGTGGCCTGAATGTGAAGGAGACCCACAAGTGTCTCCTTCTAGTGTTAAGCCCAAGAAAGCACCCCCCAGCTTTTCTCATCCCTGCTAGGTACCTGCATGGCATAGAAGTGACAGTGGTGGTCGCCTCAGGGTTGGCCGCTACTTACCCTATGAAACCCTAATTCACCTTTGATGCCCTTGCCTGGTTTCTAGATGTGATGGAACAAACTAAGGTCTTCCCACTCTATGCAGTGGGCCCAGGGGTGAGTCACCTGACCCTCACTGAGCCTCATTTTCCTTGTCTATCAAATGGGGATAATGATGGCCCCAGAGTCAGAGGATTGGCATGAGGCATAAATGTAGCCTGGATAACAGAGCAAGACCCAGTCTCAATGATTAAAAACTTACGAACTTCTTAGCATTCTACTTGGGACATAGTAATTGCTCAAGAGTGTGGCACACTCTCTTTGGAAGGTCAAGAGCATCAAGCCTCAGCTCCAGTCATTTCTGGGCTGGTGTCTCCACCCACCCTGAAGGTTGAGTTGGAGAGGTTTTGCGTACTCTTTCTTTTCATGCCCTTTTCCCAACCAAAAGACTTGAAGGTGGGGCATTTTGAAAAATGGTAATCAATCAAAGCTACCATGGACCCAGAGCTTACCATGAACTGGGCTCTGTGTTCCATTTGCATCAGTTCATTCAAGCTTCATAAAGAAAATGTAGGTGTTATCACCATCATCCCCTTCCACAGTTGGGGAAACTGAGGCACAGAGAGGCTAAGTAACTCACCTAAGGTCACACAGCATGTAAGTAGCAGAAATGAATGCTTAACACTGAAATAAAATGTATATTCCTAAGCCCAGTACTGTGTTGCCCTTGAGCCACCCCTCTCCCCTGCGTACCCACCTCCATGTGAGCTGTTGATTGTGATAGCCATTCTTAGGGTCCTTCTACAAGGAGTCAGTGGCCAGGCCTCCTGATTGCCATGGTTGGTGTCCCAAAGCCTTCTCACTGTCCTAGGTCAAGCTATCATACTATTCTCTGAGAAGTGCCTTCCCTTTGTCACCTGGCCAATTTCTGCTCTGAAAACAGACCTGGGGAGAAGTGAGGGAGACAGGAACGCAATTACCCAGCCCATAATGCAAGGTGAAGACCTGACCACCAACCTGAAGCCCACCAACCAAGAGTCCGTGTGGTCCAACTCCCACCTGCCTCTCCAGCCCAACCTCAAAGCAAGCGGCCCTTTGTTTTCATGCTCCAGCCACAGTGGCTGCTTCCCAGTCTTCCTCCCACCATAAGGCCTTTGCACATCCTGTTCCCTCTGGTTCCCTCTGCTGCCAACCCTCAACAGAGGGTCATCTTCCAATGCTCGTAAGTTGCTCTATTGGAGCAGTGATCACTCTGTGTTTGGTTCATTTATAGATGTCTGTCCTTGTACACCATGAGCTCCTGGATGGTGAGGGCAAACTTCTGCCTTCTCTGTGTATTCACAACTCAGCATGCACAGTGCCTAGCATGTAGTAAACACTCAGCAAATGGTTATCCAGTGGCTGGAAATTAAGGGTAAATTTGTGGGACTCTGAACTTGGGTCTTTCCTATAAACTCTCGGGGAAAACCAGCTTGAAAACAGAAATCTTTTGGTCTAGATGTTTGATCTAGGCCAAACTTTGATCAAATGTAATCAGACTCTGAATGTATGTGTATTTATTTCAAGACAAAATTTAAGCCTGGATTTTTCAGAGACTAAATTAAATTGGCTGCTTCTCAGAGCTGCTTGCTAAAGTGATGCTTCCATACTTAATACTGGCTTGAACATTTATTAAGTCTTAAACTCAGACTGGTGAAAAGGCCATCATCTCTGGAGTTAAACTAGACCTAGAATTGAATTCCAGCTGTGCTAGTTACGTAAGCTTGGGCAAGATTGCTGCATCTGTAAGCCGTGATTTCATTTTTTTAAAAGTGGAGTTAAAATGCCTGCCTCATAGGCTTTTTGTGAGGGTTAATTATGAAATAGCTGTTATATAGGAGAGCTCTGAAATATGAGTTTCCTTTCCGAGGAAGCACACATATAGAGACACAGAATAGCAGTCTTAAACTGTTTTCTTCATCATCTTTCATTCATTCAGTTACCCATTCATTGAAACACTTGTGCATTCCTCTGGTCAATCACTATTTCTTGAGAAGCAACACTATATCCAACAGGAAGAGAAGGGCCATAGATATTATCATAAGCAGCACAAACATGGTCCAAGGGGCTTAAATTTTGGTGGAAGAGAAAGTCAATAAATAAATAATTACAACCTATGATAGGTACTAAAAAGTATCTCCAGTGTAGACATTAAAGCATAAAGGAAACTAAAATGGAGATCCGTTTTAGGTGGAGTGATTAGTTACAGGTCCTCTGGAAAGATCGTATGTGGGTGAGGTCTGAAGGATGAGAAGGAGCCAGCTCTAAGGAGAGCAGGGGATAGGCTGTCCAGGCAGAGATGACAGCACATGCAAAGGCCCTGAGGTCAGAAAGTTCTAGGGACAATCAAAAGGCCAAATGCCTTGAGCTGTGGGTGGGAGGTGAAGATGGGGAAGTGCACAGGAGTTTATAGGCCACTGTTGGCTATGGACATGCCCTGCTTCTCTGCAGAACCAGAGTCCAGCGGACAGAGCAACAGGTCAAGGTGGGACTAATACAAGGAGATATGACTGGCAGTTTGTGGGAGAGAATGTGGCCCGCCAAGTAGAATGCAGATGTGAGGGGCATCAGAGGACAAAAATTCAAGGCTGGGCGGACCCATCATGGGTACAGCAGGAGGTATGCATGGCCTAATATTGGTGAGGCTGCTTCTGACCACAGGTGGGCATCCTGCAGGCAAGGGGAGAGGTCTTGGAGAAATGCAGTTCACTGAGATGACTTGATGGCTCAGGAGGGTGGGCTGGTAAAAGCAGACCAGGACCCCACTCTCGCAAGAGTGAGCAAACTTAGCAGAAAACAGACCCGGGCAGAAGTGAGGGAGACAGGAGCACAATTACCCACCCCATAATGCAAGGTGAAGACCTGACCACCAACCTGAAGCTCACCAACCAAGAGTCCATGAGGTCCAACTCCCACCTGCCTCTCCAGCCCAACCCGAAGCAAACACCCCTTTGTTTTCATACTCCAGCCACACTGGCTGCTTCCCAGTCTTCCTCAACCACAGGGCCTTTGCACATGCTGTTCCCTCTGCCTAGGACACTATTCCCTTCACTCTTTACCTATTTAACTCCTTCCCTTCCCCAGGGATGCCTCTCTGATAGCCCTGATTGGGAAAATTCTCCATTTACACAATTCTAGAGCCCCTTAGTGGCATGAGACCACATTTCAACTTAACATTTATTTGTGTAATTATTGGTGAATATCTGCCTCTTATACGCTCCAAAAAGAGGAGAAAGCAATATACTACATCCTCCAGTGCCTAGTGCAGTGCCCACTGCTGAATATTTAATGAACAAATTAATTTGTAAAAAAAAAAAAAAAAAAAAAAAAGCCAGTCTGGCTCCTAAGTAACTGGCTTAGATCAGTAATTCTCAGAGCGTGGAGCTGGAATTAGCAGTGGCAGCAGCACCTGGAAACGTTAGAAATGCAAATCCCCACCACAGACCTACAGGATCAAAGAAAGGAAGGATTGCAATCTTTGTTTTAGTAAACCCTGCAGGTTATTACAGTGCACACTTAGGTTTGAGATCCACTGTCCTAATTACTTTGTTTTGAACTTTCAGGTGAGACTTAAGAGGACACCCCTGTGCAGATAAGAGCTCTATTAGGCAGGAAGCTAAGCTGATCATTTTGGATGAGCCTTGGTAGTGGGCTGGATTTTGGACATGACATGAGGGCTTTTGAAGGGCATAGTCACATAAAGACTCAGCTGCATAGGGAAGCTGACTTAGTCTCTGCACCCAGGAGATGTACATGCAGTTTCCTAGTTAGTGAAACTGTGGACACAGGACCCAGCTGTTAACACATGCTGCAATGCCTAAATTTTGCTAGGGTGAACTTGGGGGTAGAAAAATTGAGATATTTGCTAAGACAAGTTAATCCTGCAAACTTGCAAACACAAGGAATGCCATTCTTGTCTGAACAGAGCAGGGATCTGCCAGAATAGGGATCTCTGTGGGCATGAATATCTTCCCCACAATCTCCAGAGTCTTCCTGTTCTACAGCCCCCTCCTGTATATGTTCTAAGAGTGGGAGCCCAGTAAAAGTTGCTTACATGCATTAGTGAGTGAGTGAGTGAATCAATGAATGTATAAAGAAATGAATAGAAGAGATCAACAAATGCTTTGTCTAATGCAGTACAAATGTGGCTTCTTTCTACTCCACAACCTCCCATTGCTGGAGGAAGTTCATCTCTATTTAACCCTCTTCCTCTCAGAGTCAGTTTTAGGTTGGACCTAGACATTGGAGAAAGAGAAGCTTATGAGTTAGACTAACGTGCTTTATGTTTTCACTGTAAAGGGAGGTTAGGAGGGAGGAAGGCCAGGCCCTGCTAGAGAAGCAGCCCCATGAAGACAGGGAGAACACTGGTTTGGTTCACTCTATCTCCAGCACCTTGAACAGAACCAGGCAACTAACCCTTGCTCTACACATAGGAGTTGCCTGAGCCTCCCCTTTTGTTGCGTCATTTCATTCTTACCACAAAGAAACATACTAGCTCCACTTTACGAAGGATAAAGCTGAAGCTAGAGAATTTGAGTAAAGGAGCTAGACACAAACTCAGACCCACTGACCCCAAGTTCATTCCTCTGGCCCAGGCTGGTTCCCAGTGGCAGCTACCACCCAGACTCTTAGCTGCCTCCAGTTTTGTGAAATTTTTATCACTGGATCTGGGAAGACATATCCACCTCCTGGGCTTCTGCCCTATTTATTGCTACTCCTGGAGCTTTCAGGGTTCCTAATTCTGAGAGTCAGACAATATGACACAGGAAAGGAAAGGGATTGACAGTCTGGCTCCTGACAGGTCACAGAATTTTGCTTTGCCTTCTCACCATTTAGAATCTCTGCTGAAGGTGTGGACATCGTTTTGGATTGCCTCTGTGGGGACAACACTGGAAAAGGTCTCAGTCTTCTCAAACCCCTGGGAACCTACATTTTATATGGTGAGTGCAAAACAGCAGCAGGGACGTGGTCAGCAATAGGTACCTCTACATATGTGCCTGCAAAGGCTCTGAAAAGTGAATTGTGCTGATATGTTGGGGTAGTGGGATGGGGGTGTTTCATTTTTTAATGTTTCCTATAATGTTTCTATTACTGTGAGTTATTTTCAATTTTAAAATAACATGTGCCTACTGTCCTATATCCTATTATTTCAAATGGGATAAAGCAAGACCAAGCCAATGTGGTCATTGATATGACTAGAACCACTAAGGGACATCACCCACAGAAGGTAGCACAGGTGGAAAATATGAATGACTTCAAAGGAAGTTCAGAAATAAAGAAGGCATGAAGGACCCACAGTAGGATGGGGAAGAGTGGCTAGGATATGCATGTTTTAAGGGAGGATCTTTACTATTTGAGAAGTTGCAAAGTACACACTCTGCTTCCCCTAAACTACTCCTGAGCATCCCACGCAAGACAGAAGCCCTGAATAGATGGAACACATGTCTGTTCTTCTTCTCCTAAACTCCTCCTGAGCGTCCCACTCTTAAGACAGAAGCCCTGGATAGATGGAACTCATGTCTGTTTCCATCTCTTTCTACATTCACTTCTATGTCTTAGGAGTGGAAGAGATGTATGCAAAACAACTGGAAGAAGATTTTCTCCAGCAAAATGAGGCTCCAGGGCCTCCTTTCTCTCTTCTTTTTCTTCTTTTCTGTCATAGGCATGCAAACCAATTTAAACATTAGTCTCCACAGGCCGGGCGCAGTGGCTCACGCCTGTAATCCCAGCACTTTGGGAGGCCGAGGCGGGCGGATCATGAGGTCAGGAGATCGAGACCATCCTGGCTAACATGGTGAAACCCCGTCTCTACTAAAAATACAAAAAATTAGCCAGGCATGGTGGCGGGCGCCTGTAGTCCCAGCTACTCGGGAGGCTGAGGCAGCAGGAGAATGGCATGAACCCGGGAGGCGGAGCTGGCAGTGAGCCGAGACCGCGCCAGTGCACTCTAGCCTGGGCGACAGAGCGGGACTCTGTCTCAAAAAAAAAAAAAAAAAAAAAAAAAAAAAAACCACATTAGTCTCCACAAACTAAAATAGGAGTATTTGAAGCTAGATGGCATAATCTGAAGCAAAATAATATTGGGTTTATCCAATGTTTAAGATTCTTGGTACCTTGTCCCCTGTAGGTACAATAGAAAACTGAGTTTTAATTCTGGCTAACTCAGAAAAAAACACTTATTTCCCTGCTATTTCCTGAAGAGCTTATAAAATAGATATTTGAGAGGTATAAATATGCAAGCATTTTTTTGTCATCTTCAGACCATTGTAACAGAAAGAAGGCTGAACTCACCAGAGGCAGGTAAACATCCCATTGCTGGAATGTTCCAGTAATTTCAATCATAGCCATGTATTTCCTTTGAAGTGGACGTGTGGTTTATTATTATCAGTGAGAGTCCCTGCACGTTGCAAGGATATCGGATATGACTAACATGTGAGTCAAATGCAGATGGACGATGTAGTCATCCTTACTTATCATTTACCAATAATTCTATTTTTGTCCCAGTTTCTTGATGTCATTTTGGTGAAATTCAACTTGATTAATCCCATGTGAGTAGTTCACAATTATCTACTTCATTACGTTGATCACTTGGTCACTAATTAATCAAAGTCTAGTACTGGGATGCCCCGTGGTACTCACCCCATAAAAACAGAAGCAATGGTTCACTATTATGCTGGTGTAAGGGTAATTGCAGTCTTCGGCATTAAAAGTAATGGCAAAAACCACAGTTACTTTTGCACCAACTTATTAACTGGCTACTAGTTTACCCAGGCTAAATAGTGTAAAATACACATGACTATTTTATTAAATAACTCCTCTCTGAGAAGAAATTACTCCAAAATCTTTGAAGACAAGGCAGGAAAGTTGTTGAAAAAGCACCTGTATGGTATTTGAATGTTCCCCATACTGTTAAGAGCTCTCTCATTCCCCCCTCCCCTGCCCCGAAACCTTATAAAGGGTCTTTACTCTCCGTATGAGAATCTTAGGGAATCTTTCCCAACTCCACCTCCCATCTGCCCTCTGAATACTGCTTGTCCAATTGGCAAAACTCAGTTTCTCATATGCTTGTCTCAGACCTCTTTGGAGCTGACACATGGATCACACCATTTCTTTGGTCCCTGGGCCCCTTTTCATTCTCACCTGTGAGCTTCTATACCCATTTTTTCCAATCCATCTATATTTTAACTCTGCTCCACCTCTCCCACCATTTAGGTACCCAGTCCAGGTCAGAGCCCCAAGCCCCTCACTTGCTGGGGAATCAAATTCAGAATCACAAAGTAGATTCACTAAGGAGTTCCTTTCTCAGCCTCAAAGAACAGACCTAAAAAGACATTTCAGCAACTCATCATTTTATTCAAACGTTGGCCTACATCATATTTTTGCTATATGCCAAATTTTGCAAAGTAATAAGACGGTCATCATGAGAAATGTCACTTTCTCTTTGATCAGGGACAGTCAGCTAACATAGTCAACTTTATGCCTCATTCTCATTCCCCTCACTTTGCCAAGGCTTAATTAAATTTGTTTTCAAGATTTCTCCAGTTCCGGACCAAACAATTGCCATTTTTTTCATGCATAACAAGAGATGTCCATTTTCATTAGCAATTGCTTAATGTGGGAATCTTTCATTTTCAGGCTCATCCAACATGGTAACTGGAGAGACCAAGAGCTTCTTCAGCTTTGCAAAATCAGTAAGTATCCAGGCACATCTGATGTACTGTGGTGGCATGTTGATTCACATGTTGAGAGCTTTGTTTTTGTTTGTTTGTTTGTTTTGAGACAGCGTCTCGTTCTGTCACCAGGCTGGAGTGCAATGGCACGATCTCGGCTCATGGCAACCTCCGACTCCCTGGTTCAAGCGATTCTCCTGCCTCAGCCTCCCTAGTAGCTGGGATTACAGGCATGCGCCACCATACCCAGCTAATTTTTGTATTTGTAGTAGAGACGGGGTTTCACCGTGTTGGCCAGGATGGTCTCAATCTGACCTCGTGATCTGCCCGCCTCAGCCTCCCAAAGTGCTGGGATTACAGGCGTGAGCCACCGCACCCAGCTGTGAGCTCTTCTATCATAAGGCATTGACTTAATCTTGTCTTTCAATTTCCTCGTTCATTTCCCATAAAACCTGCACTCCTGCCCTATTCCCTGCAAATGGTCAGGACCAGAATTTAGACTACTTTTGTCTAAATGAAACAGAGAGGTGGGAGTGTCAGAGAAACTCAAGAAAGCTACAGCTTTATTTCAGTCAAAATTGCTTAAGTGTTGGTGTCTTTAATTATTGGTCAAAAATGAACTTAGCATTAGTGCATTTTCTTTGCTCCATAGAGCGGCCAGCCTTTCACTTTGCTACTTTCTGACCAGGTCTCTGGGGGTACTTGAGATTTCTCTGTCTCCCCATCCTCTTGAATCGGAGATAGAAATGAGGACCCTATGACCTTAACAAGATCCTGAGGTGACTTGTAGACTCAGACAAGCTCATGAACCACTCTCTTGGGTGATCATGCTTTCAATATGGTGGTTAGTTTGTCGGCCATTGCAAAGCGACATCCCTGGGCATTCACCTCACTACAAATTGACTCTGATCTATCTTCCTATCTGGAGCTATACTTGCTAGAATTATACTGATGTTGGCTTGAACTTTTTTGAGACCGAGTCTAGCTCTGTCACCCAGGTTGGAGTGCCGTGGCATGGTCTCGGCTCACTGCAACCTCCACCTCCTGGGCTGTAGCAACCCTCCTGCTTCAGCCTCCCAAGTAGCTGGGATTACAGGTGTGTGCCACTATACCCAGCGAATTTATGTATTTATTTTGGTAGAGACAAGGTTTCACCCTGTTACCCAGGCTGGTTTTGAATTCCCGGGCTCAAGCAATCCGCTTGCCTCAGCCTCCCAAAGTGCTGGAATTATAGGTGTGAGCCATCGTACTCGGCCAAACTTAGTTTTTTAAATATCATTTCAACACCCCTTCCCCAGCCCAAATTCCTTCTCTTCTTTGAAATGAACCACCAGTACACCAGCACCAGCCCATGTTGCTTTTTTTTTTTCTTCGCACGTTCCAGGGTATTTTTTTTTTTTTTTTTTTTTTAGTAATTTCAACTTTTTAGATTCAGGAGGTACCTGTGCAGGTTTTTTGCCCGGGTATTGTATGATGCTGAAGTTTGGGGTACAAATGATCCTCTCATTCACATAGTGAGCATAGTACCCAATAGTTTTTCAACCCCTGCCCCCCTCCCAGTCCCCTTTAGTGGTCTGCAGTGTTAACTGTTCCCATATTTATGTCCATGAGTACCCAGCTCCCACTTAGGAGAGAACATGCAGTATTTGTTTTTATGTTTCTGCATTAATTTGATTAGGAAAATGAGCTCCAGCTGCATCCACGTTGCTGCAAAGGACATGATTCCATTCTTTTTTATGACTGCATAGTATTCCATGGTGTATACGTCTCACATTTTATTTATCCAGTCCACCATTGATGGGCACCTAGGTTGATTCCATGTGTTTGCTATTGTGAATAGAATGGCAATGAACATACGGGTGCATGTGTCCTTTTGATAGAACGATTTACTTTCTTTTGGATATATACCCAGTAATGAGACTGCTGGGTCAAATGGTAGGAACTTTTATTTTTACCCCTCCCCAACAGGGGATTGCTGCTTTTCACAAGGGTTTATTTTTGCCCCCTCTACTTTTGGACTTCTATGTGCCAGTGCAGCGTCAATTGATCCACTCATTTGACAGGCATTTTCTGAGCACCTGCTGTTTGTGGTATTGTGCCAAGCACTGGGCTATTACAGCACATAAGATAGGTGCACTTTGGGCCTTTTTGGTTCTTATATACTAATGAGGGAGACAAACCCAAAATAAGCAAGATATGTTAATTAACATGATTATAAATGGCTATTAAACCTCTGAAGAGGATAAAAATCAAGTGCTAAAATAGAAAATAGCAGGGTGGGTGGAGGCAATTAAAACAAAGTGGTCAGTGAAAAGTATGGTAAGGAGTTTGGAATTCATTCTAAGTATGGCACTATGTGCTATTCATATGCCCTCAAAGTGCCAACATCAGCTTCCAGAAACATCAGCCCCAAACATTCTGGAATGGATAATACTCCCTGCATTTGTGAGATTCAAATCAAAGGTCTTCTCTTTGCATTTGGGCTTTAAAATATGGGTCAAGGATCATCCTAACTACAGAACCGACAGGAGGAGCAAGAATGGAGTGTAATGAAGGATGCTGTCTGGAGTGTGTCCCCTGAAGACAGGCTTTGTGCCATGCACAGCTGCTCTGTTGCTGTGGCTGTAATTAACATGATGTTGACAGACTGCTGTGGGTAACCACACTGGTCCCAAATTACATACAATTGTAAGAAGTGTTTTCCCTTTCTCCTCTAAATGCACAATCCCAACACACAGTGTTAATGAAATAATTGCAGCGTGCCCATGCTCAATGAAGGCATTCATAAATGCACAGCCAGGATGGGGATGGAGATTCCTCTGCCCAAAGCAGGGGTTCCTATTTCCAGAACGCTTTGTACCTGGAGGTCAAGAATGAGGATGTTTTCTTTCAGAGGCCTGCTCAAACACTGAGGGTCATTTGGAAGAAAACTGAAGAGAGGGCCTACGAAGAGGTGGAACTTTGCTCTGAAAAGTCCTAGAAAAAAAATTTTTCAATGTATTCAAGAAGGGCTTAGAAATTAAAGGTCGACTGGAATTATACAGGAATTTCCCACTCAGCTATCTTAATGATGTTGCATCTTAAAATCGCTGCAGTTTGTGCCTCACTATTTGTCAAACATGCTATTTTCTTTCACACCATAACGATGATGATACTAATAGAAGAAGTTAACATTTACAGAGCAATCTGACTCCAAATTTGGAGCTCTTATTCACTAAACCAAAAACATCTTGTTCAAATTAAGATAATAAAAGTGGTGTATGTTTATAGAGCACCTCATGCGTGGCAGACACTGTGCTAAGCACTTGATATGCATTAACACATTTACTCCTCATAACCACCCCATGAGGAACAGTGAGGAAATTGAGCACAGAGAAGTTAAGAGATTTGCCTAAAGTCACACAGCTAGTAAGTGACAAAGCTGAGATTCAAAACTAGGCATTCAGCTCTATAACCTTCTTAACCACAACTGTACATTTGCAGCAAGCATTCATTCCACAAACATTCACTGAGGCATTGCAGATACACTGTGAATCAAGTTATTATTTTTCTATATTTGCTGTATTTCCCAAGTTGGTTTGTTTTAAATGAGGGTCCTAAAAATCACTGTCCCATAGAATAGAATTTTGGATGTAAGGAATACGTTAAGTTATTTAGTGATTTCCAAACCACATGCCTCACCACACCATCTGTGCCACAAACCCTTGCCAGGTAAGACCATCAAAACTGAAAGCCAAGAAACCTAAGGTCAAATGCGTGGCTCTTATTGGTCCCCCGGCCCTCTCCGAATGTGCTTTTGTAAATAATTTTGTATATGAACCTCATCATTGTTTTCAACCTGCCTTTTCCATGCTTATTCTCCTAGTGACACGAGCTTCCCAATTAAAAAAAATAAAAAATTTTCACTTTAGTCAGTCTCCTTAATTCTTTTCGAAAACAGGATATAAATGAGCTCAATGATAACATAAAGGCTATCAATGTTTCTAAATGCCCATCACATTCCTCTTTGCATCCTGTATTGAAATGATTTTGAACATCTTATCCCCTAGAATCCCCCAGAAACTGGACGCTTGGATTTCTAACCTATAACCAGCACCAAAGGAAAAGCAATTAAATCATAACAAAGCAGTTGGATCCCCATTTCTCTAGGTTTCCAGTGGATTATTTACTTATTTTGATATGAAGGGAGGAGATGACAGACTGGAAAAGAGATGGCCACATTAAATAGTTTGTAGGTATTTCACCCAGAACTTTAGTCCAGGGCATCTCGGCTTTAATGCTATGGATATTTGGGGCTGGGTAATTCTTTGTTGTGGATTATTCTTTGCTGTGAATATTCTTTGTCCTGAGCACTGTGGGATGTTTAGCTGCATCCCTGGCTTCCACCCACTAGACGCCAGTAGCACCACCTCCCGCTTCAGTCATCACAAACAAACAAAAATCCCCAAACAATATCAAATGCCTTCTGGGGGACAAAACTACCCCCAGTTCAGAACCATTGATTCAGTCCCAACAATTTGGCCTCATCATTTCTTCATGCTGTTACTTCTTCCTAAATCATCCCTCCTCCCTCTTCATCCGATGGATCCCTACCCGCCTCCCCAGATTTAGCCTTATCAAAACCACTCCCCCAGGAAAGCTGCTTCTGCAGTCAGAGTGGCCACCTCCATCATGTTCCCCACCACATTGTGTAAACTTTTCTGCCATCCTAGTTCCTTTAACAACCCCATCATCACCACCACCATTCACTGAGCCAAGTGCTTTATACTTAATCACAGAGAACGTTGTAGAGCCACGATTCAAGTCCGGAGCTGATGATCCTGACCATGTACTTAATATTTCAACTACATGTGGCCATGTAGTTAGTTTTGGGCTCTCTCTCCCACTTAGACCTGAGCGTCTCATAAGCATCAATGTCTATTGCTTCCCATGCACTTGCAACAGTGCCTAGAAAAATAGATGCTTTTAAAAAAAATACACCACTGTCCAAGGCGGGTGGATCACGAGGTCAGGAGTTCAAGACCAGCCTGGCCAAGATGGTGAAACCCCATCCCTACTAAAAATACAAAAATTAGCTGGGCATGGTCGTGGGCGCCTGTAATCCCAGCTACTCGGGAGGCTGGGGCAGAGAATTACTTGAACCCGGGAGGCAGACGTTGCAGTAAGCTGAGATCATGCCACTGCACTCCAGCCTGGGCTACAGAGTGAGACTCCATCTCAAAAAATAAAAATAAAAAATAAAATAAAAAAATACACCACCAAGAGCAACCCCTTGGCCAGCTGGAATCTGCTGAGCTGCAGCCCCACGTTCCCCCTGTAGTAGCTGATGACATCAGCAATGCTGCCAATGTAGGCTTAACCCCGGTATTGAGTTCCTATAACCCAATACCACCTCTCTTTGCAGTGGTGGCAGGTGGAGAAGGTGAACCCCATCAAGCTGTATGAGGAGAACAAAGTCATCGCGGGGTTTTCCCTTTTAAATCTGCTCTTCAAACAAGGCCGGGCGGGCCTCATTCGGGGAGTGGTGGAAAAACTCATAGGGCTCTACAACCAGAAGAAGATCAAGCCTGTGGTGGACTCCTTGTGGGCTCTGGAGGAGGTAAGAATGGTGCTTTTCTTCTGCAAATAAACTCCTCTTTTTAACTCAGGAAGGTTTGGGCAGCCAAATACAATCTTCTACTAAATGATTTTTTTCCCAGATGGGTTTGTTTTAAATGAGGGTCCTAAAAGTCACCTGTACCACAGAATAGTACTTTGGATATAAGAAATACTTTAAGCTCTTTGGTGATTTGCAAACCACGTGCCTCATCACACCATTTGTGCTCTGAACCCTTCCCAGGTAAGGCCACCAAATTTTGATCAATGTCTACAATTCGGTGTGGTTACAAGAGCATGTGTACATTGTTGAGGCATCATACATATTGTCACCTTGTGAGTACATAAGAGATCAGTGTCAGAGCAGACAGTGATCTGAGCTAAAATGATTTGTGTGCTCCGCTGGATGCCTTGAGCCCCGATGAGACATTAGCTATCACGATGGACTTTGGAATTACTGCTGAATTGTTGGGTCTAAAGTTGGATTGAGTCTTTTTGTTAGTTGATCTTCCAAAAGTTATAGTATTTGGAAGCATTCCTTGATCACAAGAACATTAAGAACCCCTAATGGAGCCTCGAAGGATACTGAAGCATGAACTGGTTGTATTGGTTCACATGGCCCTTGCTAGGAGAAGGCAGGGTCTAGAAAATCCTTCAAGTAAGGGGAAGGTTTGGGCATTTGGGGAGTCAGTTAATGGCAGCTCCTTGTAGAAGAAATGAAGAGATGTGGCCTGGATTTTAAGAGGCATTTCGCTAAGAAACCTAAGTCAAGATTTCTTAGCCTTGGCTTCAGGGAGCCATGACGCCCCTGAAAAATATTTTAAAATATGTGGGAATGTTTTTTTTTTCATTGTTTTGCATTTTGCATGAGGGAAGTGCCTTATGGTACAAGTACTTTGTTGTACTTTTGCAAGTCACAAATACTTTTTAAAAAAATAACAAGTACGAAAGTTCTAGTGGGTGTGCTTCTGGCAAGAAGGCTGTGTCTGTTTGCCTGAACGATTACATTGGCCCAAATCCAATGGCTTCTCTAAGCACAGAAATACCACTAGAAAGGCTCTTTGGGGGTCACTGTATATTCAAATACAACTGGTCCTAGATCAATGGAGCAGGAATGTGCCTATATCTCTCTCTAATACTGCAGTGTCATGGATGGGCTTAAAACCTTTAGCCACCAAAAACCTTGTTTCTTATGACAAAATAAATACTCATTACAGAAATTCCTAAATTAACCAAAAACATAAGGAGAAAATAAACTGCAAGTCCACATTCCAGAGAAGGATAACATTGTTAACATTTCGGTTTGCTTCCTTCCAGTCTTTTTTCTATTGCAGATGCTCACCGTGATTCAATTTAGTGCTAAATCGTATCAGATAATTGTGCATGCCTTCTGCTGTGTAATTGCCAATACAGCTAGCCTATTGCTATAATTTTCTTTAAATGTTTTTAATTCAGTGAGTCAGACACCCATATGGTATTCACTATCATATCTCATTGGAACAGGGAAAGGGCTGGGCTACCTGGTTACTGGGTTCTCAATGGTCAGGAAGGAGAGAAAACGGAATCATCAAGAAAAAAGCTAAGAGATATACTTGTCCATGGGCCAGAGAAGGTGACTTACACTTGAACTCAGTGCCCAAAAGGACCCAACAAATCTGGTAACATTTAAGTGAGAATTGAAATCCAAGAGGAGTCCACTTGGCCCAGTGGGTTCTTGTTCTAGTATTTGAAATCACCCCTTGGTTACAATGGTAATTGAATCACCAAACATTTACTGAACAACAACTATGTGCCCAGTACTGGGCAAATGCTGGAGCTACAATGATGAACAAATGGACAAGATCCCATGACTTCATGGAGTTTTCATTCAGAGGAGTAGGAGGAGATAGAAAATACTGAAGTAAACAATAATAAGCAAGGTAGCTGCCTGTCGTAATAAGTTCTTAGAAAGAGATAAATTTGGATATACGTTGGTGAGTGGAGGGGGGAGACTTAGTTTCCACAGAGCAATGTTGCTTAACTTATTTTTCATTGTTGCTCCTCTAAAGAGACTTTTTAGATATTATTTTGCCTAATAAACTCATGAAGTTTTACTACCATATATGTGTGTGTATGTACACATACATGTGTGTTTATGTCCTGTGTGTATATCTGTATTTTATATGTTAAAAGAGTAACTTTATTTTATCTTCCAAGAGCCAGTGTTCATCCCACTGGGGTGATATCATGCTTATTGAGAATGCATGCTGTAGAGAAACTTTAAAGAGGGAAGGTTTCTCTCAATAGGTATCATTGGAGCTGGAACATGAAAGAGGCAAGAAACTAAAGGGAGAGAATTCAACACAAGGAGATCCCTAAAAACAAAGGGGTGAAGAACAAAAGATTTTGGTAAATCCCAAAGGGGCATTATTGTGAGCCAAGGAGGGAATGGTACAAGGAGAGTCTGAGTAGGTTAACAAGGGCTGGATGGAAATTTGGGTTTTACTCTAAGCAGCAGGGGGCTGCTATAGGTTCAGAGTCAGGAGGTACCACATCCTGGTCCCAAGGGTGTTATCCATCAGGACAGAAGCTGAAATTGCCAGGCAGGATCCTGGGCAACTAGGCAACTACAGAAGTCTGATATTCAAGGAAGATCTCATTCCAGCTAAGGAATAGGAAAAGCATGCTAACTACAGACCAGGAAGCCTCCCAATGGAGAAGCTCAGCTAGCATTAAGGAGGGTCTGGCCAGGCACAGATGGTACACGTGAGGCAGCAAGACTCATCTCCAACCCTCAGTGCTGGGGGAAATGGTGCTTCATGTGTGCTGGGGTTGTCAGCACTGGCTCAAAGACTGAGTCCACTAAGGATACAGAGCAAAGGTACTCAGGACCAGCACTAATGAGAGATGAGAAAGCCAAGGCTGGCAGCGTGCTTGACTGAGTCATGCATCATATGCAGGCAGGTCTGGGACTTTACCTTGAACATACTTCTTCCATCTTTATTCTTAGCACTGTCGTCTAAGCTGGGTGGACTCAAGCAATACCTAAACCAAATCATGTCCAACCTTGCTTAAAATCCTTCCATGGCTTCCTGCTATACCTGAAATACAGTCTAAATTCCTCATTGAGGTCTGTAAGGCCCTGCACTGTGTGACTCCTGCCCATCCATTACCCTCACCTCCTCCACCCAAGCTTCAGCAGCATTCATGTTTCTGGTCCTTGAGCCCACCCAGGCCTTCCCTGTCTTGAGCCTTCAAACATGTTGCTCCTTCTATTTTGAACACTCCTTTTCCCAATTTTTGACAGTCTGCTTCCTTCAGGTCTCAGCCTCAGTATGACCTGTACAGAGAAGCCTTCCCCAGCCCCACTCTTGAAAGTAGCACCTTGCACAGCCACTGCAGACCAGGCCATTCTGTCTCCCTTTACTCCATTTGATACTCTCCATTGCATTTACTGTCAGTTGAAATGATCCTGTTCTTTTATTTCTCAGCTTGCTTAGACTGTTGCCTCCCTTCCACTAGAATTTAAACCCTACATGAGGGAAGACCTAGACTATATTATTCCAGACCCCAGTGCCTGGCATGGAATAGGTGCTCAGTACATACTTACTGTGTGAATGGAACAATCCACCAATACAGAGAAAGAGGACTAGTTGGACATTTTCTATGTTTAACAATAAATATGTGTTGATTGAGTGAATTAATGAATAGATGAATGAATGACTGAACAAGGTATAATTTTAAAAGATTATGTTAAGACAAGGTTTCTCAAAATAAGTAAATACATAAATAAAAGACAGGGTTTCTCAGCCTGGGCATGATTGAGATTTTGGGCTGAATAATTTTTTTGCTGGGTAGGGAGGGACTGCCCTGCGCACTGTAGAATGGTGAGCAGCATCTCTGGCCTCTACTCCCGTACCGCCAGCGGTGGCAATAGAAAATGTCCCCAGACATTGTCAAATGTCTCCTGGGTGGGACAAGGGTAGGGGCAAAACCACTCCTACTTGAGAACCACTGCTTTTAAAAGAAGCCACGATGGCAAAGACAGTCACCAGCCAGATAAAGGAATTCTACGTTCCTGTAGCAAGATAGTCCTCCATAGAAAGGAGAGAGACAGCTGTAGCCTGTTTGCCAACAACAGCACCCACAGCCACTCATCAAGAACACCCACCGACTTTCTGCCGGCTTTCTGCAATATCTACAGACATCTGTTTGGAGCTGCAGTCGGACCAAACGTGGCTGTTTATCAAGCCCACGCAGCTCTTCTGGGCTTGAGGAGAGTGTAACATGCTTATTACTTGCAAACCTCTGAAGGACTGTAATGATTTTTCCCCTCCCGTTTGGTAAATGATTGCACAAAATTGCTTCTCAATCCAGCTCTATAACTTCATCTATGGAATATAAAGCCCACAGGGATTCAAAGAAAATTTTATTGGGCTCTCTGAGCCTCAGACTAGAAGATTTAATAATATCAGAGACGATTAAAGTTTCCTCTTAGCCATCTGTCTTTGACTTTATTGTAAATTTAATTCACAAAGCAGAGTGGGTCTACTGCAGCCTCGGGTTTGCTTCCAGATACTAAATGTGCAGCTGTACGTTAAGTTGGAAGAAAGTTAGTCTCACCAAACAGTTTAGAGATGGAAAAGAAATAAAAAATACTTGCATTTTTCAACCAAGCAGCAGTAACAGTGTTGAGAGCCTACTGTGTGCTGTGTGCTAATCCTCTTTTAGGATATTGAGTCTACAGAAGTCCTAGACAACATGTTAATACTTGCATTTGTCAACCAAGCAGCAGTAACATTGCTGAGCACCTACTATGTGCTATATGACAATCCTATTTTAGAATATAAAATCTACAGTAGTCATAGACAACGTGTTTCCTGCCCTTGAGTTTATAATTTAATGTCTGAGACAAAAATAAAATCTATAAAACAATTAGACAATAACTTAGTATGCAATAACAGAGTATTAATTTCAACTGCAACTGGCTTTGAAAACAAGAGAGAACAATGTTAAGAGTGAATGTTAGCCAGGCGCAGTGGCTTATGCCTGTAATCCCAGCACTTTGGGAGGCTGAGGCAAGCAGTTCACTTGAGGTCGGGAGTTCGAGACCAGCCCGGCCAACAGGGTGAAGCCCCATCTCTACTAAAAATACAAAAAATTAGCCAGGCATGGTGGCAACGCCTATAGTCCCAGCTACTTGGGAGGCTGAGGCAGGAGAATCGCTTGAACCCGGGAGGTGGAGGTTGTAGTGTGCCAAGATTGTGCCACTGCACTCCAGCCTGGGCAACAGAGCAAGACACCATTTCACAAAAAGAGAGAGAATGTTGAGAGATGGATTTTACAGATGAGGTGGGGCTTGCTTGGTATGGGAAGGATAGGAAAGGATAGGAATGATTTGGATGACACTGGAGTTACCAGAAATAGATATGACAAGCAGGAGGCACAGCATGAACAACATCACAGAAGTGGGAGTGAGTATGGAGTGGGTGGGGTAGAGAGAAAAGTCTGGGCTAAACAAAGCAGAAGTTGCTGGCTGTAGAGGAGAGGAAGTAAGATTTGTTTGGTCAATGGAGTCAAATCATGGTCCCCTTTGCTGCCAGGCAGAGGAGTTTGAGCTTACATCCTGGGTAGGGGGATTGCTGTTGGAGAGTATGGGGCCTAAGAAGCATGACACCATTTCATCTTCTCCTTTCCCTGAGGCCCACTCTGGCCCCAAGTATGATCACTGTAAAGATTCACACTTAGATACAGCTGTGGTCTCTGATTAAAATTGCTTTCCCCCATCTGCCACTTCATAGTACACAGAGGGCTGCACAGAGATCTCAACAATTTTTTAAATGTTCATTGAAGACCTGATCTGGGCCAGGCGTGGTGGCTCACACCTGTTATCCCAGCACTTTGGGAGGCCAAGGTGGGCAGATTGCTTGAGCCCAGGAGTTCAAGACCAGCCTGAGCAACATGGTGATACCCCATCTCTACTAAAACTACAAAATATTAGCCAGGCGTGGTGGTACACACCTGTGGTCCCAGGTACTCAGGAGGCTGAGGTGGGAGGATGACTTGAGTCTTGGGGGTGGAGGTTGCAGTGAGCTGAGATCGTACCACTGCACTCCAGCCTGGGTGACAGAGGAAGACCCTGTCGAAAAAAAAAAAAAAAGACATTATCTTTACTATTTTACATGATTTATATAAAAGTCTATGGCTACACTCTCCAGTACGGTACCACTGGTCACATATGGCTATTTAAATTTAAGCTAATTTAAATTAGGTCAAATTAAAAATTCAGCTTCTCGGCCGGGCGTGGTGGCTCATGCCTGTAATCCCAGCACTTTGGGAGGCCGAGGCGGGCGGATCACGAGGTGAGGAGATCCAGACAATCCTGGCTAACACGGTGAAACCCCGTCACTACTAAAAGTACAAAACATTAGCCGGGCGTGATGGCAGGCGCTTGTAGTCCCAGCTACTCGGGAGGCTGAGGCAGTAGAATGGCATGAACCCAGGAGGTGGAGCTTGCAGTGAGCCGAGATCGCGCCACTGCACTTCAGCCTGGGCGACAGAGCAAGACTCCGTCTAAAAAAACAAACAAACAAAAAAATTCAGTTCCTCATGCCACCTATGCACATTTCAAGTGCCCAGTGCAGCACAGCTATAGAACTGTTCCATCGTTGCAGAAAGTTCTGTTGAAGCTGGTCTATGAGACGGTATCATCCTTTTTTGGGGAGGTAGGAAAAACTTTGTCTTCCTCACTTTGGCTGTAGTGAAGGTCGCTGTCCAAATGCAGTCATTTATTGGATGTAAGTGTCCTCAGTCTCGCTGAGTCTTCTGCATTTTTACCTCCATGTTAATGACTATGGTTTAATTAGATTTGTGTTTTTCATTCTAAGCTGTCACTAAACCTGTACAGAGATAGACTGGCCTGAAAGAATAAATGAAGGAAGAAAATGTGATGCTGAGCTTGACAGGGACCTTTATCTGTCCCAGGACAAGAGGGTAACTTGATAAAAAGATTAGGCCGGGCGCGGTGGCTCATGCCTATAATCCCAGCACTTTGGGAGGGCGAGGTGGGTGGATCACCAGGTCAGGAGATCGAGACCACCCTGGCTCACACAGTGAAACCCTGTCTCTACTAAGAATACAAAAAATTAGCCCGGCATGGTGGCACATACCTGTAGTCCCAGCTACTCGGGGGGCTGAGGCAGGAGAATCACTTGAACCCGGGAGGCGGAGGTTGCAGTGAGCTGAGATCCCGCCACTGCACTCCAGCCTGGGTGACAGAACAAGACTCCGTCTCAAAGAAAAGAGATGAATGTGGGACACCAAGGACAGAGAAGGTGGAATGGCCCGAGTCAAGGCTGTGGAGTAATGTGATTGTCAGTTCTGAAGAAACTTCAACTCTAGCACCAGACTGGGAAGGGGACAGAGAGGATGACTGAGGCCAAGCATCCAAAACAGATACTGCACCCCAAACTAGGAGGCAAAGACTCAAGGAGAAATTGTGGAAAGTCCAACTTCACTATGGCAGATTTCAACTAGCTGGCATGGACCCTCTTTAAAGATTTAGGAGCTCCTTCTGAGGCACTGAGCACAGTGTGGGGCAAGGATTTAAAAGCATCTCCTGGCTCTGCAGACACTGCTGCTGCACCATGGTCAATCCCACTATGTTGGGGTTGACAGTGCGGTTGATGGTGGGCCCTTGTGTCTCCTTTGAGCTGTTTGCAGACAAGTTTCCAAAGACAGCAGAAAAATTTCGTGCTCTAAGCCCTGGAGAGGAAGGATTTGGTTATAAGGGTTCATGCTTTCACAGAATTATTCCAGGGTTTATGTGTCAAGGTGGTGACTTCACACTCCATAATGGCACTGGTGGCAACTCCATCTATGGAGAGAAATTAGATGATGAGAACTTCATCCTAAAGCATATAGGTCCTGGCATCTGTTCCATGGCAAATACTGGACCCAGCACAAATGGTTTCTAGTTTTTCATCTGTACTGCCAAGACTGAGGGGTTGGATGGCAAGCATGTGGTCTTTGACAAGGTGAAAGAAGGCATGAATATTGTGGAGGCCATGGAGTGCTTTGGGTCCAGGAATGGCAAGACCAGCAAGAAGGTCACCATTGCTGACTGTGGACAAATCTAATAAGTTTGACTTGTGTTTTATCTTAACCTCCAGACCATTCTATCTGTAGCTCAGGAGGGTACCCTCCATCCCATTTGCTCGCAGTATCCTATCATCTTTGTGCGCTCGCTGCAGTTCCCTTTGGGTTCCATGTTTTCCTTGTTCCCTTCCATGCCTGGCTGGATTGCAGAGTGAAGTTTATGATTATGAAATAAAAACTAAATAACAACAACAAAAAAAGCCTCTCCCAAAAGCAGGCTGTGTGTGTTGTGTCATGTACATAGTGGTTTGGAGGGTGAACTGGTGGCAGCTGGTCTGGCTGGGAGGCTGTGGCAATTTTGGGGGCATGAATATAGGTAAGCCACCAACCAAAGTGGGGGTGTGGGATGGCAGAGAATAAACCCATCTCAGCCATTGACAGAAAGGAAATCAGAAATAAAGGACAAAGGGGAAGCAAGAGTCAGCAATGACCAAGGGTCTTTTAAGCTGGGAGGTCAGGAACAGGGAAGCCAGCAATGGCATTTTAGTTAGCAGGGATAGACACTGGTGTGAAAAAGTTGATGAGCTTAGATGTGAGTTTGGTTTAAAGTCATAGTAGGCCATGAAAGTGGAGCTGTCCACAGACAAGTCAAATCCTCAACCACATTCAGGTGAGAGAAGGCTGAATAATTACTACTACGACTGCTACTACTATTACTACTGCTGCTACTACAGTACAATATTTCTAGAGGATTCGCTAAGTACTAGGCATTGTTCTAAGTGCTTTATGTATTAACTGATCTAAACTTCCCAACATCACAATAGTATCCAGGTATTATTATCCCCATCTTACAGATCGCAAAAATGAGGCTCTAGAGAGATTATACTTGCCCATAGTCCCTGCTTACCATTGAATTTGATGGAAATTTGAACCCCAGGAAAGTCTGATGTATAGAAGTTTTTGGAAAGGTATAATGAATAAACTCATTGAAGAATGAGCAAAATAATGCTACTAGGAAATGCTTAGCATAGCATGTTTATATGTGCCAAGTACCTTGCATTTATTAACTCATTAAATCCTCATGATTACCCCTAGTGGTGATAATTGTTACTCACATTATGATACAAATGAGGGAATGAAGGCATACAGAGAGGAATACGTTGCCCAAGGTCACACGGCCAATGCATGGCAAAACCAGCTTTCAGACCTAGGCAGTTTGGCTCTCGAGTCCATGCTATGGACATTAGCGTCTCCACTATGTTGGGAAAGACCAGAACCCTACAACCCCCGCTTTATTCCTGCATGTCTGTGAATCCTTCGTCCTTGGGCAGAGGATGAGGCATCCACAGAAAGGCAGCAGTAAAGGAACCACCACGGCCATCTGACAGGTCATTAGTGTCAGCTGCTGCTGACAAGCCAGGAAGTCCATAGAGAAACAGCCTTTGGGTTTGGCCCAGGCTCATTG
Source organism: Homo sapiens (assembly GCF_000001405.40). Taxonomy (NCBI): domain Eukaryota; kingdom Metazoa; phylum Chordata; class Mammalia; order Primates; family Hominidae; genus Homo; species Homo sapiens. The sequence continues at coordinate 77,894,340 of NC_000016.10, forward strand.
TTGACCTTTCAGAAAGCAGTGTCAGTAGAAAGATGGGGGCAGAAGTCTGAATGCAGAGGTTGGTGAAGGGAAGGTGCAGGGAGGACAGGCCAACAGCCAGCACAAGCCTCCCACCTGGCACTGAACAGGACAAACGCCCGGAACCCAGCCAGGAGGAACAGAGGTCACAGGAGGGCTATTTAGAAAGCCAATTCGTGGTTGCCTAGGTCTGGGGGACTTGGAGAGAATGGAGAGGAACTGCTGATGGGGCATGGCATTTCTTTTTGGAGAGATAAAAATGTTCTAAAATTAATGGTAGTGATAATTTCACAACTCTGAATATGCTAAAAAAATGGAATCATACATTTTAAGTGGGTGAATTGTATAGCATATGAATTATATATAAAGCCGATATAGAGATATCATATATATGCTAAGATAGATATGCTAGTATACACGTATATTACACATGAGAAAGGGAGAGATTGAAGGGCTGTTTAATGCTGGGATCAGGAGAACTTGGGAGATGGGGAAGAGGCACAGCCTTAGAATCTCTGGATCCCTGGCCTCAATCCTTATTAATATCCTAGCTGTGTGGCCTCAGAAAACCATCCCACCTTGTCCATTCTCCCAGTTTTCAGATGAGCAAAATTGGGCTCCAGAAGCAATTGCTGTGTTTGCTGTAGGTCCCTACACTTCATTTTTTCCTTCCTGTGTGACTTCTTTCCCTTAAGTGGAATTTTAAATTTTTCAGTTCAACGTGATCACCCCAGCCACTTGCCCACACACACACACACACTCACACATTTCCGATTTCTACGCACATTCTCCCAGCTGGCCTCATGTGTTTTCTGCAGCTCAAACTTACCAGCACTATCACGCCCCCAGGCCCTGCCATGCCCTTGCACCCAGCTCTGCTCTGAGCTGCCCAATGGACCAAAGAAATTAAGGCACAGCTCTGCCTCAGTGTATCCATCTGTGACAGGCTGAAGAATGGCCCCCTAAAGATGTCCACATCCTAATCCCTAGAATATTTGAACATGTTACCTCATATGGCAAAAGGGACCTTGCAGGTGTGACTAAATGAAAGACTCTGAGACAAGGAGAATACCCTGGATCATGCAGATGGATCCAATACAATCACAAGGGCCTATGTAAGAGAGAGGCAGGAGGGTTGGAGTCAGAGGAGCAGATGCGATGGCAGAAGCAGAGGAAGAAGGGTGATGTGATACTGGGAATGGGAAGAGCCTGTAGAAGCCAGAAAAGGCACAAAAATTAAGGAGCCAGCCCTGTTGACACCTTGATGTTAGCCCTAAAGAGACAATTTCAGGCTTCTGATTTGCAGAACTGTAAGAGAATAAATTTTTGTAGTTTTATGTAAATTTGAGTTAATTTATTGTAGCAACAACTGGAAACTAATACATACCACTAATGCCACTCAACAAATGCTTACAGAGTGCCTGCCTGCTGCGCGCCAAGCACCGGGCCAGGCTTTGCAAACACAGTTGCAAGTGAGAAAGCCTGGGCCTATGCTTAGGGGCAGCCAGGATGGTGGAAGTGAACAGTCAGACAATTATATAAGCAGGGAACGAAGCCTGGAGGAAGAGAGCTGGGCAGGGCTGAGACCCAGGCCTGTGCCACAGCCTGGGCAAAGGCCTGGAAGTTGGAGAGAAAGATGGAGGTTGGCACATTCAAGGACAGAAGAAAGGTTCATCAGGCTGAGCACAGAGTGATGGGGAGGCTGACCTCGAATGGAGGGGAGAGGAAACGGGATAGGAGGAATTCCCGCCAACCGCCGGAATATACCCATCCCTCTGGCCTTACTGGACCACTGTGATTTTCAGAAACCTGAGACTCTGAGCCTCCCTGCCTTTGTTCCAGTTGTTAACTTGGCCTGCATGCCCTTCCCTCATCCTTGTCCTCCTGCAAAATTCCTGGTCACCTTTTAAGACTCAGCCCTGGTGTCGACTCTTCCGTAAAACCATTCCTCCCTCTTGCCATTATCCCAACCCTGAGTTAGGAGGTACTGCTTTTAGATCCCATGGGCTTGCCTCCCTCATTGACATGTGCATGGGCAATTTCCTGTGAAAAATGGAGAGAATAACGCTACCTTCCTTCGGTTTCTATTTAGAGGGATTAAATGACCTAATGTACAAAAGGTACTTAGCTTAATGACTGACAGAGAGTAAGTGCTCAACATTAGCTGTCATTACAGGGCATTGCAAATGCATTTCCCCCAGAGAGTGGAGATATTTGAGGTCAGGGACTCTTGGCAAGGTGCCAAGGGAGGAGAACACAGGATATGCCCCGCGAAAGATTTCTGGGGCCTCAGGGCATGCATTTTCATCAGCCTGGTGCAGCATCTCCCATCAAGGTTCTAAGCAGACAACTTCATCTACACCAGGAGACCAGCGTGTTGCAGAATTAGGCTTATTCACAGCTCAGCACTCCTTGTTAGGAGTCTGGGAGCTCAGCTCTGAATACATTCCTGTTACAAAGAAAATGCTCGTCCTTGCCTTTACGCCTGTCATTCAGATGAAAATACTTCACAAAACTGGATTTCCTTGTGAGCCAGGGACAGAGTCAACTCACACTGCCCTTGGCTGTGTTTTAAAAGACACAGACCAGGATTCTGCTGTTTCCAAAGACTGGAAAGTTTCTATTTGCCTTTGAGGTTGATGGAGAAATTACTTAATATATCTTATTTGCAGAAAGGCAACAGAGGACCAGTTTCAAGATTTTTCCAAGATATCTGTACTGATATGTTAATCACAGATTCTTTATTTGCTAGACTAAGTAGATAACTGTGCTGCAGACCAAGATTCTTGAATCTTGGGACGTACATTTAAATCAGATAATGCATGAGTAAAAGGTCACATCCTGGCAGATAAACATGCTGTGGATATTACCACTACCCCCACCTCTGGAATCCACACTTCGGTCTGAGCATCAGTTTCCTCCATTAGAAATGGGGATACTACCATGTTCCTTGTTATTGCATAGGATTTATGATTATTGTGCAATCAACTGAGTCCATATGTGGTGAACTCTTGTACACTGTAAACCACTCTGCTGACACGAGGCATATTATAATGTGCAGAAGCAGGTCTGATTGGATGGGGGCAAATTCTTGGTCCAAAAAACTGGTTTTGTTTTTTGTTTTGTGTTTGAGACAGAGTTTCACTCTTGTCACCCAGGCTGGAGTGGAATGGTGCAATCTCGGCTCACTGCAACCTCTGCCTCCCAGGTTCAAGCAATGATCCTGCCTCAGCCTCCTGAGTAGCTGGGATTACAGGCGACGCCAGCCACCATGCCCAGCTAATTTTTGTATTTTTTAGCAGAGTCGGGGTTTCACCATGTTGGCCAGGCTGGTCTCGAACTCCTGAGCTCAGGTGATCCACCGGCCTCGGCCTCCCCAAGTGCTGGGATTCCAGGTGTGAGCCACTGCGCCCAGCCCAAACTGGGTTTCTTAACCCTTCCACTTCCTAGTGGTTTGTCCTGTAGCACTTCATTTTTCTCTTCCTCCTTTTCCTCCCCTATAAAATAGGAACAGCTGACTTTATTTCCCAAAACAGTTGTGTATGAGTTTGCTAGGGCTGTTGTAACAAAGTACCACAAGCCAAGGGGCTTACACAACAGAAATGTGTTGTCTCAGCGTTCTGGAGGCTGGAAGTGTAAAGATCAAAGTGTCTGCAGGGTCTGTTCCTTCTGAGGGTCATGAAGGAATCTGTCTCATGCATCTCTCTTAGGTCTGGCAATCTTTGGCATTCTTTGGCTTATAAGCACATCACCTCTATCTCTGCCTTCATCTTCACAAGGCATTCCCTCTGTGGGCATCTATCTCCAAAATTCCCCCACTTTATAAGAACACTAGTATTGGATTAGGGCCCACCCTACTTCAGTATAATCTCATCTTAACTAATTACATCTCCACAATCTCCATTTCTAAATAAGGTTGCGATGGAGTTGCTGGGAGTTAGGATTTCAACATATAAATATTTGGAAAAGAGGGGGGGGACACAGTTATATCCATAACAAACTATGAGTCACATACGATCAAAAACGGGAGATGCCTTGCAAATTATAAAGGGCTAAAGAGATAAAATTTTGCATGAGGGTTAAAAGGGCAAACTCCAGATTAAGTTCAAGTCTCCCCTCCTCCAGTTATAGCTGTGATTTCTTAGGAGAGTGGCTTCATTTCTTTCCTAAGCCTTGCTTTGCTATCTGTGAAATGAAGATGATAGCAGGGCCTCCTCTGTGGGGTTGCTGTGAAAATATCATGAGGCTGTGTGTGCAGGGCTTAAGGCATGCCCTGGCACCCAGTACGAGCCAGCCTCTGTTACCAGATCAGAAGGGGTGGGTTGGGTGGGGCCCTGCCTTTCCATCACCTTGCAGTCAAACCTCCCAGAGCTGGTTTCCTCCCTGATGTGCTACTGCTGTGCTGCAAACAGGCTTACCAGTGCCCTTTCCTCGTGCTTGTACTCATTTCCAAAGGCAACTGTGGGAGCTGCTTTATGGAACAGAAGCTCTGAACAGCACAAATGATAAACACATGCTGGTGTTTGCATTCCTCTAACCCTCCAACCATCTAGTCTCTGATTACTAAACTGTTAGCTTGTTTTGGGAGGTTCTGCCAGGAAAGTGCCACGCTCCAGTTAGTCATTTAATAAACTCTAAGTGAGCAGCTGCCAGCAGAGCCATGGACAAATGACAAAGGAGCAATCATGGCTACAGTGTGATATCTGCCCAGAGCCAGGCACTGTGCTGAGCACTTTACATGCATTAGCTCATCTAGACTCATGGCAATCCTGTAGGGAAAGAACTATTATTGCCCCCATTTTACAGATGAGGGCACTGAGGCTTAGAGCATTAAGTGACCTGGTCAAGGTTACACAGACAAAAAGTGGTGGAGCCAAAACTCAACTCTCAGACTGGCTCTCTCCTGAAGCTGTGCTTGTCACCAAGGCCTCAACCCCCTCCAGGAGCGGCGATGACTTTGTCCTGAGCTCTTCAACCTGGTTGCCCCGTCAGGCATCCTGATTTGCAGTGGAGAGATTGGCTTGAACACCCTGGTTCATCAGTTCCTACCTTCTGTGATTAGACAGGTGACACTGCATCTCAAACCTTTCTGCATCTGTAACCCTTGCTCTTCCTGCCTGTTTCAAAGTCTATTGCAAGCAGTGTGTAAGCTGTAAACTGCATGCTGTGTATGGAAATGCCACAGAGTGGGTGCTTGATACAACTTGAGCTTGCTTCTTCCTTTCTACTTCCCTTCCAAAATGTGTGTCATTTTCATAGCTTCCCTAGCACATTCACATGTGTTATCATTCAGTGAGTTTGCTCAACAGACACCAACTGAGTGAGGATGGGGATGTGGTGATTGAGCTCTGTTCCCATGACCAGGAGCTGAAAACCACGTGATGCTCACCCAACCTTTCCAGGGTTGATAAGAAGACCTAGATGCGGAGAGCGGATGTGTTCTCCAAGACACACAACTCTACTAAGTAGTAGCACAGATTCCCTTGACTTTAAGGCCAGTACTTGAGCCTCACCATCTCCCTTTCAGCCTCACCCAAATGGCTACAAATTACCAACTAGTTAGGCTCCAATTTCATTGCATTTTTATTGTTTGGCAGTTGGACATACTCCACATGAGCATGTTTACTTCCCAAGCTACACCGTATGCAAGGCTTTGCTGGAAGTGCAGAGGTGACAATTCAAAGAGGCTATACCTGACTCTACACCTTCTATTTGCACAGCATTTACTTGCCTTTGTGGGGATGAAGCCCCATAGTAAAACCACAGAGATAGGCAGGACAGGTGTTATGTTCATTACACAGATATGTGTGTGTTATAAACATAGACTGAGTAAGGTAATTTGCACAAGGTAGTAGAGCTGGGAATCCAAGCCACATTCCTTATTCCGGAGATCATATGAGTATTTGTGTGTCTGCATATATCTGTGTATTTGTGAGCTTTGCTTATGTGCTTATTTTGCCCTTTCTCCCAGCATAATTTTTTCTATATAGCAATTAAAATAAGCTATATAAATATATAACTACAATATACAACATTTAGAAAATAGGAAAAAAGGGCCGGGCAAGGTGGCTCACATCTATAATCCCAGCATTTTGGGAGGACAAGGCGGGGGGGATCAGGTTAGGTCAGCAGTTTGAGACCAGCCTGGGCAACATGGTGAAACCCCATTTCTACTAAAAATACAAAAATTAGCTGGGCGTGGTGGTAGCTGCCTGTAGTCCCAGCTACTTAGGAGGCTGAGGCGCGAGAATCACTTGAACCCGGGAGGCAGAGGTTGCAGTGAGCTGAAATCGCGCCACTGCACTCCAGCCTCAGCAGCAGAGTGAGACTGTGTCTTGAAAAAAAAAAAAAGAAAATAGAAAAAAAGGCAAAAATATTGCCCATAATTGTGCCACCCTAAACAAAACCATTGTTATTGTCAGACTGTACCCCATTCCTGGCTTTACTCCCATACATCTTTTCCCTCTCTGACCACCACTCCCCCCGCAACCAGTTGTCATTATAAATGCCCCAAGTCTGCTCATGAGCCTTTATGAGCAAATTAAGGGCATGTTATGATGCTTTTCTAAGCAGAGACACAGAGTCACAGCAAAATGCAAGAGGCATTTGCTTTGGGTCAGCATCATTGACAGAGCAAGGGCGAGGAAGTTCACGGTTGGCAAGCATCAAGTTCAAAAGGTGAATGAGGACTGGAATGGGAGAAGACACAGCAAGTGATAGCCAGATGGCTCCGAGGTGGGGCTGATGTTGAGATATACAAACAAGATGGTGGTAGGTGTGTGACCAGTAGTTTACCTTTTTTTTTTTTTTTTTTTTTTTTTTTTTTAAGACAGTCTTGCTCTGTCACCCAGGCTGGAGTGCAGTGGCGACATCTCAGCTCACTGCAAGCTCCGCCTCCTGGGTTCATGCCATTCTCCTGCCTCAGCCTCCTGGATAGCTGGAACTACAGGCGCCCGCCACCATGCCCGGCTAATTTTTTGTATTTTTTAGTAGAGATGGGGTTTCACCGTGTTAGCCAGGATGGTCTTGATCTCCTGACCTTGTGATCCGCCCGCCTCCGCCTCCCAAAGTGCTGGGATTACAGGCGTGAGCCACCGTGCCTGGCCCATAGTTTACCTTTTAGTTAGTATTTAATGCATTTTTTGCTGCTTTTCCTCCGTTAGTCACAGAATCATTCAAAAGAATTGTTACCTGGGTCCTATCAAGTGCCTCTTACTTAGTCTCCTCTCAGAGCAGGTGGAATACATTTCTCTTTAGGCACAATGTGGTTCTAACTCCCAGGTTTGCAGGCCATCAGCACTTCCTTCTACACCCCATGGCAGACATCACTAATCAATCCCACTTGGCATCAGATCTCTCTCAGCACAACATCCCACTCCCACTCAATCAGAGAAGTTACATTAAATGAACCACTGTGGGTCACCCTCACCCCTAACCTGAAATAATCTAACCAATGTCCAGCGCAACCAAAGTGGGCAGAGCAAGAAGAGATACCAATTTCAAGAACAACTGTCAGTGGTGGTCTTATTCTTGCTGTTTCTCAGGATAATTTTCACCTCATTTATGGTTTGCCGAGGAAGTGGCTGTCTTAACAGGCATTTTAGAGAAGCTATCAGCCAGTTTTTCAGCCCAAAGTCATTCACCATTTTCCTAACTCTGATTTATTTGTGGCAGTGTTTTCACATAATATAAACACCAGTTATTTCAGGTCTTCCAATGTGCTGCATTTTAAAAATCTAAACTTTTTGGGTTTATGTATAATTTACTAAAATTCCATTAGAAAACAAAGCATACACAGCCCTAGACATTACTGGTTGATGAGCTCATCTTATTCCTTTCTTTATCCTTGGTTCTAATTAGCCAAAAAGGAGCAGAAGGCCATGGATGGAATAAGAAATGCATGGTAATATTCATTTCTGAGTAATTAACCTCATCTGTATATGTCAAGGGACAATAGTCAATGGGGTTTTTTATATAATTTATCACATTACCATAAAAACATTGAGTAGTTATCTTGGTAGATGCCAAGGCATTTGATGAAATTCAGCAGCTATTTTTTATTCAGTCACTAAGTATTCTTCTTAACCCAATAAATGCTTTAAAATAGAATTAAAATCAAAACCAATTTAAATGCTTTAAAATAGAATTAAAATCAAAACCAATTTAAATACTTTAAAAGGGAATTTAAATGCCAAACAATATTATATTTGGTAAAACAATGTAAGACCCTCAACAAGCTGTACAAGGATGGCCCCTACCAGAAGAAGTGCTAAAAAGAAAATAGATCAATCAATCAATCAATCAATGGAATAAAAAGGCCGAGCATGGTGGCTGATGCCTGTAATCCCAGCACTTTGGGAGGCCGATGGGGGGGTGGGGGGGGTGTGGATCACCTGAGGTCAGGAGTTCGAGACTAGCCTGGCCAACATGGTGAAACCCCATCTCTACTAAAAATACCACAAAAACCTAGCTGGGAATGGTTGTCCACTCCTGTATTCCCAGCTACTTGGGAGGCTGAGGCAGCAGAACCACTTGAACCCGGGCGGCTGAGATTTCAGTGAGCTGAGATGGAGCCACTGCACTCCGGCCTGGGCCACAGAGGGAGACTCTGTCTGAAAAAAAAAAAAAAAAAAGAAAGAAAAAAAGTAACACAGGAATAAAAAGATTATACCTTACACTCTCATAGTAGATAATACTTTTAATGTGCAGCATTCCCTTTCTTAAAAATTTCCTTGAGAATAGTCCATCTTTGTTTTTAATAGACATCTCCTGGGTTTAGTCTCAGATCTCATTTAGTAAATTAGAATTCGCCAAGAAACTTATTCTTACTGAACCGGAGTTTTCTCACCTGTAAATTTGGGAGGAATTACGATAGATACAGCATATGACAAGCACACAGAAAATATGATATTCCCCCCGCTATGTAAGCTCTACCTCTGATTTGCTTTTCGTTTTTCTTTTTCATTTGGAGTCCAAGGCTTAAAAATGCATTTGCTTCTTGAAATAATTTTGGAAATAGACTTTGCAACAGGTAGTTAGTACCTCATATAATACAGTCTTCCTGATCCTTAGTTTCTGAGGGTGAAAATTAATATACATAACACCTATAATAGATACTAAAAATAATAATAGCACTACTAGTTACTGAAGACTTATTCTAAGCCAAGCATTGGACTGGACCAGGGTGTACAAAAATGGAAAAATCACAGGCCCAAATATCTTACAGAGAAATTGGGTACAACCACCCTATCTAGACTTGGAAATTCTGATTTGGAGATCGCCTTGGGTGTTTTCTATTTTTAGAAATAATTATTCAATGCCACGTGATTTTAAAATTATTAGGTTGGTGCCAAAGTAATTGCGGTTTCTCTCATTACTTTTTTTTTTTTTTTTTTTTGAGACAGAGTCTTATTCTGTCACCCAGGCTGGAGTGCAGTGGCGTGATCTCGGCTCACTGCAAGCTCCGCCTCCTGGGTTCATGCCATTCTCCTGCCTCAGCCTCCCGAGTAGCTGGGACTACAGGCGTCCACCACCACGCCCAGCTAATTTTTTGTATTTTTAGTAAAGACAGGGTTTCACCATGTTAGCAAGGATGGTCTCGATCTCATGACCTTGTGATCCGCTCGCCTCAGCCTCCCAAAGTTCTGAGATTACAGGTATGAGCCACTGTGCCTGGCCCTCTGTCATTACTTTTAACGGCAAAAACCACAATGACTTTGGCACCAGCCTAATAACCCAAAAGGAATAACCATATTCCCCCATCAAAAGAGAAACGCTTCTGTATTATTTTACACCACTCTATCTTATTCTTGGTGTTACTGATTTGCTTTTTTTTTTTTTTTTCCATTAAAGGCACCATTGGTGTATCCATGTGGTTTGTCTGTTCTGAGGTTTCATTCATATCCTGCTTTTTTTACAACAGCTTTTAATTTTAACATGATTTTTTGTTTATTGCTTTATTTCCATCCTGTATTAGTCTTTCCAGGCTGCCATAACAAAATATCAAAGACTGAGTGGCTTAAACAATAGAGATTTGCTTCTTAGTTTTGGAGACTGGGAATTTCAAGATCAAGGTGTCAGCTAATTTGGTTCCTGGTAAGGGCTGTCTCTGGCTTGTGGACAGCCACCCTCTCACTGTGTCCTCACGCGGTCCCCACTCTGTGGAGTCTCTTCTTATAAGGGCACTAATCCCATCATGGGGGCCTGCCGTTATGACCTCATCTAATCCCTAAGTGCCTCCCAAAGCCTCCATCTCCAAATACTCTAACCATTGCATTGGGGTTCAGGGCTTAAACGTGAAATTAGGGAGAACAATCGTTCAATCTATAACACTTCCTATATTCCCTAGGGAGAGATTTAGAGCATTCTTACTTTTCTAACTAATATAAGAACTTTGGGCCAAGAAATGTGCTTTAAATATTGTTTGGGCAACATATGGATTCCTTCCTTAATCCATATTTTTATGTAAGAAAAATTTTTTTTCAATTGACACATGGTTGCACTTCATTGTTTTCATTCATTTGTAAGCCTACTTCTCTTCATTTAACACCTACTATTTACCAAGCCTGGGACAAGGCCATGAAGAGTTAGAAAATCAAAATACCTCAAGGAAAAAAACAACTGGTGGTAAAGGAGAAATGTAAACCAATGATTAAAATACAGTGTTCCACGCTCAACAAGGAGAGAGGTTCCTAGGAAATACTGGTGTCAAGTAAGAGGAATTCAAATCTGACTAATGTGGTTATGAAAGACCCTTATAAAACATCCCCTCTCTATCAATATATTGGGCATTATTTGTATGTCTCTTGTTGGCAACCTGTAAAGAAAATTGAATGTTTTAGATGCACCAAATCTTGCAATAATTTTCCTATGGCTAAAAGAAAAATGAAAACATTACGTTTGTTGGCATGGCTTGATTTTCTTCAAAGAAGAAAAGAATTTGAAGCAAAATCAAGAAAGAAAAAGCAGTAGCTGAGAGGAGATGCCTGAAGTTATTCTCGCTGCTGACCTCTTCTGTTTGCCGAGATTCCAACCTTACTTTTTACACTTAAAAATTTGACAGGGAGGTTTTTTCAGAAGTTCCCTGAAGGCACCTTCTGAGTGCAAACATAGAGTAGCCTCGCCACCCCTGCTGAGATCATTTTTCTGTTCAGATCCATTTTTATGTGATTGTTTTCCTGCTTCTGGTTTCCACCTAGCTGCTGTTTTTAAGTGTCCTCTGTTGTACCATTATTCACAAGTTGATGTTCCTTGTTTTATTTTCTAGGTTGGCAGCCTTCCCTGCATCATTATTCTGTTTATATCATTAGCTGCAGTGTAGGTTTGTTGTGTTACAGCATCATACGTTATTTGCTTTGCAAATATGACTCACTGTCTCTGACTTTCATCACCTGTGTTTGTGCGTCCTCTGAAGCGTTTATAAGCTTATCATAGGCCTGCAGTGTTGAGAAACATGGTTCTAAAAAATAGTCACTAAAAAGAGTCAATAGCTACTGCATCTCTCCCTGACATTCCAAGCGTTCTGTCAGATCTAGGAGGTTTACGCTTATATTTACTCCAGACTTAATTTTTTACTTTTCCTTGACTAATTTTTTTAGGTTTCTTTACTCAAACCTTCTTTGATGTTTGAGGTTCCCCTCACCATCGCTCATGAATTTTGGAAGGCCTTGGCTCACATCAGGAACTCATTTCACCACTGTCCCCCCAGTAATGAGTGTTGAATTAATGGTTCTTCCCAGATGTGCTTAAAAGTTCTTTAAAGTACCTTCTTTATTCACTCATCAAAAAGTTTGTCACTTACTCTGTGCTAGGGGATGTTGTAAGGTGAGGACAGCAAAGCCCCTTTGTTTTAATGTTGAGAGCCTGGAGGGAGAGAGATTTGATGTTTAAACTCATTTGATAATTACAGTGCAATGTGGAGACGGCTTTCAGAGCTCCTTTGGAAGCAAAACATCACCAGGTCTGGGGAAAACCAGGCAAAGCTTCAAAGACGATGTTGTGCTTGACCTGGTTCTCCATCACCAGCATACTTACCATTTTACACTGTGACTTGCACAATAGGACAGTCATACGATTGATGGACAGATGTCAACACTTAGTTTGGGATCGCCTCAAATCAGAGCCTGGGATACAGACTTATGTGCAGGAACTTATTTGAGAAATGATCCCAGAGAGAAAAAGTGAGGGAGAAGAAGAGCATCTGGAAAATGAAGGAAGGATGGGTTATCAAAGGCAGCTACTGCTGTGAGTGACTGGTGTTTGATCCCAATCCCTGGGGAAACTACGGAAATGCAACTCAAAACTGTCTTCCTGAAAAACTAAGGGGGGAACGGTCACTCCCCATTAGTCAAGGGTGGCTCCAAAGCACCAACTCCCAGTATTTTAGGGTTGTGCATGTGAGTGGGCTGCCCTCTCTCACATCAGAGCTACCTCTGGGTGAAGCAGAGCTAAAGGCAGGGCCCAAGGAACTGCCATCTTCCACATGCAAGAAGTTGATCAAAGTCTGTGTGGATCTGGCCCTGGCAACAGCAGCTAGGGTATAAAGGGGCCCAGAAGATTTAAAGTGATGTAGAAGAGGTGTTCAATACAGTGGATTCAATTTCTTTCATGGGATAAGATATAGGGACCTATGAAGTTGGTTACATCTTGCAGGAGGCAGCAGAGAAAACTCCCAATTAGAGGTCTACACAGTGAAATGCTGGTAAATATTAAATATTTTAACAACCAGCCCTAGCGGGGGAAAAAAAGCCCTGCTGTGTAGCATTGGCCAATTTCCACGCTGTAAATACTCCCATCGTGACCAATAGCGGGTTATCAACATGACATCACTGAATACAGAAGTGGGAAGAGATGTGCACAATCAGCTATCGGAGTCAGTGCCCCATACGTATTCCCTGGACTCCAGTTCCACAGAGTTGGCTGACAATACGATGGCCTGAAGGGCAGATTCCACCAGGCACAGAGCTCACTTTTGCTGGTCTCCTGTGTGCAGAAACCCTGGCTATGTCTGTGTTTGACAACCTGGTACAAGATAACTGGGGAAAATCTCAGAACATTGAGAATTTTTTGCTGTGAGGCTATATAAAGAAATCAATATCCAGGCAGAACCTCTCTCAGCAGCCCTAGGCACCAGGCCTGCCTTAGGTCCATTGCTGTATAATCCTTTTGGTCTCTGTTTTGCTCTCACTTCTTGGACACCCTATGCCCAGCTCAAGTCCCTCCTATGTACCCCCAGCACTCTATTACTTCCAACACAAAGATATATTTTTTTATTGTCCATATTTTCCATAAAGCTATAAGCTTTCTAAAAGCAGGTGTAGACATCATGTTCAGTTTTATATCCCCAACAGTTAATTTACAAGCTCAGTACCCAAAACTTCATAGTTCTCCTCCTCCCCTATCCTGCAGGGAGGAGTGGTGTCAAGTGCTAGATTTACCCCTGAGCTAGGCAGTTGTGGTCTATCAAAAGCAAAAGCCCTTAGCTATGTTTCTCACCATCCATCATTTTAGTGCCTGTTTAGAGAGAATCATAATAAAAGCAGAGAGTAGCAGTGAAAGATTGAAATATCCACTTCAGGCAATGATAGAAAAGCCATCAAAAGGGCTGGACACGGGGGCTCACGCCTGTAATCCCAGCACTTTGGGAACCCGAGGCAAGTGGATCACCAGGTCAGGAGATTGAGACCATCCTGGCTAACATGGTGAAACCCCGTCTCTACTAAAAATACAAAAATCAGCCGGGTGTGGTGGCGGACGCCTGTAGTCCCAGCTACTCGGGAGGGTGAGGCAGGAGAATGGCGTGAACCCGGGAGGTGGAGCTTGCAGTGAGCCGAGATGGCACCACTGCACTCCAGCCTGGGTGACAGAGTGAGACTCTGTCTCAAAAAAAAAAAAAAAGTTCAAGACCAGCCTGACTGACATGGTGAAATTCCGTCTCTATGAGAATTACAAAAAAATTAGCCACACGTGGTGGTGAGTGCCTGTAATCCCTGCTACTTGGGAGGCTGAGGCAGGAGAATCTTGCTTGAATTCAGGAGGCAGAGGTTGCAGTGAGCCGAGATAGCGCCACTGCCCTCCAGGCTGGGGGACAAGAACCAGGTTCTGTCTCAAAAAAAAAAAAAAAAAAAAAAAAAGCCATCACAAGCCTCTTCATGATTACAGATAATAGGCCCTGTTGGAGTTCAGAAAAAGCCAAGAACACTTCCCGAAGCTGCAGAAGAAGAGGTGCTCATTGTAGGATCGCCATGACCTGTCAGTGGCTCAAGACAGGAAAAGGAGGCCGGGCGCGGTGACTCACGCCCGTAATCTCAGCTCTTTGGGAGGCCGAGATGGGCAGATCACAAGGTCAGGCGATTGAGACCATCCTGGCTAACACAGCGAAACCCGTCTCTACTAAAAATACAAAAAATTAGCCGGACGTGGTGGCAGGCACCTGCAGTCCCAGCTACTTGGGAGGCTGAGGCAGGAGCACGGCGTGAACCCGGGAGGCGGAGCTTGCAGTGAACCGAGATGGCGCTACTGCACTCCAGCCTGGGCGACAGAGCAAGACCCCGTCTTAAAAACAAAATAAAAAGACAGGAAAAGGAGAGTGGAATTGAGTAGGAGGAAAGAGAGAAGCAGGGGGATGTGGACAAAGGATGATAATAATATGACAATAACATACAGCAATGATGATAATAATCAACACACATTGAGCATTGACCATGTACTGGACACTGTCCTAAACATTTTATAAGGGCTGTATTTCATTTAATCCTCACAATAACCATGAGAAGTAGATGTTATTATTTATCCCTATGGATTACAGAAGAAAATGAGGCACAGAGGAGTAAAGTCGCTTGCCTGAAGTCACACAGTAAGACATGAAAGACAAAAACTTAAACAGCTTTTGAAAATTAGGTGATGATATTCTGTCATAAGCTATATATTTCTTCTAAATCTTACCTCCTCTGCACTTCTTTTCCTTGCCTCTCTGCAGTAAGGATTATAAAGATTTCTTGGCAGGTGCAGTGGCTCATGCCTGTAATCCCAGCATGTTGGGAGGCCTAGGCAGGCAGATACCTTGAGGTCAGGAGTTCGAGACCAGCCTGGCCAACATGGTGAAACCCTGTCTCTACTAAAAATACAAAAAGTAGCCAGGCGTGGTGGTGTGTGCCTCTAATCCCAGCTACTTGGGAGGCTGAGGCAGGAGAATCACTTGAATCCAAGAGGCAGAGGTTGCAGTGAGCTGAGATCGCAACACCGCACTCCAGCCTGGGCGACAGAGGGAGACTCTGTCTCAAAAAAAAAAAAAAAAAAAAAGACTTCTCTTGAGCTACTGAGTGCTGAGCACTCTGCCTGTATCTTTTCGTGCAATCTACCCACAACCAATCAAACTTTGGTAGGTAAGGGGGCAACGGTTCAGAGAGGTTTAGGAGCTTGTCCAAGATCACATATCTGCTCAGTGGAGGACCTGGGATTTGAACCGACATCACTGGGGCTCTGAATTTTTCCATGCCTGCATACATTCCTGCCCTTCAACCCAGTCCAGCCTGCTCGCCCTCCCTTCTTGCCTCGTAAGAACGGCTCCTGCGAGAACACCACAGGCCTATAGAAGAATTCAGTTTGAAACCACTTTTCAAGAATGTGACAACAGCCAAATTGCTAGAGAGGGCAGTTTTAGGAAACTTCTCATTTCTCTTTAGAAAACAAGAATGCCCTTTAAGGTGAAATTCAATTAGAGTTGGAATATTATTTGCAAACATATGAATTATTCTCATAAGGGAAAAAGGCATCCCTGAAGTCCTACTTGATTCCCTAAGACTCTGGCTAGGGCCCCAGAACCTGATGTGTAAGCATGGATAGCATGTCTGCTTTGAGGAAAGAGAAAATGAAAACTTGGGAAATGGCAGCTGCTCTTTTTCTCGTGAAGGGACATTTCACAGATGTCCAGTTAAAGCTAAAAAACGAGCCTCTCAGGATATGTTTCACAAACATGAATCCTAGTAGTTTGGAAATTCATTATACAGTATCACTTCCTAAGAATACACTAGGTGGCCAGGCGTGGTGGCTCATGCCTGTAATCCCAGCACTTTGGGAGGCCGAGGCGGGCGAATCACAAGGTCAGGAGATCGAGACCATCCTGGCTAACACGGTGAAACCCCGTCTCTACTAAAAATACAAAAAATATTAGCAGGGCATGGTGGCGGCTGCCTGCAGTCCTAGCTACTCGGGAGGCTGAGGCAGGAGAATTGCATGAACCCGGGAGGTGGAGCTTGCATTGAGCCGAGATCGCTCCACTGCACTCCAGCCTGGGCAACAGAGTGAGACTCCTTCTCAAAAAAAAAAAAAAAAAAAAGAAAGAAAAGAAAAGAAAAGAATACACTAGGCATCAAAACATTTAAAAGACTCTGAGAAGCCCTGCATTAAAGAAATCTCCTTGACATTAGTTAAGCTACTACTTCTCAAAACTGTCAGTGCATCATCATAATTATTAGACATTTGTTCAGTATGTGCTATATGCCAGGCATTCTAAGAGCATTACGACAGTACATCTTTAAACAACCCCATAAGATGCAATTGCTATCCCCATTTTAATAGATGAGGCAAAAGAATAGAGAGATTAAATAACTTTCCCAGAGTCACATTGCTAACAAGTGGCACAGCAGGGATCTGAACCCATGCAACCTTGCTTGTAACCACTACATGCAAACATTTACTATCATCCCACAGGCAGGGACCCAGAACTGGTTTGCAGTAACCTGCCAGTGTACACCAACTGTACCACCCAGTAAGACCAGTGTTCAAACCAGAATCCTAGCTGATTCACAATGAAAAACATAACCTCCATCTCAGAAGTGCAATATCGTTGGTTATCCCAGTGTCCCAGTTGGGAAGAAAAAGGAAAATACACATTGTAAGCAGCCAAGGTCCTTGGTTATGATAAGGGAGCAGCAAAACAATGAGGTGATTGGTGGCTTTAATTACTTGATCATTTTCCCCTACTATCAGCCCTGGGGAGACCAGACCTTCTCATCCTGTGGCATAGTGTCCTGTGGGGTACTAAGGATTCAGTACTTCTCTTAAATTCATAAAAACAGGCCCCTGCCCAAGGCCCTGGGCTTCATAGGACCCTATATGGACCCTCCCTCGGCCTCACCCTTGCTATTCTACAAGGCCAAGAGGATATAGGCCTATCCAAGACTTCAGCATCCCCTGACCAAATGGCCCTGAGCCCTCTTGCAGTGTCTTCACAAGCTTCTTTTCTAGGCCATCCTCCTGTGGGTCAAATGTGCCACCAGATTGCACTTCCCAAAGCCTGAGGAGTGGCTGTTTGTGGGAGGTGGGGAAGGAGCTTGCACGTGCAGACTCTGGGTCCACACGAGTGTACACAAGGCACCCCAAGGGGATGGATGGGGCTGAGATATGAAGAAAGGGACTCCCCAGGGAGTGGGGTCAGCTGTCCTCACTCCCCACCTCTGGCATAGAACTCGGGAGGATGAGAATTCCAAATGGGAACCTGGTCCTCCTGGGCTTGATGATGGTGTATTTGTCAAGGGAGGAGGATAGAAATAGTTCACTTAAAACAAACTGACGGTATGTTAGGTTGATTTATGTCCACTGAATATTTAGACATATGACACATGGGCCCACATTTGTACTCTTTGTAGTCTCATCTTGGACCCCACAATATAAGGGGTGGGCCCACCATACCTCTTCAGTTCCTCTAAGGCAGTGTGACATAGTAGAAAGACAAACATTCAGTACACATTTACAGAATGCCTACATTTTACCATGAGCTGCCTAGAAAGAGTCAAGCCTGAGTTAAAGTCCTGACTCTACCACTTCCCAGCATAAGTGAGTTCTCTTTAGTTGTTTTCAACATCAGTTGCCTTATCAGTAAAGTGGGGTTGATCACCCTCAGCAAGATACCATCAAGGTAGGGGTGAAGTTAACATAAGTAAAGCGCCTGGGATTGAGTCTTTCATATAATATGAGTTCAATAAACAAAATAACATGATGAAAAACACAACAGAAATGGGAAAATGTTAATAATGGTTGAGGCTGAGTGAATGGGGACAAGGTGGTTCATTATACAAGTCTACCTTGTTTTTTTTCTGCACCCAGGCTGGAGTGCAGTGACATGGTCACGGCTCACTGCAGCCTCAACCTCCCAGGCTCAAGCGGTCCTCCCTCCTTGGCCTCCCAAAATCTACTTTATGTTTATTATTATTATTTTTTACAATAGAATGAAATTTTAAAAATTAAACATAGCATCCAATTTCAACTGGCTTATTCTCACTGGCAAGGCAAACATGTTGCTATTTCTCCTATTGTAAAGTATCTCTTGACCTCACCCCACCTGATAGCTATTGCCTTAGTCTGCTCAAGATGCTTGAACAAAAAAACAAAGACTGTGTGCTTAAACAGCAGATGTTTCTTTCCCACAGTTCTGGAGGCTCGCAAGTTCAAGATCAAGGTACTAGCAGATTTTGTGCTTGGTGAGGGCTCTCTTCTTGGCCTGTAGATGGCCGTCTTCTCACTGCTTCCTCATATGGCAGAGACAGGAAGTTATGGTTTTTCTTCTTCTTCTTCTAAGGGCATCAATCCCATCTCGAAGGCTTCATCCTCATTACTTTATCTAAACTTAACGCCCTCCCAAAGGCCTCACCCCCTAATACCATCACATCAGGTGTTACGGCTTCAACATATGCATTTGCGGGGGTGGGGTCATAGGCATTCAGTCTATAGCAGCTTTTGCTGTTTCTCCGATCCCCTTTGCTACAAAACATTTAGAAAGAGTTGTCTATGCTTTATTTGGATTAAATGATTTAATTTTAATTTCATTTGAAAGTAATATTTTTATTGTGGCAAAAACACATAAACGTACTGTCTTAAATTTTTAAGTGTATAGCACACTGTTAACTATATACACAATATTATATAACACATCTCTGTAACGTTTTTGTCTTGCAACTCTAAAACTCTATACCCATTGGAGTTGTCTATGCTTTTTGTCTCTAATTCTTTCCTTCTATTCTCATTTAAATTTAGTCCAAGCAAACTCCTGCCCCCACATTCTACCAAACCCACTCTTGTCAAAGTCAACAGGGACCCCCCTCCCCCAACAAAGTTAAATCCAGTGATCAGCTCTCGATCCTCATCATCTTGATACAGAGACCCCCCTCCCTCTACTATGATGCTTCCTTCAGTTGGCTTCTAGGATGCCCTTCCTTGCTTGTTAGTCTCCATTGTTGGTTCTTCTCCTTGACCGCTTTATCTTGCAATGTCCCAGGGCTCCGTCCTTGGGACTCCACTCTGGGACATGTTGGCATCTGGACTGGGCCAGGTTATTCTTTGACATGGTTGGAGGGGGACAGTCTATGCATAAATGTGTATTGTAACAAAGGCCAGGAGCTGCCTAAGACAATATTGGACATCAGATATAAACAGTAAGTTTAAGATCCTAGTCAGACATAGAATTAGGACATAAAAATACAATAAATTTGGGGATGTAAGTTAGGGGAGGTGAAAGAGCCAGGACCAACTCTACGAACCTCATGAGGATATGCAGGGCTCCCTCTTGGTAGAGAGGCTCTTATTCAGCAACAACATTGACTGATAAAATGCCTGAAGGCTGCCTTATTTTCTCAAGCTCTTTGGTCATCTGTTCTTTTGAAAACCAAAGCCACTCACTCACACAGCAAGTATTCAGAGAGCTTTTACTGCAGCCCAGAATCACATTAGACAATCTGAATTACAAAATAGATGCAGCGTATGCTGGAGCTGGCTCATACCAGCTCACAAGAGCCAATTGTTAAATAATCAGGAATTTTGTGAGCCAGTCATTCAACAAAACTATTATAGTTATTAAATTATATAAACTAATGATTTAAAATATGTATTAAAAACAAATGGAATAATCATTTATAACTTACAACTTTTTAGTTATATTCTCATTTGGCTATCTATGCTTTTGAGGTTGTATGCATTCATTGTACCTGTATGGTGGAGTACTATAAAATAGCATTACCATGCATTGTGTCCCAACCCCACTTTCAGTTATGTCATTTTGGTAATTTGAAAATCAGCCATGGTGTGAGCATTCACACCAAAGAAATCAGCAAACGCTACAATCCGGGCTTGATTTATCACTTGGTTTATTGTGTAGATGAAAGAAAGTAATGGAAAAAAATGTAAATAACGCAAATTAAACTTGAAAATACACCACGTATATTACTGAAGCTGAAAGAGGTTACAGTTCATTGAATGAAATTTGTATGATGGTAAGAAAGAGTGTTACCATAGATCAGTTATCAGTCACGTATCAGATTTAATAACACCAAATTGATTGGGTAAAGAGTTGTTGGGCCGGTTATTGAAGCTGAAAGAGGTTACAGTTCATTGAATGAAATTTGTATGATGGTAAGAAATAGTGTTATCATAGATCAAATATCAGTCACATATCAGATTTAATAACACCAGATTGATTGGGTAAAGAGTTGATGGGCCGGACACGGTGGTTCACGCCTGTAATCCCAGCACTTTGGGAGACTAAGGCAGGCGGATCACCTGAGGTCGGGAGTTCGAGACCAGCCTGACCAACATGGAGAAACCCCGTCTCTACTAAAAATACAAAATTAGCCAGGCCTAGTGGCACATGTCTGTAATCCCAGCTACTCGGGAGGCTGAGGCAGGAGAATCGCTTGAACCCGGGAGGCGGAGGTTGCGGTGAGCCGAGATTGTGCCATTGCACTCCAGCCTGGGTGACAAGAGCAAAATTCCGTCTCAAAAAAAAAAAGAGTTGTTGGATTGGAATGCAACTCAATTTGTCAAATTGTGATTGAATCGTAACCATAGATTGGCAAAACTCAACAAAAGCATTCTCTGGAAACAGACTACATAGGCTTTACAGTAAAGAGTATTGTATATTTTTATTACCATTCGTAAATTGTGTACTACACATCCTCTATGTCAGTAAAAAATTATCATAAATGTATGCATATACGGATTTTTTCAGAGAGTCAGTTATTAAACATTTATCTGCACACCAGTGGCTGTGAGCATGATCTTGATACACAGATGTTTAGAGTCCATCTGGGGGGAAACAAATGGTATGGATAAAATAAGAATTAGAGGACAAGGCAGTATATGACATTGTTTAGTGTAGGGAAATGTCACAGAAGGCCTGTGAGTTGGTCTACCTATTTGTGAGTCACCAAGAAGGCTTCCCCAGAGGAGTGGGACTTGAGCAAAACCTTGAAGGAAGTGCATGGGTTAAAACTGCATAAGGAAAGGCCTAGAGGCAGGAGGCCCTGTTGTTGGTGTTCCATCACTACAGCAATTGCAAGACCAAGCCTGTGGGAATGAATGAACCAATGGAGAACTAATGGCAAGTGAGGTTGGCTAGAAGACGGAGCCAGATAGAGGGTCTCACAAAGCAGCAGCTGACCCTGAGACAGAGAATCATATACAAGATGTGTATTTGGGACCCCAGAACACACTGGTGGAAGAGATGGGAAAGTTAGACGAGGAAGGGAAGACAACTCCTGCGAAGTGCATTGTCAAGCCAGCTACTCCTGTGGGTAAATGAAGGCTAATCCTACTGGGGCGCTATGAGAAGCAGTGCACAACACCCAGCTCGGATGAGGAGCTGGCATACTTAAGCATCAACTCCCAAAAGTCATTCATTGAGAGCTGTTCTGGGAATGCGGAACATTAATTCCCTGGCACTTCTGGCCTGCTGTGCAGGCAGCATCAGCAAGAGAAAGCCTTCAGACGAAGAAATGGGGGTAGTAGCACGGTAGGGTCTGTACGAAAGGGGGCCAAGGGCAGGGAAATCACAACCTCTGCTGTAATTCCTGGAAGTCAGTTTGGGTTTCGTGCACTCAACAGTGGGGACTCACTGTGTGTTCTTGAGCAAAGAAGTGTCCTTGGAAATGCTGCCTCCTCTAGAACTCTCCCTGCAACAGCGTCCTTACAACATGGTATGGCGCAAGGGGCTCAGGTTCAGAAGATCAGAATTCAGGCCCTACCTGAGCCACGAAGTAGCTGTATCGTTGTGAAGCTCTTGTCTTCTCCGCTTTTGTAAAACAGGAATATTACTACTCTCTCTCCACTGGGTTTTTTGTTTTTGTTTTTAATTTTTGTTTATTTGTTGTTTTAGAGATGGAGTCTTAATATGTTGACCAGGCTGGTCTCAAACTCTTGGCCTCAAGCAATTCTCCCCAGTCGCTGGGACTACAGGCTTGCAACATTGTGCTTTGCTCCCATTAAGTTGTTCTGAGCGTTAAAAATATACATAAGAGCGTTTTGTAAATTGTTATTTTGTTATTTTTATCACCTATAGAATGTCAAAGAAAGAATGAGGTTCTCTAAAGAATCTATGCTGGAATCGTCTTTTGTCATTGCTTTTTAAATTTACTCCTACAGGGAGCCTCCTTATACTACACTGCGCTTTGCTCTTTTTTTTTTTTTTTTCCTAAGTCAGACACATCTTCAAAGCAACCCCTGTCATTCTCCCACTTTGTTGTTGGCAAAGAGTGCCCTCTGATTAGTAGCGATTGCACTCATGGTAATATTAGTCATTTTCACAGCAACAGCCATGCCAGTTGGGAGTTCTAATAGACATTGTTTTGACTTCTAAAAAAATCATCTTTGTGTATTACTTCGGTGATCAAAGTTTATTATTCATCCACCAGCACTTGAAGGATTTAGATAAGAGATATTGTTGAGTTAATTTGTCCCTTGGCCTAATGGAGCCTCTGAAATATAAGCTAGATTCTCAGAGTCACCATGAAAGCCTCACTTCATTAATTGAAGACCAATCTAGAGAGACGATAAGAGGGGAGAAAAAGAAATCTAAGCTCATCTTCCCAGTTAGCAGTAAGACAAGAGACAGGAGGTAGGACCAGAAGGGGAGAAAAATTGGAAGCAACGAAAAAGGAAGGGGCAAGCCATCCTGAGCTCTAAGATGTAGCCATTATGTGGAAAGGCATAGCTGTGCTCCATAATTTCCCGGAAATTACCTTTTATTAAAGTACTGCCCTTAACCACATTACCTTTAATATTGAAAAATAAAAATTGCTAAAGGAACTCAGGTTTCAGTGCAAATGTAACAGAGATAATTAAATTCATCCTAATTCAGTCCCAATGATTCCTGTTCAACTTCAAATCATTGCAATTAAGAAAGCACTTTTTCATTCAGCTCAGAGAATAAACCATAGTTTCTTTATGTTTTGATTTGTTTGTAGCTGCCATTAATAGCCAGTTTACAGGGCTACAGATAAGAAAACGGAGACTCGAAAGAACTGGTAGAGGATGGAGTAGCGATTAAGATTCTATCTGAATAATCTAAGGTTCCCTCCACTCTGCTGCCTTGCCTTTCTGGTTCCAGTAAATTCCAGAGAATGTAAGAGAGATTATTACCAAAGTACACTAAAGAGGAATAAGGAGAGTGTATGATTTCTTCTGCCTTTGAGGGGAAGATACATGATTTACAAGGATTCTGAATCCCCAGACCTCCCTGGTCTTTGCTTAGGGGAGCCCCAGAGATGGAAATCAGTTGAAGCCAGACACTGAAGTTCTGTATATGCAAGACTCTCAAGGTCTGGGCTGCCCCTTCCCTTCACCCTAGGAAAACATCAATTATTCGTCCCCCAACTAGGCAGGGAAATAGGGAAAGAAAGAGCAGAGACACAGCCTGAATCTTTTCTATCAAAAAGAAACAGTTTGAAGAATTCCATATCCAATAAATGTGTGAATGGGGAGGTGTCGGGATGCAAATTAAAGGCATTAAGGAACTTGCTAATTGGCTCAAGAAACTGGAAGTTTCTCTCACTGACACTCACCAGCTGGCCCAGCAAGCTGTTTATTCTGTGGTGTCTCAGAGGCCAGGAAAAGGTGATACAGTGAGCCCAATAAGCTAAGTACTGATTCAAAGATTTAGAAACATTTTTCTTATTACATCCCAATTAATGGTGCTACCATCCGTGCAGGAAACCAAGGTAGAAAGTTCTCCTCAGCAGGCACATATTCAAACACATATATCTTTCCTTCTTCCCCCCAAAAGTCTCTTGAATCTAGTCCTTTCTCTTCATTCCACAGGGCCTGCTGTAATTCCACCCACCATCATCCTGCCGTTAGACTCCTTCACTGGCCACCTGTCTCCCTCCCTCCTTGTCCCCTTCCTCAACCCTTGCTCTCCTCATGTCGCTGTGATCAACACTAGAATGTCAGGCCCCAGTGTCTGCTGGGAGGGTGCGACCCATTTGGCTGATCCATGCTGTAAGGAGGATGGAAAAATACCATCTTCCAATTGGTTCTCAATATCCAGCTTCATCCCGGAAACTGTAAGTTTAATATGGAAAGGCAATGAATGCATCAGCCCTCCCAAGCTGATCATTCCTAAATCTTACTTTGCCCATTTTTCTCCTCCTTCCAACTCTGAGCTCCCTGGAGGAAGGAGCCTTCCCTTATTGATCTCAAGGTTCAGAACGCATAGCAGAACACCCAGCCTAAGATAGGCTCCCAGTAAATGTTTGTTCAGTAGAATAAGTTCTCTCTCTCCTGAGCTTACCATGGCTATTAGTTAAAATTAAGTTGCTCAGGAAGCAGGCACCATCCATCATTCCTTCCTATCTAGCTTCTTGTTTATTCAAGAGAGTCGTGGCTATGTAAACAGTGCTGAGGCATTCTGCAGTAGAGGCTGTGCCAATAGGGGAGAGGAAGTGCATTGAATCCAACTAGGCACTAATGAAAGGCTGAAAGTCCTTCTGGAGTTTTGAGGGTGTGTGTGTGTGCATGTGTGTGCATGCATGTGTGTGCACGCATGTGTGCATGTGCATGTGTGTGTGTGTTTCAGCAGCTTTCTCTGCAACCTAGGTGTCCAGGGGAAAACAGAGAGCCCCTTGTGCTTCCTGATTTGCAAACCAGACCGGTGCCTTTCATTGACAGGTGTTGTGCCTAGACCAGGATGCTGTTTTGATTGGAAAGGATGCTGGACTGATTAGTTGAAACAAAACATTCTCCAATTAACAGAAATAGAAGCTGGAGCTGGAATGTGAAGTGTTCAGCAACAGTGTTGCCAGGCAGCCTATTTAAAATTAATTAGAGGTAGAGATACATGGAACTGAAAAACACCACCCGCTTCCCTGCTTAAGAGAGCTGGGGTAGGATGAATGATGTGGGAATTTGCAAGCGTTACTGAGCGAGTCTGAACTGCCTTCTCAGATCCCATTTTTTCAATTGGTGGCTCTCATGCAGATGAGTGAGTCAATGTGTGAAATAGAGGAGAGATGACTGTGATAGAGAAGGACAAAGAAATTACAAAATATCCCTCGCTTTCTAAATGCCCTTAGCTCCTGAGTTTGCAGAGCAAGAATTCAGAAATTCAGAATTCACAGAGCAAGAGATACCTATTACTATTAATAAAGGTTCAGTATATCTCATTTATCTAAAAAACAAACCTTGGCCGGGCGTGGTAGCTCACACCTGCAATCCCAGCACTTTGGGAGGCCAAGGGAGGCAGATCACTTGCGGTCAGGAGTTTGAGGCCAGCCTGGCTAACATGTGAAACCCCATCTCTACTAAATAAATAAATAGCCGAGTATGGTGGTGGGTGCCTGTAATCCCAGCCTCTTGAGAGTCTGACATACGAGAATTGCTTGAACCTGAGAGGCAGAGATTGCAGTGAGTCAAGATGGTGCCCCTGCACTCCAGCCTGGGCTACAAAGACTCTGTCCAAAAAAAAATAAATAAATAAAATCAAACCGTATCCGGATACAAACAAAATTCCAGAAGGAAAAGCAAAGTGATTGCTGTAAGGATTGCACAGAGCTGCCAAGCATTCACCCATTCAAACAGGACCTAGTCAGTCCCTGGAAACTTTTGCTTTTCATTCAAGTCTGGCCATTGCAAATCTTGGCTGTGTCTAATCTGATCTGGTGTGAG
Source organism: Homo sapiens (assembly GCF_000001405.40). Classification (NCBI taxonomy): domain Eukaryota; kingdom Metazoa; phylum Chordata; class Mammalia; order Primates; family Hominidae; genus Homo; species Homo sapiens. The sequence goes on from NC_000016.10 coordinate 77,920,287, forward strand.
TTACGAATGTTCAAAAGGTGGAGGAAACTGATAGAGGCAGGTCCATTTAAAACTGCCAGAAGTGATAGCCTGTATCCCAGCAATGCAGGAGAAGGAAGCAGATGAGACCTCCAAAATGCCCTCTCAAGGACTCAGCGACACATAGCTGCCATTTTTAGTAGGAACAAAACAACTCCACACACCTCATCAGCATTTGAAAACACCCCCTGAATTATACTTAGAAGACTGAATATCGAAATATGTATGTGTTCATATGTCAATATATGTATATGAATGTATATAATATATAAATGTGTGTGGATATAGTCATGCTCTGTATAATGACATTTCAGTCCACAGACGTTTGCTTAAGACAGTGATCCCATAAAATTCTAATACCATATTTTTACTGTACCTTTTGTATGTTGATGTGTTTAGATACATGCTTACCATTGGGTTACAATTGCTTACAGTATTCAGTCCAGTAACATGCTGTACAGATTTGTAGTCTAGGAGCAATAAACTGTACCATACGGCCTAGGTGTATGGTAGGCTATACCGTCAAGGTTTGTGTAAGTTCACTCTATGATGTTCACACAATAACAAAACCCCCTAACCATGCATTTCTCAGAATGTATCCTCATCATTAGGTGTCATATGACTGTGTGTGTGTGTGTGTGTGTAGTGTGTATGTGCATATATACACACACACACATACATACATACATGTAGATAATTCATCAGAAGTTAACACAAATATCCATTTCATTAGATCAGCAGTGGCAAATCAGCTTTATCTCATTTGCCAGTTTCATTGCCTCGAAGGGCTACCTGGAAATCTGTTTGCACAAGGACTCTGATGCCAAATCTTATCTTAATGGTAAGAAGGGCCATTACTGACAGGAATAGCATCATGGGGCTGGGCAAGGAAGCAAGCCAGTCTTTCTTTCCAGCTGGAATAAGCCATAGCCCAAGAACACTGTAAATCGGGACTATTCCTCTGACTCCTCATGGAATTGCTTTTACTGAACAATATGTTGACATTCCCCTATGTTTGCACTGAGACGTGTTGCATTAAGAAGCAGCTCTATTGTGTATCTCATACGGGTGCTTGATAACTTTATCCATGGAAGTGACTCTCCTTTAGGAGAACCCATGGAAGAAATACATCCAGTGGGAGAGAAAACTATTTCTCTTGAGAAATGTGTTTGTTCTGATCTTCTGGGGACCACAGATCCTTTAATTAGTTACATTCCTATTTTTGCATCGGCTGTGGAAGTCAGATATGCACTCTCCTGTAAACCTATGCAGGACCTTTCGTATCTATTTTATCTGTTCCTCTTACCTGTGACTTAATTTTATGTCTCTACTAATATTTTCCCTTTGTCCTAATTTGGTCACTTTATTTGTGACTTTTAGGCACTTGTACTAAGTCACCTCAAATCCTACTTGAATAAGTAACAATCAAGGAAACTTGTACACTTTTTTTTCTTTTTGAGACAGGATCTCACTCTGTTGGCCGGGCTGGAGTGCAGTGGCACAATGACAGCTCACTGCAACCTCTACCTCCCAGGCTCAAGCAATCCTCCCACCTCAGCCTCCCGAGTAGCTGGGACTACAGGTGCATACCACTACACCTGGGTAATTTTTATAATTTTTTTTTATGGTGACAGGGTCTCACTATGTTGCCCAGGCTGGTCTTGAAGCCCTGGGCTCAAGCAATTCTCTTGCCTCAGCCTCCCAAATTGTTGGAATTACAGGCATGAGCCACTGCATTCTAGCCACATATACTTTAGAAAAACCTTTTTTTCAGGTTAGCACCTACTGAGACAAGTTACTTTCTGGAAAATTTAAGCATGTGGAATATTTTATTTCATAAATGAAGAATCTCTCGCTGTGTGAGTTTGGGATGGCGGGCGGGGGTGGAGGGGCAGTGTCTGTATGTGTCTCTGTGTATCTGTGTCTATGTCTGCGTGTACAAATGCATGTACAACATCCATGTGGTTCTTATTAGGTCTTGGAATTAAAAGGTACTCTGTTCAAGCTGAGTTTCTCAGAGCCACAGAATTATAGTAATTACCAAGGCCAGTTCCATCAAGGCAGCAGAGTCACACACGTTTCAAATGAACAGACAAAGGGAGCCTAAGCCACTGTTAGAAATGTGCTGCTTATTAATGGCTGCAAAGGAAAATTCTTTTCCTGCCTTGGCCTCAGAATGCAAGGAGATTAATTCTTAACAATGAAAAGACAGGCAGCTGTCAGCGGCTTGTCACAGCTGGGCATGTGATGAAGAGAGAGGTGCTGTGACATGTGCCAGCAAGGACAGGACTTATGCAGTGGAGAAGTAGGGAAACAGCCTCGAAAATAGGGCAAAGGGAGAGGACGGTATTAAAGTGAATGCCACTCTATGTGCCTGGCAGTGTTTTAGGCACTTTTTAGAAATTCCCTTTAAGCTTGCACACTCCCAAACGCTTCCCATTTGATGGATAAAAACGGTGAGGAACAGAGGGCTGAAACCCCCTCCCCATGGAGCCAGGATTTAAACCTAAGTTTGCCTGACTTTCCAACCCATGCCACTCTCACTGTGCCAGTGGCCCTCAAAGTGTGCACTGTGAACCACCTGAGTTGGAATTCCTGGGGAGCTTTATAATGCAGATTCCGGGACCTCAACCCAGACCTGTTTGTTCAATCTTCGTTGACGTCTACAAGCACTAAATCTTCAGAGCCACCACTGTACCTTGCAGCCTGTTAAAAGTCAGCAGTTCCTTGCCACAGTGGTGGGCTTTGGAGAGTTCTCCCAGCTCTCAATTCCTCCTTCAGCAGGAGACCCTGCAACCTGTGTGACCCCCCGAACCTCGGCTTCTGGAGGACAATTCTGAACATCCGTTAAAAGGAATAACTTTGGCTGGGCGCAGTGGCTCACGCCTGTAATTGCAGCATATTGAGAGGCCAAGGTGGGTGGATCATGAGGTCAGGAAATCGAGACCATCCTGGTTAACATGGTGAAACCCCGTATCTACCAAAAATACAAAAAATTAGCTGGGCATGGTGCCGCGCACCTGTAGTCCCAGCTACTCAGGAGGCTGAGGCAGGAGAATAGCTTGAACCCTGGAGGCAGAGGTTGCAGTGAGCCAAGATCATGCCATTGCATCCTAGCCTGGGAGACAGAGCAAGACTCTGTCATGGATGAATGAATGAATGGAATAAACTCAGGGGCCCAGAATCAGGTCTTAAAATCTTGGTCCCTGGAAAGATTGATGTTAACAAAATTAAGCCAGCATCCTCACCTATCAGGTTTTTTCTACTCTCTGTTGGACTTCTGTAGAATTTCTTTGGTATTTTTCAGAAGCCAGCCTCCTGCCTAGTCACACAGCTTTCTCCTCCGGGCCTCAGTTTCCCAATCTGTAAAGTGAGGGAGATGGACAAAGGCTTCTCCCAAGCCTGCTTCTTTCTCAAAGTTGGTACCCAGGGTGGCTTCACACAGTTTTTGAAAACAAAGTGCCTTCACTACACTGGGGAGAGAGGAAAACAAAACAAAACAAAACAAAAGCTGCTGTGAAAACCATCCCAGGATAGCTCATATGAGCTTAGCAGCCGACACACTGGTGTGTACAGGACCCATTTGTCAAGCTGACTGTCTCTCCACAAGCTTGGATTTCTCCCTCATGGTCTGGGGTCTGCCTTCCCCCCCTCCCTTCCCCCAGTAAAGATGAGGAAATCTATTTATGCAGCTCTGAAACTAGACACACAAGAAGTTGCATCCCCACTGGTTCTTACCAGCTGTGAGACACTGAGCAACTGATTCAACATCTCTGAACCTCCTTGTCTCCATGTGTACATAATACAGATGTCAGCTGGCATCCCCCTTTCTCCCGGAGAAGCTATATTGACTCAGACACCCCCGAGTCAATGTTGTGGTCTTTGAAAGTCTGAAACTCTTCCTTCAATATTTGCTATTTTCTAGGGCTTATGATCTGGAGGTTTTCCTCATGACTGCAGGCAGGATCTCTTTTTCATGCAGGACCACCCCAGCATCAAGCTCAGCCTCTTCACTGGGTCCCATAAGATGCCCCTCCCTGGCACACATATCAGGCATTTTAAGCTTTAGTGTATGAGAGCCGGGAATGAGCACATCAAAATGCACAAACTCCCAGCCTTCTCCAAGCTTCCACCCACTTCTTATTTTCCTTCCTCCCCACTGTTTTTTTTTCCTGAGACAGAGTCTTGCTCTGTCATCCAGGCTGGAGTGCAGTGACACAATCTCGGCTCACTGCAACCTCCGCCTTCCAGATTCAAGCGATTCTCCTGCCTCAGCCTCCCAAGTAGTTGGGATTACATACGTATGCCACCACACCCACCTAATTTTTTGTATTTTTAGTAGAGACGGGGTTTCACCATGTTGGCCAGGCTGGTCTTGAACTCCTGGCAAGTGATCTGCCTGCCTTGGCCTCCCAAAGTGCTGGGATTACAGGCGTGAGCCACCACGCCTGGCCCATTTACCCTTATTTTCATATCCCCTCAACCCAGACTCCAAGACCTTCAATTTTTCCCCCTCTGTCTAGCAGGGTAATGTCTCAAGAATATCAGCAAATAAATTACCTAAGCCCTGGGTAGAGAGATAGCCAGCTCAGTCTCTGTACCTTTTCATTTTACTAAAGGATTTCTTTCCAAATACATGGCCCTTTCCATAAGAATTAAGATATGTAAAACTATCTCTGTCTAATAGTGTATGCATTAAAGGTAAGAATACTCACCCACAAGGCTTTTGAGAACATGGGTGGTCCGTTATGTAAAGCTCCTCATGGAATGTTCAGCTTATAGGTAGTCCTCAAAATTAGTAGCTTTTGCCTTCCCTACCACCAAGCAATGGTTACTGCCAGGGCACACTAGGGTCAGGCAAGCAAGGTACCTAGTGTACACAATTTAAGGAGGCACTCACTCTCAGGTTCACGTGCAGCCTGGAGAGTGAGGGCCTCCTTAAATTTTACACCCCCTGGTCTTTCTCTTGCCTAGTCCTGGCCCTGGTTGCAGAATTGGCCAAACCATCTACCCCTTCTGGTTATCTGAATCTGACAAATGTGAATTTGATCCCAGCTTTACCAAATAGTCACTAATTTCACCTCGATCAAGTGGCTTGAGTTTCAGCCTACCATTTACAAAATCAAGCTAATAATACCCCTTAGTGGAAAGGGTTGTTTCGGGGTATTAAAGAGGTCCATATATGCAATGGCGCTTCAATCAATATTGCTTTTCTCTGCCCAGAGTCAATATAAGAACAAAAGATTATTTCAGCTTTCCACGTTCTAGCGTTTTCACTGCTTCCTTTAATAAAATGAACTCAGCAGGAGATGAGACTAGCTAGCCCAGAACTGTTTTTACAGTTTCCCTTCCTAAAATCAATTTTGCTTTTCCCTCGTTCTGCAGATGACGTAAAATCTAGAGAGACTACAGGAAATTGAAAGAATAAAATAGATGGTGATCCTGCAGAGTTGTTGCTGGGTTACAGAAAAGTGCCTTTTGAGAAATCTACCAAACAACATAAAAAGCCAGAAGCAGCATCTTCCTTTAATTCCCCCCACCTCCCCCTGCTTCTGGCTTTGAAAGTCCTTGACCATGAAGCTGCCTAGATGCTTTATTGGGTCCTTGAGTGATCAATGGCATGTATGCATTTGATCCTTTACTGCTGATAATCTGTCATTAAAAAATAGGAGTCGGGGCCGGGTGCGGTGGCTCATACCTGTAATCCTAGCACTTTGGGAGGCCGAGGCGGGTGGGTCACGAGGTCAGGAGATCGAGACCATCCTGGCTAACACTGTGAAACCCCGTCTCTACTAAAAATTAGCCAGGCATGGTGGCGGGCGCCTGTAGTCCCAGCTACTCAGGAGGCTGAGGCAGGAGAGTGGCGTGAACCCGGGAGGCGGAGCTTGCAGTGAGCCGAGATCGCACCACTGCACTCCAGTCTGGGCAACAGAGTGAGACTCCGTCTCAAAGTAAAAAAAAAAAAAAAAAAAATAGGAGTAATAAAATAGGAGTTGGGCCAGGCACGGTGGTGCACACCTGTAATCCCAGCACTTTGGGAGGCTGAGGCAGGCAGATCGCCTAAGGACAGGTGTTTCGAAACCAGCCTGGCCAACATGGTGAAACCCCATCTTTACTAAAAATACAAAAGTTAGTAGGGTGTGGTGGCAGGCGCCTGTAATCCCAGCTACTCAAGAGGCTGAGACAGGAGAATCGCTTGAACCTGGGAGGCAGAGGTTGCCATGAGCTGAGACTGCACCATGCACTCCAGCCTGGGTGACAGAGCAAGACTCCATCTCAAAAAAAGTAGAAGTAGGGGTAAGAGCTAAAAGATACGGTGGTTGATTAAGGACATGGAAGTGTGGCCAGGTTTTCTAAAGAGTATTTCAGGATAAAAACTAAGGTTGACTTCACAGTCCTCACCAACCTCTATGCCCCACTAATGACTCTTCTGAGCAAATCACTGCCCCCTCTAGAACTCTGGCTGAGCCTTTGTTTCCAGCACTGAGACACAGACATGTCCCATTCCGCTTGCAGTCTCCCTTGGTGGGGACACCCTCCCTCCTTCCACATGTGACCTAGAAAGAGACTCTGGCTTCTTGGGCCACTCTATCGTGGCTACCCCTGAAGTTAGAAATCCACCAATCACTTCCTCCAGATTGTCAAGGACCATTACACATTTACATATGCTACCTCTCTGGTTAGGAATGTAGAAGACAACATAACAGTCATAGGCTATTTCCTGAGGAATTAGTACACATCAACACTGTTATGGCCCGGCGCGGTGGCTCACGCCTGTAATCCCAGCATTTTGGGACGCCGAGGCAGGAGGATCACCAGGTCAGGAGATTGAGACCATCCTGGCTAACATGGTGAAATCTCATCTCTACTAAAAATACAAAAAATTAGCCAGGTGTGGTGGCGGGCACCTGTAGTCCCAGCTAGTCAGGAGGCTGAGGCAGGAGAATGGCGTGAACCTGGGAGGCAGAGCTTGCAGTGAGCCGAGATCGCGCCACTACACTCCAGCCTGGGTGACAGAGCGAGACTCCATCTCAAAAAAAAAAAAAAACACTGTTGGGAGGGCTTTGCATATAGTGAGTACTACTGTTGTCCCTACTTTACAGATGAAGAAACTGAGGCTCAGCAACTAGTAAGAAGTACAAACAGGATCAAAACCAATTGATCCATCTCCAGAATCTGCACTCTTTAGCCACTAGCTTTTGCTGTCATCCTATGGCCACCCTAGGTACACCCATTCATTTGCATCAGGCCGCCTGTCCTGATTTGCACCTCAAAAAAATTGAAAAACTTTGGCCAGGCGCGGTAGCTTTTGCCTGTAATCCCAGCACTTTGGGAGGCTGAGGTGGGCGGATCATGAGGTCAGGAGTTCGAGACCATCCTGGCTAACACAGTGAAACCCCGTCTCTACTAAAAAATTAGCCGGGTGTGGTGGCACACGCCTGTAGTCCCAGCTACTCGGGAGGATGAGGCAGGAGAATCGCTTGAACCCGGGAGGTGGAGGTTACAGTGAGCCGAGATCACGCCACTGTACTCCAGTCTGGGTGACAGAGACTCCGTCTCAAAATAAATAAATATAAATAAATAAATAAACTTTTCAATTTCCTTTGAAAATTCTTACCACTAGTATCCCTGATCTACAGTTCTGACTCTCTTTCTGCATGGAAATCAAAAGTCATTTGACCTCTAATTCAATCCTTCCCATTAGGATGGGATGCCTCTTCCATACAATATCAGAATAATAAAACAATGCAGTATCTTCAGTGTCTACTGGGCTCAAGTGGGCCATTTTCACAGCAGGCCTTATTGACAAAGTCATTTTAATATTGTTTAGTTCAATCAAAGACCCCAGAGCTGGCCTCCTTTTGTAAAGATGAACCAGAGCAAGACCTGGCTCTGGTTCATTTGTGACCTGAGAAGTCCCAGGGAAGCCAACATCTCTCTGGTCACCAGGCTTCCCTCTAGCAAATGTGTGTGTGGAGAATGCTAAATGAGAAAAATTACATAATTGCTTAACACACTTGTAAAAACTCAGCTGTTTGCTAATCCTGCTATTGTGACTGCTATTATTTCTCTCTTATGATTATTCCATCATGGTTGGGGGAGAATTCAGGGATGGAGGGAGATGGTCACTCATCTTTTAAAAGATCAAGTATTGAGATTTTTCATAACACTATCCTGTGAGAGACAAAAGTCATAGCTGAATCTTCCATAACTGTCATCTCAGAAACCGCTATCTTGGATGTGATGTGACAACCAACATTTCCTCTTAAATAAGGCATTTGTAGCCCTCCCCTTGACCATAGTGATATTTAAAGAAATTTCTGTAATCAAGGAAATAAGATTTGAAAGCAAGCCCCTCGTAAATGACGTGTTTCATATTACTCACCAAAATCAGTAACAAAAACAATTACACAAAATGTCTTAAATTGATGGGGGTGTCAGGAGAGTAAGAATTTTTTTTTTAAATGACTGTTGAAGTCTTCTAAGTCACTGTGCCAGTATGCTCTATTTTCGTTTGTTTGTTTGTTTTTGAGATGGAGTCTCACTCTGTCACCAGGCTGGAGTGCAGTGGTGCAATCTCAGCTCACTGCAACCTCCCCTTTCCGGGTTCAAGCGATCCTGCCTCAGCCTCCCGAGCAGCTGGGACTACAGGTGCGCACCACCATGCCCCGGTAAAAGTTTTTGTATTTTTAGTAGAGATGGGGTTTCACCATGTTGGCCAGGATGGTCTCGATCTCTTGACCTCGTGATCCGCCCCCTTGGCCTCCCAAAGTGCTAGGATTACAGGTGTGAGCCACCGTGCCTAGCCGCTCTATTATTTTTATGCTGTGTGATACTGATGTACTTTGAATGCTCTCTATTTGAGCTCTGCATTCTCTGGATTGATGGAACGCGACATTTTTCTTTGTCTCCAGAAATTCCCCCTCTCCTTCAATAATGAGTCTCTAGACTTAGTACTGCCTGAACAGCGGGATACTCTCTTCCAGGCAGGGATCATTAGTGAAAGATTGGCAACATTTTCTCAACACTGGTAGAAAGAGGAGTTATATGAGCCCTCTGTGCATGTGTTTTTAGGTACATGTATTTGTATTAGGCCCTAGGGAGTTTCAAGACAAGCTGAATTTCCTTCAGTGTTTAATACTTCATAAATAAAGCCTTATTAGCAATTCTCAGCTCCAGCAAATCATGGATGTATTCCAGAGAACATTTAAAATATAAATGTAATTTCAAGTGGAAGAAAAGAGCCCCATTTTTCCAAATAGTCAACATATCTCAAGACACTAACATTTTCAGGACGGAGAGGGTGACAGATAGGGAGTCAGATGGGAATGCTTTGGTGAGATAGAGAGCCCTCACAGAAAGAAACAAAGGCCACTCTCCCCCTCACTACATGCTTAAATACTCACAAGGTGACATGAGGTAGGTGTTGGAATTATCCCCATTTTATATTTGATGAAACATTTACAGGTTAAGCAAACTGTCCGAGGAGACCCAGATAATAAGTGGAAGAACTGGTATCGGAAGTTAGCACAGTAACTCAAAAACTGCCCTCTGGCTGGGTGTGTAATCCCAGCACTTTGGGAGGCCTCAGCAGGATTACTTGAGTGGAGGAGTTTGAGACTAGCCTGGGCAACACAGCGAGTTCTCCAAGTCACTGTCCTCTTCAACATGATATATTTTTCTTCCTGCGTGCCTTTCCAGAAAAGATGTCTTATTTCCAAATGAACCTCCAACCAATACCCATAGCCCATACTCCTTATCCCTTTTAGAAGGACCTACCTTCCAGCCCAAACTTCGTATCCTTCTTGAAACAAACCACCCACACCCCTCTTTCCAGCCCATATTCCATGTCTTCCTTGGAATGAACCACAAGCACCCACCCCCAACACATATTCCTTATTGTTGTTGAGATGAACCACTGAATTCGACCCCTAGCCTGTATTGTCTGTCTTTCCTGGTCATGCATGGCCTCAGTGAAAGCCACTAGGTCTCTCCCATGAGTATCATTACTGATGTTCTTTGGGGGGACATGGCTTAGCTGTTTCCAAACAATGGCCAATTCCACCTACCCCATCCATTGATCCTATCTCTTACCTCGGGGAGAAGGGCCCACAGGAATTTAGTCTGGCCCTGTCCTTTGAATGGCTCTCTGCAGTGGCAGGTAAGACTGGTACGGAAGGAGGTGTGAGGTAGATAACCCCTCGCTGAATCAAACTCAAAGAGACTCTCAATCCGGACTCAACGTTCTTGACAGGTTCCAGGGCCCGTGCCCCGCTTATATCTCAAGGTAGGTTCCGTAGCACTCAATAAAACCCTCTGCAAGGTATGGATCATCATTTGGTGGTTGGATAATCCTAATCTCAGGGTGTTGAAAGCCCCCACTGTTAAGAAAACCTTCAGTCTTCTTCCCAGGAAATGGACATCTCCTCTTGGCCTGCTCCAACATGCAGAGTTGTTCAAGGGGGCATGGAGAGAACACTGTTCTCTCTCCTACCCAGTGTGTTTGTCATTCTGGAAAGAGCAGGTGGAGAAAAGCAGGCTGTTCTCTTGACACTGCATTCTTTCTGGCTTTACACTAATTTAATCTAAGACACAACATTCAACATAATTCATTGAGTAGCTAGGATCTTCCAGGCGCTGTACTAAGAATCTTAAATTTTATCTCATTTAAACCTCAAAACTCTAAAGGTGGATAATGGTACCCTCCTCATTTTACAGATTTAGCTAAAAAGTAATCACTTGTTCAAGAGTGCACAGCCAGTCAGTTAGTGGTGGACCTGCAATTAACACCCAGGTTATTCTACTCCACAGCCAATGTCTTAATGCTCTTATTAGATTGCCTCCTCGATAGAATTATGACTCTCAGAAGAAGTTTTAATAAACTTTCTTTCATTGAACGACGTGGGTGGGCATTAGGCAGCCTAGCTTTATATAAAATGACGTCAGCACCCTCAGAATGAAAGAATGTTGGAAATGAAAGGCTCTAGGCTTTAACTGTATTAGTAGCTCCTTTTAAATAAGGAAACTGAGACCCACAAAGAAATAACTCAGCCAAGATCACAAATTTTACCTCTGGGAAACAAAAGCAGCCTACATAGAAATAACTTTTACATCAGATATTCCAAAATGTGTTTCATGGAGGAGTAAGGTCTGTGAGATGTTAAAAATAGCTCAGGGAAGGGGGAAAGAAGGGTTCTGTGGTGAAATACTATATTTTCTGATGTGTAAAATTCACCAGTTATATGAGACGTCACCCAATTTTATACAGAAATTATATGCAAGAATTACTTTTCATCATACGTTTTAAAAAGTGATTTTATAATGGAAAATTATTTTTGTAAGCATGGATTGTTGTACAGTGGAATCCTAGTAGGAAATAATGAAGTCTGAATATGTAGTGATATCTTATAAGCCCCTAGGCAGGGGGCAATATGAAAATCACACAGCTGGAAAAATATATATTGATCTTACTAAATGCTAGCACATGCTAGAGTTAGTAGGGTTAGTAGTAATTATATTTAAGTTCAAAGTGTTAGGGGAAAATCACCTAAGCAACTATGTGAACTTTGACTTGCTATTTTTTATAGGAAAACTTTGATGTACTGTGAAAACATTGTATCTTTACTGCTATGTTTTGGGATTGCCTGTTTTACCACTAAGGGAGTAGACATGTATTATTTTGCCTTGGATTTTCATTCATTCATCCACGCCTGAGCATTTAGTTCATGGGAATGTTTGGATTCTTATTCTTTCATGGCAAGGAAGGAAATGCATTATATAAGCCTGAAATACAGTAATTTTTTTTTTTTTTTTTTTGAGATGGAGTCTCGTTCTGTCACCCAGGCTGGAGTACAGTGGTGCGATCTTGGATCATTGCAAGCTCTGCCTCCTGGGTTCAGGCCATTCTCCTGCCTCAGCCTCCCAAGTAGCTGGGACTACAGGCGCCCGCCACCACAGCTGGCTAATTTTTTTGTATTTTTTAGTAGAGACGGGGTTTCACCGTGTTAGCCAGGATGGTGTCCATCTCCTGACCTCATGATCCTCCCGCCTTGGCCTCCAAAAGTGCTAGGATTACAGGCTTGAGCCACCACTCCCAACCAAAATACAGTAAATTTTTAAAATGCCAGATTAAACTAAGTTAGATAGGTTTCTTTCCTGCAGGACTTCTTGTTGACAGAGTATACAGCATTTTCCTACTTATTTGACTGTGGAAACTCTTTTCTTCATATCTCACTGAATACAAGTTCACAAGATTTTGGTGTCCCATCCTATATCCCATCAGATTATCAAATCGTAGCAACACAATATCTTACACTTGAGAGAAAAGCAGGACAGTCCTTTATGATTTGGTACCTGCAGTAGAAACAGAGTGTCTGGTGAAAGGAATGCCACCTCCTACCAATTCAGCAATCCCTGAGATCCACTCATTTGTGCTGGCCACAGTACCTCCAAGCTTCTCTTCCTCTCTGTTCTGCCCACAAACCTGCATTCTTGCCTGCCTCCTGGATTCACAGAAATCCAAAGGGAAAAAACAAAGGAGGTCTTTCTTTACCAGGAGTGCTGAGATAGCTCGCAGGAGAATGAATGGTAGGATTCAAGCATGTTAGAACTCTACAGAAACAGAGGGACATTGGTATGATTCCAAGCACTTGGGGACAATTCTCCCCCACACATTTCATTGGCTAGAACTGATCGCATGGCCCCACCTGACTCCAAGGAGGCTGGGAAGTGAAGTCTTCCTGAGTGTTTAGGAAAAAGAGAACCAGATATGGAAAAGTACAAATCTTTCCACCTCAGGACCCTAAGTTCTTAGTCATTCCAGTGTCAGAAGAAATTAATGTGATGGAATACTTCAACTATCACTCCTTGAAGTTTCATCACTCTCTCTCATTTGGACTTATAGTAAACCCCTATCTTAGTTCCCATTGTCGCCTAAGAAAACAATAGTTCAGCATGGTAGAGTAACTTGTCCAAGGTTCTTTTAGCTAATAAGTGACAAAGCCAGACTCAAACCCATATCTTCCTGACTCCAAAAACTGTATTTACCTTAAACAGTTGTTGTGAGGATTGATTAAATCAGAAATCCATTCATTCATTTGAATATTCATTAAACACCTACCTGAACCATTTACTAGTCAGTATGTAGAGAATTTGGCAGACACTGCTCTCCTAGAATTTAAAACTGTATGAGGATAAAATAACAAACAAGAAAAATGGTCAAATAATTTCAACAATGGAAAAATTTCAGAAAGAAAAATAAAATAAGCTAAAGGAATGGAGTAAAAGGGATGGGGAAGGCAGGTATTTTGAATAGGGGAGTCAGGCAAAGCCTGAAGAGGTGATCTGAGGAGAAGAGGCTGAAGCAAAGGAGGAGAGGTCTTAAGCAGAGCTGGAAGGAGGGGGATTAACAAGTGCAAAGGCCCTGAGGTGACAGTGGGCTGGGTACATTTAAAAAACAACAACAATAAGGCAAATACGACTGGAGCAAGGAAGTGAAGGGGACAACAGTAAATGAGGTCAGAGAAGTAGTCAGATGGCACATAGCCTAGGTCAGAGAAGTAAGCAGATGGTGCATAATCTGGGAGAGGGAGGCACAATCGGGAATCTGGAAAATTTCTAGCCATGATGGGAAGAAACCCACTGGAGTGCTTTGGGCGATGGAATGACGTGGTCTGTGTTCTTTTTCTTAAGGTTCCTTTTCTATTATTATTTCTGTGCAATAGACTGTTCTGCTAGAGGGAGGAGTAAGAATAGAAGTAAGAAGAATAATTAGGGAGCTACTGAAGTCATTCAAGCAAAAATTGATGGTAGCCTGGATAAGACTGTTCAAAAGAGAAGGTGAAAAGTCATTAGATTCAGGATATATTCTGGATGTTAAACCAACCAGATTTATTGGCAGATTGGACGTAAAGATTGAGGGGAAGAAGAGAATCATGAAAAACCCCTAGGTTTTTGGCCTGAAGAGCTGTGGTTCTGTGGTTTTGGTAGACAGAATGATGCTCCCCACACCCCCAAGATGACCCTGTTCTAATCCCTTGGACCTGTCAATATATTACTTTGCATGACCAAAAGGATTTTACAGGTGTGATTAAGTTAAGAGCCTTGAGCTGGGGAGATTTGAGCCAAGGAATGCAAGCAGAATCCAAAAAACAAACAAACAAAAAAAAATGGATTCTTCCCTAGAGCCTCCAGAAGGAACATGGCCCAGCTGACACCTTGATTTTAGGCCAATGAAAACCATTTTGGATTTCTGACCTCTAGAACTATAACATAATAAACCCCTGTTGGTTTAAGCCACTAAGTCTGTAGTAATTTGTTATAGGAACCATAGGGAACTAATTTAGTGGGATGTGAACAGTGCCTTGAATCTTGTTAAGACACTAAAGGGTGATCACCACAGCAAACTAGGAGTTAGAGCAGAGAACAGAGGGAGACAGGGTAGGTTTACTGTTCAATCTTAAAATGGAAAAGTACTTAATTGTGTGATATATTGAGTTTCACTAACAAGCAGGAAGTACCAATTTGTGCCAGGTCTTATATCAGACAATGGAGACATGAGGATGAGTAAGATGCAGGGCCCGGTCTGGTGGATGAATTTGCAGGATGGGGAACAATTTCACAGCAGCTTAATGGACCTGCCTGTCATTTTACCTTGAAAAGGGACCCTAGTCTAGTTTTCATCTTTGAGTATAGGGGGGATAAAAAGGCCTCTTGGTGCTCGATTTCCTCTGGTACCACGGAATGTTTCTTTGGGCAGGTCTCTTCTGTCTTTTACATCTGACCCACAAAATGCACTTTATTCCACTTGGTCTGGACTTTCTATTGAAACCAGCAAAATGATTTACAGAATGTACAGCATCTCTGAAAAAAATAGTAAAAGATTCATTGGAAGAGTGAAATCTCTTTTAGGTTGTAGGAGATGTCTCTTCACTCATCTGATATGATACAGTTTTAAAGTGATAATTGAGACTTTTTTATGGAGTGCAGTTAAGAAATGTCATTACTGTTTATTACAGAAAATGAAATAAATTGGTAGTGCGGGTAAGAGAACTCATATTGTAGAGAATTACAACTCTTTGGGAAATACGAGGTGAGCATCTTCTTTGGGCACGAGAATTTTTTTTCAAATACCTTCCAATTAGCACAAGCCTTGTGCTCAGTATTTCCTCCACTCCCCATTCAATGACGGTTTATAAAAAAAAAAAAAAAAACTACCCTTATTCCAAATTTAAGAGGCAGAGAGAGATGGGGGCGGTGGCGGGGAAGGGAGAAAAGGAGAAGAAAGGAGTGAGAGGGACAGAGACGGAGAGGGATGAGTGGGGGGAAGAGAGAGAGAGAGAAGGGGAAAATGTGGGAAAGAGGTTCAGACTGGTTGGATCGTGTCTGCAGTGATTGCTGACTGCAGGGTTGCACAGTAGACCAGCACTGGCTGTAATGTTAAGCTGGCCAGAATTTAAAGCTCATCTCTGGCATAAACTACCTGTGTGACCATGGACAAAATATCTAAACCCTATGAGCTTCAGTTTTTTTCATTCATTAAATTGGAGAAATGATACCTGTTTGCAGGGCTATTGGGAATTCTGGTGTGATCATGTATCTGAAGTACCCGGCATTGTCTAAAACATGGTAGATGCCTAATAAATACTCACTTCATTCTCCAGAGCATCCTGCTTCTCTCTCGTTCTCTTTTTGACACTCCTTAATTTTCCTCTTTTGAGAATCAGTGATACATACCTGGGGAGAAAAAAAAGGAGGTGGGAAGAAATGGGAAGGCATGATAAGGTTGTGGGGAGACTATCGCACCACTGACTTTTCTTATAACTTCCCAGGACTGGCTGGGGAAAGACCTGGTAGGTACAGGGGGAGCCATGGCCTGGAATAGCAAGCTGGACATTCCTGGTTATGTTACTATACTGAGACTTAAGGCTGCGAAACACTTGTCCATCTTCAGCTATATTTCTTCCTCACTTAAACCCTCTGGGACAATTTTCCACTTTAGAGCTAAAGAAACTGAGGCTGGGAGAGGCTTTCTGACTTGCCCAGGATGACTACAGTGAGTAAGGGGAGCCTCAGTCTCCTCAAGTCACCACGCAGGCAGCCCTTTCTGCCTCATTGCACCTGGCACCCACCTTTATGTAAAAGCCAACATCAAAGAAAACGACCCAAGTGCTGGGGGACTTCTCCTTAAGTCAACTAAAGATGAGGTCCTTGTCACATGGCCACGAAAATGTAGGCTTGCAGACGATTCGAAGAGTGAGAAAAATGGGATTTACTCGGCAAAAAGGAAAAAAAGGGGAAACAGAGACTCTTAGTGAAGCGAGAGAGCGTGCTTCCTACCTGTGCACTTCCTGCCTCACAGTTTGAATCCCAGGTTCCACACAGGAAGAGGAGGGGCCAGGCTCCTCCCTGCTGCAAACAGCATTAGTTACTGTGGCTCCATCTTGTAAGGATTAAAGAAAGAGGAGAGGAAGGAGAGGGAGGAAGAGGGAGCAAGGGTTAGGGAGCAAAATCCCACTTGCGAGTGGTCAGGGGTGGATTCCTAAGACCTGAGGGTTTGTTTGGTTTCTTGTTTGTTTGTTTGTTTGTTTGTTTGTTTTTGAGACGGAGTCTCGCTCTGCCACCAGGCTGGAGTGCAATGGCACATTCTTGGCTCAGTGCATCCTCCACCTACCGGGTTCAAGCAATTATCCTGCCTCAGCCTCCCGAGTAGCTGGGATTACAGGTGCATGCCACCACGCCCGGCTAACTTTTTATTTTTAGTAGAGACGGGGTTCACCATGTTGGTCAGGATGGTCTCGATCTCTTAGCCTCATGATCTGCCCACCTCGGCCTCCCAAAGTGCTGGGATTACAGGCGTGAGCCACCGCGTCCTGCCCAACCTGAGGGTTTTGAGAGCCCACCTGGGAGTAGCCCCAGCCTGAGCCTCACAGTTCCCTTCAGGTTCATCGTCCTCCTCACGCAAATCAGTTGAAAATGAAGTGAGGGAAAAGATGGGCGGGTGGCCAGAGACCTTCAGGATCCAGAGGTTAACTCACAGTGAGCCGCCGTTGCCCACTGCTTCCTGAGTTGCAAGAGAGCCTGTGCTCCCAACACCCATTCCAGGTTTTGGCACCAAATGTAAGAATTAAAGAAAGAGGAGAGAAACACGAAGGGTGGCTTGACAGTTACCCAAGAGACTTTCCCCCACTACCTCCCTTTGTGGCCGAGCTGTTTTATTTGTGTTTTACTATTTGCTCTTTCTGGCTGCTTATAGTTAGAAGAGAAGTGATTTCCTTGTAATGCTTGAGGCTAGAAAGGGAGCTGGAACTTAAAGTGGTGATGCTTGTCTGAAATGACGGTGCTCCTGCTCTGTTACATCCCAGTATGCACTCCTCCCAGTGAATAGGCCAGTTGGAGTTTTGCCAGGGGGCCCTTCCCACCTGACTGTCTCACAAATTCTCAGACCGGGAGAAGGACCTCCTTGAAAAGGCGAGTTGAATCCCTTGAATTACATAAGGGGAGGAGATAACCTGAGCCTTAAACTCACAGTGAAGCCCACTAGTTGGGAATTCAGAAGAGACAGAGAGTTGAAAATTACCGAAGGAAACTTGCCCAAATACTTAAGATAGAATCACAGTGCTCTGAAAGAATATGCTAAGTCACTGTATTTTTAAGAACTGGGAAAACGTGTTTCCTGCTACTATTTGGAAAGAATGACTCTAAGAGCGTAAAGGGCAAAACCCTTCTTTTTATGAGCACTGTTTACTGTTGCTGATACCTCCTGACTAAATAGACTGTGTCTACATGTGGACCACTTGGGACCAGTTCCTGAGCTCCACTTTGGACCTAATGAATCAGAAGTTATTAGGGATGGGCCCCAGAGTTTTCTGTTTTAATATGCTACCATAGTGGCCCTAATGCACAGATGAACTGGAAACCACTCTTCTAAATGTGTCTTATGTCTCCCTTGCCTGCTGGATCCTGATTCAACAGATATTTATTGAATTCCAACTATTTAGCTGTCTGTGTTGTATGCACTTGGGATATACCTATAAACAAAACTGAACGCTCTGTCAAAAAAATCTGTTTTCTAGAACTTATAGTCTACTGTGTGGGTGACATTGTTTAAATATGTGTCCTCATCAAATCTCATGTTGAATTGTAATCCCCAGTGTTGGAGGAGGGGCTGGGTGGGAGGTGACTGGATCATGGGGATTAGCACCATTCCCTCTTGGTACTGTACAGCGAGTTCTCATGAGATCTGGTTGTTTAAAAGTGTGTGGCACTTCCCCCCTTATTCTCTCTGTTGCTTCTGCTCTGGCCATGTAAAGACGTGCCTGCTTCCCCTTTACCTTCCACCATGATGGTAAGTTTCCTGAGGCCTCCCCGGAAGCCAAGCAGATGCCAGCCTCATGCTTCCTGTACAGGCTGCGGAACCATGAGCCAATTAAACCTCTTTTCTTTATAAATTACCCAGTCTCAGGTATTTCTTTACAGCACTGTGAGAACAGACTAATACAGCAAAAATAGGTGAGTGAGGAAAGAAAATAAGCAATAAACACAACAAATCATTTTTTACTTTATATTAAAAGATCATCATTGCTTTTTCTAAAGAAGAGGCAGATAAAAGGGGAAACAGGAGTGTGGGGATGGGAGAGAGGAGTGGGTTGGGTGGTGTGACCCTGGATCTTCTGTCTACTCCAGGAATGAGACTTTAAACCTTTCCTGCCTGCATCAACCTGGACTGCTCAGATCTGGGCTTCCCACTTCTACCTGCCTCCTGATTCTCAGTGCTCTGTTGCCCTGTTAGTTCCTAGGTACTCCACCCACAGTGCACGGAAGTAACCTTCCTCTGCTAGCTAAACAGAATTCGTGACGACCTCTCCAGGCTAACTCTGGGAAAATGCTTGTTTAAACCTCCCTGTAGGACTAAACGCTTAACCAATTCTTTGAAACACCAGAAAGACTGGAGATATATTTGAGCAACACTCTGTGGGGTGCTGGAGCCAGTATGCACGAGCTCCTGAGAGCCAATTGTGTGCATGTTTTTTCCAGCTAGGCATCAGTGGTGTTATATCATAGCTCAAACCAGTGGGGGGCCGGAGGCGGGCGGGGTGGGGACGGTGGGAGTAGTTAGTTACACTGAGAACTGTGATAACTCAGCAAGTGCCACAAATCAGGGCTCCCTTTAGAGATCTGTTGTTACATATTGACCATCACATCAGTGGTAACAGTTATGTGCTAGAAATAGCCCCAGAAGAACATAACTCCAAAGCTCTCTCCCTAAATCCAGTAACCTGGGTTTGGCTCTTCTCTTGCTTCCTGGGTACAAGAAAATCTCAAACCCTCTTGCTACCGAAGGGTTTGAGATTCTAGACCAAAAAGATACACAGAGAGGCTTGGAATAAAATAGACAGTAGTGACTTGAAGGAATACAAAGGGTGAAAAATTCCTGCACTCAATTTATTGTCTTATATCTTGAGGTTTATTTTTCCTAATAATCATTACACCCTCAGAAACTGATGAGTTTCCAGGGCATTATAAATTTAAAACATTTAGCAGGGCTAGCACTAAAATAGCTCATTAAAGAGTGTGGGTTGGAAAGGCTTGTTAGTCTGCTTTATATACAATGATCAATTACAGCAAATTTCTCAGCAGTAGTTTCTATCACTCTTCTTTAAGATGCAGTAATAGAAATGAGATCATCAGACTTAAGGAAGTTAATCAGTGCATCAAGGTTTTCCACAGAAATTTTCCAAGGCAGGAGAAAGAAAATGGACATTCCAGATGCCTAAGACTATGGTTTAAAGAGTCTCAACAAGCTCAAAATGTCAAGAAAGCTTTGGCCAGTGATACGCTAGTGAATGTTTTAACAAGCAAATCTTAGGGGTGGGGAACTGTGATTTACAGCATTTGCCAACTTCCATTGCATCAAAATTTCCACCATGGCCAATTTCAAGCTACAAATGTGCTATCAACTGACTTACTGTATTCCTGAAAATGTAGCTATTGATTCTCATGAGCTTAGTACAAGCCAGGTCTAACATACCACTTGGTTTTTTTTTTTTTTTTTTTTGGAGACAGACTCTCACTCTGTCTTCCAGGTTGAATTGCAGCGGCACAGTCTTGGCTCACTGCAACCTCTGCCTCCCGGGTTCAAGCGATTCTCCTGCCTCAGCCTCCTGAGTAGCTGGGATTACAGGCACGTGCTACCATGCCTGGGTAATTTTTGTATTTTTTAGTAGAGATGGGGTTTCACCATGTTGGTCATGCTGGTCTTAAACTCCTGACCACGTGATCCGCCCGCCTCAGCCTCCCAAAGTGCTGGGATTACAGGCATGAGCCACTGCGCCCAGCCCCACACCACTGTCTTTAGCTCAAAAGTTAATATGAATTTTGCACCCAGCTCAATGATACATCCATAATTAATTTAAAAATAATAGTGGTTTTCTGTCTGTCTTCAAATTTTCCAGCATCACCTAATGTATGTTTCCCAAAGACAGCTCTACTCTTATGTGAGATGACTTGGTGGGGGGCTGGGACATGGAATAGCCTTACATTGTTTCCTTTGCATTTCTCCCTCTCAATCTTCCCAATTATATTAAGATTAAAGTCTCAGTGAGGTACTAATCTGCTTTAACACCTCTTGAACACATCCCTCTCCCTTTTCAACAAAGAGGGAGCAGGCTTCAAGTTCAGAGTCTTCAGGCTGGCAACAGTATCAAGTTAGAATGTATTAGAATTGTTTCTTTACATTTTGCTTATTATGTTCAGCTGTCTATGGCAAATAATACTGATTTTTTTCCCATTTATGGATGCAGAGTGGGCTTTTCCTTTAAATATGTTATTAGTATGTCAGTTAATATGTTTCTTGTACTAAGGTGGTACCTGGAATAAGCAAAAGTCACTTGCTTCTCAGAAGATAAGGCCCAGCTTCTTGTGGGACATGCTAGTGGGGCCTTTTGGAGGCAGAAATACCCAGTGGCAGCTTGTTGCATTAGCAGTAACTCTCTACCTTTAGAATCTCCTGCTGCCATTCATCCTACTCACCGAAACAGATTTTGATTCAAGTTATGATGTGCTGTCATATGTTGATTTGTATCAGCAGTTGCTCACTTGTATCTATTGCCAATTTCCATGGTGTAAATCTTCCCACCATGGCTGATTTCAAGCTATCAACCAGACAATGAACATATGCATGCATGTATCTTCATGACAGAATGATTTATATTCATTTGGATATATACACAGTAATGGGACTGCTGGGTCAAATGGTAGTTCTGTTTTTAGCTCTTTGAGAAATTGCCACACTGCCTTTTTTTGAGAGTCTTGCTCTTGTCACCCAGGCTGGAGTGCAATGGCATGATCTTGGCTCGCTGCAACCTCCAGCTCCCGGGTTTAAGCTATTGTCCTGCCTCAGCCTCATGAGTAGCTGGGATTACAGGCACCATGCCACCAAGCCTGGCTGATTTTTTTGTATTTTTGGTAGAAACAGGGTTTCACCGTGTTGGCCAGGCTGGTCTCAAACTCCTGACCTCAGGTGATCCACCTGCCTCGGCCTCCCAGAGTGCCCAGATTACAGACACAAACCACCACACCCAGCCTGCCACACTGCTTTGCACAATGGTTGAGCTAATTTACACTCCTCCCAACAGTGTATAAGTATTCCTTTTTCTCTGCAACCTTGCCAGCATGTTATTTTTTTACTTTTTAATAATAGCCATTCTGACTGGTTTGAGATGATATCTCATTGTGGTTTTGATTCGCATTTCTCTAATGATTAGTGTATTAGTCCATTTTCACACTGCTGATAAATACATACCTGAGACTGGGTAATTTACAAAGAAAAAAGAAGTTTAATGGACTCACAGTTCCATGTGGCTGGGGAGGTCTCACAATCATGGTGGAAGATGAAAGGCATGTCTTACATGGTGGCAGGCAAGAGATAACTTGTGCAGGGAAACTCCCCTTTATAAAACCATCAGATCTCATGAGACTTATTCACTATCACGTGAACAGCACATGAAAGACCCTCCCCCATGATTTAGTTACCTCCCCCTGGTTCCCTCCCACGATATGGAAATTGTGGGAACTGCAATTCAAGATGAGATTTGGGTGGGGACACAGCCACACCATATCAATCAGTGATGTTGAGCTTTTTTTTTCATATGCGCATACAATTGTGAAGAGAGGAGAATTCTTTGAATATATACACAGTAATGGGACTGCTGGGTCAAATGGTAGTTCTGTTTTTAGCTCTTTGAGAAATTGCCACACTGCCTTTGGAGAAACAGAAATCTTGCATCCATAGTTGCCTCATTTCTCTTTTTCAATTACTGACTCTCCCAACATAGAAGGATCGAGTTGAGGGAGGCCACAGGGTCACTTACATGTGCAGATAGAGCAGTGGTTTGAATTCAGTAACCACCCTGTTTTTTGTTGTTGTTGTTGTTTTTTGTTTTTTGTCTTTGTTTTTTTGAGACAGAGTCTCACTCTGTCACCCAGGCTAGAGTGCAGTGGCACAATCTGAGCTCACTGCAAACTCCGCCTCCCGGGTTCAAGCGATTATCTCACCTCAGCCTCCCAAGTAGCTGGGATTACAGGCACCCACCATCACACCCGGCTAATTTTTGTACTTTTAGTAGAGACAGAGTTTCATCATGTTGTTCAGGCTGGTTTCAAACTCCTGATCTCAGGTGATCTGCCCGCCTCGGCCTCCCAAAGTGCTGGGATTACAGGTGTGAGCCACTGTGCCCAGCCCACCCTGTATTCTTTTTTGTTTGTTTTTTTGAGATGGAGTCTGCCTCTGTCGCCCAGGCTGGAGTGCAGTGGCTCTATCTCTGCTCAGTGCAACCTCCACCTCCCGGGTTCAAGCGATTCTCCTGCCTCAGCCTCCTGAGTAGCTGGGATTACAGGCACTCACCACCACACCCAGCTAATTTTTGTATTTTTAGTAGAGATGGGGTTTCACCATGTTGGTCAGGCTGGTCTCAAGCTCCTGACCTCAGGTGATCCACCCGCCTCAGCCTCCCAAAGTGCTGCGATTACAGATTACAGGCGTGAACCACCGCACTTGGCCTATTTTCTTTTTCTTTCTTTTTTTTTTTTTTTTTGAGACAGAGTCTCGCTCTGTCTCCCAGGCTGGACTGTAGTTTCCCGGGCTGGAGTGCAGCGGCACCATCACGGCTCACTGCAAGCTCCACCTCCCGGGTTCACGCCATTCTCCTGCCTAAGCCTCCCTAGTAGCTGGGACTACAGGTGCCCGCCACCACACCCGGCTAATTTATTTTTGTATTTTTAGTAGAGATGGGGTTTCACCATGTTAGCCAGGATGGTCTCGATTTCCTGACCTCATGATCCGCCTGTCTCGGCCTCCCAAAGTGCTGGGATTACAGGTGTGAGTCACTGCGCCCGACCCACCCTGTATTCCTAAAGTAGCCCTAGCATTCACTAGCTGTGTGGTCTCAGACAAGTCACTTAGCCTCTAAGGAATGAAATTTCTAGGAGCACAAGAGCATAGGGCTCTCACATAGCATGTGGCAGTTATTAGGATGCAATTAGCATCACCATTTCTTTCCTCCACACCCACAGGTGTAGAACCAGGGCACGTGAGCATTGTTTAAAGGAGAGCTTCAAAGATGATGTATCTTTAGAGCTTGATGCCACCTGCCTTTGCCTACCTGTTGCTTGGCTACAGACCTGGCTCCCCTCCAACCTCCCATTTCTAACGCTACATCAAAGGCTGTGCTTCTCAGCTGGGAGCAGTTTCGTCCTTTGAGGGGCAGCTGGCAATGTCCGGAGACATTTTTGATTCTCACAACTGGAAAAGTATGACTGGGATCTAGTGAATGGAGGCCAGGGATTGTGCTAAACATCTCAAGATACACAGGATAGCCCCCTGCAACGAAGAATTATCCAGCCCCAAATGTCACCATGCCAAGAATAAAAAACCCTGCTCTAAGGATTAAGTGAGCTTGGTCCCTCTAAAAGATGTGTTTACTCTACTGGAATACTAGAGAAATTCCTTAGGCTACCATCCTAAGAAAGAGTAGCATAGCCCCTAAAAATTGTAACTAAATTTTACACTCCCCAGGCAGAGGTATAAAGATGTCTCCGACTTGTTAAAGCAATAAATGACCGAAGGATAATGGGCATGACAGAATAGATTTTTAACAGTCTTATTCCCATCATTAAATCCTCGCTCTTCCACTTTTTTAGCTCTGTGACCATGAGCATAGTAAGTGCTAGGATCCTCAATTTCTTCAACTGTAAAAACAGAAATAATGCACCTGTCTTGTATAAAATTGTTGTGAAGATTAAAGGAGATAATGCCTGTAAGCCAGTTAGCCAGTTACTGCTGGTATATTGTTATGTTCTCAACAAACATAATCATTATCATCATTACTCTTGCTATTATACTGCCTACAGTAGTCAGAGCTCAAATAGATATTTTCATCATTATTATTATTTTAGGTCTATTTTAGTTCCTTAAACAGTTGTGGGTGGCTGAGAGGCACATGTACCTGTCTCTTCTCTGTGCCAAGACTCTGCAGAGTGGTGAACGGCAAGAAAGGAAAAGAGTCCAAACAGATGGAAACTTCATGGGGCAGGTTTCTCCTAGTCTGCCCCCCGCCACACACACACACAGAAACTAAACACTCTTCCAAGCTGTCTTCATCCATGGGATAATTTCTTTAAAGCCTGCATGGAATCCCAGATAATGAAGAATGATGAGGCTAATTATAGACTCACCATGGTACAAAAACCTGTCGGTTGTATGTTCATACAGATTATCCAGCTTAAGTCACAGGCCATTCAGAGTGTTCAATTTCAGAACCATCCAGAAGCTATCAGACCTAGTCTGTCCAATCTGTGGGGGCACAAACCCAAGAACTGTTCTAGCACATAGAAGAGCACAAAAAACATGGCTTGTGGTATCTGTGCTTAGTGAGGCCACTGACTCACTTGGAATGGCCAATTCCAGATTGCAGAACTTTTTTTTTTTTTTTTGAGAGAGAGAAAGAGTGTGTCTCACTCTGTCGTTAATGCTGGAGTACAGTGATGCAGTCATAGCTCACCGCAGCCTCAAACTCCTAGGCTCAAGTGATCTTACCACCTCAGTCTCCTGAGTAACTGCGATTACAGGCACTCACCATCATGCCCATGTAATTTTTATATATATAGTTTTTGAGACAGGCTCTTACTGTGTTGCCAAAGCTGGTCTCGAATTCCTGGCCTCAAGCGATTGTCCTGCCTCAGCCTCCTAAAGCACTGGGATTACAGGTGTTAGCCACCACACCTGGCCAGAACTTTTTTCAATTGTTATTTTCTCCTGATAAGAAAAGTAGCACATATTCAACAGAGACATTTAAAACCATGTCCCTTCAAAGCAAGAAAAATCATACTCCCATTACCAACAGTAACCCTTTTGTATGAGTTGTCTTTTCTTTCAGTATTTCCTTTTTGGACAGATGGGGATTTGTTCTTTGTTTTGTTTTCTTTAGTGGCTTGACTTTTTTTTTTTTTTCTTTTTTTTGAGACAAAGTCTCGCTCTGTCGCCCAGGCTGGAGTGCAGTGGCACGATCTCAGCTCACTGCCCCCTCTGCTTCCCGGTTCAAGTGATTCTCCTGCCTCAGCCTCTGGAGTAGCTGGGATTACAGGCGCATGCCACCACGCCCACCTAATTTTTGTATTTGTAGCAGAGACAGGGTTTCACCATGTTGGTCAGGCTGGTCTCGAACTGCTGACCGCATGATCTGCCCGTCTCGGCCTCCCAAAGTGCTAGGATTACAGGCGTGAGCTACCACACCCGGCCAGGGCTTGCCGTTTTTTAGACATTATCACATTGTACAAAAAAATTTGTGGACTGCCTTTTTTTCCCTCTTGTACACTCATAAGCATTTTAAACTATAATGGCTACATAATATTCTAACAAACAGCTCTAACAGAGTTTACTCAACCACTCTCCTGTTCTGGACATCTAGGTTACTTGTTCTTTTTTTTTTTTTTTTTTTTTTGAGACAGAGTCTCACTCTGATGCCCAGGCTGGAGTGCAGTGGTGAGATCTCAGCTCACTGCAAGTTCCGCCTCCCAGGTTCACACCATTCTCCTGCCTTAGACTCCCGAGTAGCTGGGACTATAGGCACCCGCCACCACGGCCAGCTAATTTTTGTATTTTAAGTAGAGACAAGGTTTCACCGTGTTAGCCAGCATGATCTCGATCTCCTGACTTCGTGATCTGCCCGCCTCAGCCTCCCAAAGTGCTGGGATTACAGGCGTGAGCCACAGCACCCAGCCCGAGAATGTATCTTAAAGAAATAAACCTCTACTTGGAATTTTATTTAAAAAGTATTTATATCTAAAATGTTTGTTGTAGCTATACCAACAAAAATGAACATGTCACTCTGGGAAGATGTGACTTCAATTGATTCTTAGAATTGCCACCTACCTCCCCAACTTACCAAACTCTTGGTTATGGAGACTTCTTAGATTCACCCTTCCTTGTGACTCTAGAGGACCTGACTACTGTTCATAGCCACCCCTCTGGGATCAGTCCCATTTGAGATCCCAGTGAAGCCCAGGCTGAAACAAGAATGGCTGAAGTCTGGCTATCCATCCCTAGTTGGCCTCTGAGCAGGAATGGAAAGTTGCTGGAAGGCAACACCTCCCTCAACCCCTTACTTTAATTCCCTGTCTGTTGAGCCTGTTTTTATCTCGTTACCATGGCAACACAGCCTCAAGGCTGATAGATATTCCTTGCCACTTAGAGGAAAACACTCAGCTAATAGGCAAGTGGGAAGGACACAGGAAAGAAAGGGTGAGCCCTTTTCTGTTTCCCTTCCGTGCCTCTGCAAATGGGCAGAGATAATTAAAAATTAGATTTTAAAGTCACACTGACACTGACGGAAGGAACATAAGGAGGATTCCAGCGCTCACAAGACCATCTGCTTCTAGTGCTAATTAAAGTGGATGAAGATAAATCAAATTACCTCAGATCTCATGTCTCCTTGATGAAGAATCTTTGAAAGCATAGGTCATTTTAGGGACTCTTTTCACCCTTTGGGGAATTACCTGGCTTCTAAAAAACCTGAAGCAATCGTAAAGATCAAGTGGGTTTTAACAGCATGTCTCAGCATCCTACCTCAAATCTTGGTCTCACCCCGCCAGCCTCCATAATTCCCAGTTGTCATTGGTCTCCCAGTTTCTCCCCATCCAGGGCCCACTGGCCAATATTACTCTCAGGGTTATCTTCCCGAAACACACTTCTAGCTGTGTCCAAGTGAAGACCATGCCCAGCTCCCTCCTGCTCACATAAGAGGGGCCAGCTGACCTGGCCCAGCACACAACATCCCCAGGACACCCAATAGCACTGTCACTCACGCCCAGTCCCCTGAATGAGCAATGCATTCAGTCCTTTCAGAACTCTGTTCTCTTGCCTGAGTGTATGCAGTTTCTCTTCCTGAAAAATGCCTACCTCCCTCTGTTTTTGAGGTGGAGTTTCGCTCTTGTTGTCCAGGCTGGAGTTTGCGCAATGGCATGATCTTGGCTCACCACAACCTCTGCCTCCCAGATTCTAGCGATTCTCCTGCCTCAGCCTCCCAAGTAGCTAGGATTACAGGCATGTGCCACCACGCCCAGCTAATTTCGTATTTTTAGTAGAGACAGGGTTTTCCCCATGTTGGTCAGGCTGGTCTCAAACTCCTGACCTCAGGTGATCCAACCACCTGGGCCTCCCAAAGTGCTGGGATTACAGGTGTGTACCACCGCGCCCGGCCCCATCTCCCTCTTAAAACCCAATGGAAAAGTAGTTCTTCTCTAAACTGAGTAATTTCCTCCACTGGACTCACATGCCTCTTCATTCATAGCTAGGATATAGCTCCTCCCACACTCTGTTGGAATTGACTGTCTCCATGGCCACCTTCCCTCTTCTCCTGGCTTCAAGGGCAGAGGCTGCATGTGCTCATCTCTGCATGCTGCCTGGCACATAGTAGGTGGAGGTTATTACCCCACAAACACAGGCCATTTGATTGAAAGGGTACACTTGTCTATCTAGGAAATGAGAACAACACATTGAACTTCTCTAACACCTAACTCCTAGGAAATCCAAACCCCTCATTTGCAACACCATCATCAAACATATGCTGGGTCCTTAGCAATACGGTGTCACAGTTGAGCATTTGAGTGCTGGAACTGTCGTTATAGTTGTCATTTGGGGAAGAAAGCTCAAAGTTCACATTTTGTAAACTTTTTGGAAAATTTCAAACATATAAAAGCAGCAATTATAGGATACTGACACCCCCTGCCCCCATACTCCTTCCCTGTTACCCGGTTTCCACAATGATTAATATTTGGTTGATTTTTTCCTTCATTGCCTTCCCTTTCTCACTATTTTTCTGGAGTATTTTAAAGTAAATCCCAGACATAATATTATTTCATCTGTAAATATTTCATAAACATTCTAAGTTAAAATCCTAGCTCTTTGACATACTATGTTTATGACCTTAGGCAGGTTAATTAATGTCCCTAATGTTCATCTTCTACATATGTAACATGAGGATAATTATGGTACATTCCTCATAGGGTTATAATGAGGAGTGAAGGGACTATTCCATGGAAAGCATTTGACACTTAGCATGCACTCAGCTGGTGTGCTAAGGGGTCGGTGTCAGCCATTAAAATCACTGTCACTTATCATTACTGAATTTACAGCACAGCATCAAACCCTTGGGACATGAAAGACATAAGATCTATCAGTAATCTGTATCTATCAGTAATCATGACTGTGGCAGCAGGATGGGGGCAGATTGGAGCACGAAGAAGCTGGGACCTTCAGAGAACAAACAGGAGGCTAGAAAAAGAATACTGTAGGGAGATGATGAGACCTCGAATGATGCAGTGACAGAGTGGAGACAATACACACGTGGAGATTAGAGCCAAGATCTCTGATCGACTGCCTGCAGCAGGGAGATGTCCTTCTGCAATTAAAGGTCAAGTCTAGATTCTGGTGGCCTGGAGCGAGTAAGTCAAGGGAGGTGGAGGCAATGGCAGACAATGAGTTTCTTCTTCCTAGGATCATGATCTCTGGGGTACTGACAGGGCATCCTATGCTGGGGCATCCTAGAAAAAAGAATAGGCAATGTGCTAAGAGTTTGGATGTTTGTTCCCCAAACCTCATGTGGAAATTTGATCCCAGTGTTGGAGGTGGGGACTAATGAGAGGTGTTTGGGTCATAGGAGTGGATTCCACATGAATAGATTAATGCCCTCCCTGCAGGAATGGAGAGTGAATTCTCATTCTAGTAGTTCCTGCCAGAGCTGGTTGCTAAAAAGAGCCTAGTGCCTCACCTCTCTGTCTTGCTTCCTCTCTCACTGTGTGATCTCTGCACGTGCCAGCTCCCCTGCACCTTCCGCCATGAGCAGAAACAGCCTGGGGCTTCCACCAGATGCTCAATCTTCCAGCCTCCACAGTCATGGACCAAATAACTCTTTTTTCTTTAAAAATTACCCAGCTTCAGGTATTCTTTTATAACAACACAAAGGGACTAATACAGCAGGTGAGGCTGCCGATTATGACATGGCAATGCTTGTCCTGCCCTTTGTGAAGCACGTGGCTCTTCCTAGACAGTTGGTTGTCACTTTTATTTTGGTGTTACTTACACAGCTTCTAATGAAAGATTCCAGATGACTGTACCCTTAAGTTTTCCCTCAGCCATGGCTCTGTAGCCTCGTTTCACTGCTGTGGTGATCAAAGTGAGCTGGTGGTTGCCTCATAATCACTTTTAATAACTTATTATCCAATGAACATGTGCTCATTGTGTTCATTTTTTAAAACACAAAAACATTGGCCAGGTGCAGTGGCTCACGCCTGTAATCCCAGCATTTTGGGAGGCCAAGGCAGGTGGATGCCTTGAGGTCAGGAGTTCAAAACCAGCCTGGCCAACATGGGGAAACCCCATCTCTACTAAAAATACAAAAATTAGCCAGGTGTGGTGGTGGGTGCCTGTAATCCCAGCTACTCAGGAGGCTGACACAGAAAAATCGCTTAAACCTGCAAGGCAGAGGTTGCAGTGAGCTGAGAGCATGCCACTGCACTCCAGCCTGGGCGACAGAGCAAGATTCCATCTAAACACACACACACACACACACACACACACACACACACACACACACACAGTTATAATGGAGAAAATGAAAACTAGCCCTAACCCTATTACTCAGATATAGCCAAGGTTGTGAGGTTGATACAACCTATAATTTGCATTAATATATATTTTATATAGATAAGCAGAATAAGAAATTGTATGTTCAGCGTGATCTTATCATGTTAATGAGAAATGGGAAGCAGTGATCTTCAGGGATGTTCTGTGTTGCCCTTAATCATCCTAAGCCTGATGGACATTTTGCTCCAGTTTTTTGCTTTTAAATATTGAATAACATATAGTAACTGTTAAATTAGTGAATGTTATACAGCTTTATTCCATTTCTTTAATTTTTCTCCTTTTAAAAGGCTGTTTCTACTGGCAAACATAAGGAAAGGATCCATTGTTTATCCGGCCTTTCCTATACAAACTGTTTATCACTGGTAATCAAATAATGGATGAAGGGAAATGTCTCCTTATAAAATTATGGCAGCTAATAAATGAACACGACTGTATTCATCCTCCGGTAAATTACTGGATCTAGGCATTAAGTTAGTATGCTGGAAAGAGAGCCAGCCAGCCATTGTATAGGTTTTGGAGAAAAGACACAGCAGCGCCCGCGGTCTTGGCAAAGAAAATATATTAACCTGATCAAAGCTTCCATCCACCTGAAGGAAATACAGAGAATGGAAAGATACGTTGGCTGCACTGGCTGTTCAAAATCCGTAAAGTCCAGACGGTATGCAACTCCACAAAGCTCAACAATGGGAGCTCTTCAGTACAACTTGCAGGGAACAGCAGCAAAGTGGAAGGGTAATTTGTAGTTTTAAAATGACTCAAGGTCCGGGTGTAGTGGCTCACGCCTGTAATCCCAGCACTTTGAGAGGTGGAGGCCGGCAGACCACTTGAGGTCAGGAGCTTGGGACCAGCCTGGGCAATATGGTGAAACCTCGTCTTTGCTAAAAATACAAAAAGTAGCCAGGTGTGGTGGCGGGAGCCTGTAATCCCAGCTACTCGGGAGGCTGAAGCAGGAGAATCGCTTGAACCCAAGAAGTGGGGGTTGCAGTGAGCCGAGATTGCGCCACCGCACTCCAGCCAGGGCAATGGAGTGAGACTCTGTCTCAAAAATAAATAAATAAATAGGACTTAAAAGTATGAGTGCGTGTATATTCTTTTAATTAGCAAAACAAAACTATAATGCCTGGGATGCAGAGTTGGGTGAAATTAAGGAAATTTAAGGAAGCGATTACTCTAAAAGTCAGGACTGAGCCAGCGACATTTGAGGGAGGGGAAGGAGGTGAGATTAGCACAAGGGACACAGAAAGGACTTCGGGGTGGCTGACAAAGTTCTACTTTGATGTATTGGTTTTGTGTAGTTTTCTGTATCTGTGTTTTACAACTTTTAAAAGTTTAAAATTAAAAAAAAAAAAACACGAAAAAACAAACTGAAAGCTGTTACTAGGCAAGATTATTTCAACAGGGCAGAGAGATTGAACTCAATTCCTTTGAAACAAAAGGTAGAGAATTTTTGAGCACTAGGGGGAGATAGTGGCAAAGTCCTAAAGGACGTTTCAGGAAGAAGGCAGGTGAGCTGAAGCCATCAAGCCATCTGTGTTTGCTAATTGGTGCTTATGGAAGTTAGGCTCTTATCCTTCCCAGAGACTGGGAGATAGGGATGCTATCTTTCTTGATTACATTTTGAAGGGATGGTTCCCAAGTCCTTGAGAAAGACATTCCTGGGTTGTAGAAGATTTATGTCTTAAAGGAGCAAAAATAATTTACAATATCAAGTTTTCTAAGGTAAATGCTCTAAGGGAGGATTAGGGACCTACAGTCAGGAAGAAACCTGTTGATACAGTTTGGATCTGTGTCCCAACCCAAATTTCATGGTGAAATGTAATCCCCAACGTTGGAGATGGGGCCTAGTGGGAGGTGTTCGGATCAGGGGAGCAGGTCCCTCATGAATGGCTCTTGCTCAGAGTTCACACCAGACCTGGTAGTTTAAAATTGTGGGGCCCCTCCTCCCTGTGACCCCCCACCACCACCCCTCGCCTGCATCTGCTTTTGCCATGTGACATGCCTGCTCCCCCTTTGAGACCTCCCTAGAAGCTGATCATATGCCAGCACTATGCTTCCCATAAAGCCTGCAGAGCCATGAGCCCCTGGTGACTCACACCTGTAATCCCAGCACCTTGGGAGGCCGAAGTGGGCAGATCCCGAGGTCAGGAGTTTGAGACCAGCCTGGTCACCATGGCAAAACCCTGTATCTATTAAAAAATACAAAAATTAGCCAGGCGTGGTGGCTCATGCCTGTAGTCCCAGCTACTCAGGAGGCTGAGGCAGGAGAATCGTTTGACCTGGGAGGCAGAGGTTGCACTGAGCCAAGATGGTACCACTGCATTCTAGCCTGGGGAACAGAGTGAGACTCCATTTAAAAAAAAAAAAAAAAAAAAGCTGTTACTAACAATATTGTGTTGGAGAGTGTCCCCCTAAATCCATGTTTCTCCCTGAACCTCAGAATGTGACTTTATTTGGAAACGGGGTTGTTGCAGATATATTGCAACAACATTGCAGATATTTAAAACGAGGTCATATCAGATTAGGGTGGACCCTTAATCCAACATGGTGTACTTGTAAGAAGGAAAAAAGAGAGAGAGAATGCCATATGATGATGGAGGCAGAGACAGGAGTGATGTGTCTCCAAGCCAAGGGCCACCAAAGATGCCAGCAACCTCCAGAAGCTAGGAGAAAATAATGGAAAAGATTCTTTCTCAGAACCTCCAGTAGGAACCAATCCGGCTGACATTTGGATTTCAGACTAAGCCTCAGAACTTGTGAGAAAACAAATTTCTGTTGTTTCAAGCCACCTGGTTTGTGGTACTTAGACAGCAACCCTAGGAAACTAATATACTACCCAAACATTATTATGTGTTCCTAATTTTAATGAAAAGAATGATTAGTTTAGCTCAAGACTGGGTATGATTTGTTAAAGCATTATTTCTAGTCCTTGTCTGTATGCAAACAATTGTTTACTTGGTTGAAGTTATAGCCCAATACAGTTTTATTTCTGGACTTTTTTTCATTTGACAGAACACCTATTTACATTTCTTTTTGTTTGGTTTTATTTTGTTTTTTTGATAAAGGGTCTCACTCTGTCACCCAGGCTGGAGCACAGTGGTGCAATCACAGCTCACTGCGGTCTCGAACTCCTGGGGGCTCAGCCTCCCAAATAGCTAGGATTACAGGTGCGTGCCACCACATCCAACTGTCTTTTCATTGCCCAAGCTGGTCTGGAACTCCTGGACTCAAGCAATCCTCCCACCTCGACCTCCCAAAGTGTTGAGATTATGGGCATGAGCCATCTTGCCCAGCCTGATTTGCATGTCTTAATTTGAGCACGTGTATCTCTAGTAGGCATTGGTTCACACTAGATCCTGATGTTTCCTTCCTTGAAAAGAAACAAGCCCACCTACTGCATTTCCAGCATGCAACTTTGCTTCTGAGTTTTCTGCTCATGTTGCACTAAGATCTGGCTCATTAGACCATGAACTGTGGGTTGCTCTTGTAACCTGCTAATTCTAACTTCTCACACACATCCTGTGTGACCCCACCACCACTGAGATTCGTCCCTGAAACCATCAGCAGATGAAACTCAGCTGCTGGGTCTTTTGAGCGGCCACATGGAGACAATGAATAGGTATAATTAACAGAAAAACAATATCCTGAAGGTTTCTTCATGCACTGAGCAGAAATCAAGTTGTTTGATACTTGCGCAGAACCAAAGCTGAGATCCGATTTCTTGTCTGTTGCCCTGGAGTGAAAAGGGTTGTAGTCACGGCTATCTGCTGCTTTCCAGCATGCCAGGATATTTAAGTCAAGTGTTAAACTAGGCTCTATCCAGATAGCAAAAAGTGGAATGTCAGGCCGGGCGCGGTGGCTCACGCCTGTAATCCCAGCACTTTAGGAAGCCCAGACAGGCGGATCACAAGATCAGGAGTTCGAGACCAGCCTGACCAACATGGTGAAACCCGGTCTCTACTAAAACTATAAAAATTAGCCGGGTGTGGTAGCGCATGCCTGTAATCCCAGCTACTCAAGAGGCTGAGGCAGGAGAATCGCTTGAACCCGGGAGGCAGAGGTTGCAATGAGCCAAGATCGTGCCACTGTAGTCCAGCCTGGGCGACAGAGCGAGTCTGTCTCAAAAAAATAAATAATAAATAAATGGAACATCATCTCCCCCTCTCAGGGGCATCTTAGCCAAGCAGGGGACCTGTCTTTCTTGTTCTTTGCATGAGTCACCCAAGCACGATGCCTTCTCACAGTAGGCAGTCAATATTTGTTAAATAAAGCACTTTTGAATTAAAAGGTTCTAAAACGTCAGAGTTCCAGAATCACCAGGAGTAGACTACCTGTCCAGTCTCAATAAAAGAGGCCTAGGGTGAGGCCAATACATCACTTTTTAAAAGCAACATATGCGATTTTTTACTTTTTTTAAAGATCAACTCCAAATATAGGAAACACACGTGATTTTAATGCAGGCAGTCTTTAATTTCTATTTTTAAGAAAAGCTAATGTAACCACTTGAGTGTTTTGAAATCAGAGACCATATTGTGTTCTGTTCATGAGCGCCTATTGAGCTGTGTACCACACACTCTTCCTCGTTCTTGGGAAAGAGCAGAACAAAATCCCCTGTGTGCAACATGTTATGTGGATACTGAGATGGGGCAGGTGCATGCTCTTCAAGAGCCCATGGAGCAATGGGAGGGGAGAGATATAGAAAAAGTTTTTATAACACTGTGATTCTCAACTGGAGGTGCTTTTGCCTCCCTAAGGGACATTTGGCAATGCCTGGAAGCATTTTTGTTTGTCACAACGGGGTAGCGCTACTGACATCTAGTGAGCAGAGGCCAAGGATGCTGACGAACATCCTGCAGTGCCCAGGACAGCCCCCACAACAAAGAGTTATCTGGGCCAAAATGCCAATAGCTACTAGATTGAGGAACTCTTCAACAGAGAATGGGGCCGGGCGTGGTGGCTCACACCTGTAATCCCAGCACTTTGGGACGCCAAGGCGGGAAGATTGCTTGAGGTCAGGTGTTCGAGACCACCCTGGCCAATGTGATGAAGCCCTGTCTCCACTAAAAATACAAAAATTAGCCAGGGGTGATGGCACTCGTCTGTAACCCCAGCTACTTGGGAGGCTGAAGTGGGAGAATCTCTTGAACCTGGGAAGTGGAGGTTGCAGTGAGCTGAGATCGCAACACTACACTCCGGCCTGGGTGACAGAGGCTCCATATCCCCCCCCCCAAAAAAAAAAAAAGAGAGAGAATGGAATGAGTGAAATGACCCAGGGACAAGCAAGATGCATATAGAAGTACAAAGGAAATAAACCATTCCTGGTCCTGCAATACAATACCCAGCGTCCTACATCCTTCCTTCCTTCTTCGCTCTCCATTGCTTCCAACCCACTGTCTCATACCTGGCAACAGTGCATCAAGCCTGTGGTTGTATGAAGCGGGGTCTAAAGCCTAGTTTCTCTGTATCCACTGTTTAACCTTAAGCAAAAACAATGGGTAAGACCTGTTTGATAGCACAGTGGGGTGACTATAGTCAACAGTAATTTAATTGTATATTTTAAAATAACTAAAAGAGTATAATTGGATTGTTTGCAACACAAAGAGATAATGCCTGAGGGGATGGATACTGCATTCTCCATGATGTGATTACTATCTATTGCATGCCTGTATCAAAACATCTCATGTACCCCATAAATATACATACTTACCATGTACCCACAAAGATTAAAAATTTTAAAAATTTTTAATTAAAAAGAAAAAATAACCTTGGACAAGCCACTAACCTTCCTGAACCTCATTCTCATCTCGACTCTCCTCCTTGAACAACAGAGACTCAGGAAGAAAAGGGGGCCTATTTTTATGTACCCCTGATTGACAGCCTGACAAACTCCCACTTACCTCATTGGGTTGATGCAATGAAATGAGGTCATGCACATGAGGTGCTTTGCTCGGTGACAGCACCTGGTAAGCACTTGTCATATGTCAGCTGCCGCAATGATCATGAGCAACGGCCTCCACCACCCCATAGATTTACCACCTCTGCCTTGTCCTTTACATTTACCCAATTTGGGGTTCATCTCTTTCCTTGAGACTTATCTTCTCCCATTACAACCTATGGGCATCTGGTGACTCTCATATTATTACATTCTTAGGTTCAGAGCCTATAGTTTGCTCCTCCTATCCTTCCTCGTGGGAGGATCCAATATATACCCCGCTTTAGACAAAGTGGGGGAGAACCGGCTTTTGATAAGAACACTTTGGTTGGCAATGCTTTCGCAAATAGAATCGCTCTTTTATTTCCACTCTATACTTTAGTCTGTTCCCCAGACTCTTTATCCCAGGCTTGGGCTCTGTCTCTGTTGGCTGACTAATTTTGCAGCCTAGGAACCCTAGCATTTGTGTAGACAACAGTTATATATGGATTATAGAGTCAACGTATCTCAGTTTCCTTAGGTACTAAAAATACCACCTATTCCTGCAAACCAGCCCTTTTTCTCCAAGCCTAAGAAATGATCACCTCTGACTTCTATTAAAGTAATTGTGGATTTTGCCATTGAAAATAAGGGAAAAAATCACAATTCCTTTGTACCAACTTAATAAATGGTACTTTCCCAAATGCTATTAGGTCTGGCTGTCATCCCTTTCAAAGATAGCTCCCCACTTGAGAACTTTCAAGGTTTTGAAGGGTCTTTGGAATTCTTAAATTTTTAGCCCTTTTCCATGAATTCTCATGTTTGACAATTCCGGGTGAAAACCTTCAGACATTATGGAATGACATAGCTACCAATCTATGAGTAAATAAAACCAGTGTTACCTGGAAGCAAGGCAATTACATCATTAGTAAATAACTAGAGTCCTCCATGCAGAAATATAATATCTTTCTCCCTGAGTTGAGGGTTTTGTTGAAAGATTCAAAGCCAAAAAAAAGTTTAAAATCTATTTTTTAGCAAGGTGCAGTGGCTCACGCCTATAATCCCAGCACTTTGGGCAGCCAAGGCGGGTAGATCACAAGGTCAAGAGATCGAGACCATCCAGGCCAACATGGTGAAACCCCGTCTCTACTAAAAATACAAAACTTAGCTGGGTGTGGTGGCACGTGCCTGTAATCCCAGCTACTCGGGAGGCTGAGGCAGGAGAATCACTTGAACCCGGGAGGCGGAGGTTGCAGTGAGCTGAGATCGGGCCACTGCAGTCCAGCCTGGCGACAGAACGAGACTCTGTCTCAAAAAAATAAAATAAATAAAACAATTATATATAATTATAATTATATTAATATAAAATTTATAATAATAATAATTATAAAATAATTATAGTTCTACCATTCTCGTGTGGAATTGCAGGAGTGGTGGGAGCTCAGGTTGTTACTTTAACCCCTCATTCTCTTACTAGAGCAATATTTCCTTGGGTTATTAATGCATTTATTTTTGAGACAGGGGCTTGCTCTGTCACCCAGCCTGGAGTACAATGGTGTGCTCTCAGCTCACTGCAATCTCTGCCCACCAGATTCAAGTGATTCTCCTTCTTCTGCCTTCCAAGTAGCTGGGACTACAGGCATGTGCTACCAGTCCTGGTTAATTTTTTTATTTTTTGTAGAGATGAGCATTTGCCATGTGGGCCAGGCTGGCCTCAAACTCCTGGGCAGAAGTCATCAACCTGCCCAGCCTCCCTAAGTGCTGGGATTACAGGCATGAACCACCATGCCTGGCCTTCTTGGGTTATTTATATGTCCCTCCGTTTGGCTGAGTGACCAACTTCTACTCAAGTTACTTCCTCTCAACAGCTTCCTCTGGTTTTCATCCTTCTCCCATATCAAATAAATTGCTTCCTCTTCTGTGCCCATCACACCTCAAGCATCTCTCTTACACACTGCGCAACAGATATTTTCCCGCAGGTCTTTCCAAGGGACTGAGCATCTCCATAAGCTAAAGTACCTCACATGTCTTTTATCCTCTTCCCCAGGTCTCACTCCCATGTAGGAATCAGCATCCCCTGAGTGTCCACTTCAGTTCTATTCAACCACCCAAATCCAGCACTGTGGAGCGTTGTTAACTAACACAAACACTGGAGGGAATTCACCAGATTTTTTTTTCCCTCTGCTTTAGTTCAAAACACAATAAGACAAGAATATATAATTTGGTTTCATTATGAGTTCGATTTCTGTAGAACATTCTGGCTCTTGGTTCAATGTTTAATTCATATGAACCCCTTACGACCATGATGTATATTTGATCAGGAGAACAACTACCATCCAAGGACGCAGGACAAAAGGAACAGTTGCTCCATCCAGATTACACTGCCTTGCTTTTTGCTTTCTCTTCTTCTCCTTCGAAGAACATTCTGTCTCTTGTAAGCCAGTGTTCCTACTAATAGCCCCTTTAAAAATCCTCTTGAAGAATCCCACTAGTTATCCTGTTGCCAAGTAGGTACTTCCTTTATAATAGCTGGTTGAATGTTTCTCCCATTCCTTTAAAAATAGTAACCATTCTTGCAGGACCAAGACTATGATTAGTCAAGACAGACAGCTAGGGTATAAAATGTAAGGCAGCGCTCACTTTCAGGTGCTGATCCTGCACTTGTGTGACTCAGAGAATGGCCACCTCCTTAAATTTTGCACGCCAGTCACCTCCTCTGCCCCACCCTCATCTATTCCCCACATTATTGCAAAGACCCAACATGCAGCTGCTCTAAAAAGGAGCTGAGTGTTTGAATCCTTTCTCTACCCTTCCAGTCGATTAATTCATGGTTCCTGACATTCTACTTTTCCAGTCACTCTTCCATCTGGGTCAGAATCTTGGGGCTCACGCACTTTAGACTCCAGAAGAAGCTACTTGGCAAAAGCCAGAAATTCCAGATCTCAAGCCTACTTGCAATGAACATGTTACATTTAAATACCCACTTTATGTTTTAGATAATCATCAATCCCTCCCAAAGATGGATATTGTTAATATGAGGAATATCTCACAGATGACTTTGGTAGATGTGTTTCTTAATTAAAGTATTACTCATTTCTTCTTTTTCAAAGCTTTTAATTTATCATCTAACAGGCGTAGTGATCCATGGAATTACCCCCCTCTTGATTTTTCCCCCTTTTTACACGGATATGCTTATTATCATTCATAGCATAAGCCAAGTGCTATGGTTATTAAGTGCTGTCATTTGTACCCTAATGACTTTGTGCCTTTCACACCATTAAAAAGGAAGTTGGCTACTATGAAGCACTAAATGAAGCCCCAAACAAAGACTGAGGATTATTAACCCTCGTGGCCCAAGTGTGAAGGAACTAACCACTCACGTAG
This sequence comes from Homo sapiens, assembly GCF_000001405.40. NCBI lineage: Eukaryota > Metazoa > Chordata > Mammalia > Primates > Hominidae > Homo > Homo sapiens. The sequence goes on from NC_000016.10 coordinate 77,959,796, forward strand.
GTGAGGGGAGATAGGAGGTTCTAGATTTGCAACCACATTCATGGAAACTCTTTGGAATGTAGTAACCAAAGTCCCCAACTACTTTCCAGAATTTTGTCCCACCTTGACTTTTGCTCTTTTGTCCCCAAGGCCATTGGCTTTTTTCAGTCTCTCCTGTCACATTCCACTTCCTCTGCTTGGAATGGTCTTCTCTCTCTCCTCTTGCCATAGCTAAATCCCATCCATCCTCTAAATCCTAGCTCAATTATCACTTCTTCAGAGAAGCACTCCCTGATCTTCCCAACCAGGTCAAATCCCCATCCACAACCTCATAACACCATCTTACCAAGTGGTAATGTTACATTTGTTTGAGTCATTCTTGGATAAAGCCCATGGCTCCATGAGACTGTAAAAGCCTCACCAGCTTAGGGGGTCTTGTAGGGGGTTGGCTTGCTTGCCACTGTCTTCCCAGGGCTTAACAGTTAGTACACACTCAGTGTATTTGTTGAATGAAAAAGCTTGGAGCCAAATATATCAGTCAGTACCCTGGCAGGAAGCAAGCAGCACACTTAGCTGGGGTTCTAAAGGTATCAGAGTTAAGGAAACCAACTCAACAGGGATGTTGAGATGCCCAGAAACTAGCCACAGTAGGAAGATATTACCCACCCTGGGCCTGAAGGGGCACGAGGAAGCAAAGGCATTAACAGATTGCACAGAGAAAGCTAGGACCTTGCAGGAGCTGTAGTTGTGAAGAGGCATAGCTACTTCCAGAGACCCATCACAAGGCAGGAATGAAAGGGGAAATATCTTCATTCTCCTTTCTCCTGTTTTCTGATCTAGCAGGATCTCATTGGCCAAAGCCAACTGGAAGCCATGGGACAAGGAGCCCAGTAGATATAGTCCATGGGGGAATGAATAGAGGCCAGAGAATGGAAGAGTGGAGGAACCCCCTATTGATAACCAAGACCCCAAGGTTGCAGCCCAGGACCCCTCCTCAGCCCTGATTGAGGCTTCCAGCCACCCCACCTCTCCTAATTTCATTGCAGACAGTAATGACTATAACTACTGCCGAGAAATGACCGTGACTACTGCTCCTCTGCTTGCATGGGGTGAGCCAATTAAATTTTCCCCATGGGTCACGCGCTGAGTCTTGAACACCAGCCAACTTCATTGAGAGCATGAACTGATGGCATGAGTTCAGCTCCAATGGGTTGCAATCCACTGGGGTTAAATAAACAAATCAGGAACTCTGCATTAATGAGTCTAGCTACACAGAGTGAAATATTTTTGAATAAATTTTTCTGAGAGCATCTATCAGGACGCTGCAGCTCCTGTGCTGCTGTCTGTCTTTAACCTTGAGGGAAACAGCTGGGGCAGTTTTCAAAAAGGATGGGCTTGAGGAACAAGAGTCTTTGTTGGCTGCACGTCTATTCACAGAGAAGCAAAAAATTTGGAGACAGGAGTTCCAGGCTGTCACCAAGGGGGCTTCTCCTTGGTGCACGGTGATCTAGCTCCTGCCCACTCCGCTTTGCTAAGTCAACCCTCTCTAAATCACCATGAACCGGGTTCAAGGGCTTCCTTCCAGTCTTTCTCCTTCCTCCCTCGGATCTGTTCACCTTCTTGTTCCCTTACCTTGCCCTACTCCTGGCTCTCAGATCCCTGGGCCTGTTCCAATCTCTGATCTACATTTTAGAGATGGAGGTGGGAGAAGAAACCATTGTTCTCCAAGGTTTCCATGGCCCTCTTCTTATCGAGGACTGGATCAGTCTGTGACTCACAACAGCCAGGTAGCACCACGGTTCTTCATTTGACTTAGGATGATCCCAGATTGGCCTCCTCAACCTCATTCTTTCTCTTAAGCCCCATACCCAGGAATTTCCTGCCATTTTCCCCTGGCTGCCCAGCCAGGATCTCAAACACAACACTAGACATGAATGCAGCCTCTTCTCCTTGGAGAGGAAACCAGGTCTAATGGAAAAGCCTGGGCTTGGCCCCCTGCCTTCTGACCTTACTCCCAGCTCCTCCACTATCAGCTGTGTGATCTTAGGTGAAACACTTAGCATCTCGGAACCTAAGGTTTGTTGTTCCAAAATGAAGCTCAGCAAAGATGATGGGAATGCTATACAGATGTGAATATTGTTGTCATCATTTTTGTCATTATCATCATTGCATTGTGACAAATCCCTCACTGGGAACCCCATTCTGACTAGTGTGTCTAGAGTATCATAGTCCTCCTGGTCAGCTGTGAGTCATCTCTAATTCTTTCTCTCCTCAGTCTCTATGTCATACCCACATCCTAATTTCCAGAACCTGCCAGTCATGCCACGTAATCACTGTGTCCTGTAGCCAGACCCACCCCTCACATCTGCAGGGCCCTGGGCAAGAGTGCAAATGGAGGATCCCAGCCCGTGGTCAGTCCCCTTCTGTCTCCACCCCAGAGTCCCACCCACACCACCAGGAGGGGTCCTGCCCATGTAGTGGGAAAAAGTCCTCATGTGGTCTTGGGGCCATTTGGGAATAGAATTCTGGAAGGCCAGGAACCCAAAGCATGGTCTAGAAGTGTATGTGTTGGGGGAGACTTTGCTTTGCATGGCTGTCCCTTTGGCTTCAACCAAAGGGAGCCATAGGTAGGGGTGCTGACATAGGTAGGGATGCAAGCAGAGGAAGGCCAGGGTAGGCCCCTCTAAGTGGGGCCCAGGTCTCAGAGTAGAATCTCTCCTCTGGACTTGGGAGTCAAACAGAACCCAGTTGGAGTCCCCCTTTTATTAGGTGGCCTCGAGTATATCATAGGCGGGACCATCCTATAATCCTATAAGGAAAGAAATAGGCCGGGAGCAGTGGCTCATGCCTGTAATCCCAGCACATCAGGAGGCCAAGGCAGGAGGACGGCTTCAATCCAGGAGTTCAAGACCAGCCTGCACAACATAGCAAGACCTTTTCTCTACAAAAGAAGGAAAGAAGGAAAGAAGGAAGGAAGGAAGGAAGGAAGGAAGGAAGGAAGGAAAGAAAGAGAAAAGAAAAAATAGCTAGGCATGGTGGCTCATGCCTGCAGTCTCAGCTACTTGGGAGGCTGAGACAGGAGGATTGCTTAAGCCTGGGAGGTAGAGGCTGCAGTGGGTTGTGATCATGCCACTGCACTCCAGCCGGGACAATAGATAGTGATCCTGCCTCAAAAACAAAACAAGAAAAGAAACAATCTTAGGGTTCTGGGTGAGGAGGACATAGACAGCTTTCAGAAATCGAGTAGAGGGCGCTGGATCCTCAAGTTTTCTCCTAAAGAGGCTTCTAGTGGATCCAGTAACTGTGTCAGATGCTTAACAGACATCTGCCCTCAACCTTCACGGCAGTTCTATTAGGTGGGTGAGAACCTGGGCCGAGCAGAATAATACCACGCAAACGTGCCCACATCCTCATCCCCAGAACCTGTGAATCTGGTACCTCACATGGAAAAACGGACTTTGCCGATGAGATTAAGTTAGGGACTTGGGGATGGGGAGATCCTCCTGGGTTTTTCAAAGAGGGAGGCAGGAGGAGGGTGAGAGTCAGAGAGATTTGAAGCTCTACCCTGCTGGCTTTGAAGACGGTGGGAGGGACCTGCAAGCAAAGAAATGCAAGGGCTTCTTCTAAAGACGGGAAAGTCAAGGAAACAAATTCCTCCCTGGAAACAAATGCAGGAAGGAATGCAGCCCTGCCGGAGCCTTGATGTTAACCCTGTAAAACCCATTTCAAACTTTTGACCTCCAGAACGGTAAGATAATAAATTTGTGCTTCAAGTCACTGTTGGTGGTCATCTGTTACAGTAATAATAGGAAACTGATACAAAACCTTACCTTCACTTCGTAGAAAATAAAGGGGGGAAAAACCCACAGTGTCACCGAGAGGCTGGGGGAACTGCCTGAAGTCACACAGTCAGAGAATGCAGGAGCCTGGATCCCTCCTGAGACTCCCGTGGCTCCACAGTACAGGCTGGGTCCTCACAGGAAAGGCATATGCATTTGGTAAACAGGGGAATATTGGGGAAGCCATGGGAAAGTGATTTTCACTTCTCTGTGATACTTCCCAGCACAGAAATGATTTGAAGCAATCAGAGACGAGCTGTCTCACTAGCAAAGAGGACGTCTTCGCAATACGTGAAGACCTTCAGAACAAAACCGAAAGTCTTACAAAAGGGCCTTCCGTGGTGCAAATAGTGGCTGGTTAGGGACTTCAAGATCTGCCACACTCTCCACTTCCAGACCCCAGGATCTGGCCGCTGCCTTCCCCTCCACCTGCCCTTGTATTTTTCTCCACCACTCTGGCCTCCTCTTAGAGAATCCCACGTGGGATTCAGATCCACCTGGAGCCAAAGCATATGTTCCCCCTCTCCCTGAATCCCTATTGCTCAGCTCTTTCTGTGGCTCACTCCTTCCTGCTCTTCAGGTCTCACCCATCACCTCCTTAAACCCACCTACATTAGTGTCCTGTAAGCTGCTGTTCAAATGACCACAAATGTAGTGGCTTAAATAACATAAAAGTATTATCTTACAGTTCTGAAAGCCCAAAAATCAAGGTGTCAGCAGGGCTGCGTTCCTCGTGGAAGCCCTAAGGGAGAATTTATTTCCTTCCCTTCTTTAGCTTCCAGAGGCCACGTGCGTTTTTCTTGCTTCACGGTCCCCCCAGCAAGGGCATCACTCCAAACTCTGCTTCCCTTGTCCCATCACCTGCTCTCTGAGCCAAACCTTCCTGCCTTCCTCTTGCAAGAATCGTTGTGGTTCCATGGGGCCCCCAGATAATGCAGGATAATCCCCCATCTCAGATTTTTAGCTTAATCACTTCTACAAAGTCCCTTTGCCATGTCAGGTAACAAACATATCCTCAGGTTCTGGAGATTAGGGAATGGATGGGTTGGGAGTGTGAGGTCATTCTGTCTGCTTTCCCCAGGGATCTTGTTTAACTGGGTCACTCTCCCCCAACCCCTCACCATCTATTCTCCATCGTGGAACACTGCTCACGCCCTTTGTAGCACTTTTTTTTTTTTTTTTTTTTTTTTTTTTTTTTAGATGGAGTTTCGCCCTTGTTGCCCAGGCTGGAGTGCAATGACGTAATCTCAGCTCACCGCAACTTCCGCCTCCCCGGTTCAAGCAATTCTGCCTCAGCCTCCCGAGTAGCTGGGATTACAGGCATGCACCACCATGCCCGGCTAATTTTGTATTTTTAGTAGAGACAGGGTTTCTCCATGTTGGTCAGGCTAGCCTTGAACTCCCGACCTCAGGTGATTCGCCCGCCTGGGCCTCCCAAAGTGCTGGGATTACAGGCATGAGCCACCCCGGCTGCCTGTAGCACATTTTTTTTTATGATTATGATAAGCCTATTTAATAAGGGAAACTGTGATTCCCCCAGGACAGAGAGAGAACATCTGTTTCAGCCAGCTCCCGGCCCAGGGCTTTGGTTCTGTTGAATGACTGAACAAATAAATAAATGAATGAATGAATGAGTGAACGAATGAGTAGTATAGATATTATCACTCACATAAGATGAGATGCAGAGAGAGGAAGCCAGTTGTTAGAATGATATTACCAACTCAAAGCAGAACCAGGTTTCAGCCCTGGAATGTTCCCACTGCCTCCTGCCACCATGCACTTGGGATGCTGTCAAATTGGCCTCCCAGACACCAGAAGTGTCAGAGAAAGTCCAGATGTCCTTTGAGCTTAGAATGTTGGCATCTTGAGGTGCTTGAATGACATGACTCAGATTTCCTCCCTCCACTGTCTGGATGGGAAACCAGCTCTGTTGGAGATGGCCTGAGTAAATCCAGAATCCCAGCCCTGGAAAATCCAGCTGCCAAGACCAGATATGGCCAGCCACGCAGCTGGCCGTGGCATCCCAGACTGGGTGTGGGACCATGGTCCTGATTATGAACAGACTCCGCTGGGCCACCCAGGCTGCACTTAGCAGGCCACCAAGAGATAGCTGCCCAGGCCAGGGGCTCTAGGATGTGGGGTAGGCAGGACAAAGACCTCTAGGTGAGGCTCAGCCACATGACATCTCACTGTCTCCACATATCCACTTTTTCATTCATTCATTCATCCCAGAAGCTATTGTGTGACAGATGTCCTTTTGCACTATGGACTCTGAGGTAGACACCATTGTCCTGCCCATATAGAGCTGCAATCCCCAATATGGTAGCTATGAGCTATGGGAGGCCAATGAGGACTTCAAGTGTGGCTCATCTGAATTGAGATTTACTCTCAGTGTAAAATACACCCTAGATTCCAAACAGTCCCCCCCAAAAAAGCGTAAATTATTACTTCATTATATTGAGTATATATTGAAATAACATGTTGGATATATTTGGTTAAAGAAAATATCTCAAAATTAATTTCACCAGTTTCTTTTTACATTTCTTGACGTGGTTAATTTGAAAATTTTTAGCCACATTTGTGGTTCGCTTTATATTTATTTTAGATGGCACTGTTCTATTGATTTGCAATGGAGAGGAGAGGCTGATGTGTAACTTACAAGGCTGGGGTAAGGTTGACATCACTAGCCAACTGAGGTGTGAAGGGGTAAGTGCTTGGGCGAGACTGTGAGGTTGAGGGTGGAGGGCAAATACTTAGAAGAGCTCACATCCAAGTCAACAACAGCAAGACAAATCCAAGGTAGCTCAGGACCAGGGCACTCCAGGAGGGGACCCAGGACGTACAGAGACACAGTGCAGAGAGCCCAGTGAACTTCAGATACATCGTAAGTGGTGGACGTGAGTGTGTGATGAAAGGTGAAGAAAAGCAATAAAGCCAGAAAAGGCAACAGTTACCAGCTCCAGAAACATGCAGTCCAGTGCTGTTCAGCAGAATTATGTGAGCCACATGCAAAGTTTTAAATTTTCTAGTTTCTAGCCATATTTTCAAAACTACAAAAAACTAATTTTAATAATTGTTATTTCAACATGTAATAAATGTCAACAACTCTTACTGAAATAGTTTGGATTCTTTTTTATGGTGATTAAGTCTGTGAAGTCTGGTGTGAATTTTACACTGACAGCACGTGGCAATTTTTACTAGCCAAATTTCAAAGGCGCACTTGCCACATTGACTAGTGGCTATAGGATTAGGCAATGCAGGTCTACTAGACAGTTCTCTTGAATACAGTGGGGAAGGGTTTTAAGCAGTAGAGTACTTTAAAAAAAAAAAAAAAAAAAAAAAAAAAGCACCTCTGGTGGTCCCAACGGAGAAGACAAGTCTCCCACGTGCTACTGAGCTTTCTGGAGCCCATCGAGCCCATCACCACTATCTTCTGGGCACTGTCACCCCCGCCGGGGTGCTTTCACTTATAAACGGTAATTTGGGAGCAATGTCTCTTTTGTGCAGACTTTGCTTTGCCAAGGTGTTATATGAGAGCAGTTTGGGGTGTTGACAACAGAGGAAGGGGAAGCTGCCCTCTCAGATCCCCCATGGTTCTCACCACCTTTCAGATGGGCACCAGAGGCAAGAACCTTGGATGTTTTATCTGTGAAACTGTGGTGCTTAACTCAGCTAATCATTGTGATGCTTAACTCTGCTTATCATCAGGTTTCTCCTCTGTGAAACTGATGCAGACACTTCTAAGAGGCTTGGTGTGTGTGGATAAAAGGAAGCAACTTATGCAAAGGGCCTCATATGGTGGCCTAAGAAAGAATTAATCAAGAACAATATCATTTCTTTCCTTCAACATTGTCATCAGAAAGGCTCCAAGAGCAGCCTAACAAGAGGATAGAAATGCACACAGCGTGAATAGGAGGTCAGGCTACTTAAATGGCCTCTTGGAAATACTGCTAATCCTTTATCCATCCTTTCCGTAAGGGACTTCAAGGAGTCAGTTCATTTCAGAAAGAAATATCCAAAAAGCATGCAGATTAGAGGCAGCCCTGCAGGGAGCTTTTTCTCCTAGCATCACAATAAGCTTTAACTGGTGAGAAAACAGCTTTTCAGTTTCTCTGGGCTCTGTCTTACTGGAGAGGCAGCTTAAAAGTTGTTCCTAGTCTCCAAGGAGTTTTCAGATGCTAATAACTTGCCAGGGTGATAAATAACTGAATGCTGGAGATCTATGACGTGAGACACTACCTACCTCATTCCTCTGCCTTTGAGAGTCAAACAAAGCAGTACGGACTAGGCAGAACTGGGAAAGAGCTTTAGTTTTGAAGTCTGGCAGCCCTGAGTGCCAACCACAATTGTGTCACAATTAACTACGTAATCTTTGGGTAAATTGCTTCTATTTTTGAGCATCAGGGTACATTATCTGTAAAATGGGGATATATTTTGCAAGGTAATAATTATGTATGTGAGATAAGAATATATTATCTATTATTGCATTTAACTCCCCCACCCCCAACAAACTTAGAGGCACTTATGATCTCCCAGTTTCTGTGAGTGGGGAATCTGGGCACAGCTTAGTTGGTCCTTTGATTCTCACAAGGCTGCAATTGGGGTGTTACAGGAAAGGGGTCCTGATCCAGACCCCAAGACAGGGCTCTTGGGTCTCACACAAGAGAGAATTCAGGGCCAGTCCACAGTGCAAAGCAAAAACAAGTTCAAGAAAGTCAAGTGGTGAAACAATAGCTATGCCGTAGACAGAGTAGTGAGTTCCTGAAAGAGGAGGAACACGTTCACCCTGGGTACAATGCTTGTTTAAATGAAGAATAAAAAAAGAGCATGGGCTGGGCGCGGTGGCTCACGCCTGTAATCCCAGCACTTTGGGAGGCCAAGGCAGGCGGATCACAAAGTCAGGAGATCAAGACCATCCTAGCTAACAAGGTGAAACCCCATCTCTGCTAAAAATACAAAAAATTAGCCGGGCGTGGTGGCAGGCGCCTGTAGTCCCAGCTACTCAGGAAGTTGAGGCTGGAGAATGGCATGAACTTGGGAGGCGGAGCTTGCAGTGAGCCAAGATCACGCCACTGCACTCCAGCGTGGGCAACAGAGACTCCATCTCAAACAAACAAACAAACAAACAAAAAGAGCATGGGGACAGGCTCTGCTACGAGGGTTTGTGATAAAGGATTAATTTTTTTAATTACTGTATTTTGCAAGAATCAATTCTTTTTTTTTTAAAGACAGTCTCGCTCTGTTGCCCAGGCGGGAGCACAGTGGCGCGATTTCAGCTCAGTGCAACCTCCACCTCCCGGGTTCAAGCAATTCTCCTGCCTCAGCCTCCCAAGCAGCTGGGATTACAGGCACCCACCACCACACCCAACTAATTTTTGTTTTTTTAGTAGAGATGGGGTTTCCCCATGTTGGCCAGGCTGGTCTTGAACTCCTAACCTCAAGTGATCTTCCCGCCCTGGCCTCCCAAAGTGCTGGGATTACAAGCGTGAGCCACTATGCCTGGCCTGATATTATTATCTTTAAAGCAAAATTAGGAATGCTTCTGTTCTCAAGATATCGAGATATTGTTATCAGCACACTCCCAAGTCTGGGTCTGTTTAGTAAACATTATCAATCTGTTCCCTTAACCGTGAGTATCTAGAGGCTAGGAATACCTAACTCTCTGGGGATGCAGCCCAGCAAGTCCCAGCCTCATTTTCCTAGCCCTCACTCAGGACAGAGTTGCTCTGGTTCAAATGCCTCTGACAAAGGTGTCAGCTGGGGCTGTGGTCTCAAATGGGGAAGGGTCTGCTTCCAAGGTCTCTGTGGTCGTTGGCAGGATTCAGTTCCTCACTGGCATTTGGACCGAGGGTATCTGCTCCTCATTGACTGTCGGCTGGGGTCTGCCTTCAGTTTCTTGCCATGTGGACCTCTCCATAGGGCAGCTCACAACATGGCAGTTTGAGTCATCAGAACAAGGAAGCATCAAGAGTTAGAGAAAGAGGGACTGCAAGATGGAAGTCACGGTCCTTTATTACCTAATTTTGGAAGTGATGTATCATCACTTTTGCTCTATTCTGTTGCTTAGAAGCAAGTCACTAGGTGTAGCCCATGTTCACGGGGAGGGGATGAGTACCAGGCAATGGGGATGACTGACAACCATTTTAGAAGGTGTCTGCTACAATATATGAAGATTCCCGGTGGGCAGTAGCTATAATGAACAAATGTGAAAACCTTTGAAAAGCAGAGCTCACTACAAAAATAAAAGGAATCTACTGAATTATGTATTAGGGTCAAGAAATTTTAACAATCATATGACACTATTAATCAGAGATCAGGGCCGGGCACAGTGGCTCATGCCTGTCATCTCAGCACTTAGGGGAGGCCAACGGGGGAGGATCACTTGAGGCCAACAGTTCATGAGCAGCCTGGGCAACATGGCAAAACCACATCTCTACTAAAAAAAAAAAAAAAAAAAAAAAAGGCAAAAAATTAGCTGAGCACGTGGTGACGCTTGCCAGTAATCCTAGCTACTTGGTAGGCTGACGTGGGAGCATTGCTTGAGACCAGGAGGTCAAACCTGCAGTGATCTGTGATTGTACTGCTTTACTCCAGCCAAGGCAACAGAGCAAGACCCTGTCCCCCCAAAAATGTGTTGATTCCGATCACTGCCAGGTTGTCCAAAGACTGCATTTAAAAGTGCATTTATATTAAATACTGATTTGATAATATGTTACCAGACTGACGCTAAAGTTAAAAGGCATCCATTTCTTCTACATGATGTTTTATCATATATCCATAGCCCTTTCTAGTTATTTTAGTATATGTGTGTTTTTATGGAGCTAGAGATTAAAACATTTTAAATATGCATGTCAGTTCTCATTTAGCAATATTACAACATTTAATTCTGCTATGTAGTCTTTGTAATTAGCTGTATATATCTTTATCTTCTTTAACAACCACATATCATTTCCTTTCAGTAGACACATGTGAGAGTCATTATTTACTTAATCATCCCCTTATCTCTGGGACATATAAGTTGCTTCAATGTTCTGCCATAAAAAGCAATACTGTAATTGAGTATCTTTTGTGTAATAAGTTTTTTTCCCCATAATTTAAATTATGTCTTTAGGATAAAGTTCCAGAAAAGCAATTAGAATACAAACATTTTAATAGCTGTGTCAAGTTGTTATCCAAATGTGTAGAAGTCTTCGGTTTTCATACAAGCAAATACTGCTCTATCAATCAGCCACAGGGTGAGTTCCTCAAAGGCAGGCACTGTATCTTACTTTTTAATTTTGTTTAACCATAGCATCTAGGCTAGACGCAACATTTAATGAATATTTTTGGACTGAATTAACACAAATTTTAAACATTTGAGACTTCAGGAAAAATATTTAGGCTAGATCTATTAAAACTTTTTTTTTTTTCTTAATCAAGAGATGTTGCATTTCCACGCAGATTTCATTGAGATGTGGAGCATGGGCCTGTACCAAGCACCAAGCTCCATGTTGCCCTTTCTGGATTTCATTTAACTCTCATGCCTCCCTCCCCATCCCCACCTCAACAGTTGGAATTCCACATGGCAACAGAATGAAATGCTCAAAAGGCAAATTGGATTCTGCCACAAACTTACCGTTTCAGAGGATCCCAGGAGACACCTGTTGGCCTGGCAAGCCCCCAACATTTGAAAAGAAACAGGAGGCCCTCTTTCCTGGGGAGAATATTATAGTGTTGAGGGGAAACTGCACTTAGATAGAGACAACATTTCCTCCCAATAACCAGAATCGTGAGAATTTTCCTGAGTTCAGTTCAGCCTTGAGTAATGGGTCAATTTAGCCCAACTACGAGTCACAGTTAAATAACATTGAAGTAAGCAGGGCACAAATGACCTTCAGAAAATATCTCTATTGGTCAAAATCTAATCTGACTAATGCACCCTGCCACCCTGCAGCACATAATTCTGAGAACTCCAGAGAACCTTCCCCCACCCTTTTAAGGAATGTTCATCTACTTATTTCAAGAGCTGTCACCCTCACTTTTCCGACCCAGAAGATGTTTGCACAAGATCAGTGTGTGTGAATGGCCCAACCAGAATGTAGTTGCACCCCAGCGTCCAACAGCAACCTCTTAGCCACTAAACTTGAGCCGCAGCGCCCTCTGGTGGTCACTTGACAGTTTGAGTTCTCCAGGCCCCCTTTTTAACTGGGGAACATCTCGCCTAACCAGCACCTCTGTTTCTCACCTTTTCGCGCAGGTGAAGGAGGCCATGCAGCGGATTCACGACCGAGGGAACATTGGCAAGTTAATTCTGGATGTAGAAAAGACCCCAACTCCACTGGTGAGTGAAAAGCAGAGGAGTCTGTTCAGTTCCACGCGAGAGAGCACCACGGGTCAATCAGATGCAGACACGGGTGGGGTAGAAGGAAGTACAGGTAGCCTGTGGGCTAGTGGAGGAGACCAGGGGTAATCAAATGATGTCATACATGAGGGATTCATGACAAACTGAGATGAATGCTGAAAAGGAAAGGCCAGTGCTTCAGTGAGAGCATATCAAAAGCAATCTGAAGGCATAGGCAGGAAAGCATAGCAACAACAGACCTGTCTATTACAGCTGCTAGCTCTTGGGAGAAATTCCTGGAAAATTTCAATAATTTCACATTCATGTTCCTAACAGAATGATGCCAGCTGCTTCCGAGATGCTCCCTGATGGTTCCACAGATTTTTTTTTTCTTTCTTTCAGAGAGAGAGTCTTAAACTCTGTCACCCAGGCTGGAGTGCAGTAGCACTATCTCAACTCACTGCAGCCCCCGCCTCCTGACTGAAGTGATCCTCCCACCTCAGCCTCTTGAGCAGCTGAGACTACAGGAGACCACCACCACACCCAGCTAATTATAATTATTATTGGCCAGGGGAGGTGGCTAACGCCTGTAATCCCAGCACTTGGGGAGGCTGAGGCGGGTGGATCATCTGAGGTCAGGAGTTTGAGACCAGCCTGGCCAAGATGGTGAAACCCCGTCTCTACTAAAAATACAAAAATTAGCCGGGTGTGGTGTCAGGTGCCTGTAATCCCAGCTACTGGGGAGGCTGAGGCAGGAGAATCGCTTGAACCTGGGAGGCAGAGATTGCAGTAAGCCGTGATTGCGTCATTGCACTCCAGCCTGGGGGACTAGAATGAGACTGTCTCAAAAATGATAATAATAATAATATAAAATAATAAAAATAATGTAAAATATAAATAAAAATATAATTTAAAATATTATTTATATTATTTTTAGAGACAGAATCTCACCATGTTGCCTAGGCTGGTCTTGAGCTCCTGAGCTCAAGCAATCTGCCTACCTCGGCCTCCCAGAGTGCTGGGATTATAGGCGTGAGCTACCACACCCAGCTGTGATTTTTTTTTTCTTTCACCAGAATAAAACCCTTATATCCCAGGGATACCACCAGGAGTATAGCATGTCAAACTCACATCCCACCTATTCTCCCTGGGGCCTCTCGAGGAGGAACTATGTAGTGGTGTGGTCAGTGCACAGACCATCCGACTGCATGGATTCAAAACCTTGAGCCCCTGTTTATGACCTGGGCAAGTTACATGACTACTCAGCTTTGATCCCCTATCGGTAAAGTGGAGATTGATAAGTTCCCAGTTAGAATAGTATTCATAAAGCATTGTCTGATATGTACTAAGTTCCAGGTCATCTTTTTTTGAGATGGAGTCTCACTTTATCACCCAGGCTGGAGTGCAATGGCACGATCTAGGCTCACTGCAACCTCCGCCTCCCGGGTTCAAGCGATTCTCCTGCCTCAGCCTCCTGAGTAGCTGGCATTACAGGGGCCCACCACCACACCTGGTTAATTTTTGTATTTTTAGTAGAGATGGGGTTTTACCATGTGGGTCAGGCTGGTCTTGAACTCCTGACCTCATGATACGCCCGCCTCAGCCTCCCAAAGTGTTGGGATTACAGGCGTGAGCCACCATGCCTGGCCCCCAGGTTATCTTTAACAGAAAAAATATTCGGGAAGTGTTTCTTGTTTCTTCATTTACATACACATTGATTCTTGAAGCTGCATCAGTTCTTTAAAAAAAAAAAAAAGAACTAAAATTTCTTGCATATTGTCATGTAAAGTGTTTTTTTGTTTGTTTGTTTGAGATGGGGTCTCGCTCTGTCGCCCAGGCTGGAGTGCAGTGGTGCGATCTTGGCTCACTGCAAGCTCCACCTCCCAGGTTAATGCCACTCTACCGCCTCAGCCTCCCAGGTGGCTGGGACTACAGGCACCTGCCACCATGCCTGGCTAATTTTTTTGTATTTTTAGTACAGACTGGGTTTCACCATGTTAGCCAGGATCTCCTGACCTTGTGATCCGCCCACCTCGGCCTCCCAAAATGCTGGGATTACAGGCATGAGCCACCGCACCCGGCCAGGAGTGTGTATTTTTAAAAGTATTTCCTTGACTTGTAACCATAATGTAATTTGGGTATGACAGTCATTTCATTCAATGAAGGACACCTTCAACATTGTAAAACACCCTCTTGTTAAGTGACTGATACAACATGGATATAACTTATTAAATACTTACTAAGTTCCAGGGCTGTTCAAAGCAGATGAGAGGGCAACGAGAGGGAGGGGAGGGAGTGACTTGGATCCTGAGTCTCCTGTACACCTCTTTGTAGTCTTTAAACATATGACCAAGTCTCTTTCAGTCCCATTTGGAGAAGGCAGACAGGCTCTAGGCCCATCCTGGAAGCTTATGGCTTTCAAGAAAATAGTTGGCACCAATTTCCCACCCTGGGATGCTCCTGTGTCCATCACACATGAGTTGCTCCCAAGTCCTCGGGCTGATAGGAAGGCCTGTCTTACCAAGGGAGGATTCTTACTGGAGCAGATGCTGAAAAATCCACCTTTCAGGGTAAAGGCACAGGATCTGCCTGTGCCACACACAATGTCATTGTCCTTGTTTCTGAACCTCCTGAAGCCTTCTTTTTTGAAATGCAGTCTCACTCTGTCACCCAGGCTTGAGGGCAATGGCACAATCTCGGCTCATTGCAACCTCTGCCTCCTGGGTTCAAGCGATCCTCCCACCTCAGTCTCCTGAGTAGCTGGAATTACAGGCACATGCCACCACACCCAGCTAATTTTTTTTTTATTATTTTTAGTAGAGACAGGGTTTCACCATGTTGGCCAGGCTGGTTTTGAACTCCTGACCCCAAGTGACCCACCTGCCTTGGCCTCCCAAAGAGCTGGGATTATAGACATGAGACACTGTACCGGGCCCCCTTGAAGGCTTTTATCCCTGGGACCTAAAGAAACAAAAAGACAGTAGAGAATGGGTAATCAGAGCAACCACGTGGTGGAAAAGAGGCTACGGCCTATCTAGATGGAAAAGCAGACTTGAAGGAAAGGGAGCATGTCTTGAGGTTAAACAGAAGACATGGAGATGCAGGAGGGATCCAGTGAGGTCATTTTAGGGTTAGCACCTGACAGAAGAGGAAACAACTCAAGCTCCAGGCTCCACAGGATGTGTCGCTGTCCGCTCAGCAGGTGCTGGAGGAGGGGACAGAGGCGCCTGCAGAGGTGCTTTCTCCTACTGGAATGACCACTTTTTTTTTTTTTTTTTTTTTTTTTTTTTTTTTTAAAGACAGTCTCATTCTGTCACCCAGGCTGGAGTGCAGTGGTGTGATCTCAGCTCACTGCAACCTTCGCCTTCCGGGTTCAAGTAATTCTCATGCCACAGCCTCTAGAATAGCTGGGATTAGAGGTGCTCACCACACCACACCTGGCTAATTTTTGTATTTTTAGTAGAGATGGGGTTTCACCATGTTGGCCAGGTTGTTCTTGAAATCCTGACCTCAGGTGATCTGCCCGCCTTGGCCTCCCAATGTGCTGGGATTACAGGCGTGAGCCACCGCGCCCGGCCATGACCAGTCTCAGCCCTCACTCAGCCCCGAATCTGCCCAGCCAGCATGCTGCAGGACACACACTGCTCCTCTAGAATAGTCTGGGCTCTAAGGCGTGTGGGCAGCACCCAGGCAGGGGAAGTCGACTGCTACTGGCAGCTCCAGAAGTAAATTTCCTGGGAAACACTAAGAGTGGAGTCTCTCCTGCTGAAAGCCTCCTCTTAATGAGGCTGGACCAAAGCAAAGTCGAAACTCATCCTATGATGTGTCATGAGGTCAGAGCAGAGGCAGAACTGCTGCCTCCAGACCCCACAGTACCAGCGGGCAGCCCTGCCCCAGTCCTGGCCATCTGACCAGTGCCCCAGAGAATAGAGGTGGCCTTTCCTGAAGGCTACTGACCTCTGCTGCCCTTATGGATTCTGTGTTCACATCACCTCAGGGTCTCCCTTTCCACTGCTGTAGAACAGAACTAACAACAATAATTACTACTATTGCTGCTACTTCAAAGAGCCATAGAGAAGATTAAAAGAACCAATGTCTGCGAGCCAATTGGCATATTGGTGACTATGTATTATAATATACACTACTAAGGAACAGCTTAGCTGGTTAGTTCTTCATTATCCTAAAACACTTGTTGCATATGTACCTAGTGGTAGGGAAGAAAACTGCAGAGACATGGTCCTCTCCCGTGGTGTCTACCGTTTGGCAGGGGCAGATGGACATTGGCCAATGAGCCATTCATATAAATGGGACATTGCAGCTCTTGATCAGTGCTACAAAGAAGAGGTATTTGGGCCATGAAAGCTCATAATAGGGAGATTGTTCCAGTTAGGGAATTCTGCAAAGGCTTCCTTGAGGAAGCAGGATGAGCCCTAAAGGAAACATAGGTATGGACTGGATGAACTGGGCAGAGGGGGTAGAGGAATGACATTCCAGGGAGAAGGCACTGCACATGGTGTGGCCAAGGGGGAGAACCCAGCTTCAGGTGAGACAACATGGGGAGAGCTGAGATTCAGGGGCCAAATTCCTGTTTGTCAGAATAAGCCATGAAGCAGCCAAGGACTCAAGTGTGGGAGATCTGGGGCCCAATCTAGATCAGGGGATAAGAACAGAAAAGAAATCTGAGGCACAGATCATGTAGGGGATGTTAATGGACAGAACTAGTTTGTTCTGAGTCTCTGTCATATGCTCAGCCCTTTGCTAGACTCTTTAGATACATTACTCCATTTTCTTTCACCTGGTTCTTAAAACAAATTTATAAGGTAGGTGGATTTATCGCCACTGTAATGATGGCGGAAATGAAGACCCAGAGGGGTAATCATAACTATGCCAGGTACCAGTGATTAACAAAAGAAAAGGAGTCAGGCAAAATCCCTGTCTTCCCAGAAACTATATTCCAGTTGGGGGAAGAGAGACCAAAAAGCAGATCAATACACCTTTGTTCTGGTTGTTGTGTCTGCTCTTCTTAAGTGACAGCATCAAGACTTCAACCCTGGGGACTCTGTGCAGCTGATGCTCTCAATACCCCTCACACCTCCCCTTGGCATTCGGGTCCCCTGCGCTCCAGGGGCACCTCTTGTGGGCACCTGCCCCTCTCTGCCTGAGAGCTAACTCTTGTCACCAGAGCATGCTTGAGTTTTGCACAGAAACTGCGTGGGGTGCAGGGAGATAACTCACCTCCCCTGAGAGCAGCCCTTAGCCATAACATGGCTTCCTCCTCCCTCAGAAGAGACAGCTCTAAGATGTGTCCCCCAGGGTCTCTCAGAGGTCCCCAGCAGGACTGAGTCCCACTGCCCACACAGGAACCAACTTACTAACATACCCTGCATTGGATTCTTCCCCTTTTTGGTCTCATTTCTTCACTCCCCTGCTACTGCTTCCTGGGATCATCTCCTAAATTCCAGATACTGGTATTCAAATCCTTATCTCAGCACCGTCTCTCAGGGTGCCCAACATATGACAGCTAATCCTGCATTGCCTTCCAGGGAAACAAGCAACCCTAGTTCCTAGCCCCCAAGAAGTCCTCCCATAGGACTCTGTCAGATGCTCAGAGATGACGAGGCTGGGTTGCACAACCCTCAATAACATCCTCTTTTGAATTACAGATGGCCAATGACAGCACAGAGACCAGTGAAGCAGGGGAAGAGGAGGAGGACCACGAGGGAGACAGCGAGAACAAGGAGCGGATGCCCTTTATCCAGTAACTGAGGACCCAGGTGGGAGAATGTGAAGGATGGTTTGGAAGATGAGGACCCGGCTGAGAAAACTCTTCTGTGCCCCAGTGAACAAATGCTGTAGTCCAGTGCGTGTCGTGTTTGTCTGCAGTCAGCTGAGCTAAAAAGCTGTTGATCACTGTTGTTTTTTGAAGTGCCAATCCCATGCCATGCAGTATTATGTCCCTCTCCTATCTGTGTATTACACATTCCCCTCTCCCCTGTATCAAAACCATCCATCTGTGGGTTCTTCTTGACAGTTCTAGAACAGCCTTGCAAATTAATACAAGTCCCAGGCCCAATGCCTAAGAGACCAGACGTGGGCAAAGACAAGTTTGGATGGAAAGGTGTTATCACAGAGCCCTGTCCAGCTCCTAGAATTCCTCAGGCCAGTGACACTTTTTTGCTGCTGGCCACCCATGCCTCTGATGAGAACACTTGCCAATTTGGCCAGCAGAAAGAGAGTAGGCCGGATGTTTTCATGAGCCCACAAATTTAGAAACTCTCCTAGTAGTACTTTTTCTCTCTCCATTTAAGAGACAACTACGGTCAAAAGTTTGAGCCATTCTCTTCTACCCCTTCAGTGTCTGACCCTTTCACTGGCTCTTATCTGTAAACACAGGGAGGCAGGTATGGATTTTTCACAGTAGACAATGGGTCAACAGCATGAGTTTGAGGACCTGCTGTGAAGATTTCTCCTCCAAAATACATCTCATGGGCAGGATTCTTCCTGCTCCATATCTGTTTCAATTTTAAGAAAGCACCACATACAAGACACATTCAGAAGTCATTCCTGAGCATTGCTGGTGTTTGCACACTTGCCACCTGCATTACCAATTCTGTAAATTTCAATTCCTGGTGGAAAGTGACCACTTTGACCATGGATTTCCCAAAGAAGAGTTCCTTTGCAGACCATAGGTGGAAAAGTCAATGAGCATCTCCTTCCTTGCCAAAGCATGTCCCAACATGTAACAAACTCTAGGGATACAAAAGGTTTATATTCAGCATCTGATGTCAGATGTACAGTTCCTCCCCTCCCATATATAAACCCCGGTGTAGAATCTGCAGCGCCCTGCTCTTCGGAAACCAAGGAACAAGCCACCTGCTCACACACCTTGTTCAACTTTTCAGCTCCTAAGGAACCCCACCCCCATGCAATTTGACTGTGCTTGAGAGGTGAATACAGTTACCTTCGAGAAACAGAGGGAGCTCCTCACCCCGTCCTTCCAGTCCTTTTGGCTAAAATGCTTAACTATCACTCACAAACAAATGTGGAGATACCAGGAGCTCATTTGATTCATACCCCAACTTTGTGTTCTGAAAAACATCAGAGGGATTTTACATTGCCCAGTTTCTCCACCAACAAGCCTTAGGGTGGACCCAACCCTTTCCGCAAGTGGTAGGAACGAATGCATCTTAGCAATTACCTGATTTCCAAAGTCCTTTTGTAGCAAATGTCACCTCATTCGTGGTCTTTTTACCTATCCTAAGCTTATGATGATGAGTTATGTATGCCAAATACTTATCTGAAGAGTTTCTCCTCATTGTGAATGTGTATGTAAAATATGAAGACAAGAAAGGGTGCTTTCATCTGAGGAACCAAGGGGTGAGAGTATCCCAAAGGAGGACACCAGCATCATCTTTTCTTCGTACTCCAGGACCCACCAATATTCCAGTTCTGGGTCATTTAGAGAGATAATGGGGCGTTTATTCCCCTATTACCTTTGCTAAGTGCTATATTATTGGCTGTTTCTCCCGTAACCATGCTGAAAAGGGGGTCTTAGGGAGAACTGTCATCCAAGTGGCATTCCTAGTAAGTTGGGTAGAAATGACATTTTCCAGAGCTGAAGGAGTGAAGAGCCCTTGGCCATACTAGGGCTCTCCTTCCCCCGGGGAGTGGGAACTCAGCCACATTCAGAATTCACATCGCCTTTGTTATGTCCAGAGGAGAGGCATAAAAAGGCACTCTCCCCCACCACCCCTACCAAATCTGGGTTTGGTTTGGTTTTATTTAACTAGCAAAGTTAATCCAGTAATCGCAAATTACTCCAGATGGTTAAAGAAAACCCTTTCAGAATACAGAACGAGAAAACTAGAGTTTGACCAATAAGACCAATTTCTGCCATGAAGAACCGGGGGACGCAAGTTAATTGTTTAACGTACTCTCATTTTAAGCACCTTCTTTCCTGTCTCTTGATTGTTTTTTCTGAAGGAAGTGTAAAGAATGTCTCAGTCTGCCTTAAAGGAACTGTGAAGGCTTCTCTGTAATTTAAGCTTGATAGAAGTGAACTGAAACATTGTCTAATGTCTTTGTGGCTTTAGAGCTTTTGTTATATTGTGCCTATAAAGCAAATTATGTTTACATAAAAATATAAATAAAGTATTCAGCATAGCAAAACCTCACCTGGCATCTGCTATTCCACATAATTCATTGCTGGATAAGCAGTCGCACTATTAAATATGCAATGAATGGGGAACTGAAACAAGAAAAGTTAAAAACCTAATGGGAGCATCTCCAGATAAGAAACTAAAGACCACATGGAGAAAATAGGGGTTAAGAGGAGAAAAGCCTTTAAAATCACTTTCAGGTTCCCTCAAACCAGAAAGTAAAACCATTAGGTTAAAAAAATATATATATATTGAAAACATCCTATGGGCCGGGCGCGGTGGCTCACACCTGTAGTCTCAGCACTTTGGGAAGCCGACCCTGTGGATCACTTGAGGTCAGGAGTTTGAGAAAACCTGGCCAACATGGTGAAACCTCATCTCTACTAAAAATACAAAAAGTAGCTGGGTATGGTGGTATATGCCTGTAATCCCAGCTATTCAGGAGGCTGAGGCAGAAGAATCACTTGAACCCGAAAGGCAGAGGTTGCAGTGAGTCGTGATCACACCACTGCACTCCAGCCTGGGTGACAGAACGAGACTCGGTCTCAGAAACAAAACAAAACCAAAAAAAAACTATCATATGTTCATGATGACAGTGATGATACAGATAACGATAATAGAATAACAATAGGCCAAGCGCAGTGGTTCATGCCTGTAATCCCAGCACTTTGGGAGGCCGAGGTGGGTGGATCACGAGGTCAGGAGATTGAGACCATCCTGGCTAACATGGTGAAACCCCGTCTGTATTAAAAATACAAAAAATTAGCTGGGTGTGGTGGCGGGCGCCTGTAGTCCCAGCTATTCGGGAGGCTGAGGCAGGAGAATGGCGTGAACCCGGGAGGCAGAGCTTGCAGTGATCCGAGATCGTGCCACTGCATTCCAGCCTGGGTGACAGAGCGAGATTCTGTCTCTCAAAAAAAAAAAAAAAAAGAAAAAAAAAGAATAAAATAACAATAATAATGCCAAACATTTATAAGGCAACCTACTATATGTTGCTAAAAACTGTCCACATATTAACTCACATGCCTTCCCCACAGCCCTAAGAGGTAAGGTCTATCATTATGTCCACATACAGGTGACAAGATTGAAACACAAGGGAGCCTGCGCCCTTTCCTAAGATCACACGCTACTAAGTGAAAGCTACAACTCACCAATTTCCAGCCATACTTTTGCCGCCAGAATTCATGCTCTTAACCACCTGATCATGCTACCTTGAACCTTAAATAAGGGTAAAATATAACGCATTTCAAATTAGTGATCCCTTGTTCACTCGAAACCCGTTAGGGATTTGGTTTTCTCTGATTTCAAGGATATGCTTGTAAATTTGTCTTGCTTGGTAGCAAATAATATGCGTGTCCAGAAGCATATTTATTTTTCTTACCTTCCATACAAGTGTTTGGTGACATACTGATTTTGAAACTCACATGTCTCATCAACAGCCTTCGTTTTCATGATCTTAAATCCTCAAGGTTATCAAAGAGATACTAAGAAGTAAATATCCACCAGCTAGGGTTTCACAAAAGAGGAATTCATGGCTGGGGAGGGTGTATTGTGCTTTACCATCTTTCTCAGCAGGAAGCCAACGGAACAGGCCTATGTCAGTAAAATATCACATATATAAACCAGAATTGACAAAGCAGAAAGTCATGCTGTTGGTGAATTTCTTAGGAAGTCACACACTACTAAGTTTCCTGGTTTTATTTGTGGGTTTTTGTTTGTTTTGTTTGTCTGTTTGTTTTTGAGACTGGGTCTTGCTCCATTGTCCAAGCTGGAGTGCAGTGGCACAATCGCACCTCACTGCAGCCTCAGCCTCCTGGGTTCAGGCAATCCTCACACCTCAGCCTTCCAAGTAGCTGAGACCACAGGTACATGCCACCACGCCCAGCTAGCTTTTTTATTTTTTGTAAAGACAAGGGTCTCCCTATATTGCCCAGGCTGGTCTCATACTGCTGGGCTCAAGCGATCCTCCCGCCTTGGTTTCCCAAAGTGCTGAGATTACAGGCATGAGCCACTGCATTTGACCTTTGTTGTATACTTTTTTTTTTTTTTTTTTTTGAGACTGAATCTCACTGTCACCCAGGCTGGAATGCAGTGGCGTGATCTCAGCTCACTGCAACCTTCGCCTCCTAGGTGCAAGTGATGCTCCTGACTCAGCCTCCCGAGTAGCTGGGATTACAAGCACGCACCACCATGCCCAGCTAATTTTTATATTTTTAGTAGAGATGGGGTTTCACCATGTTGGCCAGGCTGGTCTCGAACCCCTGACCTCAGTTGATCCACCTGCCTCAGCCTCCCAAAGTGCTGTATGTTCTTATTTAATGCTCACATTCTCTGTATGAATCTCATGGCTACATCCAGCCAGTGTTGGTGCACTGTCACATTTAAAAATGGCTCACCTACAAAAACTAAAACGAAATCCACATGTTCACTTATAACTGGAAATGGGAAAGAGGTCTACTAGGAGTTGGAAATAATTTTTTTTTTTTTATTTTGAGATAAGGTCTCGCTCTGTCACCCAGGGAGAGTATAGTGGCATGATCTCCACTCACTGCAGCCTCCACCTCCCAGGCTCGAGCAATCCTCCCACCTCAGCTTCCCCAGTAGCTAGGATTACAGGTGTGTGCCACCACACCCAGCTAACTTTAATTTTTTGTAGAGACAGGGTCTCACTATATTGTCCAGGCTGCTCTGGAACTCCTGGGCTCAAGCAATCCTCCCACCTTAGCCTCCCAAAGTGCTGAGATTACAGATGTGAGCCACCCTGCCCAGCCCAAATTAATTTTTAAAGGTTTGAAGGAGGTTAGGGTATTAACATTTCAAAAGCCATTTGGGGTATAGGAAACATTTGTGTATGAGCAAGGAGGAAAGAAATTTGAGGAGCAGAGAATAGAACAGTGTAGCTGAAATACAAGATGGTGGGGAGGGAGTAGAGTGGAAGACAGGCACTATGGGAAGTCAGCACCAGGTCTGGGGGCCGCTGAATGCCAAGCTGGGAATCTTAAATGTTAAGGAACAAGGTCATACAATGAATGGTGTGATGTAAACGCTTGGGAGGCGATTTCTGAGGGTAGGTGCTGGGTTTAATGGAAGGAGAAATAAGAAGAGCCCATAGGTGGCCAGGAGCCAGATGGTCAAATGCCTTGACTCCTCTTGCCTTAGTTTGGGTCTTCCAGAATCAGACACTGAAACAAGCATTTGAATGTAAGTCGTGTTGGGGAGGTGACCCCAAGAAGCACAGAGGGCAGGAGGTAGGGGAAGTAGGACAGAAGAGGAAAGAAGCCCATTCAGGCTATGTTGGTGAGCAGGCACCACTACAAGAGTCTGTAGGCATGATCAGAATGGTCCCATTGAAGGGTAAGGAGGCAGTCATGATTACCCATAAATTCCCATGCACTGTTGGTTGGGGACTACTCTTAACAAGGGTGTTAATTCCATTCCCATCTTGCTGCCTGTATGAACCAAGCACATTGCTGTCGCCGGACACTGGTCGCGGAAAGCCACAAGAAGCGCTTGGTCTGTATGGGAACTGCTAGGAGATATGGAAGCAGTGCCCACAGCTCCTATTGTAACTTGTCTCAAGAGCTTACTTTATATTCTGAAGTTAATGGGGGAAGCTTTTGAGGCTTTCCACAAACTGTATTTCAGTCTTAGTAACCACTCTAGCTATATCCCATTACCTCACACCACCCCTTCTTTTTTTACATTTGTTCTGTCAACTGTTCTCTTCACTTGGAGAATAGAGTTTCTGCTCAGAGGAGATAGCCAAATTGCCTTGCCATCTCATCAGGATGTGTTACTTCATTAGGATCTTCCTTTCAAATTGTAGGTCTCTTCTTCATTGGGACCAGAAAAATCTGGGCTCTCTGTTACACAATTCCATGTGTTTCCTCAACACATTTTAAATGAGCATTTACTAAATGCAAGACCTTATTCCAGGTCACAGAAATAGAAAGCAAACAAGACAGATTCTGCCTCAAGAAATTCAGTCTAGAGCTGTGCTATCCAATAGAAATATAATGTGAGTCACAAAGTTAAATTTTCTAGTCGTCACATTAGATGAGTAAGGAGAAACACGTGATTTTAATATAATTTAGCCCAATGTTTACAGAATGTTATTTCAACATGTAATCAACAGAAAGATTGAGATAGTTTATGTTCATTTTTCATACTAACACTCCAAAATCTGGTGTGTATTTCATTTATTTTAAAGACAGGTTCTCGCTCTGTTGCCCAGGCTGGAATGCAGTGGCATGATCCTAACTCATTGGAGCCTCAAACTCCTGGGCTCAAGTGATGCCTTAGCCTCCCAAAGTGCTGAGATTACAGGGGTAAGCCACCACACCTGGCCCTGGTATATATTTTATACTTACAGCACATCTCAACTTTGACTAGACACACTTTAAACGTTCAGTAGCACCTGTGACCAATGGCTACCATTTTGGACAGGCAGGTGTAGAAGAAGGGCAGGAATGGACTGTAAGATATAAATGTAGCTTTAAAGATGCAATGGGAGAGGGCATAATGAAGATGCAAAGTAGGGAGGGAATGGCAAGGAAACCAGACACAGAGGGGGCAATGCTTGAGTGAAGTAATGAAAGATGAGCACATGTCAACCGTGAGAATAAGGTACTTAAAGCACACAGGATAGGGCCTGGCACACAGCAAGCACTCAGTAAACGTTAGTTCTCTTTCCTACCTCCACTTGTCAATGCTGGGAAGAACGGGATGCTTGGGAAAAACTCAGTAGCCTTTTTTTTTTTCTTTTTCTTTTCTTATTTTTGTTGTTTTTTTTTTTGAGATAGCGTCTCACTATGTCACTCAGGCTGGAGCGCAGTGGCGTGATCTCCGCTCACTGCAACCTCCACCTCCTGGTTTCAAGCGATTCTCCTGCCTCAGCCTTCCGAGTAGCTGGGATTACAGGTGTGTGCCACCACGGCCAGCTAGTTTTTTTGTATTTTTAGTAGAGACGGGATTTCACCATGTTGGCCAGGCTGGTCTCGAACTGCTGACCTCAAGTGATCCGCCCGCCTCAGCCTCCCAAAGTGCAGGGATTACAGGCATGAGACACTGTGCCCGGCCTAGCTTCTTTTTTCTACTTTTTTTTTTTTTTAAAACAACAGAGACTATATAGATCTCAATATTTTGCTTCCAGATTTGTTTGTGGGAGAAAATAAAATAAATGTTTTGGTATTCTCTGCCATGAGCACAGCTTCTATTGCCAGCCAAGCAAAAATGCTGGGAAGTATGTTATTCAAATTGGCACCCAAACACCCATACAAAGAAGAAACTCAGACAGGAGTAACTGAAACATCAACACAGCACAGGAGTGCACACTCACAAACAACTGTGCAAGAGCATAAGCCTTAGAATCTTTCAAACCAGGGGTCAAACTTGGGGAATTTGCTTGGGGTCTGACCTTTCTCCTATTAAAATGGAGAAGATCATATTGTATATATTCTAGATCAAATGTAACAGTGTAGGTGTAACCCGGCTGAAATCATGACCCACAATTCCAGTCCAAAAGCCAGGTAACAAATGCCTCCAAAACCAGGTTTCTCCACTCATTAAAACACTGATCAAATGCCTAGTATGTTCCCGACATATTATTTTTAGTGTCTTAGCTGCAAAAATAAGTGCATAGCCCCTGCCATTCAGGAACTCAGTTTAATTATGTGGTAATAAATAAGGTACTTATTGTGCAAATGGCAATTTGTTTGTAGAGCCTGCCTTGGTACTGGGCATTTATGTGGGCCGAGTGGCAAAGAGGCTGTAATTGATGAGAAATATCTATCAGGAACAGGCAAAGAGAGACATCTAGGAGAAGTAACTATCATTAGGTCCATCAGTGAGGAAGCCCAGGGTAGGTTCATGGAATGGTCCACTTAACCACTGCATGCATCAAGAGGAAAGATAGAAAATCAATAGGACTGGATTATGGAAATCCATGGATTTCACTTCAAAGGTTCTGGATTTTGTACTAAAAGCAGAATAATTCACTGAGGGATGAATCAAGAGATTGCTAGAGAGTGTCTCAAGTAAGAGAAGACCATGGGAAGTCTTCCCAGAATGAGCTTTACTATTTCACTTGGTTCAGTTGTGGGAGGTGGAACAGATGAAAGTGCCATATTGGAATAACAGTTCTTTGGCCAGTCTCCCAGCATCCACCCATTGTCTATTTAGTCATGAGATAAGGTGCCCATGGAATTGGCATGGATGGGAACAAAAGAACTCCTCTCCATTTCAGGAGTTGTGAGACAAGGAGGGGCTGTGGTTCTGTCTTTCTGGAGATATGGGGCATCGTCTCCATGGAAGTAGAAGCTCCCAGAAAGTAAATCACCATTCATGGGAGTTAAAACTAGTGCAAATGACCCATGCAGCATATTCACAAACACTGACACTCAAAAGATTGGAATCGTTTTCAAAAACGTGCCCGAGCTCAGAGTTGACAGATGCCCATAGAATGGAATTGAATCAAGACCAACCATGGAAATGAAACTAGCATTTGCCGAGGACTTGCTACTTGCCAGGCATTTGACACATACCCTCACTGAATCGCGGCAGTGCCTAGAAAATCAGGCATTATCCTCACTTACAGATAAGGATCCTGGATTTCAGAGAGGTTAGGTGGCCTGCCTATGTACACTCAGTCGGAAAGCAGAAGAGTCCGGTCTAGAACCCAGGGCTCCATGTGACAGAAAGACTCCTCTCAATGGCTGGGACAAGATGGAGGCCAGGCATTCCAACGACCACCTGGCAAAGAAAAAGAACTTTCTCTTCACTAGCTTTAGTGTGAACCAAGGTGCTCTCAGGAAGGCTCCGATTAGCCCATCTTTGGTCACATGCTAGTCTGTAAAACAGTCACTGAAGCAGAGGGATGGCTATTGATTGGCCAGCCCGGGTCACATACCCACACCTGTAGGTTCCAGCAACCTGATTGATAAGCCAATCAGGACCATGTCAAGCTGCAGAAGGATCCTTATAGGAAGTGATGCTGGATGGTTAAACCTATGTCCACTACAGCTACAGTATATGGAATACTCATTGTGTACCAGACACTGTTTGAAGCCCCTGTAGAAATCACCACTGACACCCACCACATATTGTCTTGGTGCACCAGAGTTCACCTGCAGCTATAGACAGTTCCTGGCATGGGGACAGCTTTCCACATCAAGCACCTGCACTGGTCTTTCTACTGTGCCTGCAGGCTTCCTCCAACATCACAGGAGACGAATGCATGGGGGTAACCCAGAGTTACTGTGGTGGGGGGCAGGTCGTAGCTTCAACCAGTGGAAGATGGCAGCCAGTGGATAAATGCCAAGATTTCCCACCTTCTAGTCGCATGATTTGAAGGTGTGTTCCACACAGTAGCTCAAAGGGCCCCTTGGCAGGATGAAATGCAAATTTCCCACAATGGCAACTCAGTCAACAGCATGCCCCTTACTGGCTTTTCTTCCTTCCTTGTCTCATTCTCCCACTCCTGCTCCTGCTTTCTGAGATCACATTCCCAATAAACCATTTCCACCCAAGTCCTTGTCTTGAGGGATACTATTGTGGAACCCAAGTAAAAGCATTTTACATGTCTTAACTTGCCAACTACACCCAGAAAAAACCCTATAAAGTAAGTGATGCTATTTCCATTTAACTGATGACAAAATGAAGCACAGAAAAGTAAAATAAAGTGCCCAAAACTACACAGCTAGCAACTGAGTTTCCAGAATTAGGGCTTAGAAACCAAGCCAAGTTCTCTCTAATGTCCAAGTCACTGAAAACATGCATTACTGCTTAAGCTGGAAAAAATTATTCAACAGCTAAGCTAGTGTCATAATTAAATTGACTTCTGGGACCAGCCCTTCACAGTATTTCAAAAGCCTGAGGGAGTGAGAAGGGATTATTGCTGTTTTCCTGATCCTGGAGAACTCTATCCAAGGCCAACAGGAGAGGACCCAGCAGCAGTGATGAATTAATGGGCTATGCTGGGAAAAAGGGAATCAGACCAGCCCCAAGAATCACAATACATTTGTTCTCTTCATCCTTT
The DNA here is from genome assembly GCF_000001405.40 of Homo sapiens. Lineage (NCBI taxonomy): Eukaryota > Metazoa > Chordata > Mammalia > Primates > Hominidae > Homo > Homo sapiens. Next base: position 77,988,128 of record NC_000016.10, read on the forward strand.
GCTAAAACAAACAAAATATCAATTTACTGAGCCCAGGCTGCTGCTCAGGCTGACCGCGGATGTTAAGAGCTGTTCTGCTTGTCTTTGTTTGGAGGCAGAAGTTTAATTATCCCAATGGTCCTTTGAGATTAATCAACTAGCAATGAAGGAAGTCAGTCTATCATTAAATTGCACTTAGATAATTTAATTATTAACTAGATAAATTCAGAGTGTATTTTTAAAACTCCCATTCTTACTCAGGACCTCTCGTTCTCTCTCTCACTCTCCCTCCTAATGTTAATATTATGAAAGAGACTTGATTCAGTTCTACAAATATTACTAAGCCTTGGCTATGTGTATGGCCCTGTTTTGCATGTTGTGAAGAAGTTAAACACAGCCTGGCCACTGCTGGCAAAAAGCCCATGGTTGGGCCGGGTGCAGTGGCTCACTCCTGTAATCCCAGCACTTTGGGAGGCCGAGGCGGGTGGATCACGAGGTCAGGAGATCGAGACCATCCTGGCTAACGCGGTGAAACCCCATCTCTACTAAAAATACAAAAAATTAGCCAGGCGTGGTGGTCGGCGCCTGTAGTCCCAGTTACTCAGGAGGCTGAGGCAGGAGAATGGAGTGAACCCAGGAGGTGGAGGTTGCAGTGAGCTAAGATTGTGCCACTGTACTCCAGCCTGGGCAACAGAGCAAGACTCTGTCTCCCCACCTCCAAAAAAAGTCCATGGTTGAGAAGATGGTGTGAGACAGGGACATCAATCACCAGGAAAAAGCTAGAAGCATAAAGAGAAGAGATGCATGGGGCTTGGGGGCGCAACAGTGGAAGAGGTGGTGTTTGGATAGAGGATAAAGAAGCTCTATGGAATGGAGGTGGGATGGACACTCTTGGTTTTGCCTGCCAAATTTGGCTCATAGTTCTGTGGTCAAAACTAGAGACTCTGAAGACAGATGGCCTGGGTTTGAATCCTGACCAGCTGTATAGTTACTAGCTGGATGACCTTGACCAAGTTATTTGATCTCTGGACCTTTGCTGGCTCCTCTGTAGCAGGGTATGATGATGCTGAAGTGTTATCAGGTTATGGTGTATATTAAATGAGTCAGTAGGTGTAAGATGCTTATGTGAGTGCCTGGTACATAAGCAACTGTAATTGTGATGTGTTTTGTCCATTGCCCCTGATTTTCCTCTGGGGAAAGACCCACCCTTTATATATTGTGTTGGGGTTTCTGTAAATCAACGTGCCTAGCCCTTGCTTACTCAAGTGAGGCTCATGACCCAGGGAAGGTCAAATGAATGTTCTAGTAATTTGAAGTTTAAGAAGAGAGATGCAAACACAGACAAATAGGGTAGAGCTCATTCATTCTAAAGACAACGTCCTTGGCCGGGCACAGTGGCTCACATCTATAATCCCAGCACTTGGGAGGCTGAGGCAGGCAGATTACCTGAGATCAGGAGTTCGGAACCAGAATGGCCAACATGGTAAAACCCCATCTCTACTAAAAATACAAAAATTAGCCAGGTGTGGTGGCAGGCGCCTGTAATCCCAGCTACTCAGGAGGCTGAGGCAGGAGAATCGCTTGAACCCGGGAGGTGGACGTTGCAGTGAGCCGAGATCCTAACATTGCACTCCAGCCTGGTGGACAAGAGCAAGACTTTGTCTCAAAAAAAAAAAAAAAAAAAAAAAAAAAAAGACAGTGCCCTAAAGATACTCTCCATGAATTCCTGATACCCAGATCCCCAAAGCTGCTTAAGTTTCTATTTTTCTCTGAGACCAGAAGTTTTAAAATTGGATTCTGTGAGCTTAAGTTAGCCAGACCTGATTTCTGTTACATGCAACCGAAGAACCCTATCTGATAAAAAGAGAGCCTTTGAACTGGGTCTTGAATCATGTGCCAGGGTTATAACTCAGATGGTTCCACTTCCCGGTTACATCCATATAAAAAGCACATTTATTTTAAAAAGATCAGGACACATAGCTGGCAAAGGATTTTTATCGCACATCAGTGACAAGAGCAGCCTAAGAGAGTATGAATGCCAAACTATAGTCATTCCTGAAACAGTCCAGATTTTTCATTAAGACGTAATGGTCAAATATTTGAAGTACAAAAAAATACAGCCAACATATTCATGGATCAAGAGCAGTATTTGCCAAATTTCAATTTTTTGTGTACCACTTTGTGATTTTTGCCATACCTAGGTCCCGGGTATCACTAATATTTTTTAATATTATATATGTAGATATATATACACACATGCACGTATACACACCTCCCCCTCAACACATACCCCATTACATCATTAATGCTTCTCTTTAAATCCACCTACTTTTAAAGTCATATAAATGTATTTTTAAATTATATTACTACCATAAATGGAAAATAAATATTGTCCATGAATAGAAGGCAATTATAAGCATTAATACCATGGAGCAAGGTTAGGGAGTCCCACTGGTCAAATATGGAGCAATTTCAGCACAAAATAAATACATAGTAGATCATAACCCACGAATAAAATAAAAACCCATGAGCCCAGCAATAACTAATATGCAACTGTAGTCAAATGCCAACAAATAAATACAAACAAAATGGAGTTAGAAAATCAAGTCGTTGGTGAAAGTTTAATGAGTAGCAGGTTTTCCTTGCCTCAAATGTTTCCCCACAAATTACCAATTAATTACAAAGTGAAAATTGATAACTTTATTGTTGAGAAGCCCAGCAGGCTACATCTTAACCAAGGGATCAAAGGTGACACCACCAATGTGAACCAGCCGACACTACTTGCTTCCTAATAGTATGCACTGAGAGGGACACAACATCACTTCCTTAATATCCACGCCAAAATATGCACAACTAAATTTATTCAGGAAAAAACATCAGGCAAACCCAATCTGAGGAACATTCTAAGAAAATAATCCCAGAAAATGGCCTGTACTCCTCAAACATGGCAAAATCAAAAGGGCCAAAAAAAAGGCTAAAGAACTGTTACAAATTTAAAGAGTCCAAATAGTAGACAAGACAGCTAAATACAATGTGTGATCCTGGACTGAATTCTGGAGTGAGGCAGTAGCAGTTGGGGGGAACTTATACAGAACATTATCAGGACAATTGATGAAATTTGCATATGCACTAGATTAGAGCGCAGCGTTGCATCAATATCATGTTTCCTGATTTTGATTATTGCATTGTGTGTATATGAGAGAACGTCTTAGGAATTACACACTTGAGTACTTAGGTGTAAAGGAGACTGATGTTGAATGTTGAAGACAACATTCATTTTCTCAGGGTTCCAAAATAAATACGCATCAAGAGACAGAATGAAGATTATAAAACAAACGGGGCAAAATGTAGTCAGGTGAATCTGGATATAGGATAAAAAAATTCCTTATATAATTTTTGCAACTTTTCAATAAGCTAGAAATCATAATAAAAAGTTACCAAAAATCACTAACAAAATTAATATCATAAAACATGTTATTAGAGTTGTCGACGAAAAAAATCTAACTTTTGTCAGATACAGTGAGTTCTGCTTCAAAGCTTTAGTTTTTGACCTCTTTGTTCTTCATTCTCAAGATCAGCTTTTCCTTGTCCCTTCTCCTAAGCTACCTGCTCTTTAAATATCTCTTGCCAGTCCCAATCTGTAATTCACATCTCCGTTGTTTGGAAAGAGTCCTCTTTGCTCCTGGCTACCCATTCTGTAAGCTGCCCCTCCTGCCTAAACAGCTCTTCCTGCCTTTGCCGTGCCCTGACATGCCCAAACATGCCTTGTACCATAATGGACAGCCTCTCCCTTCCCATCTAATTAGCCATATTCAATTTTAAACTGTAGCCAATCGGTTCAGTTTAGATTGTCCAGTCCAACTCCAACCAACGGGGACAGGACACAGAAGGAGGGACTAACCACATTAGGGATAAAAACCCCTTCCCTATTTTGTGGGGTATGCCCTCCCAGCAACCAGAAGTGTAAGCAGCACCCTTCTGCAGAAGTAAATCTGGCTTGCTGAGAAATCCTTTGACTGCTGGTTTCCTTCCAACTCCAAGCTCTTGTTTCTAACGCTTTGTAAAATATTTGAAGAGATTTATTCTGACCCAAATATGAGTGACCATGGCCCAAGACACAGCCGTCAGGAGGTCCTGAGAACTTATGTACAAGGTGGTTGGGGTGCAGCTTGGTTTTATATATTTTAGGGAGGCACGAGACATCAATCGAATATATTTGAGGAATACATTTGTTTGGTCCAAGAAAGGCTGTACAAAGTGAGGGGGCTTCCAGGCTGTATGTAAATTTAAACGTTTTCTGGTTGACAATTGGTCAAGTTTGTCTAAAGACCTGGAATCAATAGAAAGGAAAAGTTCAGGTTAAGATAAAAGACTGTGGAGACCAAGGTTCTTTTGAAGTCTCATAGTGGCTGCCCTTAGAGACAATAGATGTAAATGTTTCCTACTCAAGACCTTTAAAAGGTGCTAGACTCTCAGTTAATCTCTTTGGGATTGGGAGGGCTTGAAAGAAAAAGATGTAGCTATGTTAAGAGATTCTTTACAGATGTAAATTTTCCCACACAAAGGACAGCTTTGCAGGGCGATTTCAAGAGATGGGAAAGAAACATGTTTTGGGGTAAAATATTTTGATTTTCTTCTTTGTCACATAATGTTATGCCAGAGTCAGATTGGAATGTGAGTCATGATATATAGGGTTAAATAAAACCCATCTGATGAGAATTTATGGTTTGCAGGGCAGGACTTCCCAGACCCCTTAGATATTTGGGCAAGATAAGAAAAAAAAAAAAAAATCAGACCTTAATCCCCAGTGGCAAGTTAAAAACTATTGCCCATCAAATTCTCTAATACTGGAGACCAGTTTCTTAATAAAAAAGAAAGAGGCACATTTTAGAAAGATTTTAAAAGGCATACCACCATCAAGATAAAAAACTACCTCGATACTATAATCAAGGTTTGGAGAGCATTGGAAAAGAAAAAGCATTTCCCCCAGTGTGATCCAAAGCTCTTTAATGTATGTGCGCCAGTGGTAAGAGCATTCAACCTGGGGAAACCTTCTCTCAAGCAAATGAGGCTTGCAGAAACTTTGACCCATTGAGTAGCTAAAACCAGGGAAGGCGGTAGGACAGAGCAGCCTGACATTTTTGCACAGCTCTTGGCTGAGAAGATGTGCCAGTATGTTAAATTTAATACACTGGTTTTGCCTGTTAGAAATCCACTTTGCTCACAACAGTTTTGAAACAGACCTCACTTTTGGGTGGTGACAATATTGTCTGCAGCCAGGCGTTTCTATTTAAATGCTGGCTAAACCCAGCTTCAACAATGAGTCATCAGGAGAGAAGTTCTGTTCCCCACATCAGGAGACCCAGATGGAAAGAGAAACCATCTGCCCACCAATCCTGTAGTCTATATCCAGCTGCCAAGCATCTGCAGTCCCACAAATGAGATAGAACTCCCTGAAATGGCCCCCCCAAAATGGTCCCAGTACTTTAAAAGGGCTAAGCTTCAGTGCCACCAACTACCAAAGCAACCTCCATAGAATTTTTAATGTGGTACTGAGAGAGTACTGGGAATCCCCAGTCATATTTATTTATCTGTTAACACCAGGAAGAATCCCTGCTAAGCAATCTTGATGGATTATTTCATTTAATCCTCTCACTGTCAGAGGAGTTTGAAACAGAGCAACTCCGTCCTGAGTGAGGGCTAGGAAAATGAGGCCGAGACTTGCTGGGCTGCATTCCCAGAAAGTGAGGTATTCCTAGCTTCTAGATGTTTATGGTTAAGGGAGCAGATTCATAGTGTTTACTAAACAGACCCAGACTTGGGAGGGTCCCGATATCCCCATATCTTGAGAAGAGAAGCATTCCTAATTTTGCTTGAAAGATAATATTGATTCTTGCAAAATATAGTAATTAAGAAAATTAATCCTTTATCACAAACCATTGTAGCAGAGCTCATCTCCCCATGATCTTTTCTTTTTTCTTTTTTTTTTCTTGAGACAGAGTCTTGCTCTGTTACCCAGGCTGGAGTGCAGTGGCACAATCTCGGCTCACTGCAAGTTCTGCATCCTGGGTTCATGCCATTCTCCTACCTCAGCCTTCCGAGTAGCTGGGACTACAGGCACCCGCCACCACGCCCGGCTAATTTTTTGTATTTTTAGTAGAGACGGGGTTTCACCATATTAGCCAGGATGGTCTCAATCTACTGACCTCGTGATCCGCCCACCTCGGCCTCCAAAAGGGCTGGGATTACAGGCATGAGCCACTGCGCCCAGCCTCCCATGATCTTTTCTTATCTCATATATATATACACATACGCACACACACATAAGTATTGTACCTAGGTGGATGCGTTCCCCCTTAGTTTAGGGAATGCCCTACTCTGTCTATGGAATGGCTGTACTTTCACCACTTTACTTTTTTAATAAACTTGCTTTTGCTTTGTACTATGGACTCACCCTGAATTCTTTCTTGCATGGGGTCCAAGAACCCTCTCTTGGGGTCTGGATCAGGACCCCTTTCTGGTAACATCACCACATGAGACTGTGCTTTTGTTTCATAGATGAAGAAACTGAGGCTAAGAAAAGTTAACCAACTCACCCTGGTTCTACAGCCAGCTACATGATACCAGGATTCAGATCCAAGCTGTATGCCTCCAGAAACTATGTTCTTGGCCACTATCAACCACTAAGCTGGGTTGCCCCAAGGAAAGTAAAAGAGGCAACCCACTTGGTGGGTTGCCAAGTGAAAAACAGAATATGCAGTTATATTGGAATTTCACACAAACAATGGGGGAACAATTTTTTAGTATAATTATGTTCCAAATATAACATGATACATACTTATACCACAAAAGTTATTGTTTATCTGAAATTTCAATGTAACTGGGCATCCATCCAACCCGTATTTTTAAATCTGGAAACCTTATAGCAGGTAGGACCAAACCTATGCAACCCCTAGCTCAGAAGACATGTGGCTTGACTATTAGGCCACAAGAAGCAACTACAGCTTCAGAATCCAGGTCTTCTGTAAACCTTCCCAAATGTCTACGTGCCTAATAACCATCAGGTCATTTTTTAATTTTGGGGCATTGGTGGGATGGTGGTACGTGAGTTCTAGCAAGATGCCAGAGAATCCCACAAGGAATTATTATAAAGAACAAACAGGGATATCTGTGAGAAAAACCTACTGAAGCAGCATTGTTGTCTGGGGTAAAAACCGGGTTTGTCATCTCACTCCAAGAAAATTAAGGACACAGACACATGTGGATAGGTTAAGGAGTGGAAAGTTTAACACGCAAAAGAAAGGAGAGATGAGAGCAGTTCCTTGTGAGAGAGATGCTAAGGAAAAAAAAAGTGGGGGAAAGGTGTGGACCACAGCAGATTTTATAGGCAGGCTTGAGGAGGCAGTGGCTGATTTACATAGGGCTCACAGATTGGTTTGACCATATGTGATGTTTACATAGTATCGGGAAAAGGCTGGTCACCCCAACCTAATCTTATTATGCAAATGGGCTTTCCACTTGGCCAGGGCCATCTTGTCTGCTGCTTACTTCTACACGTGGCTGGCAAAAAAAGAAGATGGAGCTGCCATTTTGAACATGCCTATTCCCAAGTAGTATATTCCTATGGGCACAACTGTGGGCATTCACCCATGCAAGCTTCCAGCTTGCTTATGTCTGCAGCTTGATTTTACAGGATGTTCTTTGCTAGAAAGGAATATGATTTAGGGGCTGCTTTACATTAAAAGGGAAACCTTACCAAGGACTTTGCCAGAGATGATGAATTCCTCTTCAAAGGGTTAATTGTGTAATGTCCTTGTCCTTGGTTTGGAGGCCTCATCTCCTTGTACTTTGTTTCTAGTCTGAGAGCAGCCCTCCTGCTCTTGTTGTGCCCTGACTTGCCCGGACACGTCTGAACATGCTTTGTGCTGTAGTAGAGGGACCACTACTGCCCCCTCCCTCCCTTGCGAATCACACATTTACCCTACTTGGAAAAGTTTAAGTCTTAGTCAATCGGGGTCAGCTTAGATTATGCAGTCTAACCCTAGCCAATAGGGGAAGGACACAGGGATAGGGACTGCGTTAGGGATAAAAACTCCTTCTCTCCTTTGTTTGGTGTGCTCTTGCAGCTGCCAGAAGTATGAGCAGCACCCTTCTGCAGAAGTAAATTTGCCTTGCTGAGAAATCCTTTGAGTGCTCATTTTCCTTTCAATTCTGAGCTCGTTTCTAACGGACTTCCATACCTTCACTATCTAAGTAATTTCTTCTTAGCTCCTAAATCACAACAGTACTGGGTCCAAAGAGTGAGATAGAAGCCTGAGCCTCACATCTCAAACCCAAGACAAGCCCTGGATGGAGTGTTGCAGCTGTGTGACCTCCATGACACCACTTTTCCTCTTTGAGCCTCAACCTCCTCCTGTGAAAAAGGAGAGCATTGAACTAGGCTGGAGGATCTCAAAGTTGGTCTCTGGTCTGCCTGCAACAGAGTCACCCAGAGAAATTGTCAAAGAGGTAGATTCTGTATTTTTTTTTTTTTTTTTTTTTTTTTTTTTGAGATGGAGTTCCTCTTGGTTGCCCAGGCTGGAGTGCAGTGGCACCATCTTGGCTCACTGCAACCTCTGCCTCCCAGGTTCAAGCAATTCTCCTACCTCAGCCTCCCAAGTAGCTGGGACTATAGGTGTATGCCTCTACACCCAGCTAATTTTTGTATTTTTAGTAGAGACAGGGTTTCGCCATCTTGGCCAGGCTGGTCTCGAACTCCTGACTTCAAATGATCCTCCCACTTTGGCCTCCCAAACCGCTAGGAGTACAGGTGTGAGCCATAGCACCCAGCCCAAAGAGGTAGATTCTTGATTCCCACCCCAGACAAACCAAACCAACAATTTTACAGGAGCCAGAAAAACTGAACTTTAGTAAGATCCCCAAGAGGTTCTGATGCATCCTGAAGTTTAAAACCAACTGGACCAATCTTGAAAAGTAGATGCTAAATGAAAGAAGCCAAAGACAAAACTTCACATATTCTCTAATTCCATTAATATGAAATATCCAGATTAGATTAGTCTATACAAACAATAGGTAGATCGGGGATACAGGGAGGAGGAATGAGGAGTGACTGATAGATATGGATTTCCTTTTAAGGAAATGAAAATGTCCTGGAATTTGATAGTAGTGATGGTTGCACAACTCATAAATATAGTAAAAAAAAAAAAAAAAACCACGGGCTTGTACACTTTGAAATGGTTAATTTTATGATAGTTCAATTACATCTTAATTTTTATTTGTTTTATTATTATTTTTTGAGATGGAGTCTCACTCTGTCACCTAGGCTGGAGTGCAGTGGCACAATCTTGGCTCACTGCAACCTCTGCCTCCTGGGTTCAAGCAACTCTCGCGCCTCAGCCTCCTGAGTAGCTGGGATTATAGGTGTGGGCCACCATGCCTAGTTAATTTTTGTATTTTTAGTAGAGATGAGGTTTCACCATGTTGTCCAGGCTTGGTCTCAAACTCCAGACCTCAAGTGATCCACCTGCCTTACCCTCCCTTAATTTTTAAGTATAATAATGAGTTTAAAATGGTAATGGGAAAACAAAATCACTCAACTGGATGATCCTAGATTAGGGTTCCCCAGAATGTGCTCCCCAGAATTCTCTGCCAAAATCCTCCGTAAGAACTGAGTATTAGAGTTCATCCCATGGCCAGGCATGGTGGCTCATGCCTGTAATCCCAGCACTTTGGAAGGCCGAGGTGAGCGGATCACCTCAGGTTATGAGTTTGACACTAGCCTGACCAACATGGTGAAACCCAATCTCTACTAAAAGCACAAAAATTAGCTGGGTCTGGTGGCGCGCACCTGTAAACCCAGCTACACGGGAGTGTGAGGCAAGAGAATCACTTGAATCAGGGAGGTGGAGTTTGCAGTGAGCCGAGGTTGCACCATTACCCTCCAGCCTGGGTGACAAGAGCGAGACTCCATCTACCCCCCCAAAATAATAATAATAATAATAGAGTTCATCCCAGAAGGTCATAGGGCAGCTACTAGAGAGGAAGAGCTCTGGGAAGGTGTGTTGATAAAAGAGAGAAAATCTTTGGCCCAGATATTCCTACACTTACTTTCACCCTAAAGAACACCTGACTAAGTATCTATGAAACAGCCATTTAGAGGTGGAAATCCATGTGAAATGCCATTTCCTCAAATTCACGGTCAATCTCTGCAATTGGCATATAGATAAGAGGGCCCCTTGCATCACAACCTTCGGCTGGGGAAGTGGTCTGCACAGACACTGACCTACCTAAATATATCCGCCTCCTGTAATCATGACCACTTCATGGTCATTTAACTCCTCTTTTTTCAAACAAAACTTCATGGCAAGTCCATCCCAAGTCAGGCAGAGAATTTAGCTACACTTAGTAAATATTTGCAGATGTATTGATGAACTGAAGATTAAGTTCAAAGGTAAGGTATGCTTGCTTCATAGACACACAGCTCCAGCGCAGAGCATGACCCAGGATGTTAGAGTAGAAGAGGAAAATATGATGTGATGCAAGGAGACAGACCTGGGTTCAAACCCTGCCTTCATTTGTTCAACACGTTTTGATTGTGCACCAGCGATGTGACAGGCATTAGACTAATGAAACGGAGGAGTTTTCCCTTATTCCTCCCTCAGGGCATGCAACAGGGGTGTGGCTCACTTCTTTGGTGCCCTGCTGCTCAAACCCCTAGGGGGAGCATACAGACGGGCAGGTTATAAGGAGTGCTTTTGGGCTCTCACCCCACAGCCGTGTCTGGGGTTGAATGTTTCCAGCTCCCAAAGCCCCAGCGGATGTGTATTACAGTGAACTCTGTCAGTTTTGCCGTCTGCAGGCAGCTTGTATTAATTGCTCAATTAGACCTTCTATCTTACCATAAGGAACAAACTAATACAGAGGCCTTTCTGTATTCCAGGTGCTTGCCCTAAGTGTACCAGAAAAATTGGATGATACACGGGCTTAGAGGATGGGTGCAAGATTTTACTGAGTGGTGGAGGTAGCTCTCAGTGAAGTGGATGGGCAGCCAGAAGGGGGATGGAGTCGGAAGGTGATCTTCCCCGGGAGTCAGGCCGCCCAGGAGCTGGACTCTCCTTTGACTGTCCCGACTAAATTATACATTGTCCTGCCTCGATGGTCTGCCGGTGTCTGCTAGTGTATGTCAGTGTGTTCTTCTGCTCTCTCTTCATATTTAGCTGCTTGTATCTGTGCCCACTAGCGTCTCAGGTTTTTATGGGCACAGGTTGGGGTATGGCAGGCCACAGTGGTTTTGGAAAATGCAACATTTGGGTGGAAAAACAGGAGTGCCTGTTCTCACTCAGGTCCATGGACACAAGCCCAAGAGTGGAGCCCTCACCAGGGACCCAGCCCTTCTCTACCTAGCATTTCCCTGCCCCCCTCCCGTATCACTAAGTATGGGCATGGTTGGGTATATGCCTCAATTTCTCTGGAGCTATGAGTAGAGTTTCTGCTGCTTAGCTGTGTGAAATGACCTTGGGTCATTTACAGAAGGTCTCTGGATTCGTTTTTTATTACTGCATAATAAGTTACCACAAACTTTGGGGCTTAAGGCAATGTACATTTACTATCTCATAGTTTCCATGGGTCAGCAATCGGAACATCCCTTGGCTGTGCTGTTTGCCTGGGGTCTCACAATCCTGCAATGCTTTTGTTAGCAGGCTGTATTCCCTGCTGAAGCTCAGAGTCCTCTTCCATGCTCACAGGGCATCTCACAGCATGGCAGCGTACTTCTCCCTTCATGGAAGGCCAGGACCCTTTTATAAAGGGCTCCCAGTATTAGGCTAGGTCCATACAGGGTCATCTGTGAACTCAAAGCCAACAAATTTGGGACCTTTATTGTATACGCAGAATCAATCCCTTCACCTTGTCATATTTTACTGGTTTGAAGCAAATCACAGGTTCCATGCAAACTCAAGGGAAGGAGATTCTATAAGGGTGTTGATATGGTTTGCCTGTGTCCCCACCCAAATCCCATCTTGAATTGTAACTCCCACAATTGCCATGTGTTGTAGGACGAACCTGGTGAGAGGTGATTGAATTATAGGGGCGGGTCTTTCCTGCACTGTTCTCCTAATAGGGAATGAGTATCACAAGATATGATGGTTTTAAAAAGAGGAGTTCCACTGCACAAGTTCTCTTATTTTGCTTGCTGCTAAGAGGTGAAGCCAGCTGGACTTCCTGGGTTGAGTGCAGACTTGGAGAACTTTTCTGTCTTACAAGAGGATTATAACATGCACCAATCAAGCACTCTGTAGCTAGGATTGTAAAACACACCAATCAGCGCTCTGTAGCTAGCTAGAGATTTGTAAAATGCAACAATCAGTGCTCTGTAAAAACGCACCAATCAGCACTCTGTAGCTAGCTAGAGGTTTGTAAAATGGACCAATCAGCACTCTGTAAAATGGACCAATCAGCAGGACATGGGTGAGGACAAATAAGGGAATAAAAGCTGGCCATCTCCTAGCCAGCAGCGGCAACCCGCTCGAGGTCCCCTTCCACGCCATGGAAGTTTTGTTCTTTCACTCTTCAGGATAAATCTTGCTGCTGCTCACTCTTTGGTTCCACACCACTTTTAAGAGCTGTAACACTCACCGCAAAAGTCCACAGCTTCATTCTTGAAGTCAGTGAGACCACGAACCCACCAGAAGGAACCAACTCTGGACACAATGCCATCCACGTAAGACATGACTTGCTCCTCATTGTTTTCCACCATGATGGTGAGGCTTCCCAGCCACGTGAAACTGCAAGTCCAATTAATCCTCTTTCTTAAGACTTGGGTATGTCTTTATCAGCAGTGTGAAAAATAATACAGGTGTAGATACTAGGGGGTGGGAGGGCAGGGTAATCAACTTCAAGTTCTGCCTATCATACTCTGTAAGTATCAGTTCCTTTCATCGTACTTTGATATTGTTCATGGTAATAGTACTGCTAATGGTACCAAATATTTTCTTTTAATGACAGACCTTCTTAGAGCCTTTCCTCACTAGTAGCTGCCCTGTGACCTTCCGAGATGAGTTCTAATACTCAGTTCCCATGGAGGCTTTTATCAGAATTCTGGGGAACACACTCTGGGGAACCCTGACCTAGGATCATCTAGTCCAGTGGAGGTTTTTCTCATGTTCTTTGCATTTTGTAGAACAGCAAAATGGGAGGAGCTTAAACCACCTTGCAATATTGTCAAGAGAATAAAACAAGAAATCGTATAGAATGAGCAAAGCTGCCAATTCTCCCTTAGGAAGAATAGCAAATATTTACCATGATTCTTCATGGCCAAGTCACAGAAAAAGTTGAATGGCCACTATATTATAGCGATTAAGGACATGGCTCTATAGTCAAACTACAAGGATTTTATAAATCCTGGCCTTACTGCTGATTTACGATCTGTAGGTCCTCGGGCAGGCTTGTCATAACCTCACGTAACCACACCACTTTCCTTATAAATAGAGTGAGGATAACAGCCATCAGTCTGTTGGGCTATCAAGAGAATTAAGATCATATACATAAAGCATTTAGCTTAGTGTTTGGCTCATAGAGCTCACATACCATCAACTCATTAGCATAGCTGGACAATTTTAACCTCAGTAAGAAAAGGAAGTCTCAAAAGATTACAGTGACAAGTACATATTTCAAAAACTTTAAACTTCACTATAAAGTAAAAACAAAAGTTGTAAGAAATCCTTGAACTTGGACTCTGGACTGTTTCCCAATAACACATGCTAATGTGATAGCTAAGTCACTGAGCCTGCAGTGCAAATCCTGTTGCACCTCCTTAAAAAATCCTGAAACAAGTACAGGAGCCCTGCCCTTCACCTTCAGGAGTAGAGAATTTGATGTCATAGTGCTACAGGTCCACATTGACATTTGATTTCTCCAGGAGGGGAAAAAAAAACGTATTTGGTCATAAAGAAGCCATGAGTTATTTGTTAGATGAGGGTGGGCACCCTATTTTGCTTTTATGAAGCTTTCCTGGGAGAAAAAACTCTGCTACATTTTTAGTACCTAAATAGGGGATGCATCAGGATTGGAGGCAGTTAAAATAGCAATTACCAACAGCAGCTCTCTCCGGTCTACAATATCATAGAGGATTTCTATTTCCTACATTATTTGCTTTTATAATCTATGGATTTGTAGAATGTACATGCATCATTGTGCACGTAATCCAGAAAACAAAAAACATATGTGTATGTACATATGCACGTGTATGCACGTGTGTGTGTGTGTGTGTGTGTGTGTGTGTGTGTGTGTGTGTGTGAAGCTGGAGGTAGCTGGAGCATCTCTGGACCTCCAAGAGGGCTGATGAGAGCCCCAGAAAGGCTCCCCAGAAAGCCTAAGGGAGTGTTTCTCAAACTTCAGTTGTACCTCAGAATCCTAGGAGACTTGTGAAAAGCCAACACAATTGCAGACTAAAGCCCTCCCAGAGATTCTGATCTACGGAGACTGCCATTGCCTAGGAATCTGCATTTTTATGTACAGCAGCCCCAGGCGATTCTGCTGCATTTTGAAAAGTGCTGGTTAGGACCCGGGCCTCTCCTGTGATGGAAATGATCTGAGACTGCACAGCCCAGTGTCATCTCACCATGACAGGGGAGGCCCTGTTCTATACCTGGGTCTGTAGGTCAGGAGTGTGGGATGGCTCATGGGAAGGGGAGAAAGAGCTTGCAACTAAGATGTTCCAATATATTTTTAAAAATTAGATGCTAAATTTATAAAAATATACAGATCTACAGTTGCATGAAAAGCTTTTTCTCAATCCTATCTGTGAATTTCTATGGCAATGGAAATAAATTCATTTGAGGATAAAGGGGAAAGTCTAAGTGTCAGACCTTTTGTGAAAGAGACCTCACCTTCTGCCTCCCTCCCTTCCCCCTCTTCCGCCGCCATGACAAGCCCCAGCCTAAAAGGACATTCAAGGCTCCTCCCAGAAGGCTCCCAGCCAGCCAGCAACCGGGTACCAAGCTTGGACTTGGCGTCAGCCTCCTGCCACCTAGTGGTCAGTCCGGGACACACAGCTAATTTATCTTAATTTCCACTCCACTCTCATTGGTTGATCCAGCGGACATTTGTCTAGCTCCTGTAATGTTGCCAGGCAATTTGCTGGGCTATGGAGGTAACAACGACTTCGTCTTATAGCGCTGAAAGGAATGTGCTGGCATTAGTTAAATCATTCCCAATGGTGAAACTGAGGCCTGGAGGCAGGGAGTATGGCTTACACAGGGTTCTGCATCAACTCTGATAACTCGCTTAAAATATCCTTTTCTCAGCCAGGCGCAGTGGGTCACTCCTGTAATCCCAGCCCTTTGGGAGCCCAAAGCAGGGGAGGACTGCTTGAGGCCAGGAGTTCAAGGCCAGCCTGGCCAACATGGTGTAACCCCCTCTCTACTACAAATGCAAAAATTAGCCAGGCGTGGTGGTGCATGCCTGTAATCTCAGCTACTCGGGAGGCTGAGGCACGAGACTCACTTGACCCTGGGATGCAGAGGTTCCAGTGAGCTGAGATCACTCCACTGCACTCCAGCCTGGACGACTGAGCGAAACTGAGCAGGGGATAAGCTAAGCCCAGACTCTTGACCTGTAGAAACTCATCATGAATATGATCATATCATAAACAAGCCTCAGAGTTTGTGGTCATTTGTTACACAAATAGGAAACTAAAAAAAATTCAATAAATACTGAAAACGAGAGAGATGAGAGCGGGAAAGTAGAAAGTGAGGGAAATGGCAGAGGAAAAACAGTAAGTAGGTGGGTCCATTCTGTAAGGTATTTATTTGATTTTAGCACCAATGAACTCAGGAGGTCGAAAGATGTAACACTGTTTCACCCTCTCTGTGGGGGTGAGATGGGATGTGAACCTTCAGCACCAGTGACTGTCTCTTCAGCAAGCTCAGCAGGGAGGAAATAAAGTCCTATTGATAGTTCTGATGCTTAAGCCCCAGAGAAGCCTCCAGCCCAGAGATAAGTAAGCTTCTCTGGGTGTTCATATGTGGTTCACTTGTCTGCCTGTAGAACACTGGAACAGGAGCTGTTCATCTCCACCCAAACCACTAAGAATGCATTTCTCACAACTCAGGTTTTGTATCTACGTGGAAAAAAAAAATGCTGGGCAGAAAAAAAGCTGTATGATCTTCCTTGGGTGAAAATAAATTTTATCTCAGATACTAGTGGACATTAATTAAAAATTCATGGAATAGCTCTCAAGAGAGAAGATGTCAGTAAACATTAGAATATAAGCTCTATGAGGGCAGGGATATTTGTCAGTCAGGTTTACTCTTGTATCTTTGCACCTAGGACACTTTCTGGCACATAGTGGGGCCAACCGATATTTAACAGATAAATCTGAAAGAGGGTGGATAGAGGGGCTGCTGCAGTCTAGTCAAAACTAATCAGGGTCCTCTCTACTCATCGCCCAGCAAACCAGGTCTGATCGAATATCTTCCTGTCACCTCTACCTACCTACTCTCAACTTGACAAGCCTTGAGGGAAATGGCGTTATTCCAGAGGAAGCAGGAAGCAGTATGAGTCCTAAATTGTGACTGTGAGCCACAGTTATATCACCATACTCAGGCCCCATCTCCAGGAGTGTCTGATTAATATTTAACCAAGCATTGTCAGGTCTATAAAGTAAAGGAGAAACCCAATTCTCATCTTTGGACTTCCATTCAGAGTGGAACATTTCATTTGCTAAAAAGCCAATACCTTGCTTTATTAGACAGTTGTGCTCAACAAGTCCATTCAACATCTGTAGGATGCATTTATAAATACACCGAGCTCAGCGGCTCACACCTGTAACCTCAGCACTTTTGGACGCCAAGACAGAAGGGTCATTTGAAGCCAGGAGTGTGAGATAAGCCTGGGCAAAAAAGTGAGACCTCACGTCTGTAAAAAAAATATTTTTTTTTAGATTAGCCAGGCATGGTGTCACATCCCTGTAGTCCCAGCTACTCAAGAGGCTGAGGTGGGAGGATTGCTTGAGGCCAGAGGTTGAGGCTACAGGGAGTTATGATTACGCCACTGCACTCCAACCTGGATTAGAGCAAGACCGTTTCAAAAAAAAATTAGTGGAAAACCAGAATTTGACTTTGTCACGATGGTTCCTAATGACTAGAAGTAACAAAAAACAGCAAGAGGGAGAGTAGAGGAGGAGAATGAACTTGGAGTCATGTGTGCCAGATGCCATATCCTCAGCCATGAATCAGACCCACTCTGATATCAGATCCCATTTCTGAAAGGTGTGGTCTAGTAAAAAATACAGGCACTGTTAAATTACAAATTACACAAAGTACAGTGCTTAGTGTTTCAAAGAGAAAGTATCCAGTACTCCATGTCCCCCTAAAGTTTATAAGAAAGTTCTGACGGTCAGCAGAGTCCTTCCTGAAAAGGTTGAAATCTAATGGATTTTGTCTGGTAAAGACTCTACAGCAAACCTTACTGACTACCTATCTAAAAGCTGCCCCTGCTGATTCTCTTGTTAACAGAAAACTTGGTATTTTTGTTTGTTTGTTTGTTTGTTTGTTTGAGATGGAGTTTCACTCTTGTAGCCCAGGCTGGAGTATAGCAGTGTGATCCTGGCTCACTGCCACCTCCACTTCCGGGGTTCAAGCAGTTCTCTTGCCTCAGCCTCCCCAGTAGCTGGGATTACAGGCGCCCGCCCCCATGCCTGGCTAATTTTTTGTGTGTTTTCAGTAGAGACGGTGTTTTCTCATGTTGGCCAGGCTGGTCTTGAACTCCTGACCTCAGGTGATCTGCCTGCCTCGGCTTCCCAAAGTGCTGGGATTACAGGCATGAGCCATGGGTGCCGGGCCCAGAACATCTGTTTTGTTCAAGTATCTGGTACTTTTTTGCGCTCAGAAAATGTTCTCCTGGCCCCAGTCTAGGAATGACCCTGTGGCCCAATTTTGACCAATGAAACATTAAGGGGAAATCCGCTAGGGGGCATCTGAGAGCAAGTTCCCTCTCTAATAAGAGGGAGGTATGTGAGCACCATCTTTCCTTCCCATTAATACCCCCTGCTCCCTCCTTTCAAAGTGATGCTGTGAAGACGTGACACTTGGAGGTGCTGCAGCCATCTTGTGACTGAGGGGGAAGCAATAGAAATTGCAAAGATACTAATTCAGTACCCAAATGTAAAGCCACTGGGCCCACACTAGAATGAACTACCCTCTCTCTCTAAATATCTTCTTATATGAGAAAAATATACCCCCATTTGTTCAACATGGTGTTAACTGGATTTCTTTTCTTTTTTTCTTTTTCTTTTTTTTTTTTTTTTGAGATGGAGTCTCTCTCTGTTGCCCAGGCTGGAGTGCAGTGGTGCAATCTTGACTCACTGCAACGTCCACCTCCTGGGTTTAAGCAATTCTTGTGCCTCAGCCTCCTGAGTGGCTTGGATTACAGGTACCCGCCATCATGCTCGGCCAATTTTTGTGTTTTTAGTAGAGACAGGGTTTTACCATGTTGGTTAGGCTGGTCTCAAACTCCTGACCTCAAGCGATCCACCCACCTCAGCTTGTCAAAGTGCTGGGATTACAGGCATGAGCCACCGCCCCGGCCTGATTTTCTTTACAGCAGTACATACAACTAACCGATTCAGATTTGTAGCATGACTGTCAGGATTTTAGAAATGAGTTTTGTATCTATTGTTAGATAACAAACAAGCCTAAAACTCAGAGCCAAAAATACAATCATTTGTTCACAATTTTGGGATCTAATGCTGTGTAACAATTACCCCTAGGCCAAGTGCAGCGTCTCATACCTGTAATCCCAGTGCTTTAGGAGGCTGAGGGGGAAGGATTGCTTGAGGCCAGGAGATCGAGAGCAGCCCGGGTAACATAGGGAGACCACGTTTCTAACAAAAAACTTAAAAAAAAAAAATTAGCCAGGCGTGATGGTGGACACTTGTAGTCCTAGCTACTCTGGAGGCTGCAGGAGGAGGATCGTGTGAGCCCAGCAGCTAAAGGTTGCAGTGAGCTATGATCGCACCACTACACTTCAGCCTGGAAAACAGAATGAGACCGTGTCTCTAAAAAAAAAAAAATTATTCCAAACTTTGGCAACTCAAAATAATGATCAACATCTAGTGTCTTCTAAGGGTCAGGAGTTTGGGAGTGGTTTAGCTGGGTGGTTCTGGCTGAATGTCCGCTGGCTTCCCCCAGGGCAAGCAATCCAAGAGAGACAAGTGGAAGTTGCAATACTTTTTATGACGTTATCTTGGAGGTCACATACTCCCATTTGCACAATATCCTATCCATTACACAGGTCATCCCTGTTCAGTGTAAGAGGAGACTATGTAAGTATGAATGAATATCAAGAAGTAAGGAGCAGTCATTGGGAACCATCTGGAAGTGGGTCACCACCACCTACCCTCTAATGCTGTGTCACACAGGACTCAGGGAAACAAAGCGCATCAGGAGATACACATGTGTGTATACACACACACACACACACACACACTTTATTTTTTAAACTCCATTTTGTTTTTTGAGACAGAGTCCCACTCTGTTGCCCAGACTGGAGTACAGTGGCATGATCTCGGTCAGCTCCCTGCAACCTCCACCTCCCCAGTTCAAGTGATTCTCATGCCTCAGCCTCCAGAGTAGCTGGGATTACAGGTGCACACCACCACACCTACTTTTTTTATGTTTTTAGTAGAGACAGGGTTTCGCCATGTTTCCCAGGCTGGTCTCCAACTCCTTGGCTCAGGCAATCCGCCCGCCTTGACCTCCGAAAGTGCTGGAATTGCAGGTGTGTGCCGAGCACACACACACACACACACACACACTTTAAAGGGTTTATTACAGGGATTTGACCCTGTGTAATTGTGCATACCGGTTAAACAGTCTATAAACTGCTACCTATGAAGCTCTAATGCTGGCACTTGGGGTCCACAGGGCCAGCCATGGAGATGGGCACCTCTCACTGCATCCTGCTTTGGTATCTTGCAAGGAAAGCTGGTGGCTCACCTTAACTGGACACACACAGGGAAGTCTGGGACACAGCTGAGCATCGCCAAGTGACACTTTCCAAAGCCACTGAAGATGTTTACCCTTCGTAGAGTCGTGGCTGGGACAGGCACAAAGACAAGTCGGGAGAGCTGCCAGTCTCCAGCTTGCTTTATAGCCAGGTCTAGAGGCGCATTCCTATTTATGTTATGAAAAATCAGAAAGTGATATGCTTCCAATTTGGAAACGTTTCTGTTTATATTTCAATAAAACGTCTATTTAAAACATTGATATGTTTTATGCAGAAGACTTAGAAAAACAAAGAGAAGGCCAGGCGCAGTGGCTCACGCCTGTAATCCCAGCACTTTGGGAGGCCGAGGCGGGTGGATCACGAGGTCAGGAGATTGAGACCATCCTGGCTAACACGGTGAAACGCCGTCTCTACTAAAAAATTACAAAAAAAAAAATTAGCCGGGCGTGGTGGCGGGCGCCTGTAGTCCCAGCTAATCAGGAGGCTGAGGCAGGAGAATGGCCTGAACCCGGGAGGCGGAGCTTGCAGTGAGCCCAGATCGCGCCACTGTACTCCAGCCTGGGCGACAGAGCGAGACTCCGTCTCAAAAAAAAAAAAAAAAAAAAAAAAAACTACCATCTCATCCTCTCAAAGGAACCACTATTATTTTGACCTATCCCTACCATACAGATACTCATCTGCACACATCCCTCACCCATGGCTCTCTACCGCCTGCATTTTTTTTCTTGAGACGGAGTCTTGCTCTGTGGCCCAGGCTGGAGTGCAATCACGCTATCTCAGCTCACTGCAACCTCTGCCCTCCCAGGTTCAAGCAATTCGCCTGTCTCAGTCTCCAGAGTAGCTGGGACTAACAGGTACACGCCACCATACCCACCTAATTATTTTGTGTTTTTTACTAGAGACGGAGTTTCACCATATTGGTCAGGCTGGTCTCGAAGAATTCCTGCCCTCAGCTGATCCACCCACCTTGGCCTCCCAAAGGGCTGTGATTACAGGCGTGAGCCACCACGCCGAGCCCCTGCATTCTTTTGTATGAACTGCTTTTCCCCTTTGGAAATATTCCATGGGTATTTTCTGTGTTAATCAACGTTCTTTTATAGCAGAATTTTAATGATGGCTTAAAAGTCCAATATATTAATCCCCTTTTAGTAATATCCTTTTAATTTTTGATTAGAAATAATTCTTTTTCTGAGCTGGGCACGGTGGCTCACGCCTGTAATCCCAGCACTTTGGGAGACCGAGGCAGGTGGATCACGAGGTCAGGAGTTCAACACCAGCCTGACCAAGATGGTGAAACCCCGTCTCTACTAAAAAAACATGAAAATTAGCTGGGCGTGGTGGCTGGCACCTGTAATCCCAGCTACTTGGGAGGCTGAGAAAGAGAATCGCTTGAACCCAGGAGGGAGAGTTTGCAGTGAGCTGAGATCATGCCACTGCACTCTAGCCTGGGCAACAAGAGCGAGACTCCATCTCAAAAAAAAGAAATAATTCTTTTTCTGGTTCCTGCTAAACTACCATGAATAAAGCCAGGCCAGAGGCTGTCTTTGCTTCTTTATTTTCAGTAAGGGACACTCAAGGCAAGTACTAGGTTTTTCAACAATAATCCGAGCTATCTGGTATATATTTTGGAGGGTGGCCCAAGTCTCGCTGGGCAGAAATAAATTATAGAAAGAAGCCAGGCATGGTGAATGTGGGTCTTTCAGGGACATCAGCCTGTCTCCTGGACTTGCTGTCTCCACACCTAACTGGCCCGGCTCTGCGAGCGTTTCCTGTCTGGTTTCCATTTGAAGAAACCCTTTAGCGAAAAACAGCATCCAGTGCAAATTGGACAGTCCCTCTGCTGATCAGGGAAAAGCGAACGCTGAAAAAAACTCCTGAGATGAAAACGAGACACTAATAAAACACTGACTCCTAAGCTGTTTACCAGACATTCAAAATGGATGTGCTGGTGGTTTCCTGAAAGGAAAGAATAGTTGTCTCATATTCTGAACCCCGGCAGGCTCTCGCCTCTGAGAAAAAGCAATGTGTTCCAGATACCAGTAACTCTCCATTAAGCCTGCCATCTTCCTCCTAGCCTGCAAGGGCCTCTCAACACATCTGAGAGGAAATATAAAATTGAAATCTACCTCTTACATTTTTTTTTCCTGGTGGGAAAATTGGCATTTCCCTTTTTAAAATACAGTTACGTATGATGGTGACATTTGGGGCATTATTCGATTATATCAGGGAGCACAGGCCAGGCACTGTGGCTCACGCCTATAATTCCAGCATTTTGGGAAGCCGAGATGGACAGATCACTTGAGGTCAGGAGTTTGAGACCAGCCTGGCCAACAAGGCGAAACCCCATCTCTACTAAAAATAAAAAAAAAAAAAAAAAAAAAAAAGATTAGCTGGGTGTGGTGGTACATGCCTGTAATCCCAGCTACTCAGGAGGCTGAGGCAGGAGAATTGCTAGAATCTTGGAGGCAGAGGTTGCAGTGAGCCAAGATCACGCCACTGCACTCCAGCCTGGGCGACAGAGTGAGACTACATCTCGAAAATAAATAAATAAATAAATAATAATAATAATAATAATAATAATAATAATAATAAAATGTATCAGGGAACACAAAACTCCCTAAATCCTGCCTTGGCCCATCTAACCCTCTTCCTCCACGCACAGGGACAATGGTGAATGGACACACAGACCAGCTATGCTGGTACAGAGCTTGTGCCCCAAACCCCACTGCAGAGAACTGTGCAGTGTGTGCTGGGCTGGAACAGAGTATCTCCCCAAATTTAGGAGCCTCTGCATCTTTCTAAGTCTAAACTTGTATTTCAGGACCTTATCACCATCCATTCAGTTGCAGAAACAGAGAGATCAGAAGGAATGCCCAAAGAGGAAGAGCTGGCTGTTCCCAGCAAAGCCCTTTTAAGAGCCAGTGACTCCCCCTGCTTATCCATGTGGCCCAATCACTATCCTAAAAATTGACCTAATCCAATCAGTGTCCCTTCCTCTTGGGAAGGAGACAGGCTAAGACCTCCTCTTTCCCATCAACCATAAAATTGGCAATATTCACTTCCGTTGGCCCAGTAATTATTACTTACTCATGCTTAATACAGGCTAGACATTGTTCTGAGTAGGTACCTTATAAGCATCATTATGTTTAAGCCCCCAATAGCCCTATACTTTAAATCCTACTATTGCCCCTATTTGGTAGATGGGAAAACTTGATGCAAAAGCCAATGGGGAGCCTAGATTTGATCCCAGATGATCCAGCTCCAGTCTGAGTTAATTAGTAGACTATGCTGCCTTTCAATCAATCCACTTCAAGTATCATGTGTCCTAAGGAAATTACCTATAGAAAAAATATTGACACACAACGATGTTCATCTCATCATTTACAATAGAAGCAAAATTAGGAATTAAACAATGGAGAAGATTAAGTAAAGTAAGGTACATGAAATATACATACATTAAAATGATGTGCAATTACCTGCATTGTCAGCAGACTAACAGTTGTAAACATGTAGCTACTGCTCATCAACGGAAAGCTTATGTATAATACAGAGAGTAGGGTTCCTGTCAGCCTTCAGCCAGCTTCCTACCACCCCAATAACATTAGGAGAGAATCAGGAGGCAGGGTTTCCAGCACAGCCTCTAGGAGAACTCACTAAATAGACAGTTATCCCCAACCTTGACAAAAACTTCCAACCAGGATGAAAACCATTCAACACTCCCAACTATTTAATGAATATTGTTAGCACTTTTTATGGGGCAAGCGTTGTTCCAAGAAATTTCGTGTGTATTCAGGGATTTAATCTCTACCTGGCAGGTAGTTCAGTTATTATCCTCTCTTCCTATGAGATAGGAGGCATGGCAACAGCACACAGCTGAGAAGCGGGAAAGCCAGGATTCAAACCAAAGTCATCTGGTTCCCGGGTCTGCAACTTAACCACCACCCCACACAGCCATTCCAGCACAGCCTGCGGTGAGAGCCACCTTCTGCCTGCCTGCCTGTGGGCATGGATGTGTGTGGCCCTGTGGCCAGCACATTTCTGGCTTGCAGAGTGAGGTACATGCAAGATTGTGAGTCCGGAGATGGGATTACGTAGGGAATGGGTTAGTGGTGGGAACTGGGGCTGGAGATTGCAAAAGCACCAATTCCACCTACCACACACCCTTCCCACCTGCTCCCAAAATACAAGCAGACCTCCCTGAACAGAGACATCCATAGAAAGAACCAAGTATTTGTGTGTGCCTTAAATGGATGATACTAGACACTATTTTGTTCTCTGATGTTATTTTTACTCTATAGTGTGTCTTACGGTCTGTGCATGCTGGAACATCTATTTATTTTTATATTTTGAGAGATGGGCTCTCATTCTGTCATTCAGGCCGAAGTACAGTGGCACTATTACAGCTCACTGTAGCCTCCAACTATTAGACTCAGGTGATCCTCCAACCTTAGCCTCCTGGGTCTGTAGTTAGGGCTACAGACACTCACCACATTGCTCAGGTAATCACAACTTTTTTTTGAGAGATGGGGTCTTGCTATGTTGCCCAGGCTGGTCTTGAATTTCTGGCTTCAAGTGACCCTCCTTCCTCAGCCTCCTAAGTTGCCAGGATAATAGGTGCTCGCCACTCCACCTAGGTCATGTTGGAACATCTAGATCTTCCCACTTCTTTGTAATGGCTTCAGAGTTTTCCACAGTAGGAAAATACCAACGGATATTGAGCCATTCCCTACTGATGGATATGTAAGTTGTTTCCAGCTTCTTCATATTTTAATCCATGTTGCAATAACCACCCTTATACATGCCTTTTTGTATGTGTGCATGTGAAAATGTTTCTCTGCCAGAAACACCTAGATAGACATAGTAGAGGATAAGCATACACATTTTTTGGTTTTATTGTTAGACTTCAAAGTAGCCACACTAATTTACATTTGCCCCAACATGGATGAAAATGGTTGTCCTATGTCCTCAGTACTCAATATAATCAAACTCACCACAATCACCACCACCAAAAGATTGAGACAAAATTATGGAGCTACTGTTTTAACACAGATTTCCTACTTGTTATCAAGATCTTACCATAGTTTTTTTTAAACCCATTTTGATACTGTCTTTTGTGTATTGCCTATTTATATTCTTGCCCATTAAAAAAAAAAAAATCCTTTCCCAGCCGGGCATGGCGGCTCACGCCTGTAATCCCAGCACTTTGGGAGGCCGAGGCGGGCAGATCATGAGGTCAGGAGATTGAGACCATCCTGGCTAACACGGTGAAACCTGTCTCTACTAAAAATTCAAAAAATTAGCCAGGCGTGGTGACGGGCACCTGTAGTACCAGCTACTCAAGAGGTTGAGGCAGTAGAATGGCGTGAACCCAGGAGGCAGAGGTTGCAGTGAGCCAAGATCGTGCCACTGCACTACAGCCTGGGTGACAGAGTCAGACTGTGTCTCCAAAAAAAAAAAAAAAAAAAAAAAAAAAAAAAGAGTTCCTTGTATACTCTGAATAATAATTCCTTTTATGTTACATTGCTAATATTTTCTCCTATGGGTTTTCTTTTTTGGTTTTAACTTTATAAAAACTTCTGTCATGTCAAGTATTTTAATTTTGATATGGGGAAATTTCTCAGTTTTTCTTTTATGGGTTTTCCTCTTCATAGGTTGTTTCACAAAGTCTTCTCTACTCCTATGTCATAAAGATGTTTTCCTGTATCATAGGTTTATCATTTTAAAGTCAACTCTTTAAGATCTACTTGCTATTTTCCTCAGTGCAATCTGGCTTTCACATCTAATGCACTAGAGAAGTTATTGGAAGTCACTTTCTAAGTCCCAAAACCAAGGTTTATTTTTTTTTTCTATTTTATTTCTTTGATATATTTGCCAGTTCCGTCTCCTCCATCCACCCGAAAAACTTTCATCTTATGTTCAAAAAAACTGTTTCTTGAATCAGTAGAGGGAAATGCAGTTTTTTTCTAGCTTTCTTGACCGCTAAATCTTTTCTGGCTGCCTTTACTCACCTCTCAAATACCTGAATCCCCAGAGATTTGTCTCTGAGCCTACTTTATCTCTCCACATGTGTCCTGGCTTCATATCCATCATCAAGGTTTCCACTATTAGTATATTAATCCTCTATTAACAAATACTTGATTCCCCAATGCAACTCTTTCTACCTCATTCACATACCCAACATTTCCAGTCATCAACTAAACAAATACAGCTGCATGTCCAGTGAAATCCTTAAGACCAACTTGTGCAATACCAAATTTTTTCTACCCTTCCATCCTTCTTCCCATCTGTTGCCTTCCCTTTTCTTTTGGAAACAGTCTTGCTGTGTCACCCAGGCTGGAGTACAGTGGCACAACCTTGGCTCACTGCAACCTCCACCTCCCGGGTGCAAGCAATTCTCGTGTCTCAGCCTCCTGAGGAGCTGGGATTACAGGTGCATACCACCATGGCTGGCTAATTTTTGTATTTTTAATAGAGATGGGGTTTTGCCATGTTGGCCATGGCTGGTCTCGAACTCCTAGCCTCAAGGGGGCCTCCCATAGTGCTGGGATTACAGGCATGAGCCACTGTGCCTGGCCTTTTTCTCTTCTTTGTCTTTATTAACCTCAGAACCAAAAGAAGTGTACATAATGCCTTGAACGAACAATCCATCTAATTACCTGGTTCCTTTTCTTATTTTTTGTGAGAAACAGGGATCTTGGACACAATTTCCTTGGTTTACCCTTTAAGAACAATTTCTTCAATTTCTCCATGCAGGTTTTCAGGTTCAGGAAGCACTTCCTGGAAAGGTGACTAAAAATCAATTCCTTTTTATGTCATTTAAATAGAAAGGAATAGCTTTACTGTTTATTAAGCAGCTCAAGGAGAGCACCAGATGACCTTAGTTCCATCACTCAATTTCCGCCAGCATCAGGGTTGGAAAATCAGTTCATCCCCAAAAAGGCAAACTTTCCCAATGGTTCACTCTGCAACCTGCAGTCATCTTGCTTCAAGCACAGTTAGAGTCAGCAAGCCTCTGAATTCTGAGGAAGAACAAGAACACTGTTGTTGTCACCTGAAGGCCAAAAACTGTTTCTACCAAGTCTAAACTTGGGAAGGCCACAGAGAGGAATTAGGAAGATTTTTCCACTCTGGGCTGCCCTTGCTTTTGGTGAAAGGGAGAGGAATACTGGCTTTTTTTGTATTCTTGGAGTATCTGGCAGCAGGATCAGGCAAAAATCACAATAAATTTTATATGTCAGTACACCTAGGAAAAACAGATCAACCAAATGCTTGCCTTCCTTTAAAAATGGACTGTTCACTGCAGTGAGTGCTGGAGGACAAGGTAGAGGGGACAACCAGATGGGGACAGGCTGGATGCATGGAGAGGAATGGACTTCAGGGTCAAGTTGGTAAGAACTAAGATATTATTTTAACCATGATAATCATTAGTAGTAATTCCACATATTAAATATCTCTAATGGATATCAGCCATTATCCTAACTGTTCTCAGGGCATCTGTTTAATCTCCCCATCGTTGCTGGTAAACAGTCTTTATGATCCCCAAGATAGAGGAATATGAGGCTCAGAGAGGTTGGTGAGCTTGCCCAAATCACAGAGCTGGCAAACGAGAGCACCACAGTTCAACTCCAGGTCTGTGAGATGTCATTTGTGCATTTTTCCACGACTGCAAGTTGCTTTGGGAAGTATAGAAGTGAGGTGTCTGGTTGTGTGGGGCCAAGAGTACAGTGGCCTCAGCATCATGTCTGATGGGAAGGAGCCAGGAGAACACTGGGTCCTAGAAGAGGGAAGGGAGCTGGTATAAGATGAAATCACACATTAGACACCAGCTTAGAGAGGTGACAACCATGTGCACAGAGTAGAACCAGAGGGAACCAGTCAGAGGCAGCTGTAACCTAAGCAGCGAGAACCCAAAGAGCTTACAGTAATGGTGGAAGTGGTGGAAACAGAGCAAGTCAAGTACAGCAATGTCAGGGGAACTTCGTGAATTAAATTGGGGGCTGTATCTTTCCTTACAGGTTTTCAAGAGAGAGGGCTGGTCATAATAAGACAGTAAAGGAGGCAGAAGAGAAGGAGGAATGCCTTCTGGGTAAGACACAATGTTCTAGCAGTAAAACTAGCAGCCTTGCTTCTAGGTAGTCAATTTTCCATCATGGACAATGTTCAGAGACTTGCCAGCTGTTGTTGCATCAGGGATGCAAGTATCAACGCGAATTTGATGACTGCAAGTCTTTCCTTAACTTGAGATTCTGTTGTTCTAATCTTGCTGCCCTGACTTTACCAGAAATTTCACAATGACCTCCTAGGTAAGCCCAAAAAGCCCCATATCCCTTCACCACCAGGTGGGCCGCACCCCCAGCCAAGCCCCAATATGGGAGACTCAAGTCTGACCAACTCTTAGAAGTTGAGAAGTCTAAGAAAATTCACTAAGCCTGGGTCTCATCTTCTATAAGACAAGGATATTTATATCTTCCTTACTAGATTTACATTTAAAATCTAGCACAGTGCCTAGGATAAGACGAATTGAATCTAAGTCACCTATCTATTGACTGTAAAACCTCTTGGTTGAACAATTTTATATAATACCCATTTACAAAATGCCCCCCTAAACATTAGTCCATTTGCTAGACACTAGAACTATGCTATCAAGTATGGCAGCCGCTGGCCACATGTGGTCATCCAGTAATTCTATTGTACAGCACTAGTCTAGAAGATCAGAAGAGAATAAGACAATGTGCATCTCTAAGGCCAAATATTTGGCTAAGGGTGGGGGGTAATATAAAATAACTGCATGTTTTAGAAGTTCTCTAGTAGAAGCGTGTTTACCATGGGTGCACATGGAACCAAATCTGCGAGACTGGGGCCAGGGCAGTGGCAAGTCTGAGAACCTTATGCAAGTATGATGGGTTGTGTACCTGTATGATGGTAGTGCAGGAAACCCAGACACCCTTTGATTGTTCACCTACTGTAATGAGATGCGTCTGTCTTGTAGACACATGCTCTGGCTTCCTCAACGGTCTGCAAAAATCGATCGGAACATCAAGGTTCAGAGACATGAGGAAGTCCAACCCCTGAGGCAAAAGCAATAAACAACAGATCTGAGACTTTAATCCCAAACTATCAAGAGTTCTTGTTCTTGGCCTATATGCGGCACTGCTCCAATTTAGCAGTCTCTTAATCCTCTTCCCTAAAACCTGTCACCATCCCTTTCTGTAAATTCTTTAACAAGTAATAGCCAGCTACAAGTAATAGCCACAGTAGCCAGAGTAGAAACGGAAGTAGAAAGCCAAAGGCAGCTTTGCACGTATACAGAAACCGACCTTTCCTATAAACATTTCAGGTTGCCTGTGCTATATCCAAGTGCAGTCCTATCGCTTCCTTTAAATGCTACCCTGGAACCTTTGAACACAGCCTTTAAACATGTTTGGCCTTGAGTATTCATGGAGAAATAACCATCAGGCCGGATAGATTTGTTTATTAGAATTCAAGACTCTGGAAAACAGCTTAGAGCAATTTTAAAATAGCATCCAGTGGAATAAACACACCAATGGCACAGGGTGGTCAGTGAATGTGTTGCAAACAGCCATTTATTAAAGAAAATGAAACCCTGGTGACAGTTTTAAAATCATCATCAAAACGCTTTTTGTCTAAAAGCAATATTTTTATAGCGTCTATCCCTGGCTATAAATGTGGTGTTTCTTCTTAAACAGTCCTTTCAGAACCCCAGGTCCAGCCCAGGAGACAAGCTGGTGACATCATCCTGCTCTACAAAAAAGGAATTGTTCAGCCTCCAATGAAACAGTGAGATCTGCCTTCCCCAAAGACAAGGTGGGGCAGGGGTCACCCCACCCTGTTATCTTTGATGTGTGTGATTTCTTTTTTTTTTTTTTTTTGATGTGATTTTTTTTTTCAGGTCTCTGCCATCCCACGTGCATTTCCTGATAAGATATGAGGGGGAGAGCCTCACCTAAATGGGAAGGCCATGTCTGATGTCCGTCAGCATTTGTGACAGGGAGAAAAACCTTCACGTGAGAATGTTCTGAGGTCCATCACTATCCACAGACCCTCATCCCACTTCCTCTTCTCCTAGCCAATCCTGTCAGCCATTTAGTTTATTTCATTTTCTCTGCTTTTTCCCTGAAGAGGGATAAGCTGGAGTTGGAATTCCTACAGGAGGAAGACAAGTTAAAGGACAGCTTCTGTCCCTGTCTGGCCTCAGGGCCAAGAATCCACAAGACAAGCAGAGCTTCTCCAGTGCCGAGTGTGATGATTTCTTAGTGTGACTCCAAGTGCTGGTACAACAGATGAGTCTCAGTCTCTTTACTCTTCCATGGGTTGCGTTGCTGTTTTCCTTGGTTGGCCAAATGCCTTGTTGCCTTAGAGAGGCGGTGGGAAGAGAAGGAAGCAAAAGCAAAGCTGTTCAGCCACACATTCAAAAATAATTATTGAGCAAATACTATGTGCCATGTGTCATATCACATGCATGGTTGAACTAACCTGACATAGCCCCTGCCCTGCAGGAGTTTACAGACCAGCATCCAGCAAGTAAATCAATTAAGTAGGTAAGTCTTTAAATGAGAAGCAAATTGTGATGAAGCCTATCAAGGAAGCAGGGTACTTTGATGGAGAACCACAGGGCAGGACCTTTCTAGATTATGCACATTGAGAAGGCTTCTCTGTGGAGGTAGCATGTGAGTTCAGACCTGAAGGACAAGGTGGAGTTGGCCTTATACAAAACAGCACACACCGAGATATCAAGTTTGGGAAGGCATGGAGTGGACTGACAGAAAACCCATGAGAGAAAGCACAGTGGGGGTGTGGGAAGAGACTTAGATAGGATTTAGAAATGGCAAACGGTCTTTGCAACTGGAACAAGTCACCAGGAAGAACCAGGTAAAAGGGCCTCAGCAATCATGATAAGCAATGTGGGTTTCATTTTAAATGCAATGGAAAATTCTGGAGGGTTTCAAGTAGGTGAGTGACAATTTCATTAGTGATGCGTGGTGCATCCATTTGAATTGGAAAGGGGCTGAGTTGGGATGGGTTAGGACAAGAGCTCTTGACTTGGAATGGGATGATGATGGCAGGAGTGAAGAACAAAGGTCACGAATCAACACGTATGTGGGGGCACTTGCTGCTGACAAGGTCGTGGGGAAGGGTGTTGAGGGCAAGGACAGGGGCCTCATAAATGCCTCCCATGTTTCTGAATTGGCCCATTGAGTGGGTGGAGACATTAACTATGACAAGGGAGACTCTGGAGGAATGAGACTTAAGTTCATAGGTCATTAGTGAGAGAAGCAGCTAGAATTCAATATTTGACTATCATGGGTTAGAAATGTCTGAGACATTGAATTCTAAGTGTCACATGGACAACTGGAAATATGAGACTGAAGGGAGGAGCTCCAGGTTGGGGAGGCTGATGCGGGAGCCACAGACAGCACTCTGAAGCCATGAGAAGAATTAAGGTCTTCTAGGGAGAGAGTATAGGGGAATTAGAGCAGCCAAAGGAGAGCTCTGAGGAGCACCAGGCACCGGAAGTGAGGAAGAGGTGAATTCTCAAATATTTAATTAGAACAAAAAGCAGGGGTTAAATATCCCAGTGAATAGTTAATAGCTAATAGTTTCAGTGAAACTATTCAGTACAACACTATACCTTTGTCCAAACCCACAGGACGAATACTACCAAAATGAACCCTAATGTAACCTGTGGACTTCAGTTAATACTAACATCAGTATTCATTCAGCAGTTGTGACAAATACACAACATTAATTCAAGATATTTTGTGTTTTGAGACAAAGTCTTGATTTGTTGCCCATGCTGGAGTGTAGTTGTGCAAACATGGGCCACCACGGTTGAGGCTATGGTAGCCTCAACTTCCTGGGCTCAAGTCATCCTCCTACTTCAGCCTCCTAAGCAAGCTGGGACCACGAGCACGTGCCACCGCACCCGGCTAATTTTTTCTGTTTTTTGTAGAGATAGGATCTCATCATATTGCCCAGGGTGGTCTCAAAGTCCTGGGCTCAAGCAGTCCTCCTGCCTCGGCCTCCCAAAGTGCTAAGATTATAGGCACGAGCCACCACACCTGGCCCATAACTTGAAATTTTTTTAAAAGGATTTAGGAAGATGGCAAAGAAAATTTTTGATCAATTGTAAGATCAGGTGTAAATCATTGATCTTTTCCCCTGTTCAAACCAAAGCACATTTTCACAGCCCAGGTCTTCTGGAGTTAATCAAAACTGGATTGTAATTTCTACTCAGTTCCTTGAGATCTTAGTGATGTTAGACAAAAACCACTTAACTTTTGAGGCTCAATCACCTTTAAAATGGAGATAATATTATTACTTATCCCACAGGCTTGCTGTGAAGACTAAAAAGATGGCATTCCATAAATTGTATGTACCATTGTAATTAATGGTAAGGATCTTATTATTAAATACTGGACATTGCGCTAAGTGCTTCATAGCCATTATCTCATTTAATCTTTCCAACAGCCCTGTAAAATAAGCATTCCTAGCCCCCACTGTTAAGATGAGAGAAGCCTTATAGAGGTTTATTGACTTGCCTGAGATCACACAGCTAAGCGGTAGGTTGTGAACTGAGCTCAGCCTGTCTTCACAATGTTCTCAAATGCCCATGCATTAACTGCCCATGTTGGTACAAAGAGTCAACACCGGAGGTCAGATCTTTAATTGTACAGTTACTTTGCTGAATCATGTCAGACTTTCCTACATCAGTGGTCTTACTATGGTCTTACTATATTGGTAGGTTACAAAATGGCTTTAACTTGGAGGAAATGAAGATGAAATAGACTGTGGTTTTTCTCATTAAGATTCAGAAGGAAGCACTCATTCCTTGATTCTTTCTGTATTGTCTCAAAGAAAAAACAAAGGCAAAATGAACTTGGTCCTTCAGACCTTCCAAATCTGCAACCACTGCCCTCCATTTGCACCTGGTCAGCCAAATAAGCATGTGGAATGCAGGAAGGCCTTTCCCTGGGTCTAAATTCCTCCCTCTCGGCTATTCCTGTAATGCAAGTCCATTGCTTTTGATGCAAAAGCCTATCAGGTCCCGAAAACTTGCCCTTAAAGCCTATGGTTAAAGGTAGGAATAATTGAGTTTCTCATTACATTAATTTTATTTTTATTTTTTATTTGAGAAGGAGTCTGGCTCCGTCGCCCAGGCTGGAGTGCTGTGACAAAATCCCGGCTCACTGCAACTTCTGCCTTGTGAGTTCAAGCGATTCTCCTGCCTCAGCCTCCAGAGTAGCTGGGACTACAGACTCCTGCCACCACGCCCAACTAATCTTTTTGCGTTTTTTAGTAGAGACAGGGTTTCCTCATGTTGGCCAGGCTGGTCTCGAACTCCTGACCTCAAGTGATCCACACACCTCAGCGTCCCAAAGTGCCGGGATTACAGGCGTGAGCCACCACGCCCGGCGAGTCTCTCACTAGGTTTCTGTGCTATTACATCATGCACTTGAAAGTGTTGTTTAATGTGTTCAAGGAAAAATGATTGGTGAGGACCTGAAAAAATAGCTATTGATCTATTACATTAATTCTTATTCTAATGGAAATAATTCACTTTTTAAAATTTTCTTTTCACTGTAAGGTACATTTTCCCAAGAAAGTAATTTGCCCGGGCTGGAGGGCAGTGATCTCGAACTCCTGGGGCTCAGGTGATTCTCACACCTCAACCTCCCAGGTAGCTGGCATTACAAATGTGTGCCACCATGCCTGATGAATTTTTTTATTTTTTTGTAGAGATGGTGTTTCGCCATGTTGCCCGTGCTCTTCTCGAACTCCTGACCTCAAGGGATCCACCCACTTCGGCCTCCCACTGGGACTACAGGTGTGAGCCACCACATGCAGCCCCAAGGAAGTAATTCTTGATGAGTCTACAAAATCCTAATGGAGGAAAGCCCTATATTTTATCATCGAGTATCTATTTCCGCAATCTCCATAAATCCCACTGAGAAAACTACTTCCAAGCTACACTTGAGCTGCGCAGACACATGAGTATGAGTAGACACACTGGCTTGAATGGTGCTGTGGCACCACACACACACACACACGCAGTAACTTTCCTTTTTCTCCAATTTTTTTTTTGCCCTGAAAACTAAATTGAATCCATTTTCCAGAACATTTAGTGAATTTCAGAGTTCCAAATCAAAGAATTTTTCACAAAGACCCCAATCTTCTCAGAGTTTAAATTTAAAAAAAGAAAGCAGGCTAAACCTGTAGTTAAGTTTGACACACTCCAAAAAGGCAAATCACTAGGAAATGCAGCAGAAATTAAATAAATAGAAAGCCTAACATGAGGCACAAGAACAAGAGGCCACCTTATGCTGTGGCCAGCAGAGGCATTCAAACATTCCGTCAGCAGGATTCCAGCCAACCTCCGAAGCTCACTTTTATAAGCCAGCCCCAGGCATCCCAGAGCAAGATGTAGCTGTGTAGTCTCCTTCCATAGCTGCTCTAAGGGGGCTGGCAACATGGCTCAGCAGGCTTGCCCCAGAGCCATGGCAAAGAATGGACTTGTAATTTGCATCCTGGTGATCACCTTACTCCTGGACCAGACCACCAGCCACACATCCAGATTAAAAGCCAGGAAGCACAGCAAACGTCGAGTGAGAGGTAATGGGGCTTCTCAATCAAGCAAAATTCTAGGCTTAGACAGTGTGGGGAGGTGCTGGACAATGTTAATTTTCAAACTCCTCCAGGAGACTATCTTCGGTGATGGCACCATGCCATCATCCCTATATGGCATTTCAGGGGATTAAGTGAACTTGTAATGCTCTGGGATAGTTTATTTTAAAGAAACCAGGCTGCTGGGTTTTAAAAAAAAACAACAGGGAAAAAATTTGATAGTAAAAGAATTCTGTGTTGTATATTTTTTGTTAGGTGGGCTTAAATAGAATGTGCTTCAGAGGAAGCTCAAGTGGATTTCTGAAAATCTGGTGTTATTAATATGGGGCAAGAAGAATGTATTAACTGAGCACACTGTTTCACTAGTAGATATTGAGTAACTCAATTCAGTTATATTTTAAGATAACTATAATCTTATTCAATGTGTAGCAGAGGATAGAGATTTTGGTAATGGTGACTTCCTGTTTTGTCATTAGTTATCATTAGCTGTATTTCCATATCCTTGGCAGCATAAGGACAACCTATACCATATATTTAAACTTTTTCATGTCAGAGACATTGAATCTCTCCAACTTAAAAAAGTCAATATGCAAAGTCATCTAGTATTTGAAGGCATTGTGATGCAAAACTGAATCTCCCAGGAACCTCAAATTTTGAGTGACTTGAATTGGGTTAACAGGTTAAAGAAATTGAAAAGAACAATGATGATAGCGAGGTGTTTGCAATACGTTGAAACCTAAGCAAAAGAAAAAAACAAGACAGAGGGTCATGTTTTATCACATCCTCTGCATCATTTTCATTTCAGGATATTTCAGATTATGACTATTTCCTTATTTTCACTCCATTAGTAACAACACACACATACACAAATTTCAGCAAGGTTACAGTCTATTTCACATGACAGATGGCTGGTGGGTAAAAAGGGGTCTTGTGCTTTAAGGATTATAAAGTACCATTTTTTCAGGGACATTTATTTACAAAATTTAGGTCTGGTGCAAGGTTTCTTTTTTTTTTTTTTTTCTGAGACAGAGTCTCGCTCTGTCGCCCAGGCTGGAGGGCAGTGACACAATCTTGGCTCACTACAAGCTCCACCTCCTGGGTTCACGCCATTCTCCTGCCTCAGCCTCCCAAGTAGCTAGGACTACAGGCGCCTGCCACCACGCTCGACTAATTTTTTGTATTTTTAGTAGAGACGAGGTTTCGCCGTGTTAGCCAGGATGGTCTCGATCTCCTGACCTCGTGATTCGTCAGCCTCGGCCTCCCAAAGTGCTGGAATTACAGGCGTGAGCCACCGCGCCCGGCTAGTGCAAGGTTTCTTAAGTGGAATCTTTTTTCCTTAAGAAATACTGTACTTCTTTCGGTGAAAGATTAAAATATTTCTCATGAGTAGATGAAACATATTGCTGAAGATGGTATCGAAAGGAGAGGGGAGAGAGAAGATACTGGGTGACATGGTACATTTCTGTAGCCAGCGTTTCTTCACTGCTGGATGGAGTGGCACTCCTCGTGAGAGTGGCGATCACCCAGTAGGAATGTGTGAAGAGGGTCTGAACATGACTGAGTGTGCATGTGGGTGCTGTGTGGGTGTTTCTGAAGTAATCGCAGCTTAGGTCACATCCAGGTTTTCCAGGGGCCTCCCTCCCCTTCCTCCTCCCACTCTCTTCTCTCTCCCTACCTTCTTTCCCACTTCTTTACCCCCTTCTTCCCCACTGCCTCTGTCATAACCACATGTGCATGCACATGCTTTTATTTAAAAACAAAACAAAACAAAACTGACTAGGTACACACCTCTTAAATGTCATTCCCCCAGTATAGTTTTTGCTACTTTTTGCCATTAGGTCCTAGAAAGTAGATTCTACAGTAGGTGAAGCAATAAACCTAAACCGATCAAGCAATTATATCCCCACCCATCCATATACTTTTAAAATAGTTTAAGTACCTTGAAATATAATAATACCAGTGTTAAAGAGATCAAAAGTGAAAGCCATCTTCTCTCTCCCAATCCTCACCACAAAATTATCCACTATTAACTATCAGGTAATACTATTCCCAGAAGTTTTGTGTTTTGTTTTTTGTAGGATTGTTTGTTTTGAGACAGAGTCTCACTCTGCCACCCAGGCTGGAGTGCAGTGGTGTGATCTCGGCTCACTGCAACCTCTACCCACCAGGTTCAAACAATTCTAGTACCTCAGCCTCTCAAGTAGCTGGGACTACAGGTGCTCGCCACCATGCCCAGCTGATATTTGTACATACATCTTTTTTAGTATAGATGGGGTTTCACCATGTTGGCCAGGCTAGTCTCAAACTCCTGACCTCAGGTGATGGGATTGCAGGCATGAGCCATCATACCCAGCCTATTCCCAGAGTTTTTAAAATGCACAATTAAAATACATATTTTTAACAAAATAAGAATTGGCTATGCAGAATGTTTGGCTAGGCAAATAAATTTATTTCATCTATTAAACCTTGGATAGTTACCAGTGTAAGCAATACTTTATTCATTTTAACAGCTGCATAATATTCCATTGTTTGGATGGGTCATCACTTAATCTGATCTCTCCCAATACATCTCTTTTTGATTCAATAGCCCCAAGTAACTGCTTTGCACACATACTGCTCCCCATGTTAGGATGTTATGAGACATTTCCAGAAGTAAAATTGCAGGTTAATTATACTTTCTAATTGTCCCTCCAAATGATAACACCAATCCATCTTCCCATCTTCTGTGTATGGGAGTGCCCATTCCTATGTATTTTGACAGTCCAACATCATATAATGGTTTTACTGGCCATGTCTTCTGGGAATGACTTTTGTGTTTCTACACTGTGTCTACCTCTGGAGAGCAACAGTAAAATGAAAGGGAGCCTTCTGGGGGACTCAAAATAGCAACCGAAGAATTTAGCTTCAAACACAAGATCTCTCTGGTACTTGCTTCATAGGTCTCAATTTATGTGTTGCATTCATGAATAAAATATGACTTTTCCAGCTCAGTAGTTGTTCCACATATTCCCTTTGTTTGTTGTACATAAAAGACATCTATATCAGCTACAAAGGATGGAAGCTACAGCCAAGTCCCTGGACAATGAATTTCATAACCATCTCCCAGGAGCCTAATATCAATTCATGTGTCTTCATGTTAATTACAATGTTTACAATCTCCCAGTAGAGGCCACTTATTTAAGGAGAATGGAGCAGGAAGCTGAGAGGGATGGGGGATGACATTTTTAGAGGTGACAGCTTATACCTTGGAAGAAAGTGTTCAGCAGTCTTTGCAAGCCCGGCCCCCACCAGCTGATGAATTTGCATTCTGAATGCACCCTTACATTTTTTCTGGATTAAATGGTCACACAGGTAAAAATCTTTAGGTTATAGTATTTCTGAGCTGAGCCATGGGATGCTTTGAGAACTGATGTGTAGCATTAAGTAAAACAGAGGCAGGGGCCACCCCTGGATATTCCAGAAGACAGCTTCCTAACCCAAATGAGGAAACATCTGGCTTATGAAGCACATGTTTAAGGGGACAGTGAATTAGCACATGTGAATTTTAGACTGTCCTGAAAAATCCAGTACAGAACATAGACTTCCTCCATGGAATCCCCACAAAGAAGCAGCTGGGAACAGTTCATACCAAGCTTTAAGTATCTTCTCTGTCTGGGGCCATGTGCTCGGGACCAAGAAGGTAGAGGCAATCACTGTGCAGAAGCAGGTAAGAGGGATGAAATGAGAACAGGCCTGGAGCTGGGCAAATTTAAATCCCAATTCTTCACTTTACTAGCTGGGTGACCTTCAGCAGGTGAATTCAGCTTTCCGGGACTCTTTCTTCTGCAGAATGGAGACAATGATTGTGTCTCTCTCAAAGCACTACTGAAAGAATTGATCTCTGACAAACAGTATGTGGAAGCTTTTAATAATTTTTGTTATGATTTATAATTCCTGCTTTTGAAGACCTCACAAGCTGCCAATCTCTAAGAGAATCCTTATTACACCTGAAATTTCAATTTATCCAAGGCTTCTTGTTTTCTGCCACTTACTTATAGCCAAGATTGGTCAAGGACAGCTATAAAGATCCTTTAGCCTCATCCAGGAACATACAAGACTTAAGTTGCTAATACCTAATATAGACGTATTTCTATATGAACCTTTAGCACTTAACCCTGCTAGTAGCCACCATACCTGAGGCATGTGTTGAGTCGGAACACTGGGGACAGGGGACCTGGGGACCCAAATCAGTCAGAGTATGAATTCTGCCATGTATCTTTTGAGACACTCTCATTGGACTTGTCCTCATTCTTCAGTGGGAATCCAATTTTTCTCCCTTCATAGCTATGTTTGAAGAGCAAGTGAAAACAATTTTGTATACCATAAAGTGTGTATTCACTAGACAATATTATGAACACCTATTATGTACCAAGTATCATGTTAAGCATCAGAAGAACCAAGAATAATAAGACAGATGAAATAAAGTAAAATAGAGAAAAGAAAATATACAGAATACTCTATAAAATATGGAATAAAATAAAATGTGAACTGAGACTAGAGAATGAAGAAAAATAAGTTTCAAAGACAGATTAGCAGAAGGGATACTAAATTATAGTATAACCAGGAAAGCCTTCTCAGAAGAGGAGATATTTAAGCTTGCTAAGAATACAGGAAAGCGCTGGAGCAAGAGTGATCCTAGCAGAAGGAACACACAGGGAAGATGAGATTGAGCTCATTCTCAGATGACCCTGAAAGTCAACAAGCCTAGAGTCACAGGATGTGACTGGAGAGACAGAAGGAGCCTCATCTCACAGAAGGACCTTCTAGTATTATGATTGCCATGAAGCTCTTAAGAATCTTCCTGTCCAAGTTATTTTCTTTTTCTTTTTTTCCTTCCTTCTTTCCTTCATTCATTGTTTTTTTGTTTGTTTGGTTTTTTTTCAGACAGAGTTTCACTCCCTCACCAAGGCTGGAGTGCAGTGGAATGATCTTTGCTCACTGCAACCTCTGCCTCCCAAGTTGAAGCAGTTCTCATGCCTCAGCTTCCCAAATAGCTGGAATTACAGGCATTCAACACCATGCCCAGCTAATTTTTATACTTTTAGTAGAGACAGGGTTTTGCTATGTTGGCCAGGCTGGTCTCGAACTCCTGGCCTCAAGTGGTCCACCCGCCTTGGCCTCCCCAAGTGCTGGGATTACAGGCGTGAGCCACTTCGCCAGCCCCAAGTTATTTTCACGCATTATTTTTTGTATACACTGGGCTCAGGTTCACCAAAACCACTATTGCCTTGGGTCCTACATTCCAAAGCTTGATTTTATTTTAATCATACGCTTTTCATCCACCTACCCCATCCCACCCTAAAATTTTCCCCAGACAAGGATGGAGATCTGAAGACTCAAATTGAAAAGCTCTGGACAGAAGTCAATGCCTTGAAGGAAATTCAAGCCCTGCAGACAGGTAAGGTGCAGACCTTCTCAGTGCCTTGTCCCAAAGGAGACAGGAAAATTTCTGGGTCAATTTCTGGGGGACGTCTTTTTAAAAGAAACATTGACAAATCAATAATGTGGCCAATAAGAGGGCCCCAATGCCGGGAGATGATTGTTTTAGGAAATCAGCTTCATTTACAATCCCATTCTCCTATATATGGGTGGTATAGAAATAAAAATAAGTAGTTCAGGAATAAATTTGAAAAGTCAGTCCATACTTATTCTCTAAAGAGTAGTGAAACAGAATGAAGCCAGTATGAAATGACTAAAATGATTAGCATTTATTGGATGATAGCTAAGTGCCTATCAGGCCACCAGGACTCTCTCGGGCCACACCCAGCCTAAGATGCTGGAAGGACATGGGTTAGAACCGCAGCTTGCCAACAGGGCAGCGCCAGCGTTCCTCCCCACAGTTATGCAGCCACATGCGCTACTGCCCAGGAGCTATTCTCCAAGGGGTGAGGAAGTGAGCCATGTGGGCAGGTTTGGGAACAGCCCTGGTTTACAAGGCTCATCCCCCAAGGAGCTAATATCCTTTGTAGCAATTTCAAAAGCAAGGTGTTGAGGTTCCTCACAAGAGACCTGCCTCATTACAAGTTACTGCCTTCAGGGAAGACTGAAGTTACGGCTTTCCATCAAGTATTTATAACTCCCAGACCAGATGCATGTTACCAACCTGGGGTCATTTTTACCACAAGCAATGTTGCCTAGTAACAAGGGTGACATACTCCCTTTATCAGGCTTCCGGGGGAACAGAATTAGAAAGTTAAAAGACAGTCAAATGCTTATGCAGAAGGTGAGTTTGGTTCATCCTTTACCCACAGTCAGGTACTAGAAATTCTTTATAAACACAAATCCATTAATCCTCCAGCAACTTAAGCTATTATGATCCTAATTTTACAGATGAGGAAAATGAGGCACAAAGAAGGTAAGTAATTTGTTCAAGAGATACACAGCTAGTTAAATGTCAGAGATGAGACCTAAACCCAGGCACTATGGGCTCTGAGGCCTGACTCTCCAGTGCTACGGCCTAAAACTATCTTTATGCTCAGTTTATCCTGAATAATCTAAACAATATTACCAAGGCTCAGTTATCTGCTTAAGAAAATCCCTGTCTCTCCACATGCAAAACTAGAATTTAATTGATTGATTGATTGATTGATTTTTGAGACAGAGTCTTGCACTGTTGCCCGGGCTGGAGTACAATGGCGCAATCTCGGCTCACTGCAACCTCTGCCTCCCAGGTTCGCACGATTCTCCTGCTTCAGCCTCCTGAGTAGCTGGGATTATAGGCACACACCACCACATCCAGCTAATTTTTTGTATTTTTAGTACAGACGGGGTTTCACTATGTTGGCCAGACTGGTCTTGAACTCTTGACCTTGTGATCCACCCGCTTCTGCCTCCCTAAGTGCTGGGATTATAAGTGTGAGCCACCACGCCAAGCATTTTTTTTTTAAACAAATATTTTTAAAAATAAATATTAAATACCATCTAGTTCCAAAACTCCCAAAGAAATCCAACACAGAGTAGCAAGCATGTATATATCAGAACAGCATGAAGTTTAAGGCCATGTCTTGGGATAGGGCAGACCTGCATTTGGGTAGCTGTGATCTCACATGCTGCAAAAATTACTTCATTTAAAAAAATGTGGCTAGGCGCAGTGGCTCACGCCTGTAATCCAAGCACTTTGGGAGGCCGAGGCAGGCGGATCATGAGGTCAGGAGATCGAGACCATCCTGGCTAACACGGTGAAATCCCGTCTCTACTAAAAATACAAAAAATTAGCCGAGTGTGGTGGCAGGCACCTGTAGTCCCAGCTACTCGGGAGCCTGAGACGGGAGAATGGCGTGAATCCGGGAGGCGGAGCTTGCAGTGAGCCGAGATGGCGCCACTGCACTCCAGCCTGGGCGACAGAGCGAGACTCCAACTCAAAAAAAAAAAAAAAAAAATGCTAAGGTGTTACAAGTAACAACTTCTCTAAGCCTAAATATCCTGATATGTAAAAATAGGGGTAATAAAATACAACTTCATGGGGTTGTCAGGATTATGTAACTTAATTTATGTAAAATGCTTAGCATGTTGTCCGGCACATAGAAAATTTTAACTGTTGTCTCATCATTATCATACTTCATTCCACAAATACTTATTGCTATTTGCCAGGTCCAGCCCTAGTCATAATACACTCAAAATGCATCTTAATATGTTACACTTCACATCTTCACAGTCTGTCTCCGAGGCACTAAAGTTCACAAGAAATGCTACCTTGCTTCAGAAGGTTTGAAGCATTTCCATGAGGCCAATGAAGACTGCATTTCCAAAGGAGGAATCCTGGTTATCCCCAGGAACTCCGACGAAATCAACGCCCTCCAAGACTATGGTAAAAGGAGCCTGCCAGGTGTCAATGACTTTTGGCTGGGCATCAATGACATGGTCACGGAAGGCAAGTTTGTTGACGTCAACGGAATCGCTATCTCCTTCCTCAACTGGGACCGTGCACAGCCTAACGGTGGCAAGCGAGAAAACTGTGTCCTGTTCTCCCAATCAGCTCAGGGCAAGTGGAGTGATGAGGCCTGTCGCAGCAGCAAGAGATACATATGCGAGTTCACCATCCCTCAATAGGTCTTTCTCCAATGTGTCCTCCAAGCAAGATTCATCATAACTTATAGGTTCATGATCTCTAAGATCAAGTAAAAATCATAATTTTTACTTATTAAAAAATTGCAACACAAGATCAATGTCCATAGCAATATGATAGCATCAGCCAATTTTGCTAACACATTTCTTTGGGATTTTGCCCTTCCTGGGGTATAGGGGATCAGAAATATTGATCCATGTGCACGCAGATAAAATGGCTTCTGCTAAACAGACTAAAATCTTTCTCTCTAGTCTTTCTCACTTGTACAAACCCAGTTTGTTTTCAAAAAATCACAGTAGCAATGCAACTCATCACTCTAGAAAAGCAAGCTTAGGCTACCTGAAAGATTTTCCCTTGGAAGTTTAGCGTATGTTTGACTAACAAAAATTCCCTACATCAGAGACTCTAGGTGCTATATAATCCAAAAACTTTTCAGCCTGTTGCTCATTCTGTCCCATGCTGGCAATAATACCTTGTCAGCCCATTACCCTTATTTTGAATTGCTCCATCTCCTGGTGGGACTTGTATCTTGTCTGCCATATCAGAACACAAACCCCTGAAGAGGTTCTGATTTGATTTTTTTTTTTTCTTCATGCCTACCCTTTTTTTGGAAGTTTCCAGCCGCAATTTGAAATGAAATGACAAGGTGTATATTTGATCAATTTTCATTCCCACCATTGCATTACAACCTCTAACTTAAATGGGTAACCCTAAGGCATATCAAAGAAGCAGATTGCATGATAAACGGAAACAGAAAAAAAGAACCTACATTTATTTTGCTTTAGCATCCTTACTCTCACCTTTTATGAGATTGAGAGTGGACTTACATTTCCTTTTTTACATTTTCGTATACTTATTTTTTTTAGCCATCATTATATGTTTAAGTCTATTATGGGCAACCAATCTTTGGAAGCTGAAAACTGAATTTAAAGAATGCTATCTTGGAAAATTGCATACGTCTGTGCAATTTTTTATTCTGCCTAGTGCTATTCTGCTTGTTTAACTAGATTGTACAAAATAACTTCATTGCTTAATATCAAATTACAAAGTTTAGACTTGGAGGGAAATGGGCTTTTTAGAAGCAAACAATTTTAAATATATTTTGTTCTTCAAATAAATAGTGTTTAAACATTGAATGTGTTTTGTGAACAATATCCCACTTTGCAAACTTTAACTACACATGCTTGGAATTAAGTTTTAGCTGTTTTCATTGCTCAATAATAAAGCCTGAATTCTGATCAATAGAAAATGTGTTCGAGTGTTAATTACAGTTATTCAAAATATGTTGGTTTATATTAAACTTGGCAGAGTTTGAGGGGAATTACCCTGAATTTAATCAAACTGGTGATTCGGATATACTCAGAGAACAATTTTACCTGGCAATGAAGAGGTATGGTCTGGCTAGAGGAGGGAAACTTTTAAAAAATTTTAGCTGCAGAGGCTGGGCGCAGTGGCTCACACCTATAATCCCAGCTTTTTGGGAAGCTGAGGTGGGCGTATCACTTGAGCTCAAGTGTTCAAGACCAACCTGGGCAACAGGGCGAAACCCTGTCTCTACACAAAGTACCAAAATTAGCCAGGTGTGGTAAGGCATACCTGTGATCCCAGCTACTCGGGAGACTGAGCTGGGAGGATTTCTTGAACTCAGGAAGCTGAGGCTACAATGAGCTCAGATTGTGCCACGACACTGCAGCGTGGATGACAGAGCAAGACCTTGTCTCAAAACAGCAAAAAATGTAGCTGCAATTATATCTGGTTGATCTTGGCCAACTCCCTACTTCCAACGTAACCACAGTCTTCGTAAAGGTAATGACCATAATGAAACGGGTGGACACTGGTGAGTAAGTGCATTCTCTTCACATTTCAGGTACTATGCTAGATCTTATATAATTATCATTTATCTTGAGGAACAACCCTGGGAATTTAACCTGGAGAATTAGGCTCTAGAATCATTTCATATTACAGAAGAAGAAAAAAAAGAGAGTTAAGTTGTCCTAAGTCACAGGCCAGGAAATAGTGGAACTGTCACTGGAACTTAACAAGCTGACTCAGATCCTGTATACTTACTACCCATGGGGAGCAATAAAAGGTAAAGCCCATTCAGAAAGGCAATGGGAGTGGATTCTAATCCAGTATCTCAATTTCCTTAGGTGAAGTAACAATCTGGACTAACAGCTGACCTTGAGAAGCATTCAGTCTGAGGCTACTTCACAGAAGGTGTTTTTCCTTCCCCCTTTGCAAGGGCCCAAATAAAGACAAAGACAAC
This sequence comes from Homo sapiens, assembly GCF_000001405.40. Taxonomy (NCBI): domain Eukaryota; kingdom Metazoa; phylum Chordata; class Mammalia; order Primates; family Hominidae; genus Homo; species Homo sapiens. The sequence goes on from NC_000016.10 coordinate 78,033,124, forward strand.
CAATGTTACTGAGCATGGTGGTTCAAGCCCCTAATCCCAACGACATCAGAGACTGAGGCAGGAGGATTACTTGAGGTCAGGAGTTCAAGACCAGCCTGGGCAACACAGCAAGACATGGTCTCTACAAAAAAAATTTAAAAACTAGCCAAGTGTGATGGCACATGACTGTAGTCCCAGCTACTTGGGAGGCTGAGGCAGGGGGATTGCTTGAGCCCAGGAGTTTGAGGCTGCAAGGAGCCATGATTGTACCACTTGACTCCAGCCAGGGCAACAGACAGAGTGAGACCCTATTGAAAAAAAAAAAAAAGACAACATTTGAAGATGATCCATTAAATAAGGCAATCCTTCCCAAAGTGCCTCAAGAAGACCAAGAGAGTAAGTTAATGCAAAGGAATAGATGAAGGTTAGTGACATCAAGATGAGGGTTAGCGAATATCAAGATCAGTTAGCAAGACAAAGCACAGATGATGGGAAACAGCAAAACTGGAAGGAATGGATTAAAAGATTACCTGGTTTGTTCCTGGGTCTAACTCATGACCTCGACTTTGTTACTTAGCCAACAAAGCAGATGAAAGCCACACCCACAAGATTCCCTAACCTAGACTTCTCTTTGGTCTGTTTTGCCTGTTGGGTACTCTCTAGCAAACAAATGGTCTTCAGGCAGGAATGATAAATTGTTCTTAACTCTCACGCCAACTTTTTTTTTTTTTTTTTTTTTTTTGACGCAGGGTCTTGCTTTGTCACCCAGGCTGCAGTGCAATGGCACAAACATGGCTCATTGCAGCCTCAACCACCTGGGCTCAAAGTAGCAGGGACGACAGGTGTGTGCCATCATGCCCAGCTAATTTTTACTTTTGTAGAGACAGGGGTCTTGCCATGTTGCCCAGGCTGGTCTAGAACTCCTGGTCTCAGGCGATCTTCCTGCCTCAGCCTTCCAAAGCTCTGGGATTACAGGCATAAGCCCATGCTCCCAGCCTCAGGCCAACTCTTATGCTTCCATAAAAGCTGTCTGGACTAGAGGATAGAGAAGCATCCTGAAGCCTGGTGGAAACAATGACATAAAGAATTAGCAATGTCTCCCCTACAAGGTCATGGTCAGAGGATGTGAACATTGTATCATGTAAGTGTCAGGTGATAAAACTTCGAATATAACTGACATCTTCAGGAAGGTAGGCGTTTCCCGTCTTCCCAAAGATGTCAGTTACATTCGAAGCCCAAACAGTCTAGGCTCCCCAAACCTTACCAGGAAGCTGATTCTAATCTTCAGAGCAGTGCTTCTCCCCAAACCTTACCAGGAAGCTGATTCTAATCTTCAGAGCAGTGCTTCTCCCCAAACCTTACCAGGAAGCTGATTCTAATCTTCAGAGCAGTGCTTCTCCCCAGACCTTACCAGGAAGCTGATTCTAATCTTCAGAGCAGTGCTTCTCCCCAAACCTTACCAGGAAGCTGATTCTAATCTTCAGAGCAGTGCTTCTCCCAATTTTAAATGCTTGCAGATCACCTGAGGCCCTTGCTAAACCACAGATCCCATGGGGCTGGGCCGATTCCAACAAGCTCCCAGTGCACACCAAAAGTCTAGACCACAGACCACAGCATGAGTAGCAAGGTTCTAAAGTTTCAGCTACTTGCCCAGACACCATCTCTGATTAATTGTAGTTCTGCTGCTTGCTAGCACAAAAGGGTAAGATTTACAGTTCTTCTGAGTAAGGAACAATACAGACAGCAATTTTCTACTTACCAAAATGCTTCCATGCCCGTCATTAAGTGAGATAACAAGAAAAATCAGTAAGCTAAAGGAAACACCTATAACAGACTCAGGCTCAATTAGTATTGTGAAGAACTGGCTTATTGCAAGGCTCAATGGCTTCTTTCTCTTTCCCACTTATCTGGTTGATTTTGGCCAACTCTGTACTCCAACATAACCATAGTCTTCCTAAAGATAACGACCCTAATGCAATAGGTAGACACTGGTAAGTAAGTGCATTCTCCTCACATTTCAGGTACTGTGCTAGATCTTATATAACTCTCATTTATTTCTGGGCAGCATTTCTTATCTAAAAATAAAGTTCTATTACTGGAGGCCAAGAATTTGAGGCTGCAGTGCACTATGCTTACACCCATAAATAGCCACTGCAGTCTAGCCCGGGCAACATAGTGAGGCCCCATCTCAAAAGACAGTAACAAAATAAATAAATTAAACAAATAGAAATATAAAATATTTTCTTCTCTCAGATTAGCAAGAACTTCCATAACATCACCAAAAAAGGCACATCTAACAAATGAAACCCCCAAAATTTAGTATTTGGAGGATGCAATAAATAACATCAAATTTTAGTAAGCTCAGTATCTTATTTAATCTGGTGCAAGAAATTCAAAGGCTATCTACTAACGGTAATAGGTAATATGGAGAGACAGAAAAAGTCAGTCATATCACGCAAGAGAGCAAGACTACCTGCGGGGGTCTGTGAAGACAATATTAGGATCTATAATTACACATGGCATTAAGCAGATGGATTACTATCTAATTTTTTTCTAAACTGACACCCACAAAATGGAAAATAGTTTAAATAAAATTCTGCTAAGGAACTATAAAGTGAATATACAATAGTCAAAAACATGTGCACACATGCCAGCAAGCAAAGCTGACACTTCTCCTCTCAGTGTGGGTGGTTCAGGGAGGTATCCGCAGCCCACACAGAGCCAATCAGATTATTTTCCAGTGGTTGTCACCTGGAAACTGGGAGCAATGGAACACTTTCCCCTGGACATGTTCAATAAGGACAAAGTAAATTTAGGGCTTCTGGCAGAATTCTTTCTTTCTAGATGAGTGCAATGTGCAGAATGAAGCAAAACAAAGATAAGCAGTGATGAGAAATAAGGGGACAAAAACGGAAGGAGAGGGAAGGGAAAGAAAACAACAGGGAGAAAATGTGTGTGTTCTGATAGTTCTTAGTCCATCATTTCAATCCCCTAAGGCCCGGGTTCTATTTCTGTACATTCTGTGAGCTGCCCCACAATGCCTCCAAACTACAGAATACAATTCTTCCTTTTCATTTGTGCTAGTTTCAGTTGGCATATTAGCCAAGATAGGCTAGGTTATGATGCAGTAACAATCTCAAAACCTGAGTGGCTTCAAACAGCAAAGGTTACTACTGTCCCTTCATGTTCATATTCTTCGTGCATTAAAAAGGGGCTCTTCTCGGCATTGTGCTCATTCTAGAAACCAGCGGATGGAGAAGCAACTACTGTCATTCTCTACAGCAGAGGAAAAGAGTTTTGGAGAGACTCACAGCAGCCATTAAATGATCTGATACAGAAATAGTAAACATTTCCACTCTGAGAGATACCTGCAAGTGCAGTTCAGCCATGTGCCCAGGAGGTAGAGAGCTCGAATACTTGGTGGTGATCAGCATGTCTCCCACAGTTGGGTTTCTGTCACTTGCAATCAAAAGAATTCTGATTAACATAAGCCATGAAGAGAAATGAGACTAGAAAGACCTGTATTCCAATTGAAAGAGAAAATGGGTTCATGGAGATAGGTAGATAGCAGTAGAAACGCATCTCATATTTGGTAAATGGAAGCCGAGTTCAAAGCTTCAAAAGCTGGAAGTCAGTTTAACTGTTTAACTGTATAAATTGGAATTATTACATGCAACTCCAAAGGCAGGTTCTTAGCATCTGTGATAGCTTTCTAGAAGTGGGACATGCATTTTTAAGGGGAGATGGTATGTGCAAATTTTATCTTATTAAAAGCCAATTATTCCAGTTGTCCAATATATTTAATCTACCCAAGTAGAGTGACCATGGATTACATTCCAATTTGCCCTGGAGAGTGCTGATGAATGACAATTGTTTAAAAATTTATAGCACCCTTTTTCACTCTGAAAGTTTCCCAGTTTGGGTAATAAATTATACTGTCATCCTAACTATAACTCAGGCTTTGTTTCAGAGGATTGATGATCTTGCCTATTCCTACATTTTAAAATTCACCTTCCATTCCTTTCATGGAGGAGCCCTACACTTGAGACAAACTATGCTACTCATGGGAACTTAAATGCACCATTAATTTACACCAGCAGCACTCTGATCATATTTCTCTTTCCTCTGTCTAGAACTCTTTCTTATCATTGTGTTTCTGGTGACTTTCTTCTCTTTATTTAATATTCAACACAATGGTGACCTTTTCTGCCCTCCTGCAAGACATATTTCTTCCTCTGTGCATTCATAATACCTTATATAACTCACAGCCCTTATTGCATTTGTCTAACAATGGACAAGTATTATCATATTATCCTCCCCTAATTCAAACCTTTCAATGGCTTTCCAAGTTTCTTAAAAACAAAACTTTAATGTGGCCTGGAAATGCTGCAAGGTCTTGCCCTTCATCCCTCTCCATTCTCTCTTCCCTTTACGTTTGTACTGCCACCCTTTGTGGGCACCAATCTCCCCTGTCACAAATATTTGCAGAGAAACTCTTCCTTCGTCTGCTTAAACCTTGCTCATTCTTCAAACTTTAGCTAATCAAGACTTCAGGGAAACTTTCTCTGGACTCCCTTCACAGCACTTAAGAATGTGCTTGGCTGCAAGTAAATAAGACATGACTAACAGTGGATTAAGCAAATAGGAATTATTACTATTACATAACAAGAAGTCTGAAAGTGAGGAATTGCAGCATTCTTTGTTTCAGAAAATCAGTAAGGCCAGGAATGATGTTTCTGCTATTCTGTGGGCCTTTTCTTATAATCCTAAGTTGTCTTCTGCAACTCCAGACATCACATCCACATTCAAGGTATAAAGACACGTAGAATAGCACCACCAGCCTGGTTTGCCCCTCTTTTGACCAACATCCTCCAGGAGACTGCAGTTTGTTTTGTTGGTCAGAACTCTGCTATATGGATGCCCTAACCCTATGAAAGTCTGGAAAAGGAAATATTGTTGTATATTTTGCCACCCCAAACAAGATTAGCCTTAATAAGAATAGAAAGTTTTTAAGTAACAGGCTCTTCCAGAATCAAATCCCCTTGTAAATTCCCATAGCACAAACACCTCCTGTCTGTTTCAATTTTTCAGATGTGATGTTACATTTATATTTATTTCTCTTATTAGACTATAAACTCCAAGGGCTCAGAACTAGAAAAATTGTTTTTTGATTGTATTTCCAGAGAAATATGACTTTTGGTAGAGGCTCAATATTTAACTGTTGATGGAATAAATGAGTTAATGCGCTAACATATTTCCTCTTTTCAAGGGTTAAGTGCAAGCACTATTCTCTATGCCCCAGGTTCCAATCATGATGTTAAGTCTCATTAAATTAATGAATTAAATAATTTGATCAAGTTATTTTATCAGAGAACACAAAGCTTTAAAAGAAACTTCTGTTTTCACTCAAAACAAATTATTTACCTCCATACCTAAATACTTTGCATTCTTCTGAAGTTTGGTTTCTTTATTAAAAACAATAACAAGAACCAAAAACTGCATCAAAACTGTACCCAGAGGAGCCAAAAGCTACTGTATTATCATGGGATACGTTATTGGTGATGAATGGCTAACAAATGCAGGACTCAACAGCCAATAGCTAAACTGAGATGGGAAGATCAAAGCCTCTGTAAAGTGAGAGCTTTCTGGGCTCTACTCCCTGAACTGAAGGAAATAAACCAAAACATCTTCATGAAAGCGATTTTACACATTACTGCCTCTAACTTGGTATCATCTGGCTACTCTGTTCGGATTAAAAAAAGAAAAAAAAATCAATGAAGTACTTGGATGAGACTTCAATAGAACACTCAACAGAATATTTTTAAAGCTTTGATTTCCAAAACGGTTATAAACAAAAGTAGTTGGTCTAATCACAATAATTGGACTCTGAACAAGCTATGGCAGACATTCAGCAACCAATTCAATGGGTTAAAGAACCAAACTAGGGATCTCAAATACATGGCACCTGGGCATCTGTCTTTGTGTGTTTGTGCTGCAGTAATAGAATAGCAGACACTGTGTAAATTGTAAAGAGCAGAAATTTATCAGCTCACATTTCTGGAGGCTGGGGAGTTCAAGACCAAGAAGCTGGTATCCGGAAAGGGTCTTATTGTTGCATCATCCCATGGGGGGAAGGCAGGAGAATAAGGAAGTGCATGAGAGAGAGAGAGAGAGAGAGCAGGGAGCTGAACTCACCCTTTTGTAATGGCACTAATTCCACTCATGAGGGCAGAGCTCTCATGGCCTAATCACCTCTTAAAGTTCTCACCTTCCATACTGTTACAATGAAAACCAAATTTCAACAAGTGTTTTAAAGGGAACTAACAAACTGTAGCAACCCCAATTTCCCACTCCTTTGTCCACAGCAGACATCCTGAATTCATTATACAGTCCTTGTCAGGGGTGGAATTCCAGCAGCCAGCACTTGGTCATCAGGATTGGCATAGGAGAACACATTCATAACCCCTTGGGGTTATACACACCCTGAAAGCCTTTCCCACCAATTCAAGGTCACCAGTTCCCTAACTCTGACACACCATGGATGCTCAAAGGATGAGATGATTTAGGAATTACAACAAACCTTCCCCATCTATTCATTGTCATTCCTCTCCATGCTTCTCACATGTTCATCCTCAGTTTGGCAGAGTTTGGTACACCTAGAAAAAAGGCCAGACACCCTAACCCTGGCATTCAAGGCTGTCCACAATCTGGTCTTAGACTATCCCTCTAGCCTTATTTCTCACTGCAGTCTTTCACTTATACTGTGTACAGTGGGTTTAACAGAGATACCCAAAATTCATTTTCTATCCAGAACCTCCAAATATCATTTTATTTGGAAATAGAGTCTTTTTTTAGAGGCAAGGTCTTACTTTGTCACCCAGGCTGGAGGGCAGTGGCACAATCACAGCTCACTGCAGCCTCAACTTTTGGGGCTCAGCTAATTTTTAAAATTTTTATATAGGCAAGAACTCACTATGATGCCTCAAACCCCTGAACCCAAGGGATCCTCCCATCTCAACCTCCCAAAGTGCTGGGATTACAGGCATGAACCACCACACCCAGGCAGAAATAGGGTCTTTGCAGACTGCATTAGTTTGCTAGGACTTTCATAATAATGTAACACAGACTGGGTGCTTTAAACAGAAATATACTTTATCACAGTTCTGGAGGCTGTAAGTCCAAGATCAAAGCGTCAGCAGGGTTGGTTCCTTCTAAGGGGCTCCCTTCTCAGCTTATAGATGGCCATCTTCTGGTGTCTTCAAAGTCTTTTCTATGTGTGTCTGTGTTCTAATCTCTTCTTATAAGGGCATAAGTTATATTGGGTTAGGGTCTACCCCTGTGATCTCATTTCACCCTAAATACCTCTTTCAAGGCCCTATCTCCAAGTACAGTCATGGATCACTTAACTACAGGGTTATATTCTGAGAAATGTGGCATTAGGCAATGTTTTTGTTGTGCAAACATCATAGAGTGTCCTTACACAAACCTAAGTGGTATAGCCTACTACACACCTAGGCCATGTGGTGTAGCCTAGTGCTCCTAAGCTACAAACCTGTGCAGTGTGTTGCTGTACTAAATCCTGCAGGCAATTGTAACACAATGCTAAGTATTTGTGTATCTAAACATAACTAAATGTAGGAAAGGTACAATAAAAATATGGTATTATAATCTTATGCAGCCACAGTCATATATGCGGTCCATCATTGATTGAAATGTCGTTATGCAGCCCATGACTGTACACATTTTGAGGTACAGGGATCAGGACTTCAACATAGGAATTTGAGGGGCTATGACACAAATGCAATGTGTTAAAATCAGGTCATATTGGATTAGGATGGACTCTAAGTCCAATGATTGATGTTCTTATAAGAAAAGGAGAAGAGACTCAGATATGGCTCTCTCCTGGCTTCTGGTGGTCACTGGCGATCCTTGAGGTGCCTTGGCTTGGTGCTACATCACCCTAGCCTCTGCTCCATCGTCATTTGCCTTTCTTCTCCATGTGAGCCACCACACCCAGCTATAGTCTTTTTTTTTTTTTTTTTTTTTGAGACGGAGTCTCACTCTGTCACCCAGGCTGGAGTGCAGTGGCGCGATCTTGGCTCACTGCAAGCTCCGCCTCCCGGATTCACGCCATTCTCCTGCCTCAGCCTCCCAAGTAGCTGGGACTACAGGCGCCCACCACCATGCCAGGCTAATTTTTTATGTTTTTAGTAGAGACGGGGTTTCACCGTGTTAACCAGGATGTATTGTCGGTTATTTTTAAGCCACCCTGTGTATGGTGATTTGTTACAACAGCCCCAGGGAACTAATACATTGGCTTCAGTTCTAGCAACATCACTTATAATAGCCACCATTTATGTAGCACCTGAAACGTGCCTGACACTGGTCCTCTTAGGATAGAGGAAAAAAATTATGTGCTGCAGCAGAGAATCAAAGGAAAGCTGAAAAGGGAAGGAACAAAAGAACATCCAATAAGTCTTATGAAATTTTAAGCCCTAGTAGACTAAATAATAACAAGTATCTAGTATCTGACAAATAATATTCACTTATAAGCCTTTCTATTCAAGGTTGGTTCATGGATTTCAGGTAGAATTCATTTGAAATGTCAAGAAAGATTATGGAAGCAAGGCAGAGAGAAAATCTAAAAAGCCTTTTGAAGGATTTCTGTTATTGCTCAGGTTAATGCTCGTTAAAGAATCCTCAATTTGGGAGATATTAGTTCCTATTATAAGTCATTATCATGAAGCTTCCCATTTGTCAAGGATGTGTGTCGTACTGAAGTAGGATTTGACACTTCAGCTGGAAGCCAGAAGGAGGCTTGGTACCATCCTCACTGCAGAAAATTCCACTAATAGGTCCAGACTCTGTCTAAAGATATCACTCGGGGTGTTATCCAAAGGCCAAACTCAACCCAACAAAGTTGGTGAGTTGCAGGAGTTCATCATCAGTGTTTGGCTCCAGGAGAAGTTTGTTTGTTTGTTTTTGAGATGGAATCTCGCCTCTGTCATCCAGACTGGATAGTGCAATGGCATGATCTTGGCTCACTGCAACCTCCAACTCCCAGGTTAAAGCAATTCTCCTGCCTCAGCCTCCGGAGTAACTGGGATTACAGAAGTACACCACCACACCCAGCTTATTTTTTGTATTTTTAGTAAAGATGGGGTTTCACCATGTTGGCAAACTGGTCTTGAACTCCTGACCTTGGGATCTGCCCACCTCAGATTTCCAAAGTGCTCAGATTACAGGCGTGAGCCACCGCGCCCGGCATAAAGCTTTAATTCTTGTTAAATAACACTGGGATGGGTTAGAGCCAGGGACTCAAGCTCCACCATCATCCCAAATACAAGAGGAATAAAACACTTGCTTCACACACAGTTGGGATAATATGTGAAATATGAATAAGGTTTTAAATTAGATAATGACATTGGGTCATCATAATTGGTAATTGTGCTGTGTTTATGTAAAACCTTTTAGGAAATGCACACTGAGTTATATAGAAGTAACAAAACATCATGTCTGCAACTTGGCCTTAAATAGTTCAGAAAGAAAAAATAATTACATATATGGAGAAAATGATAATGTAATATGGTAAGATACCAATTGGAGAATCTGGGAGAAGGTCATTTTTTATATTATTCTTGCAACTTTTCTGTATCCTTGAAATTATTTCAAAACAATCACCCAAATGAAAACTTTAAAACAGATAAGCAAACTAACCTCATTCAATCTCTCTAGCACAGGGTTTCTCAATCTTGGCACTACTGATATTTAGGATCTGTGGATTCTTTATCAGGAGCTGGAGTGGATTGGGGCCATCCTGTGCATTGTATGAAGCTTAGCAACCTCCCTGGCCTCTGACCACTGGATGCCGGTAGCATGTCCCAATGGTGACAACCAAAAATAGCTCCAGATATTGCCAAATGTCATCTGGGATAGCAAAAATCACCCAGCCAAGAACTACTGCTCTAGCATTTTATTTCCTGACAAGACTAATGGGGGTAACCCCAGTAGTAGTAGTAGGGGATGTTGTGGGAGAAGTGAGCTCATCTTATCTTTATCATACATACACTTCCATTCCTGCAGTTTCATCCACAAGTATCTTACCGAGCTAACCATGAGTGAGTCCAACCCTGTGCTAGATTTTGGAGGTACAGATGAGCAAAAGTCAGAGAGGACTTGTGTCCTCACAAAGCTTATATCTAGATAGGTAAAATATATAATAAGCAAAGAAATAAATACCATTTCTGAAAATATGACAAAATGTCAACAAGAGGTTGACATGGTAAAGGGACATAATAAATTGACAGGATGAAAATGACGAAAGAAAAAACAAGGAGATGAGTGATAAAGTGACTAGGGGAGCAACGTTAGACAGGATATCCAACATCCTAAGAGAGTCCTCTCTCCACTGAAAGAAACAGTGGGAAAGATTGATTTTATAAACCACCAGGTCAAGAGCCCAAGAAAGGAAGGGACACAAAGGAAAGTGGCTTACCCCCAAATCACCCAGCAAGCCAGGGACAGGGCAGGGACTGCAATTTTGATTCCTGTCTCCCAAACCAGAGCCTGGAACATACCAGCCGAGTTCAATGTCAGGAAATGTCAAGGGACTTGGAGTCAGAAGACCTAGACTCGGCACTTACAATCTGATTTCACATAAGAATAAGGTGTTGGGCCCGCACTTCCTCATCTATCAGTGGGAATTAAACCATCACTCACAGAACTGTGAGATAAGATTTGAAGCCAGGGGCAGTGGCTCAGCCCTGTAATCCCAGCACTTATGGGAGCTGGGGGCGGGTGGATTGCTTGATCTGAGAAGTTTAACACCAACCTGGGCAACATAACCAGACCCTGTCTCTACAAAAAAATACAAAAGTTTGCCAGGCATGGTGGCACAGGCCTGTGGTCTCAGCTATTCAAAAGGCTGAGGTGGGAGAGTCGCTGGAGCCCAGGAAGTCAAGGCTGCAATGAGCTGTGATCATGCCACTGCACTAGCCTGAGTGACAGTGAGACCCTGTCTCAAATAAAATAAAGTCAAGATTTGAAAATACAATTTATGAACAAAGTTTCTAGACATGACATCTTTAAAAAAAGTGTTGTTTCCTATAAAACCAACATATCTTGCTACAGAAAATTATAAGTAGAAAAAACATGTTAGGAACTACCCTTCACCTGTCTTTTCATTTATCCAATTACTATTTATTGAGCACATGTATCCAGTACTGTCTAAATAATTCTGCCATCGCCCATAAAAGTTGCAGAGATTACATCAACTGTACTAAAAATTTATGTCCTGCTTTATTTTACTTATAAAATAAGCACTTTTTATCATTTTTATAATGTACTTTCCCTGGTTCCATAATATTCCAATATACAAATCCATTCAGCACATGCATGATTTCCATGTTTTGAATCCATTTATGGTTGAAGTTTTATTTAAACATTCTAAATACAAATGTTTAGTTGGCTTTCAATAGCAGAGGTCAAGAGAAAAAAAAAACAAAAGACACCAGGTGTGGTGGCTCATACCTACAATCCCACACTTTGGAGGCCAAGGTGAGAGGGGATCACTTAATCACTTAAAGCCAAGAGTTCAAGACCAGCCTGGGCAACATTAACAAGACCCTGTGTCTACAAAAAATAAACAAATAAACCAGATGTGGTGGCCCATGCCTGTAGTCCTTGCTATACAAGAGATTGAGGCAGGAGGATCACCTGAGCCCAGGGAATTGAGGCTGAAATGAGCCATGATTCCACCTCTACACTCCAGCCTGGGCTACAGAACAAGACCCTGTCAAAAAAAACAAAATCATTATTTAAATAAGTAAAAATGTTTTTCATTTTTCTAGTTTTGCATATCATGCTGTAATAAGTCTTTATAATTAGTTTTTAAAGGAACATCTGTGTGATTTTTGTGTGTGGTTGACTTTTCAACTTTAGATTTTTCTCCGCTGTTAGACTTCCAGAAGTGAAATTATAGTATCAAAGAATATTTACCACAGACTCTTTGTTTCATGGTGCGAAATTGCTTTCGAAAAGCCTTGTGCAAATTCAACTGGGAATACACTAAACACAGACATATATGACAATGGATATCAGCATTAAATGTTACCAGTAATAGGCTGGGCGTGGCGGCTCACGCCTGTAATCCCAGCACTTTGGGAGGCCGAGGTGGGCGGATCACAAGGGCAAGAGTTCGAGACCATCCTGGCCAACATGGTGAAACCCCATCTCTACTAAAAGTAGCGGGGCATGGTGGGCTACGCCTGTAATCCCAGCTACTCGGGAGGCTTAGGCAGGAGAATGGCTTGAACCTGGGAGGTGGAGGTTGCAGTGAGCCGAGATCGTGCCACTGCACTCCAGCCTGGGAATAGAGCAAGATTCCGTCTCAAAAAAAAAAAAAAAAAAAAAAAACAAAAAAAAAAGTAGTGGCTTATGATTGGTAACTTTTTTTTTTTTTTTTTTTTTTTTGAGACAGTCTTCCTCCGTCGCTGGAGTGCAGTGGCCTGATCTTGGCTCACTGCAACCTCCGCCTCCTGGGTTCAAGCGATTCTCGTGCCTCAGCCTCCCGAAACATACTTTTAAATAAAGTAGGGAGCACAACAATGGAGTTTTAAAAGGTCTCAAGACGAGCCATCAAGGATAGACTCCAAGGGCGGCTAGAGCCCTCAGCCTGGAGGAAGGGTACCTTTACAGCAACCCCTTCTCAAACTTGTTTATGTGTTTGGACATTTCAATGGCCCAGATAGGCAGCGTGTCCGGGCCCGAGGGATGGAATGCTGCCCCGGGGAGCGGCTACAGCGCGGGATCCTGGGGAGATAGCTCAAGGCAGGCCAGGGAAGGACAGGCCGGGCAATGGGCGCGGAGACGAAGGGGCCGGACAGCGGCGAGGCGCTGGCTCCGGTCGCGGCACCCGGCTGCTGAGGGCAGTGCTGCTGCTTGGGACGTTCCAGGCGACCAAGTACCCTCGGCGGCCCTGGCAGGGCGGTGCCTGGGGTGGGCGCTGGGCCTCCAGGCCTGCAGCCACGCTTGGCGCTGTCCGCTAGGGCCAGGTGCTGAAGTGTTGGCCGCGAGCGGAGCTGCTGCAGCGCTGGCTTCCCCGGGCCGCTGCGGGTGGACTTGGACAACATAAAGGGCTGATTGAGCGGGGCCACTTTTTCGCCCGCGTAAAGTGTCCTCCAGCAGCACATGCTCGGCCTCCTGGAAAGGAAAGGGAAGCGGCCTGGCTTCCATCTGCTCCTGGGCACCCAGGTGAGGAGGAACCCAAGGGAACTCACTGCCCCCTTTTAGCCTCGCGCTCCCCAGTGCAGCCGATGACAGGAACTCAGTGACAACCGATGGAATGACCGTCTTGCCTCCCTCTCTGTAATGGGGAAAAAAAGCCAGAGATACCGATCCAGCTTTTTGCCAGGAATCAAAACAACTCATCTGTTGACTTGGTTTCCTCATCTGTAAATTGCTGGCAATATTTAAGAACATCTAGAGGCCGGGGAACAGTGGCTCCCACCTATAACAGCAGCACTCAGGGAGACCAAGGCAGAAGGACCACTTGAGGTCAGGAGGTGGAGGCTGCAGTGAGCCGAGATCTCACCACTGCACTCCAGCCTGGGTGACAGAGCAAGACCCAGTCTCAAAAATAAAAAAACAAAAACATGTAGAAAGTGGAATATTCCTGTTTCATTAAAGTTTTTGTGACCGTTTCGTGAGATAATGTAGGCAGAAAGGCATTACAAAGTTTTTTGCTCATAAGAGGTACTTAGAAAATTAAAATTACCACCAGCTGCAAACTGGTTTCTAAAAACTGGAGATAAAAAACGCCTTCATCATTTTAGAAGCACTTGCTCAAAAATGAAGTATCAGGTGGCTCTGAGAAGAGATGATAAATTTCCCGAGTACTCCAAGAACAATGGGAAGAAAATTAAAATGACAGTAATTTTCCAAGGTGTAGATTTAGCCAGAATGAGCAACCTAAATCAGCCCTATAGTTACCCTTCAAAAAGTGAACACTCTTAATTTATTATTTGTCTTTTAGCATGGTATCATTTGAAGGAAAAATAGAAGGCCAGGTACCATTTAACCTTTTAACAGTATGGCTTTTTCACTTACAAAAACTTACATATTATGATACGTGTTGATTTTTTAGAAAAATTCTAAGTCACGCTGTGTGACGACAATTCAAGTTTATCTGGTGATTTTCTTTGAATATGCACCTATTTTTATCTCACAATAACCATATGATGTAGGTTTTTACTCTCATTTTAGTGATGAGGAAATTAAGGATCAAAGAGATTTGAGCTTGGTGATTTGCTTAAGGCTGCACAGGTTTGAAGCTGCAGGGCCAGGACTGGAGTCCAGATCTGCCTAAGACCACAGACAGTGCTCTTTGGGTTGTGTTTTACCTATTAAAACTAACCATATTACCTAACTAATCTATTAACATTAGTAACACAAGCTGTCATATTTATGTAAGTCTAGAGAGCAGATTCTCAAAGTCAAAGACAAAACATCCCCCCAGAAATCAAGTAACAAGCAAGAGTAACTTGCAAAACAGGTTAAGGTTGCTTATAGCTGTAACTTTCAGAGCTTTCACAGTAATCAAAAACAAACTGCGGTCAAATGAACTGCATAAGTTATTTTGTCCTCATACTACAAATATTAAGTTTCCAGCACATTAAGCCTATTCCAGATTTTTAAACATGCAGCCATTAACAAACACAGGTGATTGAAAGGAACTGCATTGGATCACCTGAGGTCAGGAGTCCAAGACCAGCCTAGCCAACATGCAGAAACCTATCTCTACTAAAAATACAAAACTTAGCCAGGTGCGGTGGTGGGTGCCTATAATCCCAGCTAGTTGGGAGGGTGAGGCAGGAGAATAGCTTGAACCTGGGAGGCAGAGGTTGCAGTGAGCCAAGATTGCACCATTGTACTCTAGCCTGGGCAATAGAGCGAGACTCTCAAAAAAAAAAAAAAAAAAAAAAGGAAAAAAAACTGCATTAAATGGTTAATAAGTGTTACCCTATGGGCGACATAATGTGGGTGAAATTTTTTTCTTATTTTTCTACACTTTCTACAAGGAGCAAACACTATTATTATTATTATTATTATTATTATTATTATTATTATTATTATTTTTGGCAGAGCTAGCTCAAGTTTTATTTTAGCCAAAAGAAAAAAAAAAGCCCAATTGAATTGTTTTGTAGCTGGAGGCATGGGCAAGGGGGGTCCCCAGATAGTAAACTCCCCTGCAGGTGGGCTTAGGGCTAGGGCTGAGCCTCAGGTGGGTCTCCCGTTCGCCCAGCTCTCCTGCACAGCAGCCTCGCTTCTGGGCTCTGGCGCAGCCTCAGGACGGGCAGGCTGGGAGGGGCTATCGCAGCTGTTCACTTTGGCAGATGTCAGGACTCGGACACCAGCTTCCCATCACGGGTCTCAAGCTTCTTCACAACCACGGCCTTGGTGGAGCTGGAGCCGGCGCCAGAACCAAAGCTGGAGCTCAGGCAGTAGCTTGTGAGGCCCCCCTAGGCCGAGCTCAGACCACTTACATAGCCACTGGTGGTCTTCGAATGGATACTCATGTTACGCATCCCAGACTCCAGCCGGCTCTCCTCACCCTCCAGCAGCTTCCTGTAGGTGGCTATCTCGACGTCCAGGGCCAGCTTGAAGTTTATCAGCCCCTGATACGCAGCTGCCGTGCCATGTCCCGCTTGGCCGGCTGTGGGGCAGCCTCCCAGCTTGGACAGCTTGGCGTTGGCATCCTTAACGGCCAGCTCCCCACACTGCTCGGCATCTGCGAGGGTGGCCTCCAGGGAAGCCCTCTGGCCTTTGAGGCCCTCAATCTCAGCCTGGAGCCGGCTGATGTTCCCGTTCATCTCAGAGATCTGTCTTCGAACGCCACAGGTCACCCCCGTGCTTCCCAGCCAGCGCCTGCAGCTCCTCATACTTGATCTGGTACATGGTCTCACAGCCTCAGCCTGGCTGCAGTTGGCGATCTCCTCATACTGCGCCCTGACCTCAGTGATGATGCTGTCCATGTCCAGGGTGCGGCTGTTGTCCATGGACAGCACCACAAACGTGTCCGATATCTGGGACTGCAGCTCCTGGATGTCCTCTTCATATAGCTGACTGAAGAAGTTGATCTCGTCAGTCAGGACTTCCAGGCAAGACTCCAGCTCTACCTTGTTCATGTAAGCTTCATCCACATCCTTCTTGATGAGGACAAATTCATTCCCCACCTCTGTACGCTTATTGATCTCATCCTCATACTTGTTCTTGAAGTTCTCCACCAGCCCCTTCATGTTGCCAAACTCTGCCTCCAGCTTCAGCTTCTCCTGGCCCAGAGTCTCCAGCTGCCACCTAAGGTTATTGATGTAGCTCTCGAACATGTTTGTCCATGTTGCTCCAAGCCATCTGCTGCTGCTGCAGGAGGCTCCACTTGGTCTCCAAGCATCTTGTTCTGCTGCTCCAGGAACCGTACCTTCTCTATGAAGGAAGCAAACTTGTTGAGAGTCTTGACCTGCTCCTTCTCCTGGGTGTGCACGGCCTGGATGTTGGGGTCCACCTCCAGGTTAAGGGGGCTCAGTAGGCTCTGGTTGACTGTGATGATGGTGATGCCTCCCATTCCACTGGCCCCAGCATAGCCTCCACCCTGGCCACCCCGGAAGCTGCTGCTGCCCACTCGGGAGAAGCTAGAGAAGCTGATGGGGGCACCGGGCCCACTTGTGTAGGAGAGGCTGCTGAAGGCCCAGGGGTCAGAGGTGGACACCTTGTAGGACTTCTGGGTCACCTTGATGGACATAGTGGAGGCAGAGTGGAGGTAGGCAGGCTGAACCAAGTGGAGATTCCAGAAGGAGCAGAGAAGCTGCTTCTTGGTCCATAATTTTTAAATCAAGAACCACGTTTTATATATGTAACTGGACGTCAATGCGCCAACTTATTTTAATACTTTGGTGCTTGTCAGACACATCCTACTGATTTGAGAGCTTAGCATTTCAGTAATGCACTATTTCCATTAAGTTTCAGCCTACCTTATTAAAAAATATAAGAGCTAGAATGCATCCTTCATAAATCCAAAGAAAGGGGGTTGGCAACAGAGAAAAAAGTTGCATTAAGTGGAGGACTCATCTTAACTTTTGCATTTGCCAGTTAAATGGATCTGTTACCCAGAGACCAGCTTGCATCCCAAACTACAATGCAAGGAGTGGATTATGACTGGATACTCAACATCAGGACAGTAGAACAAAAAGTAATCTTCACACGTTGGGGAATTCTCACCAAAAGCAGAACAACTTAACACTTTCTTTCTCCTTTCAGTTTTTTCAGATATTTTCCACCAAGTTACTTTTGCCTAACAATTCATCCACCATCACAAAAGACTAAGAGATCAGTCAAGAGATTTAAGAATACATGGAATGAAAATTTAAAAATTCAAAAGACTCTTTCCCTGAATCCAAAAACTACTGCAAAGAAACCGGCTCTATTCACAGTCATCTTCAAAGAAGAACATTCTTGGCAAACATTGTCCTTCACCCTCAGAGAGAGGAAACTCTCTTTTATGTTTAATGTACATTCCTCCTGCTTTGAAGCCTCCCTTTCCCTGTCCCCTGTGGAGAGTTTCTGTTGCTTTATGGATTTTAAAGTATGCAGAATTTATATTATTTCAGCTTCTTAAAAGCCTCATTTGCTGAGAAAGTGTGCGTATCTTAAAATGCATGAATTCTGTATGGTGCCAGAAATGTAGAAAATGTAGAAAGCTTATGTTATTTTTCCAGAGGAAAAGTCAAAGCTGATGGTCAAGATTGATATGTTAGCCATAGCCCAATGATAGCAAAGATTGTGTTGGAGTCATAAATGTCTCTTTACAAATGCCAACGGCCTAGGCAGATATTTTATAAGCTCCATGGATATTTAATCAAGCATGCCTGTCTTTGTTGACCTAGAGCTTTTGGTATTTATTAGCAATTTTTTGTGTTAAGAAAGAATTTTTTTAATCAGATGAACTTTATGGTGGTCAAAGGTCAAACAAATAATTAAAATTAATAGCAGCTCTGAATAAATGAGTAACCACCACCAAACCAGAGAGGGAGGTTATCTCAGGTTGACAGCTCTCTAAATAAAAAAGCTGTCTCATTAGGTGATGAAATTTACTTGCCTGAACTGCCCATAAATAAAAGGTTTCTGTGGCCTACCAGTTGTTGATGGGGACAGAATAATCACTCAACACCAGATGCAATGCAACAAAGTAATTAATGCTCAGAACTCAGAGCTGGGTATGAATCAAGGATCCTTTACTTAGTAGTTAACTAGAAGACTGGGACTAGTTAATTTCTCCAGTGCTCAGCTTCTTATCTACAGGTAAGAATTGTCACGGTACTTACCTTTCTGTGTTATTGGGAGGATTGAATAAGAAAGCTCATAGATACCTTAGTCATTGTATACATGTATGCAATGAAGTGAATGCTAACAATTTTTTTTTTTTTTGGAGACAGTCTCACTCCATCTCCCAGGCTGGAGTGCAGTGGCATGATCTTGGCTCATTGCAACCTCTGCCCGCATCCCGGGTTCAAGCAATTCTCCTGCCTCAGCCTCCCAAGTAGCTGGGACTACAGGCGTCTGCCACCACGCCCAGCTATTTTTTTTATTTTTAGTAGAGACGGGGTTTCACCTTGTTGGTCAGGCTGGTCTCCAACTCCTGACCTCAGGTGATCAACCTGCCTCAGCCTCCCAAAGTACTAGGATTACAGGCATGAGCCACCCCCCCTGGCCAACTATTTTTGTCCTCCTTTGCATCATTTCATATGAGCACATATTCCCAAATGTGAAGACAATGACTCCCCCTCCGTTTATCCTCCACTCCAGGTATCTGCTGAATCCTCCAAGGGGAACAGAATAAGGGGAAGATCCCTGGAGATCAGATTCTCAGATCCAGTATCCCGTGTGCTGACCTGCCATGACAAACACTGGCAGGGAGCCTGCCATAGAGGAAAAGAGTAAGAATTGGCTGAGTTCACATATGGGCTCCATCAATAACTAGCGGCCAGGTGAGATTAGGTGAGTGTCTTCTCAGAAACTTAGTATCCTCCCTGAAAATTGTGTATACTTGTACTAAGCTCAGAGGATTATTGTTGAAAATTAAATGGAATGAGAGATGTAGATGTGTCAAATGCAGTGTTTTACCCAAGCAGATGTTCAGTTAGCACTGGTCTCCTTCATGGCACTGAGTTTTGGGGTGACCTTTTCTGAGCTGTCCCCATCCAGGCCCTTTCTTTTGGAGCGTTCTCAGTATAACCCAACAGGTGGACACATACGCAGAAGGTAGAAATTTTATTCCCACAAACACAGCATGTGTTATTAACACAGTAAATCATCAGCGTGATCAAGGCTTGACATTCTAGAAAAAGAGGCAGCATGACAGAACTGCTTTGGGCACATGTCAACATGAGAGCAGACTGGCAAGGTACACATTAGTCACAAATTGTATGGATGGCACCCACAGTCCCTTTCTTTCAGCTTCAGTTTCCTTCCAAAAAAAAAAAAGGAAATATCTAGAGTATTAGTATTCTTCTCGAAAACGATTCTACCATGCTACTCAGAATTAACCTTTTCTTCTAAAACAAGTGGAATAGCCAGCAGGAGGGGAAAAGCAGAAGGTCCTTGCTCAGTTCCCTCTTTCTCATCCTCCTGTTATTTCTGCCCCTGGGATGGAAAGAGTCCTCCTCTCTCACGTTTAAAGTTAAAAGGACTTTCAGGGTTTACTGAGAATTCCTTAAGAGGAATGAACAACCTCAATGTATGAACAAGAACAAGAACATCCATGGCACTTATTAAGTACGCTTTACCACATTATATATTTTAAGTTCTGGGATAGATGTGTAGAACGTGCAGGTTTGTTACATAGGTAAATGTGTGCCTTGGTGGTTTGCTGCACCTGTCAACCAGTCACCTAGGTATTATGCCCCACATGCAGCTATTTAACCTGATGCTCTCCTTGCCCCAACACCCAACAGGCCCTAGTGTGTCTTGTTCCCCCCTCCCTGTCTTCACCACTTAATTTCTATGAGATCAAAGATAAGCTTTAGTGTTGTGATTTCAAAATTGTCGGTGGAGACGGACAATCGTAACCTCAGATTGCTGATTGGCAGATAGGGGAATGTATGGTTATAAGAGCCTGCCACAAAGAAAACACCCAAAGTGTTTGCTTTCTCTTGAGATGGAGTCTCACTATGTCACCCAGGTTGGAGTGCAGTGGCGTGATCTTGGCTCACTGCAACTTCTGCCTCCCTGGTTTAATCGATTCTCCTGCCTCAGCCTCCCGAGTAGCTGGCATTACAGGTGCCCACCATCACATTCAGCTAATTTTTTTTATTTTTAGTAGAGATGGGAGGTTCACCCTGTTGACCAGCTGGTCTCTAACTCCTGACCTCAGGTGATCTGCCCGTCTTGGCCTCCCAAAGTGGTGGGATTACAGCCGTGAACCACCACACCTGGCCTGCTTTCTATTTACGCCTCAGAAGGACTGTAGGCCCATTGAGGTTACAGATTACTTTTATTTTTTGTATGCCCCACAGATCTCACACATAGCCTAGTATAATACATTATATAAATATTTGCAGATGGGTCAAAACAACTATTTTAAGACAAGGAAAAAGATCTCAGCATAATGCCCCCCTCTCAGATGAGCAGAGAAGATGAATTACCAAGGTGTCATCCAATAGCTAGATGCATGGTCTTACGATGGATCCGGATGTTTTTCCCCCCACTCAGACGTGTATTTAATAATTGTAGAAATCCAAAAGAATCGGCATCTAATCTTGAAGTCGTGAATGAACCTGTGGGTTGGCTTGACTAGGCTCAGCCACTGAGCTGCCTCAGCTAACCAAGGAACAGGATGTGACGACTATGCTATCTTCCGTATGTCTTAATCTTACATATTTAGTTTCAGTAAAGCATTTGTACCAACGGCTCTGGAGCTTGGAGGAAGACTAAAGTGTAGTGATTCTGAGCAGGGTGTGGGCCTATGCAGCAGAGCTATCCTTGAGGGAGAAGATTAACAAAGTCCTTTCTTCCAGTATCAGGAGAGTCATGAGTGGCAGTCCTATCCAAATGGGCCACTAGGGCTAAAAGGCTAGACCCTGCCCTCTTCATCTCTGAGCTATAACAGGTTCTTTCTCCCTCCAGGCAGAGGCAAGGAGCTTGCAATGGGGAGTTTTCAGGAATGAGGACCATGACATAGTTGTTTCTGATCCCTCCATCCAGTTGTGAAAAGATGAAGCAAAGGAGGCAAGAAAAATGCTTAATCTAGCAGACAAGAGAATGGACAGTGTCGTCCTTATCAGTACTAGTCCTGGTGGATGCACCACTATTCAGCTCCACAATGCTGCTTTTTTCCCTTCATTTCCTCTGTTTCCATTCATTCCCCTCAGTTGTGATCTGGAATCAATTCTAAACCTCAGTGTATTATGCAGCTGATCCTTAAAAACCTGCAAAAGCAGGTTACTTTTGAGGTACTTAGTCACACCATGTACAAATAGAGCTGTTATAGACAATGTAGCTTTGCAGAGATCTGCCCCTTTGCTCACTAGCAATTAGGGAGTTAATGCTCTAAAATTGAGGCAAGGAGCCTAGAGTGTTGCCACTTTACGGAAGGCACAAAAGTTGCAGCAGGACTCTATGGGAGCTGCCCAAGACCTGATGGCATGAGATTTCTATCTGAGTCATTAATCTGTCTGCCATGAATGATTCTATACTTTGGCTGAGACATAGTTCTGGTGAGAGTTTTATTCTCTCAGGACATTATAAAGGAGGCAACGTAATGTAAAGGAAGAACAAATAACAGAGTGGAAATCCAGTTTTGCCTCAGACTAGCTGGGAGACCACAGGCAAGTCATGGAAGGCCTCAGTTTCTCTGACTGCAATTATTATATTGGATTGGATGGTCATGAAGTCCCTTTCATAGCCAGACATTTTGTATGGCCACTAAAATGCTTAAATTTCTGAGGTCCTGAAAGAAAATAGGTACATCCCTCCCCATCCCCACCACTATTTAGGCTAGTTTTGCTGAGTTTTCCCCAGGTCCCCCGATAACACTTCCTCCTAGGCTGGGCACGGTAGCTCATGCCTGTGATCCCAGTATTTTGGGAGGCCGAGGCAGGCAGATCACCAGAGGTCAGGAGTTTGAGACCAGCGTGGGCAACATAGGGAGACCCTGTCTCTACAAAAAATTTAAAAATTAGCTGGGTGTGGTGGCACATGCCTGTGGTCCCAGTTACCAGGGAGGCTGAGGTAGGAGGATCACTTGAGCCCAGAAGGTCAAGGATGCAGTAAGCTTTGATTTTGCCACTGCACTCCAGCCTTGGTGACAGAGAACCTTTCTCAAAAAAAAAGTACACGCGTAGTGACAGCTGACCTTTTAGTAGAAATGGCCCATGCCTTTACACAACTTTGTATAGCTAGAAAAGGCTGTTTTTTCTCTCCCCATGCCCAAGCTTATTCCATTAGGCATGCAGGTAACTGTCGTCCCGACACCCCGATGACCATTTCTCCTCATTCCAAAACAGGTAACCCTAAGAAATAATTCCTACAAGGAGAAGGTCTCAAATGCCAATCAGCAGTCATTTGGTGATGGTGGGTAAGGTCTAATGCTACAAAAAGGTTGCATCCAGAAGAATTCAATTCCCTAAGAATCCAAACTCCCAGGCTGGCAGGCAGCAGTGCTGAGGACAAGCTCACTGTTGAGAGTCGGTCTGGAAGACCCCACTGGAAGATCTTGTGGTGACGTAGACCTTGCAACTGCATTGTCATAGATGGCATTCACACTGGCGCAGAGAGGCTGCAGCTCTCTCACCCATGAGCAACCAGCCCACTGGCCACACAAGACAGTAGCAGTAGCTTCAGCAGAGACAGGACATTGAGTCCCGGGTGGTGGCTTGTGGGAGCAGGAGTGGGACTTGGATTTCGGGCCCTGGTTTGTTTCCTTCTTGAGTTTCTTCTCCTGATCCACTTAACTGCTTTGAAGGTATCCTTCTTTCCCCCTCCTGAGGTTCCTTAGCTCGCTGCTTGGCCTCAGGTTTCTCTGCCTCTCCTACTTCTGATGCCTCTCCTGCTTCTAACCCACCTGCACGGCCTTCACATCTTGTGACGCCTCGTATGCGTGCTGCTTACATTGCCTCTTATCCAAGCAATCACTTGCCACCTTGGCCAGGAGAGGATCCAGGGAGTTATCCTACAGGTCCAGACACTTCAGGTTCTTGAGCTAAGCAAAGCAGACAGGCAGGGTGGCCAGCTTGCTGAGGAGAACCAGGTGCTAGATGTTGACCAAATGGCTCAAGTCTGTGGGCAACCGTTACAGCCCATTTTTTTCTTCCTCTCTGTGCCCTGCCCCCAAGACAGGGTCTGTCATCCAGGCTTGAGTACAGTGGCACAATCAGGGCTCACTGCAGCCTTGACCTCCTAGGCTCAAGCCATCCTCCCGCTTAGCCTCCCAAGTAGCTGGGACCACAGGTACACACCACGCCCAGCCATTTTTTTTTTTTTTTTTTTTTTTTGGTAGAGACAGGGTCTCACTGTTGCCCAGGCTGTCTCCAACTCCTGGCCTCAAGCGATCCTCCCACCTCCTGCAGCTCATTCTTAATCTAGCCTCACCAGGCATGTAAGGCCATGGAAATTCAACAGTAGAGCCCCAGATTTATTTCAGAACAGATCCAGCATGGGGGCCTTTGGAAGGGCAGCCAGCTCCTTAAGGGCCTTCATTCAGGTTGTCCAGGCTCAGGTCCAGTTCATTGTCTCCTGCCTGTCAGAGGCTCCCGCCCTTGCTAACAGCCTTTGGTCATGATGACAGTGGCTGAGAGGGCTTGGCTCCAAGGTTCCCAGGCATGAGGGAGAGGAGCTGAAATGCCCTTGTCAGTTCTGTGGATCCCACCCAACCCACAACTCCTGCGCCTTCCACCGAGCCCCAGGCCTTGCTTCCACTAGTGCCGCGACGACGACCTGGATCAGGATTTTTCATTTTTCCATCCACGCGTAGCAACAGAGTCCCCTGACTGATGTTAGGTATCAACCCAGGACCACTTAAAATCAGGAAGAAATCAAGAAGTGGAGATATGAGTGAAAAAAGGGAGGTTTTTATACTAATTCTCTATTTTGTGGAATTATAATACAAAGCCCATCAGGGAAGCTTGCACTCTCATCCATAAGGCACACACATAGGCACATACACAAACTACTTCACACAGTTTTAGGGGCATTGTAAACTCCAGTTTATAATCCCCTATTTTTATCCATTTAAGCTCTCGGTCTAAATCTTGTAGCCGTAACAGACGTTCCTCAGCCCATTATGGACTTCTGGTAAAACAGGTGCAAATTGTTCAATTACATTGATTTTGGAGACTCAGCTGTGTCCTTCTAAGGAGATCCAAACTCCCAAAGTACCAAGATTTGTATGCTTGCCATGCTGCTGTCTTATTATTTTGAGACAGAGTCTCACTTTGTCACACACTGCAGCCTTGATCATCCAGGCTCAAGGATCCTCCCACCTAGGCCTCCAGAGTAGCTGGGACCACAGGTGTACACCACACCTGCCTAAATTTTTATTTATAGAGGTGAGGTCTTGCTATATTGCCCAGGCTAGCCTCTAATTCCTAGCCTCAAGTGATCCCTCCTGCCTCAGCCTCCCAAAGTGCTGGGATTATAGGTGTGAGCCACTATGCCTACCAGAGGGTATTTCCTATTCCATTTTATTCATCCACTCCATTCTAAGATGGAAGGTTGAGTAGTAGCTCATTAATGACCAGTCAGTTCTGCCTCTGGAAAGCTGTTTACAGAGAGCTCTCAGCCAGGTGGCTTCCAGGATTTATGGCCAAGGTGACCTTCCCACCCGACTGCACAATGGCACCTTGACAGGCTGAATCGTCAGCTTAGCAAGTGTGAGGGACTATGACTTCTCTAATCAATTTGTGTAATGCAGTGAACATGCCTTGGCACTAACCCAGAAGTGCTCCATCTTTGGACAAACATTGATCATTTCAAATGAAATCGATCAAAGAATCCATTATCCTCTCTTCTAGAAACCCATCTGTCATCTCACACACATTAGGCGATAACCAGAGTTGTCCAAACAGAGATGGCATATACATTAGCCACTCTCAAGCCGGACAAAAGAGAGCCAAACCTTTCATTGCAAAACATTTACTTAGCTCACCCACTGTATCTGAAATATCTTTTTGAAGTGTCACGTTTTCAGCCTCACAAGCTGTCTAGAAACCACAGACATTTACATAGCCCAAAGAAAACGACGGTTGTCAGTCTGGCTTCCACATTTGTCTTGACAAAAGTCCTTGAGACAACTGTCTTTGGGAGTCTCCATCACCTTAAACATGAGCACTATAGACTAGATTTTCTTTGGTCTCCAGAGAGCCCCCTACATAGCTAAAGCCTGTAGACCATCAACATAAAATCAACCGAATATGGGATTTTGAGTTTAATCCTTTTACAAGAGAGCTTCCCTATATCGGTTTAGCCTTTGCATATCCTCTCTTTCATTTGGGTCCCACTGGGGGTCGGTTCCTGGTAACTGGGTCCTTACATACTCTTAGGGGTTTTGGTAATCAGCCGGTGCACGTTCCTCTAGACACTTAGTTGCTGCTTGGAGCACTCTCTGCATTTCACCTGTGTTAAAGAGGAACATGAGCAACTGGTGGCAATCAGCCCAAGTGGGGTTATGGGTCTGGATAATAGTTTGGAGCAAATCAGTTAGAGCTTGTGGCTTTTCAGTATAGGACGGGGTATTGTTTTGCCAGTTGAGAAGGTCGGCAGAGGTGAAGGGCTGGTACACAAAAACACGCCTCTCCACCATGTGACCATCCTCATCTATCCCAGTATACCGCTGCTCTCTCAGGGGCATTTGTATCCCAGTTTTGGGTCTTAAACGAGCTGCCAAGGGAGGGGTTTCTCCAGAGGTTTCACCTCCTCTCTTGTCTACTCTGGGTGGCCTAGGGATATGTTTGTCTTGCGGAGGTGCAAGCACTGTGGGCTCAAAAGTGAGGAGCCTCTCTCCCTGATAAGGGGAGGGCACGACTGGGATCACTGGTGCCATCTCCTGCAATGGATCTTCTGATGCTGGGTCGAACAGAACTTCAGGAGTTGATTTCCCTCGGTGGGAGAAAGGGGATCTTTCCTTGGCTATCTGTCCCTTTGCTACTACCACTGCTGCTGCCTGCCCTCTTAACCACTGTGGGGGGTCTAGCACCAGCTGCAACCAAGTGTCTATGTATGGGAACTGGTCTAAGTGTCTTGACTTACCAGTTACCTTGTGCCATACCTTAGAAACAAGGGACCTGTCCAGGCTTCCTTCTGATGGCCAACCCACTTCTAATGTTGGCCAATCTATTTCATACAAAGTTCTAAGTTTCCCTGGTGTCATAGTAACCCCATAGTCTCCATTAAATCCCTTCTTAAAATTTTTCTACATAGTTCCTAGCGGAGTAGGCTTACTTTGTGTCTGACCCATGTTTCCTCGAGACAAAACACCAAGCTCACACCACACGCACACCACAGAACAAAGAACGGGTAAAAAGGGCACACACACACTTTTTCAGTTTACACCAAACCAAAATCAAAACCAAAATCAGAGTATCCAGAAATCCAAGCCAGGTCAAAACCAAAACCAAAGTATCAAGCAATTCAAGTCAAGTCAAAAACAAAAACCAAAGTGCCGGTACAGGCACGCCGTGGGTGATCAGGCCACGCTTCCACTCAAATGGAGTGGGCAAGTTCCAAAGACCGTTCTTACCAAGTTTCAGATGTCCGGACTCCAAGTGCCCGTTCCTTCCCGGTGTTCAGCCACTGCGTTGATCCTCCACGGGGGCCTGCCACGCACTGCTCTGACGAGGTGTTCCACCCGGGCAATTGCCTACCCCGGAGCGCTCTCAGGATCCACGTCGCTCAAGCTGGCCGGAGTCCCCCACAGGGATGCTCCACAGGGTATGCCTAAGCCGCCTAAGGGGCTGCCTCAACCGACCGTTAATCACCTCGCTTCCCGGTCAAGGAACCAAGAAATGTAGCAGGATGAGTCGCAGACAAAACTCCTCAGACACCGGATTAAAGAAGGAAGAGGTTTATCATTTGGCCGGGATCGTCCGCAGACTCGCGTCTTAAGAGCAGAGCTCCTCAAAAAAGAAATCACTGGCCTTTTTAAATGCTTACAACTTTAAGGGGTCCATGTGAAAGGGTCATGATACATCAAGCAAGCGTGGGAAACGTGACTGGGGGCTACATACATCAGCTAACAGAACAAAGAGTTTTACAGTGCTTTCTCATACGATGTCTGGAATTTACAGATAACACCAGTAGTTTTGGTCAGGGGTTAATATTATTTTAACCACCAGGGCCAGGTGGTGGCGCCAAGGTCACCTAGCTATTTATCTTACTTCTGTTTCTTTCCAACTTTTTGCTTTCTCCCTTTTCTCCTGGTCTTATAAACTAGGGAAAAGGGGAGGCTGTGGAGAAGCTGGGAAGGACAACAGGAGAAGTAGTGGTCTCATTCCATACAACCTCTGCCTCCCAGGTTCAAGCAATTCTCCCGCTTCAGCCTCCTGAGTAGCTGGAATTACAAGCACCTGCCACCACGCCCGGCTAATTTTTGTATTTTTAGTAGAGACAGGGTTTCAACCATCTTGGCCAGGCTGGTCTTGAAACTCCTGACCTTGTGATCCACCTGCCACAACCTCCCAAAATACTGGGATTACAGGCATGAGCCACTGTGCCCGGCCAGCTTTTCCTTTTAAAATCCTGAAATCAGAAAGGGTCTGATTATATTCCATTTCTTAAGCAGTAGAGGCTATCTCCTTCCAAGAGGGAGTTGCAGGGCTAAAGCAAACATAGATAATATGCAAGCAAATAATTGTGGCTCAGTTCCAAAAGCTTTACTAAAACAGGGAGCAGGCAGATTTGACCTACGGACCATGGATCGCCAACCTTGGGTCTACATGGAAGCCCAGATGACTGCCTTTGTTTCATTCTGTTTATTATTGAGGGAGATCTGGGGCTTTTCCTCACTTGTATTTAACGATCCATACTGCACGTCAATGTACTGCTCAGTTAAAATTCTAGGTATTTCGGGGATTCTATTTTTCTCCCTCTGCTCTTATATATATGCTTGCTCTATTGCATGGTTTATTCATAGACAAGAAAACTTTTCTTAGTCACTGACCATTTGGGTTTATTAGTAAAGCAGTTCTAATATGACAACATAGTTGTTTTTTTGATAATTTTGAGAGAGTTTCGCTCTTGTTGCCCAGGCTGGAGTACAATGCTGTGATCTCTGCTCACTGCAACCTCTGCCTCCCAGGTTCAAGCAATTCTCCTGCCTCAGCCTTCCGAGTAGCTGGGATTACAGGCATGTGCCACCACGCTCTGGTCTCAGCCTCAGCTGAGAAAAAAAGCACAGAGGTTTTTTTTTTTTTTTATCAAAAACTACTCAGCAGTAGGCCGGGTGTGATGGCTTATGCCTATAATCCCAGCACTTTGGGAGGCCAAGGCAGGCGGATCACCTGAGGTTGGGAGTTTGAGACCAGCTTGTCCAACATGGAGAAACCCCGCCTCTACTAAAAATACCAAATTAGCCAGGCATGGTGGCAAATGCCTGTAATCCCAGCTACTAAGGAGGGTGAGGCAGGAGAATCACTTGAACCTGGGAGGCGGAGGTTGCGGTGAGCCGAGATCCTGCCATTGCACTCCAGCCTGGGGCCATTTGGTATATGCTCGATTGCAGCTGAAGAGTAAATTGGAAGGAGAACTAGTTCTTGGTCTCAGAAACTCTCACCTCTTGTACTAGGCCTGCCACAAATTTGCTGAATGGAAACGTCAACATCTTTCTGGATGTTTTCTCATCTCTCAAATAGGCAAACAGGACTAGATCTGATGTTCTTGAACACCTCAGTCTTGGCAATCTATTTTAAGCAGACTCTCCTAGGCCCTCCCATGTTACCCATCATCTGAGAGCAATGTTTCTCAAACATTTTTTTTCCATTACCCCCCTAAGGAGCTTTTTAACATTTTTTTCTGATTGCAACCCTCCTCTTTTTGTGATCTTCAGTTTCCCCTGTGGTAGTTTCTTACATAACAGTAAGATTCTATACTATTATGTAACTGTCATGTTTTATAAGAATATTGAAACTAGAAAATTGAGAATCAAACTTGGGTTGAAATGCCAAAAAAAACCCAAGTAAAATGGCACATTCCATATTTTCAAATTTGCCCAACCCTATCACACAAAGGCAGCTAAGCGTGGTTTCTGCCCGTGAAGGCCTACAGCCTCATAAGGCTTCCACAGTTCAAAGAAGTCCCTTATGTATTGTGGATTAGGAGAAATACATACATGACAGAAAATGCTAACTCCAATAACATTTTCTCATTCTTTCATCCAAAAAACAATCCTCTATGATGTTGAAGGAGTTGTAATAGAAACAAAAGTATATTTAAGAATAACTAGACCAATTCCAGGTAATATATGTATCTATTTCACTCTGAAAGTCACATGACTCCGCACTCAAGTGTGGACCATGCACAGTAACTTCCTTTTAAAAGCTACAGCATATGTTAAAGAAAAAAAATTCTTGACACTTGTTAAAGAACAGGAAAGCAGACTTTATATAGGACCATTGCAGTAGGTATAGAAACCACAGCAATGGGGTTTTGCAATGAAGGTTGAGCTCAACTCCTAATACAAGAAGAAAAAAAGTGGGGATTTATAGCTAAGGATCTATCCCTTGACTCCTTGAGGGTGAGGGAATCAGAGGATGAGAAATTACTAACAGAAAATATCTAGGGTCAGCTGGGCACAGTGGCTGATGCCTGTAATCCCAGCACTTCGGGAGGCAGAGGTGAGTGGCTTACTTGAAGTCAGGAGCTCAAGACCAGCCTGGCCAACATGGTGAAACCCTGTCTCTACTAAAAATACAAAGGTTAGCCTGGCGTGGTGTCAAACACCTGTAATCCCAGTTACTTGAGAAGCTGAGGCACGAGACTTGCATGAACCCAGGAAGTGGAGGTTGCAATGAGCCGAGATCACACCACTGCACTGCAGCATGGGCAACAGAGCGAGACTTCATCTCAAAAAAAAAAGAAAAAAAAGGGGGAAAAAACCATTCAGGGTAAGAGTATTCTGCATAAACCTAACAGAATTCTTGCTGCAAGCAGATCAGAATAGGTATCACCTGGGGATAGCGGAGGAGCAAAGACCAGATCAGATTTCCAGGATGGGGGATTCTGGCAAACTGACATAGCAGGATTCCTGCCCAAATTGGACAATGCAGAGGTGAAAATGGAAGCCCAAAAGTCAAAAAATTCGTTCTAAGTATTCTTTCAAACAATCCTCTATGATGTTGTTTGATGTAGGTGGAAAAGGTTTAGAGAAGCCCGGTTAAAGCTTGGTCAAAGAAAGAACCTTTGTCAACAGACAAAGGAAAAAAAAAGGTAACTCCACAGTGGAGAATCTTGGTTCACTACAGCCTCAACCTCCCAGGTTCAAGCAATCATCCCACATCAACTTCCTAGGTAGCTGAGACTATCAGCATGCACCACCAGGCCCAGCTAATTTAAAATTTGTATTTCTAACTAGCTGCCCAGGTGATGCAAATCCTGCTGGTTCATAACCACACTGAATAGAATCTAAGTACACTTCCTGAAGAAAAACAGTATCATAGGAACCATTTCAAGTAAGTCTTCTGCTCCGATCTTCCATGGCCAGACATTGGGAACAAGCTTGCTGACTTTTCTGGAGTTCTCCTGGAATATCCCCTTCTCCCCTAACATTGCTACTAGGTAATTTCGTACTGCTCAGTATTTCAGTGTAGCTGGCACAGTTTAAGTTTGGGCAGTTTTTAACCTTCAGGAAAGAAAAGTAGAGAAGAGAGGTAAGATAAACCCTGCATTGTCTACCTATTACTAGGTTTGTGAAATGTTTGTTCTTGATTGTTCTAATGATCTTTGGAGGTGACTATTTCTATTCTACAACTTAGGAAATTTTGGCGAGTTTTTTATTCCTTCCAAGCTAAAGGTGAACCTGCAGACAAAGGGAGTGGGAAGACAGATTCAAGTTTTCCCACTTACAACCAACCAAAAAATAAGTCAAAGAAGCAAAGAAAACAGCAAGTATTTTCCACTCTCCTCAATTCCCTTTGCCCTTATTGAGCCTACTGCAAATTTGCATTTGTTTTCTGCAGCAGAACTTCTTGTAGCTGTTTGTAGTTAGCTAGTTCGTAGTTTTACATTATCACTTTCCTTCTAAGTATTCTTTCTAAACACTCAAGTTAGTATTCTCAGGAACAATCTTAAAGGAAAACACATCTCCTATCTGTGGCACATCCCCCTTAATGTACCCTTGATCCCCTCTTTTTTAATTCAAAGTTGTATGAAACAAGCCCCTTTGAATTACCCTTTATATACCCTAGGCCTTGTGGGCGGGGAAAAGGTTGTCCTTTAGCCCCAGCAGACTTCAGTTAAGCATCTCAAGGTAAAAATCATTTTTCAATGTATCAGAACCCTCCCTTGGAGACTGATTCATTCAGAGTGGGGTGGAGCCTAGAATCTAGAATCCGCTCCATCGCCCCACCTCCATGAGCTTTGGGGCCCCAGCAATTTGGAAGTCATTTTTTTTCCCTTTTGATAGAAACAGAGGTCTCATTATGTTGCCCAGGTTGGGCTCAAACTCCTGGGTGCGAGCAATTCCCATACTTTGACCTCCCCAAGTGCTGAGATTACAGGCATGAGCCACCTCACCCAGCCTTCTTTTTTTCTTTAATCAAACTGTTCAGTTAGTTATGTTACAGGTTGAGCATCCCTACATCCAAAATGCTCCAAACTCTAAAACTTTTTGAGTGCCAGCACGATGCCATAAGTGAAAAATTCCATAGGTGACCTCCTATGATGGATCGTATGTGTGTCATGCACAAAATTATTTAAAATATTCTATAAAATTAGCTTCAGGCTATGTGTATAAAGTATATATGAGACCTAAATATATTTCATGTTTAGACTTGGGTCCCATCCCCGCAATATCTCATTATATATATGCAAATATTCCAAAATAAAAAAAAAATCTGAAACCCTTCTAGTCCCAAGCATTTCCAATTAGAAATACTCCACCTGTACCTCTTTAACTGTGGGCATATTAGAACAGGGCACCTTGTTCATCTCCACATCTTCTATCCAACCCTTCTCAAATGGTATTAGTGAGAGAATAAACCCCTATACCCCTTATAAGAGTTAGAGAAAGAGGAAAGAAACACGAAAAGCGGCTTAACAGTTAAAAACAGGTTTATTCTCCAAGATAAACAGGGCTTCTGTCCAATTTTGGTCAGGAACATTCCCTTTTACAGACTAAGGATATTTAAGGGTTTAGGAAGTGGGGAGCTTATCGTAGGTTCAGAATGTTTCTATGTGAGGGAAAGTTTATTACAGCGTTGGAATGTCACTGGTCAGAGGGGAGGCTGTCTTGGGGTTGGCATATTTCTGGTTGGAGGAGGGTTTATCTTAGGGCTGGAATGTTTCTGGTTATGCTGACATTAGCCATTAGGCTGATGTTTTGGGGCTAGATTTAGGCTTTTTTTTTTTTTTTTAGTCAAGAGAAACTTAAAATGGCAGAGTTTGTCCAAAATGGCGACGCCCCTGCTCTGTCAATCCAGTCCCTATAGTTATAAAAAGGATGAGGGATAGTGTGTTCTTTCTGGCTAGTTCCTGCTGAGGAGGGCATGAAGAGTTCTTTGGTTTTGGAGAGTAAACCTGTCTTTGACTGTTAAGTCACTTTTCATGTTTCTCTCCTCTTACTTTAACTCTTACATCCCAAAGTATGAAATGAATTAACTTCTTCTCTATGTATCTAAGGTATCATCACTGTGCCATCTTTGGGAAGAATGAGAAAATAGCCACTGCAATAATTTTCTGGAGGGCTATTTTTTCCTATGGGACACTGATGGAGGAAGACCACAGCCCATTGACTAGAAAAAGGCCTGGAATGGAGTTCACGCCCTCAGAGCTCGTGCAGGAGCCATCTATGAACTACAAGCACATTGACTCCGTATCCTCACATGAGCCCTGGGAGGCAGCCACTGTTAATATCCTCATTTTATGGATGAGGAAACTGTTGCCCTGTTAAAGCTTAATCAGCTTTATTATTTGCTTCCCATCACTGCTGTCACAACTTGCCACAAACTCACTGATGTCACACAACACAAAGTTATTATCTTATGGTTTGGGAGGTCAGATGTCCAAAGTTGGTCTCCTTGGGCTAAAATCAAGGTGTCAGTGAGGTTGGTTCCTTCTGAAATTCTGAGGGGAGAATTTGTTTCCTTGCCTTTTTATTTTGTTTTTGTTTTTGAGACAGAGTCTCACTCTGTCACCCAGGCTGGGGTGCAGTGGCGCCATCTTGGCTCACTGTAACCTCCACCTCCTGGGTTCAAGAGATTGTCATGCCTCAGCCTCCCAAGTAGCTGGGATTACAGGTGCATGCCACCACACCCAGCTAATTTTTATATTTTTAGTATAGACAGGGTTTCACCATGTTGGCCAGGCTCGACTCAAACTCCTGATCTCAGGTGACCCCCAACCTCAGCCTCCAAAGTGCTGGGATTACAAGCCTGAGCCACTGTGCCTGGCCTTCCTTGCCTTTTTCAGCTCCTAGAGGCCACCCGAATCGTTTAGCTAATAATCCCTTCCTTGATGATACACTCCAACTTCTTGTTTTTCTTTATTTCTAAAAAGCGGTTCTGTAACTCTCAATCCAGAGATGTTAAAAATGTTTCTAGGCACGGTATTAGTAAATCAAGTAAATTTCATGTCCTCTTAAAGGACAAACTTCCAGAGATTTGAATATAAATTTTTATATGTGTTATTGATTGTCGTGTAACAAATGGCCCCCACAAATTAGTAGCTTAAAATAGCATTTATGATGTCACTGTTTTCTTTGCCTTTTCATTAATGTTCTGTACAGACCTATGTAAACAACTTTTGTATATGCATATAGGATAGCTTTTTTGAGGGTATACAGCTGTATACAAAAGCAGCTGATATTAGTTAAGCTTGTGTCAACTACTTTTTTTGACTTGTACATTTGGTACTTTTTCTGGAGGGTGTTGATTAAAGTTGTATGTGCTTAGTATATGAGAAAAAAACTGCTTCTGGCTCTGGGCCTCTCACAAGGTGGCAATAAAGGTGTTGGCAAGGGCTTTAGTCATCTCAAGGCTTAACTGGAGCCCTTGTGTACATGAATGTGCAGAGTGTGACTCAGTTTCCAAGCTCACTCATGTGGCTCTTGGCAGAAGACATAAGTTCTTTGTGACATGGGCCTCTCTGTAGGACAGCTTACAGTGTGACACCTGGCTTTTTTCAGAGTAACTGAGCAAAAAGCCAGAGAGGCAGAGCCCCCAAGATTGAAGCCACGGACTTTTTTTTGAGACAGAATTTTGCTCTTATAGCCCAGGCTTGAGTGCAGTGGCGTGGTCTCAGCTCACTGCAACCTCCACCTCCTGGGTGCAAGCAATTCTCCTGCCTCAGCCTCCCGAGTAGCTGCCACAGACTTTTTATGACCTAATCTTGGATGTACTATCCCATTTCTTCTCCATGTTCTTCACATAAGAATGTCAGTCCAGCCCACATGCAAGAAGAGGGGATTTCAAGGGCATGAATACCAGGGGGTAGGGTCACTGGAGGCCACATTGGAGGCTGTCATTTATACCCTTTGAGAATTAAGTCAGGGATGTCCTTAATGAACATGCAGCATTGCTAAGATTCCAGACTAAATGGCTCAAATACATATTGGATTATTCTTCTGAGCTTACTGTTTATTTAGCCAAAAGTTATTAAGAATAAAGTATACTGGGGGGAAGAAAAGGAAGGAAGGAAATTATCTTTAATTCTCCCACACTAACATACATCTTAATTTTTGTCTTTAGTTCTTATTCAAATATATAAATATTTTTACATGATTATAATTTTTTATAGTCTTTGGTGCCCATTTTTTAACACTTGGCATCATATTACAAAGCATCAACCACATTTCCAGACAATCCTCATGATCATTTTATTTTATTTTTATTGGGATGGAGTCTCACTCTGTCACCCAGGCTGGAGTGCAATCTCATTGCAACCTCCGCCTCCTGGATTCAAATGATTCTCCTGCCTCAGCCTCATAAGTAGCTGGGATTACAGGAATGCACTACCAGCATGGCTGGCTAATTTTTGTATTTTTTTAGTAGAGATGGGGTTTCGCCATGTTGGCCAAGCTGGTCTGGAGCTCCTGACCTTAAGTGATCTGCCTGTCCTCAGCCTCCCAAAGTGCTGGGATTACAGGCTTGAGCCACCATGCCCAGCAGCACCATCATTTTAACATACTAGAGATCTTCATTATCGTAAAATTACTTGTTCTCTTAAAGTAAGGCCTTACACCCTACTAAAATGTGATCAAAATTTTATTATGAATAGATGAAAAGCTGTAGCTATAAATTATGAGAGTAAGTTTATTTTATATTTATCCAAATGTAGTTCATAATAGCAACTTCACTAAATCTTAGAATAAAAAATGAATAAAATGTTAATTTTTTGGAGGAAATGGTTAATTTTTTCTACAAAATTGTGTGACAGCTTTACAGACCTTACTCTTCACAATTGACTTGAACATTAACATCACAAAGAGGGTCCTGTTGACAAAAGAATAGTCAAGAACTTCATGAATTTTTGACAGTGACTCTTTTCTAACCCTTTAATCCAAATATATTTAAGTGTCCATCGTCGTCCTTTATCCAACTCATTTGTTAACTAGTTTTCTTCTGTGAGTTCCTTTGCCTATAATTGAAGCAGTTCTCTGAAATCACCCAAACTGATTTTATGAAAGCCCATGCTTTTGGAAAGATTTGCACTTCGGCTTTGCAATCTATTTACATTGACTGTACTTGCATTGTATTGCTAGATGTTGACTATCAGTTAGGACAATCAAAAATATATTGATAATGGGCAGGGATAAATCAGAAGTTACTGTCAATAACAAAGTTATGTTTTATGGGTATTTTATAGGTGATAAATTCATTACTGAGCAATTTCATATCATGTTTTAATTCTCCTGGTTGTAATATGGTGACTCTGGAGACTCAAATATTAAATATTGGTGTAAAGACAACCTCTTGTCATTCAATCTTGTCTACAGTTTGAACACAGGAAGAGTCTTTTTACATGTATAATGATAGTCCCAATAGTAATAATGACAATGGTTACTTTCTGCTTAGTGTTCTATTCTGTGCCAAGCATTGGATAATATTGATGAAAAGGTTAACTATTGTAATGTAGTGTAAGGGCTTAGGTATTAAAATGAATACAATGAATCAATACATAGTGCAGGAAAAGGTATTTGGGAAAATAGACATAATGTAGTTGGACAACTTAGCTTCAAAATGCATTAAACATTTTTATTTTTCCTTTCTCTTGGATTTCAAGATATAAGCTTGAGGCAAACTGCAGAAGCCTTTCCTTATCTTTTTTTTTTTTTTTTTTTTGAGACGGAGTATCGCTCATCGCCCAGGCTGGAGGGCAGTGGCATGATCTTGGCTCACTGCAAGCTCCGCCTCCCAGAAGTCACGCCATTCTCCTGCCTCATCCTCCCGACTAGCTGGGACTACAGGCGCCCGCCACCACGCCCGGCTAATTTTTTGTATTTTTAGTAGAGAGGGGGATTCACTGTGTTACCCAGGATGATTTCGATCTCCTGACCTCGTGATCCGCCCGCCTCGGCCTCCCAAAGTGCTGGGATTACAGGCGTGAGTCACCGCGCCCAGCCTTTCCTTATCCTTGAAATAGACTCCACGGACCTCCCATTCTCACTCTCTTCACATTTATCTAACTGTATGCTAGTATCTAATTATGTGTCTTCTTAGAAGTTCTAGGAGCTAATCTTGAAACAGACCAAGCCTGGAGACCCAGTTGCACAGTTCCAGAGATGGCTTCAAGGTGGCGAATTAACAACCCGGCCATTGTTGAGATGACGTCAGCCTGATGTCCAGGTGGACTGGGACCCAAGGTGGCCACCAGAACAAGACACGAGGACATTGTACTCAGCCCAATTCTTGCATGCCTTCCTTATCAAGTTTTCCCTTTTTAAAACCCATGCCTTCCCACTCAACCACAACTGAAGCAGTTACTTTGGATAGGAGTCCAGCTGCTTCCCCTTCAATAGTTTTGGTTAATAAAGTCACTTTCTTTCTACCAGAGCTTGCTCTTGTTAATTGAACTCTGCAAATGGCGAGCACCTGGACCTGCATTCTGCTACAATAATATGGAGGAGACTTCCGTTAGATAAAAATTATAGGAGACCATTGTTTTGGACTAAGCTCCTGCACAAGGCCCCAACGGAACTGATTAAAAATCAAAATGGAGTCACGCATGTTAAAGTTTCGTGTCACCAAACCTAAACTAAGTTTTTGTCTGACCTTTCTAGAAATCAGGAGAAGGAAAAATAGCCAATTGCCCAAACAGGCCCGTTTAAATCTTTAATTTTTCTATTGTTCTGTCTTCTTGTACGTGGTTTTCAAGAAAAAGTAACTTTGAAAAGTAATGAATGCACTCTGTACACACTCTGTTCTTGGTTTCTGTTTTCTGCACCGTTACTGTGTCTTACAAGGCCAGCCTCCTCTGCTTGGCTCACTGGAACACTAATTCTGTTTTATGGAACGAACTATTGCCCTATCCTAGAATCATCAAGTCAGTTGAGATCTTTAAATTTGTTGTAATTTTGGTTTTTGACAATTCAAGTTGTTTAAATCTCGAGAAAAGAAGATTAAGATGAACGAAGAATACAGTTCAAAATCATCCAACAACAGCAGAGGGTTCAACTGAGATAAACTGCCTTGTATAGGGGGCCCATCCTCATCTTCCTACTATATGAATGAAAAGTCCATCTACGCCAGGGGCAGTGACTCACTACTGTAATCCTAGCACTTTGGGAGGCCGAGGTGGGCAGATCACTTCAGGTCAGGAGTTCGAGACCAGCCCGGCCAACATGATGAAGCCCTGTCTCTACTAAAAATACAAAAATTAGCCAGACATGGTGGTGCATTCCTGTAATCTCAGCTACTTGGTAGCCTGAGGCAGAAGATACCGCTTGAACCTGATAGGCGGAGGTTGCAGTGAGCCCAGATCACACCACTGCACTCCAGCCTGGGCAACAAAGTGAGACTTTGTTTTAAAAAAAAAAAAGAGAAGAAAATTGTCCACCTGCAAATGAGGCAGCAGAACTACCGATGGAGCAATACATGGTCTTGTTAGCTTTGCCTGAGGAGCCAAGAGGGATTTGGGCTGGGGGGAGATTTATTCAAGAAAAAATGAGGAAGTCATTGCTGTAATTAAAACTGGTTGCAGCCAGGCATGGTGGTTCACACATGTAATCCCAGTAACTTGGGAGGATTGCTTGAGGCCCAGAGTTCCAGACCAGCCTGGAACTCCAGACCCTGTCTCTAAAAAAAA
Organism: Homo sapiens; assembly: GCF_000001405.40. Lineage (NCBI taxonomy): Eukaryota > Metazoa > Chordata > Mammalia > Primates > Hominidae > Homo > Homo sapiens. Next base: position 78,071,599 of record NC_000016.10, read on the forward strand.
AATTAATTAGGTGGGCATGGTGGTTCGTGCCTGTAATCCCAGTTACTCCAGAAATGGAAGGATCACTTAAGTTCCAGAAGTCGAGGCTGCAGAGAGCTGTAGCTGTGATTATGCCACTGCACTCCAGCACTCCAAACTGGATGACGGAGCCAAACCTGGTCTCTTAAAAATACAAAACAAGACAAAAAAACAAAAGCTGGTTGCATCAAGCTTCCCAGGAAGCTAATTTAGACTCATTGTCTTCGCAGATGCAGGCAAGGTAAATAAGCAAGGCAAGGCATTTTCAAGAATAGTTTTTCTCGGCCGGACGCAGTGGCTCATGCCTGTAATCCCAGCACTTTGGGAGGTCGAGGTGGGTGGATCACCTGAGGTCAGGAAGTCGAGACCAGCCTGACTAACGTGGTGAAATCCCGTCTCTACAAAAATACAAAACATTAGCTGGGCATGGTGGCGGGCACCTCTAACCCCAGCTACTTGGGAGGCTGTGGCAGGATAATTGCTTGAACCTGGGAGGCGGAGGTTGCAGTGAGCCCGGATCGTGACATTGCACTCCAGCCTGGGCAACAAGAGCAAAACCCTGTCTCAAAATAGGATAAAATAAAATAGTTTTTCTCACCAGTTCTACCTAGAGTCAGAGCCGCATAGAAGGAACCCTAGAACTGGGAACTGGGACAAGGCAGTCATTTTCTTGCCCTGTGGGTTTTGATGAATAGACCTGTTTTGCTGGCAGTTGTGGCCATTTGCTGCCTTGATTGCTTTTGTGGCCTTTGGTGCCCCAGGTAGTGCAAAGCCTACCTGAAGGAGTTAGGAGAAGTAGAATGAATATCACCCCCAGGAAACCGCGGTGTACTTTACATATGCAATTTAAATTACCCTACTTAGCAGGTGGTAGTATTCTACACCTGAAGACACTAAGGCGGTGAAAGGTTAAATTGCCTACAGCCATGCTGCTGATTAAATGTTGACTCAGGGATATAACCCAGGTAGGCTAACCTTGAAAGCAGTGCTTCGTGAAAAAGGCTGAACTGTCTACTGCTAACTGTGACTCAGGGACACCCGTTAAGATAAGTTGGGAAAGTTGCCCTTTCCACTAAGCATATATATGTTTTTTTTTTTTTAAAAGTCACATTGAAACAGCAGGAGTTATAGGAAAATAAAAACAAATTATTGCAAAGTAATTTTTTTCAACCAAAATGAATCCACATTTCTCTTTTTATGCCGGAATAACTCACTCGGTCTCTCTCTAAATCTCTCTCTCTCTCTCTCTCTCTCTCTCTCTCTCTCTTTGCGTGTGTGTTTGCGTGTGTGTGTATGTTTAACAGGGATCATCAAAGCAGTTGAGTTCCCCTCTGCACTGGTCATTGATCCGCCAGTTCAAGGAGGGATGCCTGAGTTAACACCATTATAGCTGAAGTGGGGACATCCATTGCCCTGTGCTTCTCAAATAAGTGATTCTCAGAAACCAGATAAAGGAAAAATAAAAACTGGAAAAGCAGACCACTTGAAATGTGTGTGAGAATAAAGTGAAGAACCATTCACTCATTCATTCATGTGTTCTTGCAGCAAACAACAGGACATCAGTGAGTAGGGCCTTCCTGAACCACCTGCTCTAAAAAGCCTCTCCAAGGATAATTACCAGAGGCTAAGAAGAGGACTCGGGGGCTAGGATGAAGGTGGTGATGGTTAATGGGTATGAAAAAAAAATAAAACAAATAAGACTGACCATTTGATAGCACAACAAGGCAATGATAGTCAATAGTAACTGTACATTTTAAAACAACTCAAAGAATTTAACTGGCTTGTGTGTAACTCAAAGGATAAATGCTTGAGCGAATGGATACTCCATTGTCTATGATGCACTTATTTCACACTGCATGCCTGTACCAAAACATCTCATAAATACATACACCTACTATGTACCCATGAAAATTAAAAATAGAAAAAGAGGTCATAAATAAAACCACTGCTTTGGATAATTAAAAAAAATAAAGTCCTCAGGTTGTTCTCCACCTCTGAACCCTGTTCATTTCTTCATAGCACATTTCACAATCTGGTGATGTGTTTGTCTATCTGATGAATTATCTGTCTACTTCTCTGGGCTGCAAACTCCAAAATCATAGGGATTGTGTATGTTTGGTTCAGTGTCCATTTTTAGGACTGAACAGTGTCTGGAACTTCATAAGCATGGTACTCAGCTAATACTAGCTGATGAGTAAATGAGAAAGGCAGTGGATGGCCTCTGAAGACAGAGAGGTGAAAACCTTTTTCCTGCATGTTGTGATTCTCTAATGAGATTCTCTAATGTGATTCTCTAATTCGGATGTTGCTAGGATCTAGCAGCCTATTATTTCAAGGAAGATTCTTACTAAGGAGATGCTTAATTTAAAAATCTTTATTTCCCCCTGGTGAGCAGTCTACCATTCAGGACTTCAGGGCTAGGGCAAGCTGGCTTTGGCCTACTACTTGGGGACCTGTCTGAGATAAATATGTCTCAGATTCTTGGCTAGAGGTGGTAGGAAAGGAGGTAGGATTTGGATTGAGTGTCCAAGACTTTCTGGGAATTTGGGGTCAGACTCACAGGGACAAATTGGTGTATAAAAAGGCAGAGTTTCTGGAATGGGCTTCAGCAGGTCTTGAGTGAGGTCCCCAAAATTGCACTGTTTTTTTAAGAGAGAGTATTCACTCTCTTGTCTAGGCTGGAGTGCAGTGGTATAATCATAGCTAACTGCAGCCTCGAACTCCTGGGCTCATGCCATCCCCCTGCCTCAGTCTCCCAAGTAGCTAGGACTATAGGCACATGCTACCACACCCAGCTAATTGTCTTGTTTTTAAAGTAGAGACAAGGTCTCACTTTGTTGCCTAGGCTGGTCTTGAACTCCTGGCCTCAAATGATCTTCCCATCCTGGCCCCCCAAAGTGCTGGGATTACAGGTGTGAGCCACTGTGCCTGGCCCAGAATTGCATTTCTAACAAGCTCCAGGGTGATGCTGATGTTGTGGGGTCAGGAGACTGTGCTTTGAAAACCACTGATGCAGTCAGAAGATCTCAGCTTGGTTCTTGCTTCTTGGGAGTTCATCGTCCTTACAGGGTTGCTGGAAGTCTAAAGGGACCAGTACAGTGTTATCTCATTTAATAACCTAACACCTCACCTGAAGCAGGAGAAGGGGCTTTTTCAAGATTCACGATTTGTATTAATCAGAGCAAGATAATGACTGTAAAACCAGAAGGAGAAAGAATGTGCTACTCGCAGTTCAAGAGTCAATCTTTTGTTTGTTTATGTGACAAATCATCTTCAAGCTCACCTTTCTCCAGGGTCTACTCGAATATCACCTTCCCATCGAAGCCTTCCCTTGCCCCCTGTATTTACATTTAGAAGCCTGTCTCTTAAACTCCCTACCTCCCCTTCTTTCCTTATTGTTTTCCATAGAACTCATTTCCCAACACAGTGTAGACTTCTCGTGTTTATTGTGCCTGCTTTCTGAATCACCCACTAATGTTTCAGCTCTATAAGGTCAGGGATTTGTATTCATATCGTTCACTGTGGTCATCTCAGCACTTAGAATGGTGTGTGGCACATAGTAGGTGCTTACAGTGAGTTGAATGGTGGCCCCCCCCAAAATGCATGTCCACATCCTAAGCCCTAGAACCTGTGAATGTGATCTTACTTGGGGGAAAAAAAAGGTCTTTGAAGATATAATTATGTTAAGAATCTTAGATGATATCACCCTGGATTACCTGAGTAGGCCTTCAATCTAATGACAAGTATCTTTTTAAGCAACAGAAAGGAAAAGCCATTGAAGATGGAAGCAGAGATTGGGGTGATGCGGCAATGAGCCTGGGAGCCACCAGAGGCTGTAAGAGGCAAGGAAAGATTACCTTCTAGAGCCTTCAGAGGGAGCAGAGTGTGGCCTTGTTGATACCTTAACTTCCGACTGACTTTTGACTTTCAGAACTATGAGAAAATAAATTAGTTGTAAGCTGCCCAATTTGTGACACTTTGTGAGGCTAACTCAAGGACACTAATATGTTCAATAATTTGGTAGTATGAATGAATGAGTAAATGAACGAGCTCCCAGCGTGTGGCAGGCACTGCACTGGGTACTGAAGACATAATGACAAACAAGACAGACGAGCAGTGTCATGTTGGAGATTCAATTCTAGAGGGGAAGACAGACAATAAAACTGCAAATGATGAATAAGATGTTAGTGATATTTCTCATAGTGGTTTCCTATGAAAGAAATAAATAGGGTGACAAAGGTATTTGAAATGGTGAGAGGGCTGGGGAGCTGGTGATTGGTGCTGTTTCCTGAATAGTTCCAACTGCCTGCCTTCTGGTCCCTTCATAGGATTGTGCTTCCTTGGCCCCTTGTGGTTGGGTAGGGCTATGAAACTTGCTCTCACCAATGCTTTGTGAATAGAAGCGACAGGTCATTTAATCACCATTGTGAGACCCTCCAGAGCTCTCTTTCTTTATGCCATGGCAATTAGCAACCAGCATCACTTGAAAGAGCAGCCGTTCCACCATGCTGGGTTCCAGAGGCAGTAAATGTGGGCCAACGCTCCCAGACAACACCCAATATTCATGCATGGGATTCATGCATTTTGGGACAGAATCAACAGGGTCAAGCTTGGCTGCTGGGTGTGTAGCATTTGGAGCTCGGAGTATGGTGGTGCCATTTCCCAACAGGGAAGTCTGGAGAAGACTGGCCTCTCACGGGCTGCCACACTGCATAGTGCTGGAGGGGCAGCCTTACCCCAGAGGCAGGGCAGGCAGGGATGTGACATTGAAGAGGACACTAACTGGTCCAATGGTTACCTTGATCTGCTGACCATTGCCTCACTCTAAATAACAATTGGCACTTTTAAGCTGGGCGCAGTGGCTCACGCCTGTAATCCCAGCACTTTGGGAGGCTGAGGCGGGTGGATCACCTGAGGTTAGGAGTTCGGGACCAGCCTGGCCAACATGGTGAAACCCCGTCTCTACCAAAAATGCAAAAATTAGCCAGGCGTGATGACAGGCCCCTGTAGTCCCAGCTACTTGGGAGGCTGAGGCAGGAGAATCGCTTGAATCCAGGAGGTGGAAGTTGCAGTGAGCCAAGATTGTGCCATTGCACACCAGCCTGGGTGACAAGAGCAAAACTCTGTCTCAAAAACAAACAAACAAAAATTGACACTTTTTGGTGTCATCTAAGGTTTTCACATTTATTAATGCCCTAACTTTCCTTAATCAATAAAAAAAATTGGTTCTTTTTTCTTTTTAAGACAGAGACTCCCTCCATTAGCCAGGCTAGAGTGCAGTAGTACAGTCAGGGCTCACTGCAACCTCTGCCTCCTGGGCTCAAGTGATCCTCCCGTCTCAGCCTCTCAAGTAGCTTAGACTACATGTGGGAACCGCCATGCCTGAATAATTTTTATAATTTTTGTAGAGATGGGTATTTGTCATGTTGCCCAGGCTGATCTCAAACTCTCAGACTCAAGCGATCCACCCACCTTTGCCTCCCAAGTGCTAGATTACAGGCATGATAGATATGAACCTCCATGCTCAATCTAGTTCTTTTTTTTTTTTTTTTTTGAGATGGAGTCTCATTCTGTCACCCAGGCTGGAGTGCAATGGCACGATCTCAGCTCACTGCAACCACCACCTCTCGTGTTCAAGCGATTCTTGTGCCTCAGCCTCCCAAGTAGCTGGGATTACAGGTGCCCGCCACCATGCCCAGCTACTTTTTGTATTTTTAGTACAGATGGGGTTTCACCATGTTGGCCAGGCTGCTTTCAAACTCCTGACCTCAGGTGATCCACCCACCTTGGCCTCCCAAAGTGCTGGGATTATAGGCGTGAGCCACTGCACCTAGTTCTTTCAAATGGCTCAATATATTATACTTATTGTATTATTGTTATATTCTAGTACTATATATTACATATTTCTCTCTTCTTGCCTATTGAATATAAATATTCCAGTTGCTCTATAAAAAGATTTTTAAAACCATCAAGGCAGCCTGTGAATTCCTTGTATTTGTGATCAGGTAAAATAATGCCAGTATACCACTACCAGTGCCTGGCACTGAAACACAAAATAAACACTATGTACGTAATGTTACTTGCTGCTATTATTGTTGTTATATGGTAAATATTTTGACTTGGTATCTTGTAATGTTCACCTTCTTTTGGTTTTTATATTAGTCACTAAATCTGTGTAATCTGACTTCTTTTAAATTTCTGAAAATGAGGGCATTAATATTTGAATTACAGTGAAAGTAACTATGAGGCCCCTTTTTTTTATTTTTTGTCTGCAGTGAATTACTGACTTCAGTGGATTTAATCAGCACTCCATTGCCATCTGAATGACCCTGAAAAATAGGAATGTTTTTAAGGCAAATTGCACTTTTCTTCCATGGCTACACACAGTATTTGGATGCCAATATTTCTTCTAATGAGTTTCTGCATGTTACTAGCCTATTGATGCACAGTGAGGGTGGATGGCAGGCATTCTTGGGTGCTTATAAAACTCCTCTTCTCACCCCAGCATCAGCAAACACACAGGCACACGCATGCACACACACCCAGCATCTTTTGTGCCAATGCAGTCATGACTGCATTCATGGGCCAGGGAAGCGGTAAAACTGGGCTCCTTCCTGGACTCAATACTGAGTCTGGTTTAGTCTAAAGTGATCATCAGAATGCCATCGCCCTTGCCAATGATCAAGGATGAGTGTGTTGCAAAATTCTGGCCAATGAAGGGTGTACAGGGAGATTTCTTTCATTCTTGAGCAAGGGCACAAGGAAGGAATGTTTTTCTGCTCCTGGATATAATCTTCTCACCTTGGAATTAAGGTCAGTATATTAGGAACCATGAGTGGAGCCAGCTGATGCCCTGAAGAGAATAGCAGAATGAAAAGATTAAAAGAGCCTGGATTAGCCAGGCATGGTGCTGCATGCCTGTAGTCTCAGCTACTTGGGAGGCTGAGGCAGGAGGATCACTTGAGCCCAGGAGTTTGAGGTTGCAGTGAACAGTCATCATGGCATGGCAGTCCAGCCTGAATGACAGAGCAGGGCCCTGTGTAGAAAAAAAAAAAAAAGAAAAGAGCCTGGGTTCTGGAATTAACCAGCCCTGAAACCACTCTAAGTCAGGAGTTCTGATTATAAGAAATACTTTTGTCTTAACTGTATAAGCCACTTATAGTTGCAGCTTGCTAACCAGCATCTCCGAGCAGAACATGCCAGGTGATAGAGTATCTGCATCATTTCAAACTTCTCTTCAGAAAGCTGTCATTCACTCAGCAAATATTCACTAAGCACCTATTATTTGCCAGGCAATTTACTAGGTACTGGGGATTACAGTGATGACTAAGACATGGTCCCTGTCTAAAGTCACTAACATTCTGTTGGGTGAAACAGACATTAAATGACTAACACACTTAAAATATTTTTTTTCAACTAAAATAAAGATAAATGCTATAAGGAGACATATAGGGTAATAAATAAACCATAGCAAAGGTTCTGGAGGGCCTGTGAAGGCTTCCAGGGGAAGCTGTATTTGTGCTGAGCCTTGACTAGGCTCAGGTCTTGACTAGGGCCAGGAGGAATGGGTTGCCTTGAATGAATTGGACTAATGGTGAATTAATTCCTATGTCAGGGCACACATTAGTCCATTCTCATACTGCTATAAAGAAATACCTGAGACTGGGTAATTTATAAAGCAAAGAAGTTTCATTGGATCATAGTTGCACAAGTTCCGTACATCATGTCCATTTTCTAGTAAAGAGGAAAGGTGGGGTGAGACAGGTATGTACTTCACTTTGAAGACACTTCTCTTAGCCGGGCATGGTGTCTCATGCCTGTAGTCCTAAGGCATGAGGTGGCACTCAACTCTAGAGGTGGGCTCGAACACTGGACCAAATTGAGGACTAGCTAAATCAGGGAGGGGGTAGAAGCAGCTTTCCATAAGACATGCCCACCAGTGTGCCATGTCAGTTTACCATTGCCATGGCAATGCCTGTGAGTTTCCCTTTCCATGGCAACAACCCAATGACCCAGAAGTTACTACCCTTTCCCTAGAAATTTCTGCATAAACTGCTTCTTAATCTGCATGCAATTAAAAGTAGGTATAAATATGAATGCAGAACTGCCCTGAGCTGCTACTTTCTGCCTATGGCATAGTCCTGCTCTGCAGGGGCAGTCACAGAGCTGCAACACTGCCGGAGCTATAACACTGCTGCTTCAGTAAACTGTTTTCTTCTACTCTACTAACAGCTTACCCTTAAATTCTTTCTTGGGTGAAGCCAAGAACTCTTGCAGGCTAAGCCCCAATTTGGGGCTCACCTGTCTTCCATCAGTCCCAGCTACTTGGGAGGATGAGGCAGAAAGATCACTTGAAGCCAGGAGTTCGAGGCTGTAGTGAGCTATGATTGCACCACTGCCCTCCAGCCTGGCCAACAGAGGGAGACCCTGTCTCAAAAAAGAGTAGACCCTTCTCTTCTAGGTTTTTATAATCACATGTCTTTTATTCAAGATATTAATCTCTATTAGGGATAGAGGTTATCTAGGTTTAGTAAGCTATTTTAATATCTAGTTTTATGGCTAACCAGATCCTAATTAATTTACCTTTATTAAACAAATGCTAGAAATGTTCTTAGCTTTTCAGTCTGAAACACCTAGCACTGTGGCCAGCTCTTACTAGGATGCTAGCTCCAAGATTAGCTGTGGGAAGAACCACAACCGTGTAATTTCATCTCCTTCATTCTTGATGTGCTTGTCAGCATAATGGAGGCGGGAGAGCCTCTCTAAATGGTGGCTGGGATATGCAATGAGGTACTGTATATAAGCCCAGGCAGCATAAGTTCTCTCCCAGATGCTAATCTCTTTTCATCTCTTTACCCTTTTGCAGGCCTCTAAGAGTACCTACGGCACACTAGCAAAGGGCAGTAAGGATCCTTTGTTTGGAAACAGCATTTTGCAGTTTACAAGTTCACAAAATCTCTTTTGGAGCCTGTGAAGTACATAGTACTGTCATGAAGAGTCAGAAGAAAGTAGGTTTCGGGGCAGTACTGCCACTTCTCTGATTCGGAAGCAAGTTTTACCTCTTAGCCTCAACTGTAAAGTAGGGATAATAATTTTGGTTACTTCATAGGGTGACTGGTAGAATGACATAATTTCTAGCAAGTGCTTGCAACAAAGTAAATGTTCAATAAATGTTAGATTTTATCATTCATTAGGGACTATTAGCCCATTAGATGACAAAATGAAGATACAGAGAGCCCACAATGACTATACTAATATTTAATAATGGCAGTATTCATTGATTCAAGCCTTATTACATGTCCAGAAAGCAGCTGTTATTGAGGTATGGGAGGAGAACAGTGGCTGCCAATTCTTTGATGTTTAATAAACTTTTATTAATGTCCACAGTGAACAAAGGTCCATGCTGACTTTCATACTTGATTCTAAAGATTGCAGGATGAGCGTAGTTGGACACAGTCATTAATGTGATTGTTCTTGCAATAAGGGGAAGACAAAGAGGCGTGCCTTGACAATTACACTACTATGTACTAAATGCTATGCTAGAGGAAAGCATGTGATCTACCTATGCAAACACAAAGAAAAAGATGTGTTAGTTATTGCAATTAGTGATTGCTGTGTAACAAATGACCCCCAAACCTAAAATAGCAATGAATATTGATTGTCTCACACAGTTTCTGAACCACAGGAATTCAGGATGGCTTAGTAGGATGGTCTGGCTCAGGGTCTCTAATGAAGTTATCAGCCTTGACTGCAAGCACCTGAAGGTTTGATCAGAGCTGGAGGATCTAAGACAGCTCACTCCTAGCTAGCAAGCTGATGTGGCCACCGGCAGGAGACCTCAGTTCCTCGTCCTGTGGACCTGCTGCCTGGGTGTCCTCCTGACATGGCAGCTAGTTTTCCTCACAGCACGTGACCCAAAAGAGAACAAGGCAGAAGCCACATGTCTTCCGTAAGGTAGGATTGCAAGTCACATTGTGTCATTACAGGGGTTGGCCCTATTTTTGGTGGGAGGGACTATATAAGAGGGAAAATATCAGGTGGCAGGAATCACTGGGGCCACCTTGGAGGGTGGCTACCACAGAGGTCAACTGGCTCTATCTGGTGGTTCAGGGAAGACTTTCTAGAAGGGGTGATGCCTGAAACAGCTAAGTCAGGAACGACGATTTATAACCTGGGCTCCATGGACAGAACTCAAGGAGTCTGTGAACTTGAGTCAGGGGAGGTAGGATTACAGCTTCATTTTCACATACCTATATTGAAAAGTAACATTCTTTCAATTATCAACGTAAGAACCCATGCCAGTGTTGTTAGTAATACCTGTGACTTTGTCACCAGCAGAAATTTCCACTGTTTTGCATTCATGTGTGGTCAACATGGTAAGACCCCGTCTTTACAAAAAAAAAATTTAATTACTGTTATTGTAGATATCATGAAATATTGCTTACATTAATCAAAATTATGAGGCTGGGTACAGTGGCTCGTGCCTGTTTTCCCAGCACTTTTGGTGGCCAAGGGAGTAGGATCATTTGAAGCCAAGAGTTTGAGACCAGCCTGGGCAATGTAGTGAGACTGTCGTTTCTACAAAAAATTAAAAACTAGCCAGGCATGGTGGCACATGCCTGTAGTCTCAGCCACTCAGGAGGCTGAGGCAGGAGGATCGCTTGAACCCAAGAGTTTGAGGCTGCAGTGAGCTATGATTATACCACTGTACTCCAGCCTAGGTGAGAGAGAAAGACCCTATCTCTAAAAAAAAAAAAAAAAAAAAAAAAAAAAAAAAAAAAAAAAAATTAACAAAAATTATAGTGATTGTCAGACTTATTGTTCTCACTCACAAGTGGGAGTTGAACAATGACAGCACCTGGACACAGGGAGGGGAACATCACACACTGTGGCCTGTTGGGGGATGGGGGACAAGGGGAGGGAGAGGATTAGGACAAATACCTAATGCATGCGGAGCTTAAAACCTAGATGATGGGATGATAGGTGCAGCAAACCACCATGGCACATGTATACCTATGTAATAAACCTGCACATTCTGCATATATATCCCAGAAATTAAAATAAAAAACATTAGAGTGATGTTAGACCTCACACCAGATCTTGATATTTAATGCATAATTAATGAATTACAGATATTTGTATATAATTTTGTTTTTAATAGTTTAGTAATTATATTTCAATGTACTTGTCTTTGTAACTGTGTGTTTTACATTATGCAATTAAGGACATCCTTTTGAGAAAGAAACCATAAATGTTACCAGCTGCCAAATAGGTCTATAACACACATATATACAAAAGTAGAGAGTGCAGAAGGATGAATAGGAATTATCCATTAAAAGGAAAAAAGAAATGGCATTACAGGCAGAGGCAAGAAGCAGGCAACTGTGTATGTATACTTGTGTATTACTAAGAGTTTCAAGTCCAAAAAGGGGAAGGACGTAAATGAAGCCATAAACATAATAGGGACCAGTTCATAAAACATTAGGCTAAAGAACCTGACCTCGATACCATGTGGTAGTAAAGGCTGGGATAGGAGATCCAAAAAAATTTGATTTATGTATTTATTTAATAATTATTTCTTTTAGAATACATAATTCATGTACAAATACAAACTTTAAAGTGAATATGGCAGAATGCTTCCTTTTGTTACTTGCTGCGGCTACTCTGGAATGTTTTGCAATCCAGAAGCCACCACGGGTTTCTTTACATTCTCAAGAAAACATTTTTATGTAAGGGAATGGCTGTTCAGATTTGCATTTTAAGTAGTTTACTCTGATCAAGTTGCCAAGTGAGACAAGGCTTTATGGAGAAGCTGCTGGTGAGGGTGAGAAGCAAGGCTAGGAATATGAGGGGGAGAATGTTATTCTTTACTTTCTAAAGGAGTGAACCACAAAGCTGTTTGCAGATTCCACACATGCAGAGAAAACACAATTCATTTGGTTGGTAAGTTCAGATTTCTTGTGCCAAACATGGGAAGCAGTACAGCGAGGTGATTAAAAATACTGCACAGGCCAGTGAGGTGGCTTATCCCTGTAATCCTAACACTTTGGGAGGCTGAGGCAGGACAATTACTTGAGGCCAGGAGTTCAAGACCAGCCTGGCCAACAAGGTAAGACTCTGTCTCTACAAAAAATTTAAAAATTAGCCAGGTGTGGTGGTGTACTCCTGTAGTCCCAGTTACTCAGGAGACCGAGGCAGGAGGATAGCTTGAGCCCAGGAGTTTGAGGCTGCAGTGAGCTGTTTTTGTGCCAGTGTACTCCAGCTTGGGCAACAGTGTGAGATCCTGTCTCCAAAAACAAACAAACAAACAAACAAAACCCCAAAAAACAAACAAACCCCCAAAAATGCAGACTTGCAGACTTTAGAATTGAGAGAATTTGGATTGAGTCTCTGCTTTACCATTTGCTAAGTCTTTGCTATTTGCTAAACTAAGCCTCAGTTATTGCTTCTATAGAGCAAGGCTTTTAATACCCACCTCTATCTACTCCTGATGATGGTGTATCTGATAATGCTTGGAAAACGTTCCATACAGTTATGCATATACTTTAAAGTCAGATCTAACATCAGAGTGGTGCCTCATTTTTGAGTCTTAAGGTTCTGCCAGCCCAGCTTTAATCACCAACAACAATGACGATAGCTAACAGGTACTGAGTGCTTACTCTGTGCCTGGTGCTGTGCTGAGTGCTTTGTAGTCATCACTTCCTTTCCTTTTTTCCCTTCACCCACTTTCTGGTACCTTTGCATGTGCATGTCTGTCAAAATCTGGGGTGAATCTTGGGCTCCAGGCCCTGGACTCTTTGGAAGAACTTACTTGCAAGATTATAACAGCAATGGATCAGAGCGGCATCTTCAAAACTTCGGCAGCCAAAATAAGACACTCTAAACAGACAATGAAAGACTTTACAGTATTTCACGCCTGTAATCCCAGCACTTTGGGAGGCTGAGGCGGGTGGATCACTTGACGTCAGGAGTTCGAGACCAGCCTGGCCAAGATGGTGAAAGCCTGTCTCTACTAAAAAAAAAAAAAAAAATTAGCCAGGCATGGTGGCAGGTGTCTGTAATCCTATCTACTCGGGAAGGGGAGGCTGAGGCAGGAGAATCACTTGAACCTGAGAGGCGGAGGTTGCAGTGAGCTGAGATTGCTCCACTGCACTCCAGCCTGGGTGACAGAGCAAGACTCCGTCTCAATTAAAAAAAAAAGACTTTAGACAGAATGGACTTGTTGCTGCAATTTTTGAGTGCTTGGGTCCAACATACCTGCCCCCACGGGAGGGTGATTTTTTTCCCTGCAGACAGGAATGAAGTTGGACTGAAATGCCATTTTACCAATGCCAGCAAGTTAGCCATTATATGCTACGGCTACTTTGAAGCTTGGGGCTTCAGTGAAGTTTCCAGTGAAGTTTCCAAACTTAGAGGCCTAATTTCCAGAAGTCACAGCAATGAATGCACTCACCAAGGGAGAGGGCCTAAGTGTGGCCCAGGAGAAAATGTGCTTTATTACTTAGTCCTGGGGACTTTCATGATAAAACAAAATCAGGCTCTCCCTGTTATGCTTCAGGGAACCCATTTCACAGCCTATCATAGGTGCTAGGTTTACAAGCTACCTAGTTTAATGAATCCCAATCTTTCAGATTTCACGCAATAGAGAAAAGCTTTGGTTTGTTGTTTTTATCGTTATTTGTGCATTGTTTTTAATGAGTTTTATAGCGAGATTATCAACTTTATCAATGTGTCAAGAAAGACCATTTAAAAAAAAAAAACAAAAACACTGGCCTGTCATGGTGGCTCACACCTGTAATCCCAGCACTTTGGGACACCCAGGCAGGAGGATCACTTGAGCTCAGGAGTTCAAGACCAGCCTGGACAACATAGCAAGACCGTGTCTCTATGAAAAATTTAAAAATTAGCCAGATGTGGTGGTGTACTCCTGTAGTTCCAGCTACTCAGACGGCTGAGGTAGGAGGATCGCTTGAGCCCTGGAGGTTGAGGCTGCAGTAAGCCACAGTCATACCAGTGCCCTCCAGCCTGGGTATTATTATTATCCAAAATAATAATAAAAGTAATAAAATAAAAGTGAGAAAACAAATCAATACCCTGCCATCACTATCACCTTCCATAAAAGGTAAAACATTTTAACACCAAAACAGTAGAAAATACTACACATTACCTGAGAACAATTTTTGCCAAGAATCTAATAAAGCTTCTGGTCTTACCTCCAGGTTACAGAAGACATAGAGACAGAGGAGCAATTTAAATAGGGCCATGAGGAAATAATCAGAAGAATCTTTGGCGCACATTCTGTAAGACGGCATGACCTGGAACCTTTAGATGTCATTGTCACAGGGAAAAAGATTTGGGGGGGGGGCAAATCTCTAGAATAAATGAGACCAAAGAGACAAGCGACCAAGTGCAATGCATGGACCTTGAATGAGTTGGTGCTCAGAGGGGGACAAAGCTATAAAAGACATTTTACAAAAAGTGAAGTGTAGAGTTACCATATGACCCAGCAACTCTACTCCTAGCTATGAGAAATGAAAACACATGTCAGCTGAGAGTGGTGGCTCCTCCCTGTCATCTTAGCAGTTTGAGAGGCTGAGGCAGGAGGATTTCTTGAACTCATGAGTTTGAGATCAGCCTGGGCAACATAGGGAGACCTTGTCTCTACCAAAAAAGAATAGAAAAGAAAACACATGCCTACACAAAAATGTGCATAGCTGCATTACTCATAATAACCAAAAAAGTGAAATCAACCTAAAAGTTCATCAAGTGATGAATGAATAAATAAAATGTGGCACATCCATATAACGGAATATTATTCTGTCATAAAAAGGACAAAGTATTGATCCCTGCTACAGTATGAATGAACCTCAAAAACGTTGTGCTAAGTGAAAGAAACCAGGCACAAAAGACTACTTGTTATTTGATTCAATTTATAGGAAATGCCCAGAGCAGGTAGATTCATACAGATAGGAAGTCAATTAATGGTTGCCAGGGATTAGGGGCTATGGAGAATGAAGAGAGAGTACTAATAGGTTTCTTTTTGGGGTGATGAAAATATTCTAAAATTAGATAGTGGTGATGATTACAGAACTCTATAGATATACTAAATACCACTGAATTGTACACTTTGAGGGGGTGGTGAATTTTATGGTATGTGAATTGTATCTCAATTTTAAAAACCCAAAATAATAGTTTAGGTACAATTAATTGACATAATGGAGATATCAGTCATTTTCTTAGGTATGAAAATGGCATTGGGGATATGGAGAATAATAACCTCACTCTTAGGAGAGACCTGCTGATGTATTCATAGGTCAATTGTCATGACGCTGGCAATGCATTTTCATCTAGCTGAGCTCACACAACAGAATGGGCTCTTTACAGCAAATATGGGCTGAGTAAGCTGACTTACACCTCTTAATCCAGCACTTTGGGAGGCCGAGGTGGGAGGATTGCTTGAGGCCAGGAATATGAGACAAGCCTGAGCAACATAACAAGACCCCCAACTCTACTATATACATAATAAAGCAAATATGGGGGCAGGAGTATTTGCGCATTCGTTGTACTCTTCTCTCAACTTTTCTGGATGGCTAAACATTTTCTTTCTTTCTTTCTTTTTTTTTTTTTTTGAGACGGAGTGTCACTCTTCCACCCAGGCTAGAGTGAAGTGGCACGATCTCAGCTCACTGCAACCTCCACCCTCAAGTTCAAACAATTCTCCTTCCTCAGCCTACGAGTAGCTGGGATTATAGGCGTCCGCTACCATGCCTGGCTAATTTTTGTATTTTTAGTAGAGATGGGGTTTTGCCATGTTGGCTAGGCTGGTCTCGAACTCCTGACCTCAGGTGATCTGCCCACTGCGGCCTCCCAAAGCACTGGGATTACCGGCGTGAGTCACCGTGCCTAGGTCTAAACATTTTCTTAATAACACATGCTGGGATGAGAGAAAAAAATCATCAGAAAGCAATAAAAGTAGGACAGATATGATCTCAGAAAATAAAAGGACAGTACTTTAAGTAGAATATATTTAGCTTAAGAAATTTTCATTTCTTTTTTCTTTTTCTTTTTTGAGATGGAGTCTCATTCTTCCACCCAGACTGCAGTGCAGGGGCGCAATCTTGGCTCACTACAACCTCTGCCTCCCAGGTTCAAGTGATTCTCATGCCTCAGCCTCCCGAGTAGCTGGGACTACAGGTGTGTGCCACCACGTCCGGCTAATTTGTGTATTTTTTAGTAGAGATGGGGTTTCGCCCTGTTGACCAGGTTGGTCTCGAACTCCTGACCTCAAGTGATCCACCTGCCTCGGCCTCCCAAAGTGCTGGGATTACAGGCATGAGCCATTTCTTTTTTCTAATTTTTCTCACTTTCCCATGGAGTAGTGAAAATCTCTTGGCACCCGTCAGAGGACCAGAGCTGGGGCTCCACTGTCTGGGAGAGGCAGCGCTCAGGGCACCAAGTTGACAGGATGAGTTCAGGGCTAGTGCCCTTATTTGTATTCTAAACCCAGCCACTGTTAGCTTTCGCTTGCCACGTGGCCTTGGGCAAGTTAACTTAAGTTTCTTGTGCCTCAGTTTCCTCATCTATGAAACTTGGGTTGCTAATAAACGGTGTCTTCTCATAGGTGGTTGTAAGGATGAAGTGAGTTAATATTGGTAAACGGCCTATTATCATGCCTGGCATGTAGTGCGTGCTACATGAGGATTTGTTAAATAATAAAACCCCATTTCTTTATAGCTATGTGTGTTCATTTTCTATTGCTGCTGTGACAAATGACTGCAAACTGGGTGGCTTAAACAACACACATTATCTCACAGTTTGTGGCTCAGAAGCCTGAAGCTGGGTTAAAATCATGGAGTCAGACAGGAGGTGCCTTTCTGGGGACTCTGGGGCAGAATCTGGTTCTCTGCCTTTTTCACCTTCCAGAGGCTTCCCGTTCGGATTCCATGGCTCAAGGCCCCCTCCTTCTGTCTTCAAGGCCAGCAATAGTGCGTCAGGCCCCTGTCACACTGCAGCACTCTGACCTCCCCTCTGCCTTCCTCTTTCATTTTTAAAGACCCCTGTGATTACACTGGACTCCCTTGGATAATCCAGAATAATCTCCCCTTTTTTTTTAAAAAAAAAAAAAAGGCTGCACCAAAGGCATAGTCTAGCTTTATGAAAGGGCCTATGCATAGAGTCAGTGTAAAAATACTGTAAGTCCCATCAGCTTAATAGCAATAAAAATTCCCCAAAATGGCCAGCACGGTGGTTCACACCTGTAATCTCAACCTTTTGGGAGGCTGAGGTGGGTGGATCGCTTGAGGCCAGGAGTTCGAGACCAACCTGGCCAACATCGTGAAATCCTGTCTCTACTAACAATACAAAAAATTATCCAGGTGTGGTGGTGTAGACCTGTAATTCCAGCTACTCAGCCTACTACAGAGGCTGAGGCATGAGAATCACTTGAGCCTGGGAGGCAGAGGTTGCAGTGAGCTGAGACCGTGCCACTGCACTCCAGCCTGGGCGACAGAGCAAGACCGTGTCTCAAAAACAAAAAACAAAACCCAAAAAATGGAAAGCCGAAGGGACAGAGGAAGAGGCTACTGGACTTGGTACATAAGGAGCCTGGCTCATGGCACCGGGCCTAGCCACAGGGTTCTCCAGCATTGCTGTTGCTATGAGGTCGGGGGATAGCGATTGTCTTATGAGAGCCACTGTTCACCTGGGTCAGGGACCCTCACTTCTGGGGTGTGCTTGACTTCTGCCTGCCCCCGGTGCTGTCCAGCAGGCCAGAGATGAATGCTCTGGGAGGCTCTGCGACAATCGTCCCCGCAGATCCACCCACCCTTTCCAATGTTCCTGTTTATTTTATTCAATTAATTAATTTATTTTTCAAGACCAGGTCTCACTGTGTCACCAAGGCTAGAGTGCAGTGATCACAGCTTACTGCAGCCTCGAATTTCTGGCCTTAAACAATCCTCTGGCCTTAGAAACAGCTAGGATTGTAGGCGTGGGCCACCATGCCTGGCTGGTTTTTGTATTGTTTGTAGAGAAAGTGGTCTCACTATGATGGCCAGGCTGGACTCAGACTCTTGGCAGCCTCAATGATCCTCTAGCCTTGGCCTCCGAGGGTTTGGGATGACAAGAGGGAGCTATTGCACCCGGCCTCAATCTTCCTCCCTAATTAGTAACTTTAATTTCATCTGCAACCTTAATTCCCCTTTGCCATGTAATGTAATGCATTCACAGGTTCTGAGGGCTAGGATTTGCACATCACTGGAGGCCTTTATTCTGCCTACCACAGTACAGGAACTTTTGGCAGAGCGAAGTCAATGGACTGAGCTAAGCAACCAGAAGAACACTAGTGTGAGGACTCACGTCACCAACTGGACTTGGCCCACAGCTATAGTATTTCTCTTTCCTGTTACTGTTTTAGGGAATAAAACCCACATTTGATGAAAGGTTGATTATGAACAGAGCTTATGACAAGGCAGGTACGTGGTTGGAACTTACTACCCAGAGTGCAGGAACTACAAAAGAAGAGGTTTTCATGTTTATAGAATAACAGGAGAAATAGTAGTGTCTCAGCAAGAGAGAGTGTGGCTGCCGGCTGGCCAGGGTGTGTGGCTGGTTCATGGAATAAACTGGAGTAGAACAGTCTTTCCTCAATACCTGCATATAACTGACATTTAATTAATACTGGTAGATGAACTGACCTCCAAGGCCAAGTCTCTTTTACTCTGTCAACTGCTTGACCAAAGAAATTGGAAGTTCACCAGATCCCCTTTAATGCCAGCTGAAAAATAAGAAATGGACACGTGTAAACCTAGATAAGGCATTAACAGGCAGACATAATGAAATAGGGGAATGTTTTAGAATCCATTATTTTTTCCCCTATTGAACCAAATATTAAACTCTCATTGCTTAAATTAATTTTAGCTTAATAGTTTAAAATATTCTGGCTTCTGCAATTTACATTGTAAATTTCTCATATGTGTTTGCTGCCTTGTATGAAGCAATGTTAAAATAAAGCTAAAGTCACCATTCAAGACATTAATGACAGTCTGGATATGTGGAGACACAAATGAGTGGACTGGGTGAATAGGGTGGTGATGGACAGATGGACGGATGCACAGAGACAGAGGGATGGGGAAATGAACTCATAAAGGTGAAAATGCAGGAGTACAAAGAGGCTACATTGCATAGTGGTTGACAGCAGATGTTCAAATACCAGCTCTGACATTTACTGGGTCACCCTGGGCAAGTTACTTAATCCCTCCATGTCTCCACTTGTTCATAAAAATAAAGGCCATGTGGATGAGCATGGTGGCTCATGCCGGCAGTTCCAGCACTTTGGGAGGCTGACGTGGCAGGATTGCTTGAGGCCAGGAGTTTGAGACTGGCCTGAGCAACGTAGCAAGACCCAATCTCTACAAAAAAAATTAGCCAGGCATGGATTTTATAGATAGGCTTGAGGAGGCAGTGTCTGATTTATGTAGGGCCTACAGATTGTGTAGTTGTTCTCGTGTCACAGGTGTGACGTTTACATATTGCATGGGGAAGACTGGCCACTCCACTCTAATCTTATTAAGCAGATAGGCTTTCCACTTGGTCAGCACCATGTTGTCTGCTCCCTACTGCACACATGGTTTGAAAGGAAAAAAGAAGATGGAGCTACCGTTTTGAACACGCCTAGTCCCACGTAGCCTTTTCCTATTGGCACAGCTGCCAGCATTCACTTGTGCAAGCTTCTAGCTTGCTTGCCCATGTTTGCAGCTCGATTTTACAGGCTGCTCTTTGTTAGAAAAGAAAATGATTTGGAGACTGCTTTTCATCAAAAGGAAAACCTTATCAATGGTTCCCATACCCTCACTATCTGCCTAAGTAATTACTTTTTAACTCCTATGTCAGTATCAGTGGGACCTGACACTGGGCTGAACCAGGGGTGTGCAGGGAAGAGGTGGAAACAGAGCAATTGCTAAGGAGGCACTGAGGCCCCTCAGACATTTGCAAAGTTCTGACGTCATTGTTTTAACTGTGCCTCTGTTGGCATCCTAGGTTACCAACTCCCAGGCAACTACATCCTCCTCTCCTACCCTACCCCCATTGGCCATGTTGCCACTCTATCACCCAAATTAAATCACTGTTAGTTCTGAGAGCAGCTTGACTGGATTAATTCCCTGTCAATGCATTCCCCACCCATTTGCTGGAGGGCTTAAAAAATGTAAATTTGGGCCTGCAAGGTAGCTCATGCCTGTAATCCCAAAACTTTTGGAGGCCGAGGTGGGCGGATCACCTGAGGTCAGGGGTTCGAGACCAGCCTGGCCAACATGGTGAAACCCCGTTTCTACTAAAAATACAAAACATGAGCCGGGCATGGTGGTGCGTGCCTGTAATCCCAGCTACTTGGGGGGCTGAGGCAGGAGAATAGCTTGAACCCAGGAGGCAGAGGTTGCAGTGAGCCGAGATTGCGCCACTGCACTCCAGCAGGGGCAACAAGGGTGAAAATCCGTCTCAAATAAATAAATATATAAATAAATAAATAAATAAATAAATAATTAAATAAGCAAATTTGATTGTGTCACTCCCTTGCTTGAAAGGCTCCCTTGGCTAGACAGGTGCTTGGCTATATATCCTAGAGGTTTCTCAGAGTAATTCTTAATAACACCCTCTTGCTCTCTCCAATGTGTCTCCATTAGGAATATAAAGTTATATGGTCACCCTACTTAAGGGGCTCAGAGTGATCTTACCACTTCCCCTCCTGACCCCATCACAGGCTTCTGCAGCTGTAGCTAACACTTGGAGTGTCCTAAGTGCTGATGCTGGAGAGCTACTGTTTCCTCCTGTTGCTCTCAGATCCATTCCCTCCCTTTCTTCTGGAGAGGAGATTCTTCCCAGGTGCCCAAAGCCCTCTGGCTTCTGAGTGGTTTCATCCGATGAGAAGCCCTGGCAGGTGACTTCAGGGAGCCAGCTATTCTTCTCCCCATGACCTCTGCAGGGTTTTCCTGCAGCAATTATTCTTTCTCCAGGGTCCAGTCGCCTCAGGGCAGCCTGTCGTGGATGAGCAGTGACTATGTGGGCTGGTGTCGTGGGTGTAAAAGAATGAACCAAGACAGTTGTAGGTAAAGAAAGGCGGATTTATTAAAGGCAGTAGGAAAATCTGTTGCAAGGTTGCAATGGGCAGAATCAGCAGAAGAGGAGCTGACGGCAAGGATACAAAGGCTTGTTGGAGATTTTATATAGTTTTAAAATGATTCTTGGGCTGATGGATAACGCCAAGGTAGCAGGGAGCTAACTTGCATTCTTCTGTCAGCCGAAGTGTTTGATAAATTGAAGAGTTAGATGACAAGCAGGAAACTTGTGTGCTGTGTGCGTTATCTGTGCAGGAGGGCCATGTGTCTGGGGCCGTAAAGAAAGGCCGATCTATAGCTTCCTCTTTGCTTTCCCCTGGTCCTGCCAGCCTGACTCCTTTTTCCTAATTAGGACTCCACATAGCCCCCTTCTTGCCTCTGGCTCCCTAGCTTCTGTCATAGCTCCTCTTCGTCCCTCCAGCCTGTGTCCTGGAAATGACTTTCCATTCTGGCTCATCTCTCACTTGCATCATTAGCCCGAATTTGTCTTCTCAGCTGTTCCATACCCTGTGTAATGAATTCCCTCTGTCAAATTCGAAATGTTTGCTGGTGTTGGGAGCTCATGCCTGTAATGGCAGTGCTTTGAGAGGCTCAGTCAGGAGGACCGCTTGAGCCAAGGAGTTCGAGGTTACAGTGAGCTATGATTGCATCACTGCACTCCAGCCTGGGAAACAGACCAAGACCCTGTCTCTTAAAAAAAAAAAAAAAATCCAAATGTTAATCCTGGCTTATTTTCCTGATCAGACCCCATCATATATATGATGACATGTGTTGACTTATTTAATATCGTAACACGGCTGTGAGGTGGGCATTACTATTATTTTCATTTTTCAGACAATGAAACTAAGGGAAGTTGAAGGGCTTGGCCACTGTCACAGTTTGTGACATAAGTTGGGTTCAAAAGATAAATTACAGGAAACTAACATGGGAACTCTCCCTGTTTCAGCATACCTTACAGGTCTTGGTTTAAATTTGTCTTAGAACCTTCAATCCACAGTTCTTTGGGTTGACTGTTGACCTTCTGCTAATTCACTGTTATTTCTGGATATAAGGAGTCTCTCTCTATATATATATCAGAGACAGCTTTTTTTTTTCATTTGTGTGTTTGAATGAATAGATGAAATACAAACATATCTTCCTAAATAAGGACGCATTGATTAGAAGAGTTTTCCATAAGACTGCTGTTCAACATTCTTCCTTATTGGTTACTTCTCAATGAGAAATTATCCGAAGAGCTAGGATGCCTCCCAGATCTCATTGGTACATTGAGTTTTGCACCAAAGCATCAGGCTTAATTTTCCAAGGAATGGCAATTTAAGTTAAATCAGGTTTGCAGAGTTGTCGGGGTGTTTGTGTATTTGAGGTTGGGAGGGGAAGGAAACGATCATCTTCAGGGTAATGATAATAAACTAATAAAATGTGGCTCCAGGAATGTTGCACTAAAACTTTGTGCCTCCTGCATACATTTCTTTTGAGTAATGCCAAATTGTGTTCAGTAAAATCTGATCAATCTTATGTGCGTAAATTGTCAGTTATTGCAGAAGTAATCAGTCAAAAAGAAAAGAAAGTTTAAATGTAGAGACCCTTGTTAGGAGCTGGGCTTTAGCCTTTAAAATCGTGGGTGGATAGGGCCATCTGGTGTGCAGTTGTGTAACTAGACATTGCTGTTTTTTTTTTAACCTCCTTGCTAATAATCAATGTGATTCATTTGTCTTTACAAAAACAAACCATTCTTTTGTTTTGTTTTTTTTTCTTCAACTTTTACTTTAATTTCAGGAGTATATGTGCAGGATGTGCAGGTTTTTTACACAGGTACATGCGTGCCATGGTGGTTTGCTACACAGATCTTCCCATTACCTAGGTATTAAGCCCAGAGTCCATTAGCTATTCTTCCTGATGCTCTTCCTCCCCTCCTGCCTCCCTCTGACAGGCCCCATTGTAGGTTATTCTCCTCCATGTGTCCGTGTGTTTTCATCAGTCAGCTACCAGATAGAGAACATGTCTAGTCTGTTTTCATGCTGCTGATAAAGACCTACCCGAGACTGGGAAGAAAAAGAGGTTTAATTGGACTTACAATTTAAAAAGAGATTTAATTAGACTTACTCCACATGGCTGAGGAGGCCTCAGAATCATGGCGGGAGGTGAAAGGCACTTCTTCCATGGTGGTGGCAAGAGAAAATGAGGACGAAGCAAAAGTGGAAACCCCTGATAAACCCATCATATCTCATGAGACTTACTCACTTCACGAGAATAGCATGGGAAAGACCAGCTCTCATGATTCAGTTACCTCCTGCTGGGTCCCTCTCACAACATGTGGGAATTTTGGGAGATAAAATTCAAGTTGAGATTTGAGTGGAGACACAGCCAAACCATATCAATGTGGTGTTTGGTTTTCTGTTCATGTGTTAGTTTGCAGAGGACAGTGGCTTCCACCTCCATACGTGTGCCTGCTAAGGACATAATCTTGTTCCTTTTCATGGCTACATAGTATTCCATGGGGTATATGTACCACATTTTCTTTATCCAGTCTATCATCGATGGGCATTTGGGTTATTCTATGTCTTTGTTATTGTGAATAGTGCTGCAATGAACATATGCGTCCATGTATCTTTATAATAGAATGATTTCTGTTACTTTGGGTATATACCAAGTAATGGAATTGCTGGGTCAAATGGTATTTCTGCCTCTAGGTCTTTGAGGAATTGCCACACTGTCTTCCACAACGGTTAAACTAATTTACACTCTCACAAAGGGTGTAAAAGTGTTTCTTTTTCTCCACAACATTGCCAGCATCTGCTGTTTTTTGACTTTTTAATAATTGCCCTTCTGATTGGCATGAGATGGTATCTCAATGTGGTTTTGATTTGCATATCTCTAATGATCACTGATGTTGAGCTTTTTTTCATATGTTTCTTGGCTGCATGAATGTCTTGAGAAGTGTCTGTTCATGTCCTTTGCCCACTTTTTAATGGGATTGTTTAAAACAAACTATTCTTAAGGCTTTCTTAGGGTAACATTTGGAGAACATTGGCTCATTCCCAAACATAAGCCTTCTCAAACCGATTAAAATCTAATCCTCACCAAGTTAAGTAGGGCTTGCCTGCTGATAGATCCTCATCAGAGCAAAGTCAAAGCTAAAGTTCAGGGGGACAGAAACTGAGTAAACAGAGGAAGCCAGTAAGGAGAGAGCAGAAAATGTAGCCCATGGGAGGGAGGAGACAAACCTCAAGAGGAAAAAGTTCCCAACACTTGCATGTCTTACTTCTTTAACCTCATAGAACCCAACAAATAAGTTATAAGAAAGGGAGAAGAGGCCGGGAGTGGTGGCTCATGTTTGTAATTCCAGCACTTTGGGAGGCCAGGGCGGGTGGATCACAAGGTCAGGAGTTCAAGACCAGCCTGGCCAAGATGATGGGGAAACCCCGTCTCTACTAAAATTACAAAAATTAGCTGAGTGTGGTGACGCTCACCTATAGTCCCAGCTACTTGGGAGGCTGAGGCAGGAGAATCACTTGAACCCGGGAGGTGGAGATTGCAGTGAGCCAAGATTGTGCCACTGCTCTCCAGCCTGGTGACCGAGTGAGACTCTGTCTCAAAAAAAAAAAAAAAAATGGAGAAGAAAATGTGATCATGATAACCATTCCCGCCATTACTGGAGCCTGGACCAGCCGGCCAGATTTCCACAGGATGTCTCTGACCTGCAGAGGGGCTGGCAAGGTGGGAGGCATCCAGACCATGTTACAGAACTCAGTAATCAGAGCCTGTGCTGGAGCCACCAGCATCCCAGGACCACCATGTGAACCTCCTGACAGGAGCAGGCTCCTCAATGACTGAAATGAATCTCAGCAGAACTCCTGTGATTCATAAGTGACTCATTTACTAACTTATTGTCAGTATAGATTCTCCACTGGGAGAAGACGGGCAACTTCTGGAGACATTTTTGGTTGTTACAACTAGGAGAGGGGCATCTACTACTCGCATCTAGTGGGTAGAGGCCAGAGATGCTGCTAAACATCCTACTGTACAGCCCCACCACAAAGAATGATCTGGCTCCAAGTATCGGTAATGTCGAGGTTGAGAAACCCTGGTGTCAGCAGTGGGAGAAGCCTTAGAGGGAATTTCCAAAGTGGTAGGATCAGCACAGGATAGACCCTGAAGTTTAAACTTCTTCCAGGGGGACCGTTACCCAGTTTGGGGAACACCATGGTATATCACTAGCTGTGGGCTGATGCCAAGTTACAGGTAACAGATGCCAGCAGAAGCTCTGGGCAGAGGAAACCAAGATAAACCTAAGCAGACAGTCCTTGTGAAACTGAACAGAGTCAAAGATAATGAATGGAGAAACTGAGGCTAATCAGTTTGACCTCATTCCTTCCTCTCCCCACAATCAGGGGATCTTATGACTGAATTTCTTACAAATAGCAAAGGAATAAGTAGGCTTAGGTGAGAGGGGAAAGGGGCTAAATTGAGGGGAGCAGTGGAGCAACAGATTAGTGGTAGCAGATTTATTTTTATTTATCTTTTTTTGTTGTTGTTGTTAAGACAGAATCTTACTCTGTCACCCAGGCTGGAGTGCAGTGGTACAATCATGGCTCTCTGTACCCTTGAACTCCTATGCTAGAGCCTAGGAGTAAATACTAGGATTACTAGAGTAATCCTCCGACCTCAGCCTCCCGAATAGCTGAGACTACAGACATGCACCACCACACTGGCTAACTTTTAAATTTTTTGTAGAGATGGGGTGGTGGGGGTCGGCGGGGGGGGGGGGGGGGTCTCACTATATTGCCCAGGCTGGTCTTGAACTCCTGGGCTCAAGCAATTCTCCTGCCTTGGCCTCCCATAGTGCTGGGATTACAGTTGTGAGCCACTACGCCCAATCCAATGGTAGCAGATTTAAACACAGGTGGATTTGGAAAAAAAATCTTACGATAGGTTTAATATGAGTCAGCAGGCCTGTTGAAACAAAACAGTGCTTTGTTAAGCTTGTTTTTGGTTGGTCAAATGTAGAAAGGCAGGTGTCTCCGCTAATGAGTACGTAGAGCAGGAATCCTAAGCAATCATCCATTTCAGAACATGAAGACAAAAAGCAGCTGCCCCTCCCATACACTGCCCATTAAAATACATACTTTTAAAATTCCTTATTTTCAATTTTATTTTTTTGCTCTCTCAGAAGAATCAAATATATGTAATTATTCTGATGGAGGCTTGCATTCTTTGGGACCTAGGCCTGAGAAATCACGGTCAGTAGATTTCCCTATAACATGGGGCTGGGGAGCAAGTGCCAAACAGGGAATGTTCTGAAAACTCCTTAGGCACAAGCTGAAGATATGTTTGAGGTTTTGGATACAGAACATTTATAGGATATCTTTTGGTGGTCCAAGAGGACTTGAGTGTACCTTGTAAATACAGGATTTTGTTTTTAATTAGATTGATTCACAGAGAACCAAACCTAAGGAATCACATCATTCATTCATTTGTTCATTTAATAAATTTGTAGGTTGAAGCATTTACCAAGTGCTGGCAATAGAAAGAAGTCCCGGGTGTGCTTTGTCAGTTTAGTCGGGACTACACAAATGAGTCAATAACTGTAGTGGAGTGATGCGATCTCAACTGCCAGGAATCCCCCGGCTCTCCTCTCTTCCTGTGCCTCTTCAGGTAATTAGCTATCCTTTCTTTCTTTTATTTTCCTTCCTTCCTTCCTTCCTTCCTTCCTTCCTTCCTTCCTTCCTTCCTTCCTTCCTTCCTCCCTCCCTCCCTCCCTCCCTCCCTTTCTTTCCAGATTCTGGACCTATTCCAGACTTACTAAAGGAAATTCTCTAAAGGTGAGGCAGTTTTTTAAAGACAGCAGCTCTCTCTGTCGTCCATGCTGGAGTGCAGTGGCCCGATCATAGCTCACTGCAGCCTCGACTTCTTGGGCTCAAGTGATCCTCCCCCTTCAGCCTCAATGAGTAGCTGGGACTACCGATGTGCACTACCACGCCCGGCAAACTAAAAAAATAATTATTTTTGGTAAAGACAGGGGTCTTGCGATGTTGCCCAGGCTGTTCTCAAACTCCTGGCCTCAAGTGATCCTCCTGCCTCAGCCTCCTAATGTGTTTGGATTACAGGCATGAGCCACTGAGCCCGGCCTAGCTACCCTGTCTGAGTTGTGCCCACTACACAAAGGTGTCAGCTACATGTGATGTCTGTGCATTTCTGGCCTGGACCGCACATTAAGTGCTCCGTAAACATCAGTCTCTATTATCAACAGTCTCTATTATCAATCAGTCTCTATTATCATCAGTCTCTATTATCATGAGTCTCTATTAAACAACAGTCTCTATTATCACAGTCTCTATTATGTGTTTTGGCTGAAAGAAAGTTCTCTAAAACCAGGAAATCAGGAATCAGCAGTTTTAAGTTCTCCAGGTTATATTTTAACATTGTGTTCATATGCAAAACAAAGGTTGTGAATCAGCACGAATGCTGGCAAGCCCTGGAAGGTTTGTGATCACGGACTTTCACGAGACCCCAAGGCAAGGAGAGACAGAAGCCCAGGACAACAGCATGGGCGCCGCTTTTTAGTCGGGCGCCGCTTTTTGGTCAGGCGCCACCTGGACTACATTTCCCATATCCAATTGCCGGGCTCCTGCAGGATTGGCCAGAACAACGCGGAAGTGATTACGGGTCGCCCAGCAACGGGCGGAGTCCTGGCCCGAAACTGGATGCGCACGCCCCTTCCCTGCGGCGGGGAGGCTGACAAGGCTCCGCTCTATCTCTAGCGCCTCGGAGCGCTCTCCGGCTTTGCTGTCTAGCCCGGCGGCAGCGCGATCTCTTAGGCACTTTCACCGCCTTCCTCTCCAGGCCCTGCCCCTTTGACGCCGGCCGTCGCGATATTGCGGAGACTGGATTTCAGCTTCGTGGTCGGCGGAGCGGCCCCTGGAGGGCGCAGTGCGCAGGCGTGAGCGGTCGGGCCCCGACGCGCGCGGGTCTCGTTTGGAGCGGGAGTGAGTTCCTGAGCGAGTGGACCCGGCAGCGGGCGATAGGGGGGCCAGGTGCCTCCACAGTCAGCCATGGCAGCGCTGCGCTACGCGGGGCTGGACGACACGGACAGTGAGGACGAGCTGCCTCCGGGCTGGGAGGAGAGAACCACCAAGGACGGCTGGGTTTACTACGCCAAGTAAGGGGGCCGCAGTGGGGCCGCGGACGCACCTGGGACCCTGCACAGCCCACGGACGCCACCTGCGCGGGGAGGACGCGCACTCCAGCGCAGCGCGTGCGGTGCAAAGTGAAAGTAACTGTTAAGGAGCTTCAGGGAAAAGGGTCCAGGGTTCCCAGTAGGGGCCGGCCCCCTTGGTGGGCCTCGGGTCCAGCGGGGGTCACCTGGTGGCTTCCCGGCGCGCCCTCTGCTGTTCAGGATGCAGCACTGCGCGGCGCGGCGAGGGCAAAGCGGCCTCATCCCCGCCAAAAAATAAAGATGTTTTAAAAAGCGCACATGCTCAGCTCCCTCCTGCAGGCTCTGGGTTGCAGGGATAGGAGTTTTGTTGTGTTTTGTTTTGTTTTGTCCAGACCGGTATTGCTCAGTCATCCAGGCTGGAGTGCAGGGGTGCCATCATAGCCCACTGTAGCCTCTACCTACTGGGTTCAGACAATCCTCTCATCTCAGCCTCTTGAGTGGCTGGGACTACAAGCGTGCACTACTATGCCCGACTAATTTTTTAAGTATTTGTAGAGACTAGGGTCGCACCATGTTGCCCAGGCTGGTCTCGAACTACTGGGCTCAAGCAGGCCACCTGCCTCAGCCTCCAGAATTGAGATTACAGGCGTGAGCCACTGCGCCTAGCCAGGAGTATTTTTTAGTAGCAGTCCTAGATAGCTTCACTATCATTTCCTGGGAAAGTTTTGGAAACCCCAGCAGAGCCTTCATCTTTAACTGTGTGACCTTGGGCCATTGAAATAACGTTTAATCTTGGTTTTTTCACCTGTAAAATGGGTTGATACGAGGGTCAGTTCAGGCACTGTGCGTAAAGCACATAGCACCGTGTCTAGTAGGTACTCTCTGTTCCTTAACTGTCGTTCCTTGATTGCTCTTAAGATACGACAGTGCCTCTTATATCGGCACCTTAGAATCACCTAGGAAATGTCCTAAATACACGTTTTGGGTCTCCATAGAGAACCTACTGTAGCCGACTCTCAACTTTGGGAGTCTCTTTTTTTAAGCTTTCCAGGTGAGGTGGAATATCACCTGGTTTTGAGAAACATGGATGTAAATCTGATTTTCAGCATCTGGGAAACTTTTTTTGTAAGAGCCTTTTTCTGGGCCCCACTTCCAGAGGGTTTTTCTTTTTTTTTTTTCTTTTGAGACGGAGTCTTGCTCTGTCGCCCAGGCTGGAGTGCAGCGGCGCGATCTCGGCTCACTGCAGCCTCCGCCTCCCGGGTTCACGCCATTCTCCTGCCTCAGCCTCCCGAGTAGCTGGGACTACAGGCGCCCGCCACCACGCCCGGCTAAGTTTTTGTGTTTTTAGTAGAGACGGGGTTTCACCGTGTTAGCCAGGATGGTCTCGATCTCCTGACCTCGTGATCCTCCCGCCTCGGCCTCTCAAAGTGCTGGGATTACAGGCGTGAGCTACCGCTCCCGGCCTTTTTTTTTTTTTTTTTAAAGACAGGGTCTCGCTCCGTCGCCCAAACTGGAGTGCCGTGGTGCGATCTCGGTTCACTGCAACCTCTGCATGCCGAGTTCAAGCGATTCTCGTGTCTCAGCCTCCCGAATAGCTGGGATTACAGGCGCCCGCCACCAGGCCTGGCTAATTTCGCGCTGTTGGCCCGGCTGGTCTCCAACTCCTGGCCTCAAGTGATCCGCCCACCTCGGCCCCCCAAAGTGTTGGCATTACAGACAGGAGCCACTGCGTCAGCCCAGAATTTCTGATTTAATTGGTTTGGCCCCTCCCCTCTCCCTTGGTAGGTTGTAAAATCTTCCCTCCCAGGTGATTCTAATCTATGCAAGGATGTGAACCACTGCTGCCTTTGGTGGCAAGGTAGAGGAAAAACAACCAAGTTCTGATGAGTTCATTCAAGACACACACAGGTATTATGTGACAGGCCTTTGGCTGGCACTGGTTATACCGAGGCAAATAAGAGCCAGTTGTCATCCTTAGGACCCAATCTTATTAGGGCACAGTGACATGTGTAGGAGCGTCCCCACGCAGTGTGTATACCAGGAAGTAGTGTGTCTGGCATGAGGTGTGTGTAGGTAGTTGGGGGGGTCGTGAGGGAATATGGTGGCACCCTCACAGTAACCTTCACTTCCTGGGCTCAAGCGATCCTCCCGCATCAGCCTGTTGAGTACCCGGGACCACAGGTGTGTGCCTCCACACCCAGCTAATTATTACATGTTTTGTAGAAATGGGGTCTCACCATGTTGCCCAGGCTGGTTTGAACTCCTGAACTCAAGCCAGCCTCCCTCCCGAAGCACTGGAATCACAGGCCTGAGGCACTGTGCCAAGCCCAGAGCGGTGTTTTGAGCTCAAGTAGAGGTGGGTGGGGCAGGAGGGCAGTCTAGGTAGAGGGAACAGTGAGAGGAGAGACCCCCTGCATGGCCTGTCCAGGGGCCTGTGATCTTTGTGAGGGTCCAGGAATGTGAAGGTTAAGGCAGGGAAGGGAGGACCCATTTCAAGGATTTCTGTGCCTTGCCGAGAAGCTTGGGCTCTGTTGGCAGAGCCAGAGAGTGGCATTCATTCAGCTTGTGAATTCTGGAAGAATTTCTGGCTCTGGAGAATTAAAGGGACATTTCCAGCAGCAGAGCTCCAGTAGCCTTTGCAGGGACGGAGGCAAGCTCCTGAGCGGGCACTTGCTGTTCCTCTCACCTGTACATCTGTTGGGGAAAGGCTCCTTCTCATCCTTCAGAGCTGAGCTTACATGTCACTGCCCAAGAGACCTTCTTAACTGTGGGTGTCCCCTCGACCTTGTACTAGTCACCTTGTTTCTCTGCTTCTTCGTGCTTAGCCTTGGCTGTGTACTCCTCCTTGTTGGCCCTGTCTCCCTTGCCCAGGTTGCAGATGTCATGGGGCAGCTTGTTCATCTGAGTGTCCCCAGTGCTTGGCACCCAGAAGCCATAAGATGAGCCCCTGTGGGATGAGTAAATGAATCACCTTGGGAGGGTCAGCCGCAGGCTTCTGTGGGTGGGTGGGTGGTGCACTGGGCCCCAGAGTACAAAGATGCACATGACCCGCTTCCGGCTTCCTAAGCCCACCTCTGCCTCTGGCTCTGTGGGGCGTCTCCTCCTTTGCCACTCAGCCCCAGAGGTGCTTCTGCTTCCCTGCAGGCTTGCCCTGGAGCCTGGCGCTAGGGCCCTGGGGCTCCCTTGCTCCTGCGTGCCCCCTGCGCCTGCCTTCCTGCTGCCTGGCCTTTCTCCCATCTGCTTTCTTCCTGAGTGGCCCCTGGCCAGGGGACTCGGGTGCATACATGGTTTCCAAACGCCTTTCCTCCAGCCCTCCCGACTAGTGTCTTAAATCTCAAGCTGGCCTCTCTGGCTCCGCTGTTTTTTTTTTTTTTTTTTTTTTAATTTAATTTAACTTTAAATTCCGGGATACATGTGCAGGATGTGCAGGTTTGTTACATAAGTAAACCTGTGCCATGGTGACTTGCTGCACTTGTCAACCCATCACCTAGTTGTTCAGCCCCCCGTGCATTAGCTATTTATTGTATACACCAGCTGAGATGCCAGGGCTTGGCTGGCTCTCAGCTGGAGGGCTCACTCTCTGGACCTTGTGTCCGTCCCTGCTGGCCCTCAGTTCTCTGGATCAGGGTTGAAAGGCTGAAATTCTTTGGGTGTTAGCTTAGGATGCCTCTGATCCATCCTAACCCGACATTCCCTTGATCTCTCCTGATCTGTGAGCATCCTGGCCCTTCTTTTCTTTTCAGTTTTAATTTTTGCGCTGGCTCCAACCCCTTTTCATTCCTGACTCTGGAAGTGACACTTGTTTTTCTCTTGGGGTTTGGGAAACTTTGTGGTTGTTCTTTCTAGGAGGCTGCTCTTTGAGTCATTTCTTTTCCATATTGTTTCTCCTACTGTAGCAGGGCCATGGCCAGGGATAGAGGCTGTAGCTCCCACTGAGACCTCGGGGTCTGGTGGAACCCGGTCTTGTGTGGGTGCTGTCGGCCTCTCCTGCTTTCCCACCTGCCTCACGGTTCACTTGTGTGCCTCAAAGGCACACATGTCCTAGCACTCCAAAGCCCACCAGGGTGGGCTCCCAGGGGTGAGGTCGAGGTAGACCGGGAACCCAAGAGAGCTGGTGGGCCTTTCTTCTACCCCTCTCCCCTCACAGTCTCAGAGCAGCCCCTTCATGGGAGATGGGAAGTGAGGGACAAGGTCTCAGTGTCAGAGCCGTCCTTGTTTGCCCTTCCCCGTGCCTCTTATGAAGCTCAGGCCTTTTGGCAGTCAGAGGCCTCAATGGTGCCTGTGTCCACAGGGCTGGCTGTCCTCACCGTGAAGTCTAGATCTCCCTGCTAACTTACACTGTGCTCAAAACACACACACACACACACACACACACACACACACACACACTGGCTGTCCTCACTGTCAACTCTAGATCTCCCTGCTAACTTACACTGTGCTCAAAAAACACACGCACGCACGCACGCATGCACGCACATACACACACACACACACACCCATAGGCTGGCCATGGTGGGAGGCCAAGGTGGGAGGATCGCCTGAGCCCAGGAGCTCGAGGCTGCAGTGGGCTATGATTGCATCACTGTACTCTAGCCTGGGCCACAGAATGAGACCTTGTCTAAAAAAAAATTAACAGAAAACACCCCATACGTGGAAGTGTGGTATTCACATAATATGATGTTCACTTAAATTTGAATCCTTTGGTTTAAGTTTAGATTACTCTTAATTATCTTTTTAAATGACAAGCTCGTTGAAAGAATAAAAAATCAAAGACGGCTTCTATTTAAAGGAGAATAGGAGAATGCTTAGGGGACATGTGTTCTAATTTTCTCTTCATTAAAAAGTCATTTAAGGTTATAATTAAAAAGAACATCTTTTAATTAATTTTTATATTTATTAAAAAAAAGTCTTCTATTGAAAGGTACAGTTCTTAGTTCTTCCCGTGTTAACTCACTCGGTTCTCTATAACCCCAAGAAGTAAGTGCTGTTATTGTCCCCATCTAAACTGTTGAGGAAACTGAGGCATGGGATTAAATGACTTCTTCAAGGGCAGAGTGGCTGGCAAATGGGAGACCCAGAAAACCTTGGCAGTTGGGCTTCAGAATCTTCACGACCAAATTACTCTCTCTGCTTCAGCTGGTTCCGGATTCTTCCCCAGGGATGGTTGTGTCCTGCAGGGGACGGCTGGCAATGTCTGGAGATGCTTTCTGTTGCCACAGCTATGGGACTGGGGTATTGGCATCTGATGGGCAGAGGCCAGTGGTGCCCAAGGCAGCCCCGCAACAAAGAATGATGCAGGCCGGGTGCAGTGGTTCACGCCTGTAATCCCAGCACTTTGGGAGGCCGAGGCAGGTGGATCAGTTGAGGTCAGGAGTTCGAGACCTGCCTGGCCAACATGGTGAAACCCCATCTCTACTAAAAATACAAAAATTATCCCGGCATGGTGGCAGGTGCCTGTAATCCTAGCTACTCAGGCTGAGGCGGGAGAATTGCTTGAACCTGGGAGGCAGAGGTTGCAGTGAGCTGAGATTGCACCACTGTACTGCAGCCTGGGTGACAGAGTGAGACTCTGTCTCAAAAAAAAAAAAAAGAATGATCCAGCCCCAAGTGCCACCAGCAGTGAGAATAAGAAACCCTGATTCAGGCATGTTCTGTGAAAGTCAAGAACGTAGGTTGACAGAGTTTGTTTTGTTTTTTAAATGTCTTTCTGAATAAATAAAAACTGTTCTGAGTGAGTTTTGTAGTTCCTTTGGAAAGTATTCATTCTGTTTGTTTACATTTGTGCGCCTGCTGTGGGCCAGGCATGAGGCTACATGTCTGAGGGCCCAGCTTCACCTTCTAAGGGCTGGGAGGCTCTTTCTATGCCAGCCTGCCTGCCAACAAGGCTCAGCTTCCACTGTTAAGGGTCATTTTGTGGATTTTTTTATTTTTTATTTTTAGGTTGAGTCTTGCTTTTTCGCCCAGGCTGGACTGCAGTGGCGTGATTTTGGCTCACTGCAACCTCCACCTCCCAGGTTCAGGAAATTCTCATGCCTCAGCCACTCAAGTAGCTGGGATTACAGGCATGTGCCACCATGTCTGTCTAATTTTTGTATTTTTAGTAGAGATGGGGTTTTGCCATGTTGCCTAGGCTGGTCTCGATCTCCTGGGCTCTAGCGATCCTCCCGCCTCGGCCTCCCAAAGTGCTGGGATTACAGGCGTGAGCCACCGTACCCCGCCACTCCATGGATTCTTGAGGGCAGAGTTTTTTGGAGCCAGGCTTCAAGCACATTTGATGTGTGCCTATGAGATAAAGACTGCTTTTAATGGCAGGCAAGGAAAATGCAAGTCCATCTCTTAACTTTCTTGAAGAAGCTTGAGACACAGCTCTGCAAGGGGCTGGAAGGTTTCATGTTATTGCCAATGCTTGGTTTATCTGATTGCTGTTGCCATTCATTTTGAAGGAGAAGCAGGAGTTGGTATACCAATATTCCCACTGTGCCAGCAGAGAGCGGGTTATCCTTACTAGAGAGCCAGAGAGTCAGAACGGTTTTTTTTTGTTTTTTTTTTTTTTTTTTGAGATGGAGTTTCACAATTGTTGCCCAGGCTGGAGTGCACGATCTCAGCTCACCGCAGCCTCTGCCTGCCGGGTTGAAGCAATTCTCCTGCCTCAGCTTCCCGAGTAGCTGGGATTACAGGCATGTGCCACCACGCCAGGCTAATTTTGTATTTTTAGTAGAGACAGGGTTTCTCCATGTTGTTCAGGCTGGTCGCGAACTCCTGACCTCAGGTAATCCGCCTGCCTTGCCCTCCTGAAGTACTGGGATTACAGACATGAGCCACCGCGCCCGGCCACAGAGCTGCTTTTTTTTGCAAGTGATATTGGATGGTGGTTGATGTACAAAGTAGGAGTTTGTCCTTGCTACTGATACCGTAGCTGGTACAAGGTTTTAATCGTTCTCCAAGCACTGTCACAGGTGTCATGTGTCTCGCCTTTTCAGCAGCTCTGTGAGGTGGCAGTAGCCCTGAGGAGACTGGCTGGACTCAGCTAGCATGGGCTGCTCAGGTCTTCAGCGTGCTGAGTGAGGCATTCCTGCACTATGACAGAGACCCAGCTGCCAAGACTTTGTCAAACAGACCAGAAGCCAGCAGTTCATGAAAAGACCTTGCTTGCAAGTTGTAGAATTTTTTAGAAAATTCGTGCTCTCTGTATTTATTTTCTGTAAAATAATTGATAGGGAAAGAATGTTCACATCTTATCATCTAGATGTTGCTGATTAAATAATATAACTTTCTGGGTTGGCATGAGTAGGTGAACTTTTAGGAAACGCAGCCTACCCTTCGAATACCTCTTGTAGCACCTGGCTGTTTCCCTTTTGAAATAATTGTATGTTTTCCTGGATACCTTATTACCTGGTGACACGTGTTTCTAGTTATTGACCTATGTTTTTAATTATAACTTTGGGTGGTGGTCTGAAATGAAATGTTAAGTTTGACGCAAAAATAGGACTAGTTTGTGTAACTGATTTGTTCAGAATAACAGCTTACATTTCTCAGAGCTTTTTGTATGCCAAGTGCTATGCGAAACCCTGGATGTACAATATTCTTATAGTAGCCCCTGAGACCAGTGCTAGGATTATTTCCATTTTGCAGATGAGGGGATGGAGATTAAGGAGTGGGGTCACTTGACCAAAGGTGCACAGCGCACAGCTAGATGCCCTATGGGAAGGTCTTACTGCATCTCTTAACTACCTCTTGGGACCAGTTAGGAACCAGTGCTTAATGAAACACTTTGAAGTTACATCTGTGGAAAGAATAAACATTTTAGCTGGGCAAGGTGGCACGGGCTTCTAGTCCCAGCCACTCAAGAGGCTGAAATAGGAGGGTTACTTGAGTCCAGGAGTTCCAGTCCAGCCTGGGCAACATAGTGAGACCCTGATTCTTTAAAAAGAAACACAAATAAATAAACATTTTAAGAGATTATATAAATTAGATATTATGAATTTTGTCCCTACATCGTGGAATAAAACCAAAACAAATACACAGCAAAATGCCTCTAGATTTATTTATTTATTTATTTATTTTTGAGACAGAGTCTTGCTCTGTCGCCAGGCTGGAGTGCAGCGGCGTGATCTCGGCTCACTGCAACTTCTGCTTCCCTGGCTCAAGCGATTCTCCTGCCTCAGCCTCCCGAGTAGCTGGGACTACAGGCACGTGCCACTGTCCCCAGCTAATTTTGTATTTTTGGTAGAGACAGGGTTTCACCATGTTGGCCAGGATGGTCTCCATCTCCTGACCTTGTGATCTGCTCCCCTAGGGCTCCCAAAGTGCTGGGATTACAGGTGTGAGCCACCGCTCCCGACGGCCTCTAGATATTTTGAGTGATTCAGCAAACCTCCTAAAGTTGACCCCGTAGCTGGGGTCACAGTCCTCTTTCTCCTTCTTCCCCCTACTTCCTTCTTATATCTGGCTATCTGGGAGAGAAAAAATTTAATACAATTGATTACTTTTTAGAAGAGTTAATTTTTACTTATTACTGTGGATTTTTTGTTTTTTAACAGTCACACCGAGGAGAAGACTCAGTGGGAACATCCAAAAACTGGAAAAAGAAAACGAGTGGCAGGAGGTTTGTATGTTGTTGTCTAAGGATCTTGGATGGAAGCATTAAGTAGATGAGGAAATGTCACTGGCAGAGAGGTGACAGGTTATTGTGTGTTTAGGGAGGGCTCTCTGGTAGAGAACCAGACTCCCACTCTGAGGAGCTTATGGGATTTGGCAGAAGAAGATGATGAGATCATAGGGTGGAGTGAGGATGATTTCTTACTGGTCTTAAAGTACCAAAATGGCCAGATGTGGTGGCTCATGCCTGTAATCCCAGCACTTCGGGAGGCCGAGGCGGATGGATCACCTGAGGTCAGGAGTTTGAGACTAGCCTGGCCAACATGTTGAAAGCGCATCTCTTCTAAAAATACAAAAATTAGCTGGGCATGGTTGCATGCGCCTGTAATTCCAGCTACTTTGGAGGCTGAGGCACGAGAAGTGCTCAAACCCAGGAGCTGGAGGTTGCAGTGAGCCAAGATCACACCACTGCGCTCCAGCCTCGGTGACAGAGTGAGATGCTGTCTGAAAAATAGCGACAACAACAACAACAAAAACCAGAAAATAATTGAGGCCTTTGATTCACAGTTTATGATGTTTTCCTATCGTTGCAGTGTTTATAAAATTGTTCTTGGCTATACTATGGAATTAAATATATAAGTATTTGGAAATTTCGTAAAGATTACCATGACTTCTAGGTGATTCTGAGATAATGTATGATCCACGGAATAGAAGTATAAGAAAGGGACAGGCACGGTGGCTTGTGCTTGTGATCCCAGCCCTTTGGGAGGCAGAGGTGGGAGGATCACTTGTGCCTGGGAATTCGAGGTGAGCCTAGGCAACATAGTGAGACCCCATCTCAAAAAAAAATATGAGAAGGTTCCTGCCCTTAAGAGGTTTAGGATCCAGCTGAAGAATCAACATGTGCACATGAAAAAAAATGGCCGTGCCCTCTAATGTCATATGAGGTCAGCGTATGAATGACGTTGGGTGCCTGCCCTGCATATACATATGTTCTTTGAGCTCATTCAAGGGAGAATTCCCATGGATTGGCACAACCAGTATGGTTTATAGAGCGATCAGGAATAAAATAGGTTTTCTTCAAAACAAGAGGCAAAAATGTGGAGCCCAGGGTGGGATCAGGGGCCTTCTGCAGCTGTCGCAGTTGGAACATGTGACGAAAGCCAGTTGATGTGACAACTGCTGGGTGGGAGGGACAGGCTTGGGGGCGGGGCTGGGAGGGCTCCTTCCCTTCCTGACCCAGGGATGGTCTTTACTTCTCCCTGGCACCTGTAGACCTGTCTTTCTTGTGTTTCAGATTTGCCATACGGATGGGAACAAGAAACTGATGAGAACGGACAAGTGTTTTTTGTTGAGTAAGTGTCTGCAAAGAAACCACTCTCAGCTGTTTTGCTTTTTAATAGGAATTTTTAATTATAAAAGTAATACATAGTAACTGTAGAAAAATACAAAGTATAACAGTGTGTATCTGTAATCTTAGCAGAAGTGACTACTTTTAACATCGCTGGAACTTTTAACATCGCTAGATTTATTCTTCTATTTTCCCCGCACACGCATCCTTAAAAAAAAAAAGTAGGGAGGCCAGGCATGGTGGCTCATGCCTGTAATCCCAGCACTTTGGGAGGTCGAAGTGGGTGGATCCTGAGGTCAAGAGATCGAGACCATTCTGGCCAACATGGTGAAACTCCGTCTCTACTAAAAATATAAAAATGAGCTGGGTGTGGTGGCACGTGCCTGTGGTCCCTGCTACTCGGGAGGGTAAGGCGGGAGAATCACTTGAACCCAGGAGGCGGAAGTTGCAGTGAGCTGAGATCGCGCCACTGCACTCCAGCCTGGGTGACAGAATGAGACTCCTTCTCAAAAAAAAAAAAAAAAAAAAAAGAGGGAATGCACTGTGTGGACTGTTTAGTAACCTGCTTTTTCCATGTAATATATTATGAGCATTTTCTTGTATCCATATCTATTTTTCAAAAAGATGCTATTTAGCAGCTCTAGAGTTATTATTTTGTACAGATATACTATAATTTATCAAATTGCCTATTGGACATTAATGCTAAATTCCTGTTATAGAGAACCTATAATTATAAATAATGTATTGAGCATCCTTATCTGTAAGACTTTTTCACCTCTCTGATTCTGTCTTTAGGATAAATTCCGGTATCACGCAGCAATAGTAACCACCTGTCCAACATATAGCATGAGCCAGGCCTGATTCTAATCATCTTGTATCTGTAGCATTAGGTCATTGGATCCCCACAGTGCCCTGAGAGGTAGTATTGTTATTATCCCTAGCTTACTGCCAGTGACACAGACTTGAGGGGGTAAGTGACTTGTTAAGGATCCCACAGCAAAGAAGTAGCACAGCCAGGCTTTGAGCCCAGCACCTGCTCCAGGGACTGTACTCTTGACCACCGTAGTTAAGAGGAGAATTAATGTTTCACAACTGTCAACATTTAAATTAGAAGCTTGAATAGTCTTTGACAGGATTAGGATTGGTTGGTTAATAGAAGTTGATTTGAGCAGGAATTTTTTTTTTTTTTAAAGTTATGAATGTAACATAAACGTTTCAGTATTTGATTCAAGTACACCAACATTTAGGGGTCGGGCCAGCCCTCCTCTGAGTGTGAGTCCACTTGCATGGATCCAGTGTGGTCTTCCTTCCCCTAAGCATGCCTGTAACATAACATCTACAATTTCTACTTTCATTTTATGTGGGCGAAAGAGTACCTAGGTGCCGAGGCAAGAGACTGAAGGCACAAACTGTTTCAGTATAATAAAGAAAGTAGTTAGAATAAGAATAGTCATAATACAGGTTAGATATGGAGATGATCATGGACAATTATCAATCATTACTATAAACACTATTAATCATTAGCTTTTAATATTACTCTTTGTGGCATTACTAACATAACCTAGGAATAACTGGCATGTATAGGCTCAGGTGCTAAAGGGACATTGTGAGAAGTGACCTAGAAGGCAAGAGGTGAGCCTTCTGTCACACCCGCATAAGGGCTGCTTGAGGGCTCCTTGGTCAAGCGGTAACGCCAGTGTCTGGGAAGACACCCGTTACTTAGCAGACCGCGAAAGGGAGTCTCCTTTCCTTGGAGGAGTCAGGGAACACTCTGCTCCACCAGCTTCTTGTGGAAGGCTGGGTATTATCCAGGCCTGCCCACAGTCATCCGGAGGCCTAAACCCCTCCCTGTGGTGCTGTGTTTCAATGGTCACGTACGTTGTCCGCTTTCATGCTCCTCCCGTACTCCTGGTTCCTCTTTGAAGTACGTAGTAGATAGTGGTAGAAGAAATGGTGAAAGTTTTAAAGTCTTTGATCTTTCTTTTAAGGGCAGAAAAGAAAATGCTGACGTATGCTGCCTTCTCTCTCTGCTTCGGCTACCTAAAAGGGAAGGGCCCTCTATCCTGTAATCACGTGACTTGCTTCACCTTGTCAATCACTTAGAAGATTCACCCTCCTTACCCTGCCCCCTTGTCTTGTATGCGATAAATATCAGCGTGCCCAGCCGTTCGGGGCCACTACCGGTCTCCACATCTTGGTGGTAGTGGCCCCCACCCTGGGCCCAGCTGTTTTCTCCTTATCTCTTTGTCTTGTGTCTTTATTTATTACAATCCCTCGTCTCTGCACACGGGGAGAACACCCGCTAAGCCCAGTAGGGCTGGACCCTACAACTTTAAGGTTGAG
Organism: Homo sapiens; assembly: GCF_000001405.40. Classification (NCBI taxonomy): domain Eukaryota; kingdom Metazoa; phylum Chordata; class Mammalia; order Primates; family Hominidae; genus Homo; species Homo sapiens. The sequence continues at coordinate 78,112,175 of NC_000016.10, forward strand.
CAAACACAGTATTTTCAAAGAATCTGATTGCTACATCATTTGGGAGTTTTATGGTATTTTTCTAGCATTTTCACTGTAGTTGATTGAACCAAAACTTTTTTTTTAGCTGCTTGTCTTTGAGGCTCTCCAAAGCATTCGACCACATTTTCATAGATACCACTGACACTATTTTTCACCTCCCATGTTATCAGTTTGTGTAATAGTAGCTTGCTGGTAATGTAGTTACAGTAACAAGTTCAAATGACATGTGTGTTTTTTGAGCAAACCTGGTGAACTTTTGGTGCAAAACTGATATTGAGAGCAAATAGGCCAAAGCTTGCTTGAGAGAAGTCTCCCAGGCCACCATAGGCAGCCCCAGGAAGACGGGGCTGTCTAGCAGTTGGATAGGTGGGAGTGCCTATTATTTGTTAAAAGGCTTTTTGCCTAACTTGTGAAAGTTTTTTTTCCTCAACTAATTAAGGGTATCAACGCATTGGTTGTATGTTGAAAATGTTGAAAATGTTTTTTTTTTTTTTCCAAGTTTTCTTTCTTTTTTTTTTTTTATACTGGGTCTTGCTCTTCTTATCCAGGGCTGAGGTGCAGTGACACAGTCACAGCTCGCTGCAGCCTCAACCTCCTGGACTCAAGTGATCCTCCTGCCTCAGCCTTCTGAGGAGCTGGGACTACAGGCTCATGCTGCCATGCCCAGCTAATTTTTAAAGACTTTTTTTTTGTAGAGACTGAGGCTCAGTATGTTGCCCAGGCTGGTCTTGAACTTCTGGCCTTCAGCGATCCTCCTGCCTTGACTTCCCAAAGCATTCATATTACAGGCATGAGCGACCACACCTGACTGAATTTCTTAAATTTTTTATGTAGTCAAATCAATTTTCTCCTGTGCAGTCTTTGCCTTTGCATTCACGCTTGGAAAGTTACTCCCTGAAATGGGTATTAATCAACCAAGAGCAGCAGTTCTCAGGCATGGTTCCTGGACCAGCAGCATTAATATCACCTGGGAATTCAATAAAAATGTACATTCCCAGGCCCCCACCCCAGACCTACTGAATCAGCACTGGGGTGGGGCTTGCAATCTGCGCTCTAATAGTCATCCAGGGGATCCTGATGTTCCCTAGCTTGAGAGCCTCCCGTCTAGAGCAGGGGCTGTCTCCTTTGCCTGTAAAGGGCTAGATAATATGTTTTAGGATTTGCAGGGCATATGGTTTCTGTTGCAATGATTCAACTCTGCCTTTGTAGTGCTAAAGCAGCTATACACAATATACAAGTGATGGGCGTTGTTGTGTTCCAATAAAACTTTATTTACAGAAACAGGCAGTGGGCCAGATTTGGCCAGCTCCTGGTCTAATCTAGAGGAGTAAGCAAGGGCTTTGGGGGGAACCTGGAAATTGGCTCCCCTGGCTAGTTCTCACTTTTCTGAGCCTGTTGCAGTGGGGTGCTGGTAAATGTTTAGCACCAGGTCTTCAGGGGGAAAAAAGCCACTGTTTGTTTCCACAGTATAAATACTTTGGCCATAGCTGATTTCATGCTGCCAAGGTGAAGTGAGGAATTGGGAAGAGATAGTCACGTTTGGCTCTTGTAAGCCAGTTTGAGCCAGTCTAGCATAGAACTGCTCTGTTGTGTGTGTATAATATTGGGGTCACAAATTAAGGTTGTTATAAATAGAATGAGGATGAGGATGGTAATAATTAGAATAAAGGTTGGATTATTACTCTTGAGTCTTGGTACTTATAGGGAGATGAGTATATATTTTAAACTAATTTTACACACACATACTTTTAAAATATGAAATTTCATCTATATTTAGAGGCTTCTTAATAGTTTTTAAGATATTCTGAGGTCTTTATCTCATATCCCAAGAATACATTTAAGATATAAAAAGTAAATTCTATTATAAGGAGTACTCTTTTCATCCATATGTGCCTTTTTTTTTTTTTTTTTTTTAATGGTTACCCAGGGTCTTGGTCTGTCACCCAGGCTAGAGTGCAGTGGCACAATCATGGCTCACTGCAGCTTTGATCTCTTAGGCTCACGTGATCATCCTCCTACCTCAGCCTCCCAAGTAGCTGCGACTACAGGCGTGTGCTATCACACTTGAAATTTTGTTTAGTGTTTGTAGAGATGAGGTCTAACTATGTTGCCCAGGCTGGTCTTGAACTCCTGGGCTCAAGTGGTCCTCTTGCCTTGGCCTCCCAAATTGCCGAGATTACAGGCGTGAGCCACTGTGCCCAGCCTCCAGTATATTTTAATACCATTTCTACAAGATTTAGATCAATTCCAAATCAAAATGAGTGCTCGTAGGAGGTATGAGTGCAGAGTCTTAAAATGAAAATCGTTAGAATTTTGGTAGTTGGCAGGTTTCTTATTTACAACTAAGACTTTATCATTTTGAGTTTTCTACTTCTCTACGTCTTTAGGCCCTTGCACAGGGCTAAGAGATTTAATTGAAATCTACTGAAAAGAGTGGCTGACAGATCTTATAGCTACATTTACATGAATTACATAAAAGCCCAAAACCTTCTCAAGAAGCCTTTTTTGAGATCTAAGGATACATGGCAATAGTTATTGTATGTTACAGCGTATGTTATAGGCAGTTCTGAAGGAAAGGATTCGATGACTATCTTTTTTTGGCACAAATGTGATCCTTCTGGAGGCCAGAAGATAGATTCAGTGGGCCCCAGTTCTTTCAGGTTTAAGGAATAAGCATTTTGGTCTATGAAAAATGGGGTTTTCCTAAAGTATAAGATTGTCTTATATTTATAAATGCCTGTGTTCATTGCTGTGGGTTCACTGCTTTCTCTTTTGGGCAGCCATATAAATAAAAGAACCACCTACTTGGACCCAAGACTGGCGTTTACTGTGGATGATAATCCGACCAAGCCAACCACCCGGCAAAGATACGACGGCAGCACCACTGCCATGGAAATTCTCCAGGGCCGGGATTTCACTGGCAAAGTGGTTGTGGTCACTGGAGCTAATTCAGGAATAGGTAGGCTCTTCACTTAGTTATTTATCTTTGGGACTGCTATAATGAGATCCACTTAGATCTAGCTATAATGGAATTTTGTTTAGTGGTTCTCTGATTTAAACATGACTTTTATCCTTTTCAGATATCGTTTCATTAACATCACTACCTCTTTTTAAATCCTAATGTTGTCATGGAAGCCTGTGTAGGGGCTGACCTTGAAGTCTCTGAAAGCTGAACACTCAGCAAAAGACTGTGGCTATTTTGGTATTCAGGGATGAGAGACAACAGGCTCCGTCTAAGAGTTTTTGACCTGGTCTGCATGGTGTATGGGCATATTCCAATTACCTGGGTTATTCAAACCAAAATTGATTGGTAATAGAATACGGGGAACAACAAGGTATTATGTCTTTGGAACAAAGGATACTACAGGTTTCGACTGGTCACTGAGCATATCATTTTCTTTTGGGCACAGGATCTTATTTCTCTATAAAATTGGAGAATGAGTTCCTGTCTTCACCTCTTAATTGCCAATGTTTACCCACAGGGACTATCATGGGTAGATGGCTCAAGAGGGTATCCTTGCTTCAATATGATGGGCCATTAAGGAGACAGGAGCAAGGCGGGAGCAAACCATAACTCTTCATAGGATTTTATTCTGATTTTGCTTTGATCTATTTACATAAGTATCTGAATCAGTGAGAACCACCTGCTTTGAGTTTAGATATGCATCTTCAGATTTGTCGACATATGAAACGTTGCATTTGGCTGTCTTCTGTCAAGTTCTCTCTGTCCTTTTGGTCCCCCGCAGCCCTCACACGGCCCCCTTGATGCCCTCCTCTACTCATTTGTTTCTCTTTCCTAATTTTGTTTTTATTTTTATTTTTTGTGGGTATATAAAGGTGTCTATATTTATGGGGTTCATGAGATGTTTTGATACAGGGATGCAATGTGAAATAGTCACATCATGGAGAATGGGGTATCCATCCCCTCAAGAATTTATCCTTTGAGTGATAAACAATTCAGTTATACCCTTTTAGATATTTTACAATGTGCAATTAAGTTATTATTAACTATAATCAACTTGTTGTGCTATCAAATAGTAGGTCTTATTCTTTCTTTCTATCTTTTTTGTACCCATTAACCATCTGCACTTCTTTCTTAATTTTGAACAATTCCTTGAAGCTGCAGAAATATTTTCTAGCATGATTAGGGAGGCACAGGAGGTAAAAATACATTGTTCAAGGGTCAATTATTGTGTTGTACAAGGTGTGAAATCTACCAGGTTGCCATCCGAGTGGAGAATTTTTTTACTGTACTTGCCTATGAAGGTAAAGAAGCAAATGGAAATTTTTTTTTAAGAATTGAAAGGATTTTATTTCAAATCAACTCTCATACCTCATCCTGGGCTCCAAATATGTTCAATCCACTTGTCTGAACTTCTGCATTGGAGTAAATTTTATATAATTGTCATTGAAGTCAAAACTGATGGCGTAATATTTAAAACAATGGCTGGATCCCCAATCTAAGAAGAATACATTTTGTTGATCATATTAAGTACTGTTACAGTGAATGCATGGACCCATACAATTGTGGAATAATTAAGAAAAAAGGACTTAAGGGCTTAAAAATGTCTTTTTAACAATTTAACAAGTTAGCCAGAAACTTTAAAGATCTTATTCTCTTAATCTTCTAGCTAGACTCTTTTTCTGTAATGAGTAAGATATGTGACTACTGATTGTTTTTTGTGTTAAGTGTTCGAACTGCTCCATGTGACATTAGATAGCAGACTCTTGAATAGAGCTAATGCTCTTTCAAAGATTTGCAACAGCAGACCTGCGACATTGTAATCCAGGACTGATAGAGTTGGTTCAGAATATTAAAAGGGTGATATCTAGTTAGATACATAAGTCTTGATGGAGAGGAGGAGATTCTGAAGCATTGAGAATAAATTTGTGGTTGCTGAGAATGGCCCTCACATGTTGGAGTAAAGCCAGAAACTCTTTGTGCCTCTTCACAGCTCCCACTTCCCCCTAAGACTCTTCCTTCCTGATACCTATAATTCATTTTGTGGACACTGCAGGAGGTGTCTGCGGTCCAGTTGGAGGTTGTGGCAAATTGTAACGCTCAGGATGGCACAGATGTCGCACAAGGTCTTAGGGAGACCAGCCTTTCCTATTCAAGTGCCCACAGCTCTTTCCCCAGCTGTCACCTTCCGCAGGAATGGCCTTTAACACTGTCACCTCACCCCATTCCCCTCCACTCTTGGGAAGCATACGTCTAGGTGAGTGGTGAAGATTTTTATTCTGAATTTTTGAAATAATATCGTACTGCAAGTTCCAGGCAATCAAAAACTCACAAATCACTTGCACTCTGCAGCAGTGGTATCAGGTCTGAAGAAAGGAAGAGGCTGCAGATAGGCACATGGCTTTGCTAAGTTAGCTTTTATATCCTGCGTGGCTGCCTTAGAAAGTGTCCTTGCCCAAGTAGGCTGTGGCTTCTAGATAAAGTCCTTCTACTAAGCTATGAAACATGCCAATTTATAAATTGCTATCACTACTTTAGTTCCGCTCATTTAAAATGAAATAGCTGAATGCCGAGTGAGTGAATTGGGCATCTTTACTTCCAAGACTTCTGGGGCATTCAGGAGTCATATTCTATCTAAGCTTTAATGGTGTTGGTGTTCCCTTTCCTTTGGCCACTCAAGGGAGCCTGTTTTCTTTGGATAAACCGTGAAATCTTTAACCCTGTGAATGTCCGTTTTCTCTAAGGCGGGGTGGGCTGAAACATAACATAACAGGATTTATTTTGAAAGTGGTGACTCCACAATAAAAACATAGATATCTAATTTGCCTTACAAAGGCCGATTTGCAAATCTAGTATTTCCAGTGGTTCTTTCTTTCTTTCTTTCTTTCTTTTTTTTTTTTAATGCCCCATATGACGCTGCTTTGTTGGAATTGCCATTGGTGAGGATCTCACTGATAAAGAAGGGGACATCCCTCCCTTGATAGACTTTAGGGTTGCACTAGAGCCATGCCCCCTTTGAAGTGGCCTCTAAGCAAACTCTGTCTTGTCATCATTTTCCTCTCTGCAGCTGTAAGTGATACGGAGCTGTATTTTGAGTTTTTGATACTGATATTACTAAGGCAATTGGAGGGATTCTTAATTCATCTAAAAAAAATCAGGGATTCTGACAGATAAAAGGATTTGGAGGAAATGTCAGAATAAAGCATTGTGGGTTCATGAAGTCCTAGGTTTTATAATTAAGGTTTATAGGCAGGTATTACCGCTGCTGACTGGATTCAACTGTCTGGATTGGAGATGAACAAACTGCCATCTCTGGGCTAACTCTGACCCACTGCCTGATTTTGTAAGTAGAATTTTTTTTGGAACACAGCCATGCCCATTTATTCCCATTCCTATAATGTTGAACTACTGTTTGTGTATATTCAGTTATCCCAAAATAATATGGCCCTTTGCTTGTTACCAGAAGAGTCGCCCAGTTGTGGCAGAGATCATCTAGCTCGCAAAACTGTAAATATTTACTCTTTGGCCTTTCCCAGAAAAAAGTGCCGACTGCTATGTTAGATACTCCAGTTCATTGAAAGTGATATCACCCTAACATTCTCTAAATTAGCCACAGCTTAGATGAAATTTAGGCAAATGGAATGCCCCAGGCCCCAGGAAGACTGTGGCAGCACATTGTATGTAACTGTTGGGGATGTTGCCTGAAACCCCCGCCTTTTTTTTAGGCAGCTGCAAGGATTAGAATGTTGCCTCCTCAGAAACTAACACTCTTCTCTCCTTGACCTTTGTTTAACCAGCTTTCTGAACCTGAAGAACTTTGTAGATTGAAAGCTGTAGCTTGTGGACCTCTCTCTGTGGAGATCAGCATCTCAGTATCCAGGGGGAAGCCATCTCTTCACCCAAAGCTTCCGCTAGGAGATCAAGAGGCCCGGAACCCCGCAGTCCTGAATGCTAACCAGTAGAGACAAGGGAGGAATTCATTTCTGTTTGTGTTCAACATAGACTGAGCAGGAAGGGCCAGGTGTTTTACGACTCTTTGGAGTTAGCAGCTTGTTGGCTCTGATTTGGTAAAAGCAACGGAAATGCCTTCAGCACGGTGAACATTACATGCAAATGTTGGGAAGTGTTAGGAAAGGGAATTTTTTTAGGCGAGGGAATTTCGCATTGAGGAAGGTCCCTGCTTCGTTTTTAGACACAGCCTATCAGTCAGCTAATTTGGCTATGCATATAAATACTTTAGTATAAAATGCTGCCCCCTGCTACCTGCAGGCTGACATGTTGCTCATCAAAGGCAGGATCCTTCTAATGAGGGATTAGTTGGATGCCTAAATGTGGGACCACCTACTCTGTTCATTGTCTTAATTAGCTAGATGTTTGTTGGAGCGCATGCAAATTATTTTCTGTAAGCAGACAGATTTATTATCATATTTACGGAGTGACATCCAGGGTTTGTGAGACATCCATTAAATTTTTTTTTTTTTTTAATGTTTGAGATGGGGTCTCACTGTGTTGCTCAGGTGTTGGTCTCAAACTCCTGGGTTCAAGTGATCCTCCCACCTTAGCCTCCCAAAGTACTGAGATTACTGGTGTGAGCCACTGTGCCCAGATGCTATTAGCAAGTATGAACAAATTAGATATTTTCAGTCTACTCTTCTGTGGTAATGATGATAAAACTTCTTAACTTTCAGTCCTAAACCAGCAGTGGCTAAAACTTGATTTTTAAAATTTTTTTCAGAGTTTGGTCCAGATGAAGTTTCTTTCACCTTGCGAACCTTTAGAACGCTGGGCTGCATCATGTGTGTTGTAACTTTAAAGTTAGAATAGCCTAGCTTCGTTACAGTTTTTGAGCCAAAGGACCCATTAACAGAAACAAAACTTTTTTTCCTGCAAACAAATACAAGCTGGCCACACTGGTAAATACCAGTGAAATATATTTTGGGACTGACACTTGCATTTTCTATTGGTACTTATGTCACAAAATCACCTCTCTAACGTGTATTACATGGACCTATATATATGCATACTTACATATCAAAATGTATATATTTTGAGGTATAAAAAGTACGTGCTCAAGGTATTGGTCACTCCTCAATTTGTTTTCCTTGAAACAAAATGAAGGTATAAATATTTCAGCCGGGCGCGGTGGCTCACGCCTGTAATCCCAGCACTTTGAGAGGCCGAGGCGGGTGGATCATGAGGTCAGGAGATCGAGACCATCCTGGCTAACAAGGTGAAACCCCGTCTCTACTAAAAATACAAAAAATTAGCCAGGCGCAGTGGCGGGCGCCTGTAGTCCCAGCTACTCGGGAGGCTGAGGCAGGAGAATGGCGTGAACCCGGGAAGTGGAGCTTGCAGTGAGCTGAGATTGCGCCACTGCAGTCCGCAGTCCGGCCTGGGCGACAGAGCGAGACTCCGTCTCAAAAAAAAAAAAAAAAAATTTCATGCAGGGAATCCCAAAATGTAATTATAGTGTGATGTTGAAATTGATTGTCTTAGCTTAGAGAGCCTACTTTTTAAAACTTAGGGTCTTGTTTCTAAATCATGTGTTGAAATTACAGTGTGAACTGTAGTTGCCATACTCTTTGATCCTACAAATTGTCACCACGATGAATTCATATCTTGTGCAAATTTTACCAGTTCTACGTGAATAGAAGAAAATTACTTTTTCTTCATGTAGAGAAGGGTATTCATTCCTAAGATTTTAAATCCACACTTCCCAATTATGGACTACGCCAGCTTCCTTTACACCTTTGCTTCTTTGTTTTCTTTTCCATACCTAAATGTTACTAAATTTTGCCTTTGAGCCTAAAGCATGTCATTGATGGTTTTTTTTTTTCTAGTTATTCCAAAAGGTCCCATAAATCTGGGGCCATAGCTAACTTACATTTAGTCATTTTCATGGGTAAAACACACTCATATGAGATCATTGCACTTGGGATCTTGAAATGCCTGATTAGTTTCCTTTCTGATTGTTGACCAGACTTAAACTAGTGGGATCTTGGCATTTATCTTTTTAAAAACCTGGTGCTCATTAAGGAAAGGAAAATATTCTGAAATAATCGAAATAACCTTTTGGGCATTGGAACTCCATTTTAAATTAAAAACATTTGTGCCTACTATTATCTTATGCTAAATTATACCCAGGTATTGTAAGTAAAATTATTTTGAAGTTACTTTGTTCTAAGAAACTATGGAGATTCTTGACAGTGTTAGACAAAGTCCTTAAATGACATTATATAAAAATTGAGAATTAGTACCTTATGACTTAACCATTTTACACTGAGATATTATTGGACATTGAGTGTACATGGAAATCACGTGATCAAAGTATTTGAGAAGTAAATATCTAAAGGAAGAGACCAATTTAAAACATTCTAATGAGCATCATCTCATAATTTGGTAATCTCATGTAAAATGCTTATAATAGGGGTGTGTGTATGTTATATATATTTTTAAAATAAATTTGTAATCATGTATACAGTAGTCCCCCCTTATCCGTGGTGTTTCAGTTTTTTTTTTTTTGAGTCAGAGTATTACTCTGTTGCGCAGGCTGGAGTACAGTGGCGTGATCTCAGCTCACTGCAACCTTTGTCTCCCAGGGCCTGGTGATTCTCATGTCTCAGCCTCCTGAGTAGCTGGGATTACAGGTGCACACCACCACTCCCTACTAATTTTATGTTTTTAGTAGAGACAAGGTTTTGCCATGTTGTCCATACAGGTCTTGAACTCCTGACATTAGGCAATCTGCTTGCCTCAACCTCCCCAAATGCTGGGATTACAGGTGTGAACCGCTGTGCCTGGCCCGTGTTTCACTTTTTGAGGTTTCAGTTACCTGAGGTCAACAGGCATCTGAAAATACTAATTTTGAGAGAGAGAGAGTGTGAGAGACCACATTTACATAACTTTTATACAGTACATTGTTATAGTTCTATTTTATTATTATTGTTGATCTCTTACTGTGCCTAATTTATAAATTAAAATTTATCCTAGGTATGTATGTATAGGTGAAAGCATAGAATACATAGGGTTTGGTACTATCCAGTTTTCAGGCATCACTGTGGGTCTTGGAACGCATCTCCCGAGGATAAGGGGGGGCTACTGTCAGTGTGAACCTGATTAGATCTCAACTGAAACTTTTTTGTCACATGAGGCCATCAGTTGAATTTCATGCCTGCATGTAGGTTTAGATTTTAATTACTTTTTTATGGTGTCAGCATAACAAATGAGAGTCATACAAACTATTGTTTAATGACAAAGTGGGTCAAACCCATAATTAAAAAAATTAATAATAGATTTTTGTTCTACTTGAGGTTTTGTAGCATTACGTAAAGCTTGAAAACTTGGAAATTGTTTTACTTAAAACCCAATTAAAATAATTTGATCTTTTGCTTTTACATCATAGAGTGGCACAATAAAAATTGTAATGGAAGATGTTATTTTACATTTTTTTTCTTTTTTTTTTTTTGAGACGGTGCCTTGCTCTGTCACCCAGGCTGTAGTGCAGTGGCGTGATCTCAGCTCACTGCAACCTCCGCCTCCCGGGTTGAAGTGATTCTCCTGCCTCAGCCTCCTGAATAGCTGGGATTACAGGCGTGAGCCACTATGTCCGGCTAATTTTTGTATTTTTCGTAGAGACAGGGATTCACCATGTTGGCCAAGCTGGTCTTGAACTCCTGAACTCAAGTGATCCGCCCACCTTGGCCTCCCAAAGTGCTAGGATTACAGACACTAGCCACCATGCCCGGGGGTGTTGTACATATTTCCTTTAATCTAAAAGCAGAACCATCTTTATATATTTTTATTTTTTTCCACTAGAGGGCTCTGTTGCCCTTTGATATAATTAAACAAAAGAGGCAGCATTGCAATATAGTTCTGTTCCTCTCAGTCCATCTTGCTTTCATTTTGGTTAAATAATGTCTTTTACTTTTCTAACATATCTTTTAGGTCTTCTAATTCTCTGTGATGAAGTTCAAACTGAAGACTGTTACTAGTGTCGTGTTTGTTTCTTTTTCTCTCTCTTTTGTTTTGTTTGTATAAAATGCCAGGGATGAAGGGATCCACTTAATAAAAAGGCCCATTGTGTTCAGGGAGCAGCCTGTTCTGCCAAATCACACAAGGGCATGTGTTTTCATGACATTATTGCTTTTGAGTGTGCTGGCCTAGCAATAATATGATTTTTTTTTCCTAAGTGGAAATTGTAATATTTAAGTATTAATACCTCTGTTTAAGGTTCATTTTGAACGCCTTGGTGACCCTATGTTTTTTTCTTTGTTTTTTGTTTTGTTTTTTTTTTTTTTGTTTTTTTTTTTTGTTTTTTTGAGATGAAGTCTTCCTCTGTTGCCCAGGCTGGAGTGCAGTGGCGCATTCTTGGCTCACTGCAACCTTCGCCTCCCAGGTTGAAGCAATTCTTCTGCCTCAGCCTCTCGAGTAGCTGGGAGTCCAGGCACCTGCCAACACGTCTGGCTAATTTTTGTATTTTTAGTAGAGATGGGGTTTCACCATCTTGGCCAGGCTGGTCTTGAACTCCTGACCTCATGATCCACCCGTTTCGGCCTCCCAAAATGCTGCGATTACAGGCGTGAGCTACTGCACCCGCAACCCTATGTTTTTTTCTAAGAATATAGTGTCCCTTGCCCCCTGCTACAAGCCTTACCCAGTGTTACATAATTTATTGTAATTAAATTGTTTATTAATGATACATTCTTGCTGTAGAAGAAAACGTGTCCTTTTGGGCTCAGTACAGTATATGTTTCTTAAGTAAGAGGGATCATATTAAACCAGCTACTTAATGTGAAGCAGATAGCCAGTGTTCTCCATGTACAATCTTAGGGAGGGTAATTTTTGTTTTGGCTGTGTAATTATGGTTTGAGGCAGCCCATTAATCGCATATTTCAGCTGTCAAATAGAAATTTGGCCCAGAAAGGAATACACTTTGGCTTTACAAAACTGCTTATTTTCAAATTTTTAAATGGGGACAAAAACGAATATGCTATATTATATACTTTTATTTATATAATTTTTTTTTCAGCAACTTTTTCTCTTTTGAAAATGCAAGAGCCTGAAAAACATTGTGAATATACTTGTAACATTGCAAAGCTATTTCACCAGAGTAAAGATATTTTGGTTGTTCATATACGAGTGTGTTCGTTGTTTATCTAATAAATTGTTAAAACTAGATGGCGATTCTGGGAATTATTATAGACTTCATAATAAATAAGATGCTGACAGTTGAAACCCCCTTGACCGTTGCCTGTTTGGTATGACACAGACCTTCTTGGACTTTTGTAGCCTATACATGAGTAGATATGAATCCTCAGCCTTCTCCAAAATAAGGTTGGGGTCACTAGGAGGCCTTCTTGGAAAGATGTCTTAAATTAAGGCACCAGTAGATGGATCAAAAAGCAGGTTCCAATAGCTCGCTTTTAGTTTCTTGCCTAAATTTGTGATCTCCCTTTGGCTTCATAAATAACGGTACATTTCATGAAGAGCTGGTCTCAGTCTACACAAGCCTAACTGAATGGGGTGCATAGGAAGGGTTGCATTGTGTGACAAGGTTTAAATCTAATTGTTTTAAGTCTTTGAGTTATTTGCTCACCAGGCTGTGCTTGATGGTTTTACTTTTTGTGATTTTTGGAGCCTTCATGTTAGAAGCCATAGTCATATGGTGCTCTCTGAAAGCAAGACAAGGTTTCTTCACTAGACTCTAAGAGGAGATCTGAGACAGAGAGATGGGGGCGGGGAGGAAACCTATTTCAGTGTCTCTACTATTTCTACCTAGGTGGAGGATAACTAGCCAGATGAACGGAGCTAAGCCTTTTGTATGAAGTTTATTTCATATAAAGAGGAACAAAATCAGAATCAAATTTCTTCTGTAGTTGCACAGAAACTGAAGTTAAAGCTAATACAATGTTTTTCATTTTTACCCTTACCTCTACAATGTACTTAATTGTTACAGATTCGTATTTATTGATTATCATGTTGTATTACATTGATAGCCGTTTAAAATTTATGAAGATTCCGTACTTGTCATATTTAATTCTCAGCACCGTGCTTACAGCTGTCTTGTGATAATGTCGAAAGGAAAGAGAAGGGAGGTGAGGTAACGTGCTTGAGATCATACAGGTCTTGGGCGGCGGGTGCCTGCAGGATAGATCAAAGGGTAATTGAGTCTGTGCCTGGGGCCCCTTCCACTGTACATGCCACCATCCTGTTGGGAGGAATAACAGCACACTCCTGAATGAGCTCTTTCTAAGCAGCTCATTCATTTTGTTAATCCTGAGTTTGGAATCAACCAATTTATTTAAACCCGTGAAGCCTCGCTCTGTGCCCGGTCAAGTGCTGGGAGTGGCATCTGCGGGGAGGGCCAAGGCAGATGTCATTTCCAGACTGCATTGGATCCTGGATTCAGAAGCTGAAGCTTAGGAGTGGGCATGGTGGTTCACGCCTGTAAACCCAGCCCTTTGGGAGGCTGAGGCAGGAGGATTGCTTGAGCTCAGGGGTTCGAGAGCAGCCTGGGCAACATAGCAAGACCCCATCTCTACCAAATCAAATTTTTTTTAAAAGCTGAAGCTTTCTTTACCAAAACCACTTTGGTATTATGATTGTAAAACAAACATTAAGGAATAAGTCTGGGGGAATGGGAAGTAGCATTCATCAAGCGCCTGTATATGCCAGGTGTTAGGCTAGATTAGCTTGATGTGCCTTCTCATTTAATATAAGTAATTATTTTAAAGGTTATTGTGATTAACATGTATTCCTTATGGAAAATTTAGAAAGCGAAGAAAAATAAAAATAAGAATAAAAGATTTAAAAAAACCCCAATTCTTACCAGTTAGAAGTATACTATTAATATTTAGCATGTATGATTGTAAGCATGTTTTCCCTTCTTTCGTGATTTTTCTATTTAAATTGTGATTATCTTTCTGTGTTGTTAAATACTCCACATCTTAAATGGCTGCATAGTATTCCATTATGTGGTTCCAGCTCTTCTCCCAGTGTGGTACATTCGGGTGGTTTCCAGCTTTTTAATAGCTGTGGAATGGAGAAGCACATTTTGTAATTAAATGTTTGTACCCATCCGTGACTCTTCTATAGTTTTATTTTGTGGAAGTGGAATTGCTGAATGAAGTGATTTGCTCCCCAACCTTAATATCTTGATTTGTTTTGTCAAACTGCCCTGGAAGATTGTACCAATTTGAATGCTCCTTTGCCCAGCATCCTTGCCAAACTTGAGAATTAGAATTTTTAAAAAATATCACTTAAATTTGCCTATCTCTGATGATTAGCAAGATTGATAGGCTTTTCTTATGTCGGGCCATTTGTTTTTTAACGAATTGCCCTTTCATCTTATATGCATGACTATTGGATATGTATCGATTACTAATTGATTGCTTGCCTCATGTGCTATCATTTAATTTTCAAAATGTCCCTTAGAAGTTAATTTATAAAGTGTCTATTACTTTAAGTACCTGTTCAATCCTGTGATCAAGAGGAAATTCACAGAGAAAGAAATTGGCCTAACTCCTCAGTTTGCTTCACTAAAATCTTTTAAGCACACATCTTGTCTATTATGCCAGCTGCAACTCAAATCAAAGGCACTGTTGCTTTGGTACCCGCATTTAAGGAGGGAATACCCCAAAAAACTTAAACTTGTCTGGCTTTGCAATGGTGGTGGAGTCCCAAGATGACACAGTAGGCAAGATTTGATTACTTTGGTTATGCAAATTTCCCCTAGATCTTCTATTAATGACAGTAACAGCGCTTCAGAGCTTTTCTATGCATTCTCTCATTTGATGAGCCTGCTTTCAGGTGGAGAAATTGTACCATTGCTGAAAATAGCTTCGCTGACAGTTAGGGCAAGCTTCATTGGTAGCAAGTTTCTATCTGGAAAGATGTAGGAGAGGAACACTGACTCTGGAAGCAGACGTGACCTAGTTTTGAAACCTGGGATAACCACTTCCTATCTGTATGACCCGAGCAAGTTACTTTCCTTCTCAGAACTCCTGTTCCACCTCTGTGCAATATGGACAGTACTCCTACTTTGCAAAGTTGTTAAAGATGGGAACTCCAGAGTGCCCAGGGAATTGTCTACTCATCATTGCAGGCGTTTAATAACGTGTAGCCATTTCTGGAATGGGAGGCAAGAGGATCGAGTTACCAGTGAAATTAGTTTGGTATTTTCCTAGCTTCCTGGTTCCCAGATCCTCAAGAGGCTGCCATAATCTCTGTGAATTTGTCCTAAAATGACCTGTATAAATAACTGCTTTAGACACTGGCTTGTCTTTGGTATGAAGGAAAACATTTTAGAATTTTTTTGGCTGGAGGTCAGTAGCTTTCATCCAGAAAAGAATAATCAACGGAAAAAAAAAAAAACCACCGAGACGAGGTTATTTTTGTTACAGTCAAGGAACAAAAAGGGATATATTAAACTTGGGGGAAAAAGAGAAGGAAAACTATTATTCTTTAAAACCGTTATACCATGCATCATGGTAACATCTTTTTTACTGAGAGTTCTGCATTAGCACACTTGTTCACCCAAGTTTGTGATAGTTTATAGGACTGCCTGGTGTATTAAGTAGAAATGCTCAACTTTGCTGTCCTATTTTTTTGATCATATCCAAAAAGTGTCAGTGTTTGAATATAGTTTTATTGCCACTTAAAAAGGTAGGACAGTTTTATTGGCGTCTACTGGACATGGTAGGAAGAGAGCTGTAATTTGACACAGATTGTCCTTAACTTGGGTGACTTAAGGCAAGTCACTTAACCATCTGAGCCTTAATTTCCTCGTTTGTAAATTCAAGAGAATAATAACTTCTCTGTCACATACTGTTTTGTACAGATCAAGTAAAACAATGTGTGAAATGCTGTAATGAAGAAGTCCAATAGTGTATGAATATAAGGTTGCTGGCGTTTGGGGAAAAATCATAGTTATAGAAGAAAGACTCCTAAAGGGAAGATTAGGGTTGGAAGAAGATGGAGGAAGAGAGTAATTTAATTCCTTAATGGAAAGAATAAAATAAGAGCTCTTGACTTTTTTTTTTTGTTGTTGTTAGGATATGGGGAGAGGTTTCTGCAAATATCTTCTTCAGGGTTTACGAAGTGAACCGGATGTCCGGTAACAGGGTTGCATGTCATGCAATTGACTGGGTGGTGATGACTAAAATTTTAATGATGCGATCTCATTTAAAGTTGACAGGCTCTGACTCTAGCCAGATATTCAGGAGCAGAAACTTGATTCAATAAGAAGGGAACCTGCAGAGGCAGAAACTTCTGTGGGTTGCAGTTGTGTTGAGATTACACAGGTGGAAATGTTGCGAGTTCTTGGGTGATGCGATTTCTTCCTGCTTGCCTTAAGTTTCACCTGCCCAGGTCCTTACTTCTGCTCACAGTGCAGCACGAATTTAGATACTGATTGGGGATTCAGACACAAACGGGATGCTCCTTGCTTATATAACATCAACAGAATTGCTGGCCACATCTTGATTATAGAAACTCTTTTTCCTGGTGATCACACAAAGCAAAAGAATGAAAATAATCAATCTCTTTCAAATGGAGAGACTCCGCTGTGTCAGCCACCATTGGCTATAAGGATGAACTCTCAAAACTTTTTGTATCTTGCAATATAATGTCTTCCAACTGCCTTTGATTTTACTGTGTGGCTGTGTGATACAGCAAGGCAGCTGTGGCTTCTAAATTCAGCAGCTAGGTTTGAGAAGCTTCTATCAGCTGAGAGATCATCAGTACATTCCAAATGGCATTAAAAATGCTGTTACAGCTTTATCTATTAGCAAAGGAAGTTTCAATTCTAAGTTCACGTACAGTTACTAGATTGAGTGTTTGACAAGGTAGAGAGCTCTGTAGTAGATCCATATGGGGAACATCTCAGTCAGGGTGTGGAGTCAGATTTTTGGCAAGGGATACCATCCTTTCAGCCTGAAAAGCTGACTTGGGAGCTGTCAGCCTGTGTGCACGAGGACCTTTTTCCTCCCAGGGTTAGCGTCGCCACTTGCCCAGTGTTTCTTTTTTATTTCCTGCTGGCCTGATCCGGGAGGGATTTGGGAAAGCTAGTCTTGTTGGTGTGTCATCATCGCGACGCTGTTAGTGATTGACTTACCCGAGTGTACACATGTTTGCATCTCACTTGTATGTTCCTTACATGTTTACTTAATTATTGGGAAGGTGTATTAATGTCCTGTTGCTACTATAATGGACCACCACAAACTCGGTGCTTCTATGCTGCAAACCTAAGATTATAGGCAGTCATAACACAGTGTTAAGTATTTGTGTATCTAAACATAGAAATGGTTCAGTAAAAATACAGTGTTGTAATCTTATGGGACTGCCGTTGTGTGTGCAGTCCATTGTCATGTGATAGTGATTAAGGGAGGTGGACATTTTTGTGTTTGCTTATTTCCATAAGCTCAAGGGTAAAGCTTCCCAATCAGCCTTTAGGACAGAGGTAAGAACTGGTTGGTGGCCTGGAGCCTGGATCTGGCCTCCAGATGTTTTTTGTATGGACCACACAAAAATGGTCTATAGTGGGATTTTTTTTCTTTTTTTTTTTGTCAGACTACTTGCCAGCATACTAAAATCAGGATATTTTACTTAAATGTAGATTTATGACAGTTTTGAAAAATCAGAATGAGTATTGTAGACTAAATGTTTATGTCTTCCCCAAAAATTCCTATGTTGAAACCCTAATCTTAAGGTCATGGTATTTGGACATGGTTGTGTCCCCACTGAAATCTCATCTTGAACTATAGTTCCCATGATCCCCATGTCTTGTGGGAGGGACCCGGTGGGAGATAATTGAATCATGCTGTTCTCACGATAATGAGTGAGTTCTCATGAGATCTGATGGTTTTATAAGGGGCTTTCTTCCCTTTTGCTTGGCACTTCTCTTACTGCTGTCATGTGAAGAAGGACGTGTTTGCTTCCTCTCCTGCCATGATTGTAAGTTTCCTGAGGTCTCCCCAGCCACGTGGAACTGTGAGTCAATTAAACCTCTTTCCTTTATAAATTTCCCAGTCTTCGATATGTCCTTATAGCAGCATGAAAACAGACTAATACAGGGGCCTCTGGGAGGTGATTAGATCATGAGGGTGGAGCCCTCATAAGTAAGATTTGTGCCCTGATGAGAAGAGGATAGAAAGGTAGCTAACTTTCCTTAAGCTATGTGAATGTGAGAACACAGTGGGAAGGCAGCCATCTGTAACTAGTAGGAGGGCCCTCCCCAAGAACGTGACCATGCTGCCACCTTGACCTTGGACTTTAAGCCTCCAGAACTGTGTTAAAGAAATGTCTGCTATTTAAGCCACTCGGTCCATGATATTTTGTTGCTGCAGCTTCAGCTGACTATGGCTTATGTCTATCAAGGAACATAGTTGCACTGAGGTTGAACAGAGCTGTTCCTATAGGCTGACCCCCTGTAGGCAGGCACAGGCTATTTTCCATGGTCAGTTTACCTGCCTGCTTCCTGTAGAGGCTTGAGCTTGGTTTAGAGTCTGCAATGAAAACTGTGTGATGATATTGGACTCACTGGCTCATAGCCACTGCCACGCCCTTATTCAGTCTTTTGTGCAATTAACAAACATTTATTGACTACTGAGTACCAGGTGCTAAGACTTCAGTGTAGAAACAGGCAGGGTCCCTGCCCTTGTGGAGGATACAAAACACACCAAAATGCAGTCAGCTTCACTGAATGACAGAGATATGATCTGAGAAGTGTGTCAGGCAGTGTCATCGTTGTGCAACCCTCATAGGATGTACTTACAAATCCTACGTGGTATAACCCATTATACACAGAGGCTGTATGGGATAGCCTGTTGCTTCCAGGCTGCAAACTTGTATAGCATGGTACCGAACTGAATACTATAGGCAGTCATAACACAATGGTAAGTATTTGTGTATCTAAACACAGAAGTGGTACAGTAAAAATACAGTGTTGTAATCTTATGGGACCGCCGTTGTATCTGCACTCCATTGTTGACCAATGTGTTGTTATGCAGTGTGTGACTGTACCAGCAGCTTGATCTTTGTGCTTCTAGAGAACATTTAAATTGATTCGCTTTTGTGAGACAGGGTCTTGCTCTGTTACCCAGGCTTCAGTGCATCAGCGTGATCATAGCTCACTGTAGCCTCTCCCTCCTGGGCCAAGTGATCCTCTCACCTCAGCCTCCTGAGTAGCTTGGACTACAGGCATGCACCACCATTCCTGGCTAATTTCTTTTGTATTTTTAATAGAGATGAGGTCTTGCTATGTTGCCCATGCTGGTCTTGAACTCGTGGGCTCAAGCAGTACACTTGCCTCAGCCTCCCAAAGTACTGGGATTACAGGTGTGAGCCACCACATCTGGCGAAACTCTGGGTAGTTTCTAATTATTTCTGTATTTCTATTTGTATTTAAAAGTACAGGATACTAAAATGTTTTTTTTTTCTTTTTTGAGATGGAGTCTCACTCTGTCGCCCAGGATGGAGTGCAATGGCCCGATCTTGGCTCACTGCAACCTCCACGTCCCAGGTTCAAGCGATTCTCCTGCCTCAGCCTCCTGAGTAGCTGGGATTACAGGTGTGTGTGCCACCACGCCCAGCTATTTTTTTTGTATTTTTAGTAGAGATGGGGTTTCACCATGTTGGCCAGGACGGTGTTGAACTCCTGACCTCGTGATCCTCCTACGTCGGCCTCCCAAAGTGCTGGGATTACAGGCGTGAGCCACCGCGCCTGGCAAGGATTTTTTTTTTTTCATACTTGAGGAAACATCTAACAGCAAATATGTTCTTATAAGTTAAAAAGAACTTTTGCTATTTTGAATGACACTCTCATTAAGTCTTACTACTAGTCTCTGATTTTTCTTTTTTCTTTTTCTTTTTCTTTTTTTTTTTTTTTGAGACAGAGTCTCACTCTGTCGCCCAGGCTGGAGTGCAGTGGTGCTATCTTGGCTCACTGCAAGCTCCACCTCCCGGGTTCACGCCATTCTCCTGCCTCAGCCTCCCGAGTAGCTGGGACTACAGGTGCCCGCCACCACGCCCGGCTAATTTTTTTGTATTTTTTAGTAGAGACGGGGTTTCACCGTGTTAGCAAGGATGGTCTTGATCTCCTGACCTCGTGATCTGCCCACCTCAGCCTCCCAAAGTGCTGGGATTACAGGCGTGAGCCACCACGCCCGGCCTTGATTTTTCTTAACCTTTATTTCCAATTATGCATCTTCTGAGTAACTATAAAGAAAAGCAAAATCTACAGTAGGTATGGAGTGAGTGCAGAGTCACCATCAGCTTGAACAAATGTGTGTATCTGTGGTCAAGTTTAATTGCTTCTTCTGTAATTTATATTAATCACGCTTCCATTGCTTGCCTTTTGTTAATACGTATGCGGCCATGTGATGATTTTTTAAAAGGTCATCCAGTATCTTGATGTCCAGTCCATGCTTATAACCTGAGCAGTTTATGTACTCTTGAGATGGTATGTGCTAAAAATGAGTAGCTAGTCTGAGTGGCAGCCTTACCCATTTTATTTTGTGGGCAGATTTCTTTTACAGTTCTGGCTGGGTTTCTTTTAGTTGGCTTCTTTGCTTTGCTCCTGTTACGACTTAGCCCTGTAGCTCTGGGCTCTTCGATTCTCACGTGCTGATGGTGTAGCTGAGCTCTGCTAATGCTGGTTATTAATCTGACAATCTATACCAGGGAGGTTTTATAATTGCCATAATTCTTATTTGCTCCATTCCATTTCCCAGCTTCTCAAATGGGGTGGCAGCTGCAAAGCACAGTATTTGAACATGAAGTAGAGAATCGTCACTTCAGCTTATGATTTTACATTCTGTCAAGGCTGCAGGGAAAGCGGTCATGTTTCTGGATGGTATTTGGATCTACAAATTCCAAGCAAACTTTTTACTTCTTATTATGTAAAATGGAAGGGTTAGCCAAATTAAGATCTCACCATCAACCTTGAGGGAGTGACTTCTACATGCCGTGTATTACTGGTTATAAAGCTAGTCTTGTTTGGATTGAAGAATTTAATCATATTTAACTTTTCAAAGGATGCTTTTTAAAAAACCTTATCCGCGTGTTATGTTTAAACTGAGAAGTACCTGAAAGTGAAAATTTTATTTATTTTTACTTTTTTTGAAAGATGGAGTCTTGCACTGTCACCCAGGCTTGAGTGCAGTGGCTCAATCTCGGCTCAGTGCAAGGTCCACCTCCTGGGTAAAGGAGATTCTCCTGCTTCAGCTTCCCAACTAGCTGGGACAACAGGTGTGTGCCACCACGTCCAGCTAATTTTTGTATTTTTATTAGAGACGGGGTTTCACCATGTTGGCCAGGCTGGTCTTGAACTCCTAACCTCAAGTGATCTGCCCGCCTTGGCCTCCCAAAGTGCTGGGATTACAGGCTCACGCCACCATGCCTAGCTGATTTTTGTATTTTTAGTAGAGATGGGGTTTCACCATGTTGGCCAGGCTGGTCTGGAACTCCTGACCTCAGGTGATCCACCCGCCTCGGCCTCCCAAAGTAGTGGAATCACAGACATGAGCCACCATGCCTGGCCTGAAATAATTTCAAATTAACCCCTGAGGAACAAATGCTCATGACTTTCAATGAATAGAAAAATCAGACTGCTAGAACCTCCAGACTGCATGTCATGCGTAGAAGTAGAATCCTGGGGAAGCTAGCTCACAAAAGCAAGGGAGATACCTGCAAGGCTGAGCTGAGCTTGCAAGGGAAGAAAAATATTAGAGAGTTGTCACATTTAGAAATAAGTGATTCCAAATTTACAGTCAATGGACTGTAGATGCCTTCCATCTTCTTAAGAGATTTTGTGCCTCTTGCACAGGTATTATCCCTAAGATGTGTTTTCTTCAATGTACCTAGACTGTTTCCTTAAAGAATTGCTTTTGTATGGTACGGCTCTATGTGTCTGTGTTTCTCATGTTGGTTAGGAGAACTAACCCTTGTGACGAATAAGAAATGGCAAACATTGTTAATGTTGACTTTACTAGTTGCTCAAATATTAGCATTGGATTTTAGAGTCAACATGCTAGCAGGATGGCTTTATTTTAAAACCATGTGATAGAAAGCTATCTGCTATTATTGATAGCATTTCTGGATGGCTGTCAGAAGTCTTTCTTTAGAAATTTAACCATATTTTTAATGGTGGGCATTGCAGTCAACAATAGTACAGACTTTGCAAAGACTATTTTTTTTTTTGGGTGCAGTGAATACTTCGCAATGCCTGCTGAATTTTACCTATTCTGTAAGTCTTTTTGGGAACCGTTGAGCCCCTCTTCTCTTAGTTGCCTTTAGCCTTTGTTTTTATTATGACAATTGGTATGAAATTTTTCCTTTTCATTACTTCTTTTATTCAGAGCACACCTCTGGCTTATCTCTTCATTCTCTGTTTAGTTTCATATTTTACTTTAATTTCTGTACATCAATATCTGCCATTATAGTATTTAAGCTCTTGGAAACATCAGGCATTTGTTAACTTGTTGAGAAAATAAAGCACTCCACTGTTGTTATGAGCTGCTTATGGCAAGTGAAAAACTCACAATATTTGGCCAAACTTGGGATCATTTAGGTGTTGTTTGCAATTAATGGCAGGAGATATTTTCCTTGTTGTTAAGAGTATAACGTTGGTTTTAGAAAGCTTGATCTATGTTTTTCTCCATGTTAGATGTGAAAAGAACCAGGAGAGTGTGAGGATATTGGTAATATTGTCATATGGTGATCCCACTGTGGATAGATACGCAAGAGAGAAAATCCAGAAGAAAGCATTTCACTGAAGCCTGGGGACATTTCTGGTGACAAATGGTGCTGATGGCACAGTGAGAACGGGAGAGGGCAGAAGCAATGCACAGATAGAAAGGGTGTCACCTGCGCATTGAAAAATCCCAGTGCCATAACAATGCAGTCCCTGCAATACAGACAAACCTGACTCCCACCATTCCTGTAAATGAAGATGGGGCCTTGCTGAGAAATAGAGGATGCAGATTCCACCCTCAGGCTTCCCGTCTTGGGATGCAGAGAAAACTCACCCACGTGCAACAACTCAAGAGTCGTTATTTACCTAGCAAAGTGTTCACATGACAGTGTTTGAAATGTACCACGTGCCTTTTCATGTTTAGTTTAGAGCTTGACACTAGAGCTCTACTGTGGTTTACCAAGTGTGAGGGACTATTTCTTTCTGAGAAGGAGGGGAAGCTTTAGTTTCCTTGAATGTCTAATAGAGTCTGAGTTTCCTTTTAGAAGCATAAAAGACGTACAGTAGGCAGAATCTGGATTTTTAACTATACAGTTGCTGAAGTTATCTTCAATTCAAATCTTCTAAATTCAATTTTGTTAATGTTGTTTAGATATTATTATAGAAGCCAGCTTTACTGACTTCTGCACATTTAATCATAGGAGATTCTTCCATTCTGTGAACTTAGATTTCTTTTTTCTATCCATGACATTTATCTAAATCAGGCTTTCTTTTCTTTCTACTAAATTTTTCAATTACCAATAGGCTATGAGAATAATTAGACTGACAGTATTACTGAAAAAAAAACAAAACAACAACAACAAACAACAAAAAAAACACCTTCCACTAAAACTGACTCAAAAAGATAATAGCAGGGAAAATGACATGTCGATCTGTGATTCCTTTTTTACTTGTCAGTCCTTTTGGGAGTTGAACATATAAGCACATGTACCTCTATGTGACTTTTGAGACGTCTAGAATAGAGAATTCACCTTTGTAGCTGGAATTTATTCAGCATGCAAATGTGGGTGGGTGATTGTTTTATAGATGCCTGGTGTTGAATGATGGGCAGTTGTGATAACTATATATAAAATTATATTAAAGTCCAAGAGGTGCTTTTATGAGGCAGGCTGGAAATGGCATCCGATTTTCTTATGGCTTTTTCATGTCCATTTTGATGAATCTATTTATTACTTCTATAATGAGTAGTACACATGGTTGGTTAGCCAAGTTATTGAACTTTATCAACCTTGGCTGAAATTCACAATGCGTGCCAAACTTGTTGTAACATGTAAGAAATTACATCTGGGCTAAAAGGTTCAATAATGATTACTCTTATAATGGAATCTTCTACAAAGCAAGGGATTTCATGATATCCCTATGCTTTTAAAAAATTATTGTGATACAGTGAAACAAGGAAGAACGTGTAGCTGGAAAAATAGTATTTGCTTGTAATATACATTCAGATTCATAACAGGCTTATTTGATTCCCAGGACAGGGTGAGCAAAGGATGCTGTTTCCTGGGTGTCTGCTTTGGTGTTCATTGAGTCATGTCTCTCTCTTTAGACCTTACTGGATCTAGTCTTCATCATGGGGCCTGTGAGCTCTTTCAAATCTAGAGGACAAAACCTAATAAAGTGCTGTCATATCACATCTGTTTATGAGTTTCAAACTGAAATGAAATGTGTAGCCGTGTTATTCTTAAATTACAGAGACTTGAGGAACGTAGAGCTTTTTACTCTCACTAGAGAAATCTAAGCACAGGTTGGTTCGTTAACCTGTAAAGAGATGTTTGGGTTTTAAGAGGTCTATCAAATAACACAGTTTCCCTTTCCCAAGTTACTACCTAACTGAGCAGTAAGACCACCCATTAGGCAAATGGAAGACCAAAACATCACCTGAGTCATTCATGAAGCTGATACTGGAGAATATGTATAGCTGTGTGAGCTGGTGGGCTTTCTAATCCTGACCACCACAATTAGACAGGGTAATGGGTCAGTGCTAGGTCAGGCCAGACCTTCGCAGAGGGCAGACCCCATTCATGCAGCATGTTCAAGACAGTGCAGGAGAGCAGGGTGTGTGCTCTCTGTAAGAGGAGAGGAGAGGCAGAGCTGCGTGTGCCCGGTTCTCAATCCTGGAATTACCATTCACATACCATTCACAACATAAGTTGGATCAGCTCCCTTGAGCAGGAATAAGTGAGTGGCAGAGGGGGTCAGGGATGTTAACGCAAATGGAGATCCCTTCACCCAGAAAGACACATCTGAAATGGAGAAGATGCCTTTTTCCTCCTGCAACCAATAAGAGAGTGATGAAAATTATGACGCCTTGGGAAATAAGACTGCAACGTAAATGTGTGTCCACCCCCTAGTTTTCTTTTGGATTGTGAATCCTCACCCTCCGATAACTAGACGTGCTGTTTTGACGTCTATGCTTTCCAGCTTGCCAATTCTGGGGCCTGGCACAGTATCTTTCACCCCGGAGTCTCAGTTTCCTCATCTGTAAAATGGGAACCATGACGTCAGCATCACAGAGTTGTGAGAATTCGACAAGGTGGAATGAAAGCAACTAGTGTGGTGTCTGACCGCTTGTGTTAGTCCATGAGGAATTTCCTTACGTATTGTTTTGTGTCTAGGACCAAGTTCTTATTTTCTTCTTATGGATGACTTCATATATATGCCGCCACAGAGGGAATTACCGTTTTTCTTTGTAGGTAAAAAGGAGCTGGGTTAAGATGCACCGTCATATGAAACAGGGAAAAAGGGTTTGCTTGGGTTTTAGATTCCTGAAACAGTCTGCTGAGGGATTCTAAAGTTGTTGTGGTCTCTGTTCCACTTTGGGAGTTTGATAAAAATTGGCCTGTTTTATTTGACAGCTCTTAGGTAGTGTGCAAAATTGTCAACAGATAATAAAAGTTTTTTGCAAAGCTATGGCTCTATGTGCTGTACTTGAGCAGTATCCATACTCTTAATAGAATTGATATATGAAAGCAGGTCTTTTTCCTTATCCGTTTAGACCTAAATCTTATCCATAGTGTGTGGATATCACAAACAGCACAAGAGGAAGTGAAAGGAACAGAGTGGGTGAGCAAACCATTGTTCAAAGGAAACAGAACCTCGCTCAAGGAAAATGAGAATTCTTCTGATCAGCTTCTATAATGGATGCAATGAGGAAAGTTGTCTAGCAGACTGTTCTTGGCCAACTGTCTAAATGGCTCGCTGCATCCTCTTCACGAGAGCTGATGGTAGGACTGTAGAAGAGTCACAAAACATCACATGACAACGCCAGTCCCTCTGATAATCCTGCAAGAGCCAGCCCAGTTTTGCTGACAGCACAGTCTGCTGTTTAATTATTGTGTGTTCAATGACTTACCTCTTTTTAGTTTAATTAAAATTATTTCTCAGATTAAGAGCCATGCTATGATGCTTGCCAACGGATATTTAAAACATGTAACTGATTTGTTTTTTATAATGCTTCAGGAGAACTCAGTTGAGCAGTAAAGATGTGCTCGTGATGTGGTTAGCTCAGAATAAGGATGTGAAAACCAAAAGGGAAAGGAGGACAGGAGTGAATCTGGCACTTATCTTTCAGTGGGGCCTGAGTGCAAATTCTTCCTACCTTCCATATGAGAGAATAGGGAAAATTAAAGAATAAATGTCTCTGGGTTTAATGCAACTTTACTAAGGAATGAAAGTCCGATAAGAATCCATATCTTTTGAAAGAAGATTTTTTAAATTCCTTATTTTTCCTTTCTGCATGGTCATAAAACACACTGGGGACAGCCCACCCTGAGAAGTCACCAGGCATCTGCCTGCCTTCAGTAGCAATCACCCAACTGCTGTAGACCGTAATCAAGCTTTCAAGAACCACGTGCAGCACGCTGCGGGAGAGTCCCAGCGAAGTGCTTAATGCGCCACTCCACGGATGTGAGTGGGGAGCAAGTGCTCAAAATGGGGCTTCTGAATTGCAATCATCATTTGGCATCTCTATTACCTACAGCTGCTCAAAGATGTTCCCCCCATGCAACTGTTTCTTGCAACTCCTAACATTTGCAACGAGGCCTCTGATGCAGACAACCCGTTTATACCTCTGGGTGGTTGAAACCTTCATGGTTTGTTGTAAAGAAAGGTACACAGTCCCACCAATCAGACCGTATCTAGAATATTACGTTCATTTAGGGGTGGCGCATAGACAGGCTAAAGGATGGCAAAGTCATTGGGTCATGTCCTAGGAGCAACCCTTAAAGGAAGAGTGAATGGCTGGTTAGTTGGTAGAAGAAAAGATTTATGTAAATTAGTTCTCTCAGTAGCTATCTAGGAGAGAGATAATCCTAGCTTTCTTCAAGGGACAGAACCAGGACCAATGGACAAAATCTGCAAGGAGGCAGCATTTAACTGATTAGAATTGTCGGGGGTGGGGTTGGCGAGAGGGTGTTGCTTTTCTAATGATTCACATTGTATAAAAAGCAGACAGTAGGTCTGGCACTGTTGGCTCATGCCTGTAATCCCAGTACTTTGGGAGGCCAAGGCAGGTGAATCATGAGGTCAAGGGTTCAAGACCAGCCTGGCCAACATGGTGAAACCCCTTCTCTACTAAAAATACAAAAAATTAGTTGGGCGTACTGGCAGGCGCCTATAATCCCAGCTACTCGGGAGGCTGAGGCAGGAGAATTGCTTGAACCCAGGAGGCGGAGGTTGCAGCGAGCTGAGATTGCGCCACTGCACTCCAGCCCAGGCGATAGAGTGAGACTCTGTCTCTAAATACATAAATAAATAAAAGTAGAGAGTAAGTTTTCTGTATTGAAAATGTTTTAAGAGTTCTTTGTCTTACCTTAGGTTCCTCCAAAAACAGAACCAGAGAAAAAGACATATTTATGCATAATTTGGGATGTGATTACAAAGAGAGGGATGGGGAATTCAGGAAGGAAGGAGAGGCAATATAAAAATGTGTTTTTTAGTTAGTCATTACTAGAGGCAACTAGTGCTCAACTCCAGGCACTTTAGGAAATGCATCTCATAGCTGTCTGCCTGCGGAATAAAGGGCATTTATCCACCGGCTTCTGACCCCGTTGGACAAGGGCGTCCCATAAGTTTTGATGTCCCAGAATTTTGGGTTTGCACATGTGCAAGTGCCAAGCAGGTTCTTGTAGGCATCCCATGCTGCAGAGTCAGAGAATCTCTAGGATGGAAATGGGGGGATCCATATTGTAGCCCCAGGTGAGGCCATCTGGTTGCATTTGTGTCAAGTTGGTTGAAAACTGCATGGTGAGCGTAAAAATGGTTTGAGTAAAATGGAGCTGTGAGAATTTGAAGGGGTGCATGAGAGGTGCCCGATACAGTCCACCCCCTGCACCATGCTCAGGTCTCTTAAGAGTAAGCAGAATCTACCACAGTGTATCCTTAAAGTTAAAAGGCTCTCTGATGGGACTATAAATGAGTCCCAGTTTGATGAATTCTGGGGCTTTAGCCTTTTCTGCTGTGGTATTAGTTTTCTGGGGCTGCTGTAGCAAAGTACCATAAACTGGGTGGCTTGGGACAACAGAAATTTATTGTTTCCAAGTTCTAGAGGCTAGAAGTCTGAAATCAAGGTGTTGGTAGGGCCATACTCCCTTTAAAATGTGTAGGGAAGGACCCTTCCTTGCCTCTTTCAGCTTCTGGTAGCCCTAGATGTTCATTGGCCTGTGGCAGGGTAATTCCAGTCTCTGCCTCCATCTGCACAAGCCATTCTCCCTGTATCTTTTCACATCATCTTCCCTCTATTACTGTTTGTCTCTGTTTTCTGATCTCCTCTTCTTCTAAGGGTGACAGTTTTACTGGGTGAGAGCCCACCTTAATGCCCTCAGTTTAACTCGATGACCTCTGCAAAGGCCCTGTTTCCAAGTAAGGTGACATTCTGAGGTACTGGGCTTAGGACTTCAACATATCTTTTTGGGGGGACACAATTAGACCAATAGCAACTGTGCTATAAAAGAGATGTTGCTTTTTATCATTGATGCTATCCAGATGCATAGCAATCATTCAACAAGTCATTCGAAAGAAATAGGTATTTCCTGAGGGTCTAGTATGTAACTCAGCTCTGCTCTAGGACCTGGTGATTACAGCAGTGAACAAAGTGCTCCTGCCTACGTGCAGCTTACTTTCTTATGGAGCATGATTTTCAGAAGTAATTGTTCTTTTGCCTCGTTATCATCAGACATTAGGAACCAAGGGGGGATTGCCTGCTTTTGGATCACAGAGCAAGCTGCCTTGAGCAAGTGAGTTCGAATTGCAAAGGTGTTTAAGCATAGCTTGGTGGCTGCTTAGTGAGGATGTTGCAGAGGCAATTTAAATGCCGAGCAGGGCTTTGGGTTTGTGATGGTTAAAGTCCATTTCCACTGCGGAGATGGTATGATTGTACAAATGGACAGGTTCTGGGCCTCTGTCTGTTTTGTCAAGTATACAACACTTCTGTTTATCTTTAAAGGGAACAAATAGTGTTTTCACAGGTCTCTGCTTAAATAAAAAGATTCTAGACCACTGGATGTCAACCCCACCATCCCCCTTCTTTTTTTTTTTTTTTTTTTGCATCCTGTACTCCTTTGAGAATATAGTGGAACCTCTGGCCCATTCTACAAGGGAAAAATAAATGTATTCCTAGCCAGGCATTTGTGTACAATTTTGTAGGGGAGGAAAGGATTGTTCATAGACACTGAATTAAGAAATCCCTACACTTTATGGGAATTGTAATCATTAGTAGCAGTTACGTAGACATACTTCCATTAAATACACATACTTGCTTTAGAGAGTGTGTTTATTCATAAAAATTCATTGAATAGGATTAGGAATAAAAATATGCATAGAAATATTTGTTACTTTTTCATTGTAATGGTTTTTTTTGGATAGAAATTTATCAGTGTGTAATTAATAAAGTAGTATTGATTTCAGAATTATACGGTGCTAAACAATGGAAATTTCCTAAATAACTGGCAGGTAATGGAAAAAAAATTCAGTTACTGACAGCCTGTCATAGTTGAATCTAAGAGCTAGGGGCAAAATACATATATTCTATGTAGTTTCCATTTCTAGACCCTGGATTTCTAAATTCTTCCTTATAAAATTTTAAATTTCTTTTTTTTTTTTTTTAAAGATGGTGCTCCCTAACTGATTTCCTTCATTTTATTATCTCATAACAGATTTGATTTTCACAATGAAGGTAATTATTAAAATGCTTCCTTTGGTAGTCAATAAATATAATTAGTTTAAGAAAACTAGAAATATTTGTTATTAGAATTAGGTGAACATCTAAGAGTCTTATTTATGGAAGCAACATGGTCAATATTTATGGAATTGAGTTGAGGCTTTGCAACACTTTCAACAGCTTTTTAAAAAGCAAAATAGTTACTGCCTCTGTGGAAATAGAAATTACCCACCTATTATGTAATGAAAAACTAATGTTGGTTTACTTAAAACAAAACTGTGTAGCAGTGTGTTATAGCCACAGGAACTCCTCAGCCAAATGTTAAGTTAATGCAATGAAAACATTTGTAAAAACATTATCAAGCTGCAAAAGAACTAGAAATGCTAGATACTCCCTAGTAGCTGGGTGTTCAAAAACACTTGTCATTCTCACAGTTATATTTGTGGTATCTTAGTGGTCATTCACCTTGGATGTGATTCCTCAAGTATGCCAGAAAAGCATCGTCTTGTGCAAGTGTTGTATTTAGGAAGAACTTTGTGTGAAATCATGATTGTGGGTGAATAACTTTAAATAAATAAATCGTTTTCCTTGATATACAATATTGTGCTACTTTCCACAGAAAGATGGAATCAATGCTCTTGACTGTAATGGAGGTTTACAGTTTTTCTAATTTCTTATTTAGGCTGATCTGAGCAAAGATGTTCAAATTTCCACTTATTTAAACAAGATAGAGTTTTTGCTATGTTGAAGGAATATTTTTAGCTTAGTAATTTACTTAGAAACTGCCTTATTCAATATTCGATGTTAAATTTGAACTAAAACACATAGCATCATATGACATGGAGTCTTACATTCACATTTTGTTGGACTGGAAACAGAATCAACATATTAGTCATCTTAATTCATTTAAGTTGGCTTTCTCCAGAATTCTAGAATCCAAAAACAACACATTTGTCAGTTTTACACACAAAAGGAGAGGCAGGATGTAGTTTATAGTTAAACATCCAGCTTTGCAATGAAAAGCCAATGTAGCTATAGCACACTGAATGAAATTCTGGGTGAAACAAACTGTGTAATAAGATTTTGATGCATATTGAATACTTAGAAAATTTGTTTTATATTTGTTTTAATGAGATTCTCTTTATATCTGCTTTCATAGAAACTTGTAAATTGTCTAAAATTAAATTTTCTGTGGTTGTCATCCACATGGGTTCTGAACTTGCTGTTATAATTATTCACATTTTCTTGCAGTGAAAATCTACAGATCAAGGTCATCTTCACGTCTTTAGTTCTTGTTTTGCTTCAGGTCAGTTTAGAACCGAATGTTAAAAGGATATTGTCTATTCGAAGGGTCAGATTGTGGCACGTGGACCAAATCCAGCCCCCCGAGGCCCACTTTTGTAAATCAGGTTTTATTGGAACACGGGTGCTCATCGTTTACATATCGCCCATGGCTGCTTTCACATCATAACAGCAGAATTGAGTAGCTGTGAGACCCTATGGCCAGCAAAGCCCAAGATATTTACTGCATTTATTTACTGTATTTATGTTTATTCTCTTGCCCTTTACAGAAAAAGTTTGGCAACCCCTGGTTTATTCTGTTAACATGTTTCCTATATAAGGATTCCTCTAATAAGTTTTCAGAATTATTAAGAAAACAAAGCTCATTCCTCTAAAAGAATTGGTATGTTTTTTTTTTTTTTTTTTTGGTGGTGGTTGTTTAATGAGGAGGACATTATAAAGTATTATATTTCGTTTCCTTACCTTGGTTGCCAGGAAGCTCAGAACTTTAAACATTAAAATGTTTAAGTAACCAGCTCACTTCACGTTTCGGATCAGCTTTCTTTTTCTTAACACGGGGATACATTTTCACTTTAAAAAAAAATCAACTTTTTGAAGCATAATTTACATGTTGTAAAACCCATACATTTAAATCATACACATGAAGGTCTTGACAAGTGTGTACACACACATAAACCACCACCCCAGTCAAGATAATAGAATATTCACATCTGTAAGAAATTTTCCACCTGCCCCTTGGCTCAGGCAATTTGTCAGTCTTACTACTGATTATTGCGTTATTTTAAAACCCTGGGTTGTATGCAATTGTCTATTACAAGCTGTTTTAAATAGTTTTCGGTAGTGGCTGGGGCACTAATGATTAATAGTTGAATAGCACAGCTGGAGAAGTTAAGATTCATTTATTCTATTTAGTCTTCAGTACAAATTTTTAGGTTTCCATGGGAGAATCTGAGATACAGCTCACATGGAGAGCCTTTTAGCTAATGTAGCAATAATTAATAAGCTGGATAGCCTGATAGCCTGATGTTTTATTAGGGTGGTGCAAACGTGGTTTTTGCCATTACTATATATATATATATATACACATATATATATATACACACATATATATATATATATATACACACACACACACATATATATATATATATATATATATTTTTTTTTTTTTTTGGAGATGGAGTTTTACTCTGTCGCCCAGGCTGGAGTACAGTGGCGCGATCTGAGCTCACTGCAACCTCTGCCTCCCAGGTTCAAGCAATTCTCCTGCCTCAGCCTCCCAATAGCTGGGATTACAGGTGCACGCTACCATGCCCGGCTGATTTTTGTATTTTTAGTAGAGGTGGGGTTTTGCTGTATTGGCCAGGCCAGTCTCAAACTCCTGACCTCAAGAAATCCGCCCACCTTGGCCTACCAAAGTGCTGGGATTACAGGCGTGAGCCACCGTGCCTGGCCTGCCGTTACTTTTAATGGCAAAGATAATTCTTTTAATAATTAAAATTTGAAATAATTCTTTTAATAAGAATTTGCTGCTTGCCAAGAGCTCTGCAGTTATTTTATTCAATTTTCCTAACAGCTCTTAAGAGTACATCTTATTATTCCCCTTTCACAGATGAGGAAATTGAGGTTCACAGAAGTTAAGTCTATTAGTTTGCTAGAGCTGCTGTAACAAAGCACCACAAATTGGGTAGCTTAAACAACAAAATTTATTGTCTCATAGTTCTGTAGGCCAGAAGGTTGAAGTCAAGGTGTTGGCAGGGTTGGTTCCTTCTGAGGACTGGGAGGAGATACCTGTTACAGGCCTCTCTCCTTGGCTTGTAGATGAGTGTATTAGGGTTCTCTAGAGGGGCAGAATAGGATAGGTGCATTAATATTTATGAAGGGGAGTTTATTAAGGAGTATTGACTCCCACAATCACAAGCTGAGGGACAAGGAAGCCAGTTTGAGTCCTCAAACCTCAAAAATAGAGAAGCCGATAGTGTAGCCTTCAGGCTGTGGTCAAAGGCCCCAAGAGCCCCTGGCAAACCACTGGTGTAAGTCCAAGAGTCCAAAAGCTGAAGAACTTGGAGTCCGATGTTCCAGGGCAGGAAGGATCCAGCATGGGAGAAAGATAAAGGCCGGAAGACTCAGCAAGTGTGTTGTTCCATCTTCTCCTGCCTGCTTTTCTCTTGGCTCGCTGGCAGCTGATTAGATGGTACCAACCCAAATTGAGGGTGGGTCTGTCTCTCTTCATCCGCTGACTTAAATGTTAACCTCCTTTGGAAACACCCGCACAGACACACCCAGGAACAGCACCTTGCATCCTTCAATCCAATCACATTGACACTCAATATTAACCATCTCAGTAGGCTTCTTCGTGTTCACATAGTCTCCTCACCGTGTGCTGTGTCCAGATTTCCCCTTTTCATAAGGACACCAGTCCTATTGGATTAGGGCTCCCCCATTATGACCTCATTTATCCTTAATTATGACCATAAAGGCCCCATCTCCAGATGCAGTCATGTTGGGGGTTAGGGCTTCAGTGTATGAGTTTGGGATGGCAGGGGAGCAGTTCAGCTCGTGAGAATCGTAAGATTCCTGATCTGTTTCTCTTCCAAGAAATTGTTTGGTTTCATGTTGATTTTATCTCCTTTTCCCTATCTGTCTCAAAGCACTGAAGAAAATCAAGTCCCCCTTGCCCTGATAAGGACTTTAAAATGGTGTTTGCTAAAATGGTGTGTGCTTAGGGGCAGCTTTGAGCCAGATAACAATTCTAGTTGCGCATGCTTCCATAAGCTGTTTACTCTAGGAAGGAGAATCTCTGTTGGGATCTTTTGGGGAGTACTTGCCTCCCAAGTGCTTAGGCTCCCGCTGCTGACAAGACCCTCTGCCTGGCAAGCCGTGCAGGTTGGAATCCTCTGTTAGGGTTCCAAAGCCTTCACCAACTCAGAGCTCTTTCTCTCTCTGTTTCTCTTTTTTGAATTTAAATTGATCCTAGTCACAATGTTCACATTACCTATGTTGGGGATCCTACCAAGACCCTCTTTTTGGCCCAGAAGCAGCAGCGGGGTGAGGGGAATGAAACAAAAATTTATAGCTGTCGAGTCTCCAGAAGTCATGTAAAATCAGCCTCAGCTGGAAGCTCCTCCGTGCATCCCTCACATTCACACAAGCAGGTGCCTGATCACAGCTGATGGTTAGATTACACGTTTCCTGAGAGGTATAGATTTCAAAATTGGTGTATTTCACCCGTCCCTCATCATGGTATCCCCAAACAAAATGTTATCAAATGAAGAACTCCTTCCCAGCTCTCCCTTCTGAGTGTCTGATTTTATTCAAGCTCAGATGGCTTCTCAGATAGCGTAAAAAGTGATGGAGAATTTCTTTTACCAATTGTATGCCCTGTGGGAACCTGGGTGCTGTAATCACTGAATATGTTATAACCAAAAAGGTCAAACTCGCAATGATTCGGTGTGTTTTGTTCCGTGCATCCTGGCATGTGAAAGAAGTGAGGTAAAGAGTATAATTTACTTCCTTGTTTTAAAGCTAGCATTGCCCGTGCCTTCCACGCGGGACTGTTGTGGATATTTGACCACTGCAAGAAAACTCACAGAAGCAGAAACTTAGGGCTTGCTTTAAATGTTATCAGTGTGAATTGAGATGGTGTCAGCATTATTTTTTTAAAGACCAAAACAACAATAGTAACAAACACACACAAGCCACTGTTAGATTTTACAAAACTTTAAAAAGTAATTATCTTAAAGATATCTAAGATAGTGATCTGGTTACATAGATTATCAGAGATACTTTTTTTTTTGATTATCAGAGATACTTTTAAAAAAGCAACTACAAGGTAAGGATTATCCTTTAATTTAGTGTTTTTCTATTAAACTCAATTTGCTTTAAAGTTTTTTACATTTTGCCTCTTTTTTGTATGTTTGAGTACCACTTCCTAACCAATCACAATAAATGTCCGGTTTGGAGTTGGAGGAGTCATTGATTTTAGGCAAGGTGATGGTGAGCCCACAGAGCACAGAGTTAATGGAACTCTGGCCGTTGATGTAGCTTCGAAGCCTGAATTTAAGTCATATTTTTGAAAAGTTGCGTCTTAAAAAGTTACTAGCGATGGAGAATGAAAAGTCAATTTGGACACTTTAAAAGTGAGCCTCAAAAAACTGCTGAATTTTCCCAACATTGTGTTTTGAGCACTTCCACGTGACTTTGGTAGCATAAAGACTTTAGTCTTTTCAAGAGGCAAAGTAATATACCACTTTTCGCTTTTTTAATGGTGAGAGCCAAGGTCAATCTGAATTTTTCTTTTTCTTTCTTCCTTTTTTTTTTTTTTTTTTTTTAAAAAAAAAAAAGGTGCTTGAATTAGAAAGGTAGCACATTGTCCACATGGACAGTGCAGGATGGGGCTGGCTTTTTCATTTCTGAGAGCTGGCAATGGAATGAAGGTCTTTTTTTTTTTTTCTTAATTTTTCTTTTTTAAACAATTCCCTCCTAAGCATTTCTTAATTGACAGGGGTGGAAACTATGTTGCCAAGAGGGATCACAGCCCTTTTGGTCATTAAGAAAGTCAAGGAACGGGGTCTCTTTGGATGAGTGTGTGCGTGTAGAATCCTGGTGGCTGGCCTGCTTGCTCTAAATCATAAAGAACCCTGTCTCGAGCAGACGAGAAAGAGTAACGGAGGCCTCAATGGTGAAAGGAAATCCTGTACCAGCTGTGAAAACAATGAGACACGTTCAGTAATAGAATATAGTGTGCTTACAAATTCAGAGTTGGGTTCCCTTCTTCTCTTGAAGTGGCTATAAATTAATTCATCAAAATAAAAAAGGCCAAACTTCAGGATAAATCTTTCTACTTCTAAACAACCAGAAACACTTTGGTTGTCTTAGTAGATAGGAGTGTGAGTACAGAATTATACGAAGTGAGACCATGGGTGTGTGTGTGCACGTGTGTGCGCATGCCTGTGTGTGTCATTGGTTAGTTAACAAAAGGATTGCCCTCTGAAGAACATGAACTTGGGCCAGACAGCACGTGTAGGGGGTGGAATTATGGAGCAATTGTTACTTTCTTGTATTAAGAAGAAAGGGAGCAAAAGAGCTGTGTCTTCTTGAGAACCTTTAAAAGACACAGAGGTCTCTGCCTCTAAAAAGCTCCATTACATTTTTTTTTTTAACAGGAGGCCTAAATTTTTTATGTTTTATTTTGTGCTGTTTTATTTTTCTTCCTAAGGTTCTCAGACAAGTTTATAAAAGTGCCATGTTGGCTGGGCAGAGTGGCTCACGCCTGTAATCCCAGCACTTTGGGAGACCAGGGTGGGTAGATCACGAGGTCAGGAGATCGAGACCATCCTGGCTAACACGGTGAAACCCCGTCTCTACTAAAAATAACACAAAATTAGCTGGGCATGGTGGCGGGCGCCTGTAGTCCCAGCTACTCGGGAGGCTGAGGCAGGAGAATGGCGTGAACCTGGGAGGCGGAGCTTGCAGTGAGCCGAGATTGCGCCACTGCACTCCAGCCTGGGCGACAGAGCAAGACTCCGTCTCAAAAAAAAAAAAAAAAAAAAAAAAAAAAGTGCCATGTATATTTTGATTACAAAAAATTTCATGCGGTGTTACTTTCTTTTTATTGGTAGAGGGTCTTTATGTTTTATTTTTTTGAGACAGAATCTGCTCCATCACTCAGGCTGGAGGGCAGTGGCAGGATCGTAGCTCACTGTAACCTCGAATTCCTAAGCTCAAGTGATCCTCCTGCCTTGGCCTCCTAAAGTGCTGGGATTATACTTTGAGCCACTGTGCCTGGCTGGCCTTTGTGTTGGACGTTAATACAGTTGGTTCTTTAAAGTTTGACAGTGAAGACTTTTGGAAATTAAAGAAAAAAAATTGAGTATAACTTGTAACGGTCATGGTGTAAAGATCATTTTTTACTGGTTGGAAGTATAGAAGTGGGGTTAAATTAAGTCTATAATTGTAAACTATTGATGTTGGAAGAACATAGAGAGAAACTTATTCCTGTGGACTGGTGATCCCATCTCACAGCCCTTACAGATAAATGTTTGTAAAAGCAAAGGACAGTGTTAATTCTGAGCCCCAAGATGAAATATCAAGTAAAAGAGAAGAACATTTGCCAATGCATCACTGTCTGGGAATGGATTCCATACAGCAGGTAGGTTTATGTAATACAGTAGCTGAAGAGACCTCAATTCTGTGCCTTGATGGGATTACACCGAAGGGAGCACTGGTAGGCTGTTGATGAAACAGGTGGTATTTGGACCACTTCTCCCTCTTTCCGGACAGCTGCTTAGTAGGTTTAGCTTAAATTATACACATGCCAAGCATGTACACATATGAGAAGCCTATATCTCGTAATATCCACAGAGAATAGATGGCAAATCCCATGATTTGTATTTGACTGACAGTCAAGACCCTGTGGGGTGTGAGCCTGGTGGGGGCATTCCAGGCTGGTTTCTCCTGCCTCCAGGAGCTGCTTCTAGTGTGTGCTCTTAACCCTAAAGGAAGGAAACACTGTGTCTTCCTCTTCTCTCATACAGAGCCCTTCCCATGACAAATGTGTGGAGTGTTCCCTCCTTTTACGTAATTCTCCAATTTTCTGGACCCCAGCTTGGTGTCCTACAATTCAGTTTTGACACTAACGACCCAGAGTCAGCACAGACCCCATGGTTGAGGGCTCAGTCCTACAGGATCATCCCCTACTTCAAATGCCAGTAGCAAGTTCAAGATTGTCAAGTGCACTTCTGACTCACTGGCTACAAATTGGGGTTCCCACGACCATCTCCTCAGGCTTGATAATTTGCTATAATGGCTCATAAAACTCAGGGAAATATTTACTTATGTTTACCTGTTTATGATAAAGGATATTACAAAGAGTACAGATGAAGCGGTACATAGGGCCAGGCATGCGGAGGGGATGTGGAGCTTCCATACCCCCTCCCGGCATGCCCCTCTCCAGGCACCACATGCTCAGCAATCTGGAAGCTCTCCAAACCCTATCGTTTAGGTTTTTGTTGTTGTTGTTTTGAGATAGGGTCTCGCTCTGTTGCCCAGGCTGCAGTGCAGTGGTGCAATTATGCAATCATGGCTCATTACAGCCAGGACCTCCCAGGCTAAAGCCATCCTCCTGCCTCAGCTTCCTGAGTAGCTGGGACTACAGTTGCACACCACCATGCCTGGCTAAGTTTTTTTGTTTTGTTTATTAGAGACGAGGTCTCAATATGTCACCCAGGCTGGTCTTGAACTCCTCAGCTCAAGCAATCCTCCTGCCTCGGCCTCCCAAAGTGCTGAGATTACAGGTGTGAGCCACTGTGCCTCTCCATTTAGGATTCTTAGAGAGGTTTTGTTACCCTAGGCATGATTACTTAAATCATTGGCCATTGGTGATTAAGTCAATCTCCAGCCCCTCCTCTTCCCCCAAGGCGGGGAATGTGGGGGTTATCAATTATTCACAACTCTCTAATTGTGAATAATAAAAGACTCTCCCCTCACCCACATTGCTCAGAAAATTTCAAAGGTTTTTGTTTTTTTAGACAGGGTCTCGCTCTGTCACCCACCCAGGCTGGAGTGTAGTGGTGCAGTCATAGCTCACTGCAGCCTCCAACTTCTGGGCTCAAGTGATCCTCCCACCTCAGCCTCTTGAGTAACTGGGACTGCAGGTGCATGGCACTGTGCTCCACAATTTTTTTTTTTTTTTTAGAGATGGGATCTCACTGTGTTGTCCAGGCTGGTCTCAAACCCTTGGGTTTAAGTGATCCTCTTGCCTCAGCTTCCCAATGTGCTAGGATTACAGGCATGAGACCCCATGCCTGGCCAATTTCAAGGATTTTAGGAGCTCTGTGCCAGGAACCTGGATGAAGACCCAGTATGTATTTCTTATTATATCACAATATCACAAATCCACAGTCACATGGTGATTGTGGTAGTGTGGGGGGCCTGATGGTGGGGTACACCTGCTTGAAGTCAGGCTACCATGCCCATTGGGGTCCTCCCCCTTTTTTGCCCTCTGATCTTGTGAGTTCCTTAACATTGGGGATCAGTGGTTTTTCTCTTACATGAAATGACAATGACACTTTATAGGGTTTCTGTAGAGAATACCTTAGAATTAGTTAATGTGTTTCATAAAGCACATGGCGTGGTACCCAGCCAAGAGTAACACTCTGAAGTGCTCCTCCTTACCTGGACATTACAGCATCCTTTGTATAAATCAGGATGCTCAGGAAATACCTTGTTTGGAATAGGAATAGGCTCCTCCCTTTTTTTCTCACTTGCCTTGATTGCTCTGTATTAAAATTCATAAAGGCCCATGAATTATCAATTAGATAGCATTTGGTTTGTTATTTTTAGTTTCTTCCTATAGCAGGCATGTATGCATGTGTTAAAAATGGAAGTAGCGTCGACATTATGAAATGCACAAGAAGTTTTCCTGCCCCCAACCGGTAACTCTCTCCTGCAGTAATCAATGTTGGCACCTGTTTAACCACTTTTGTGTCTTACGTGCACGCTGTTCGGTACTTTGACTTTTTTTCTTAATATTATAACATGGAGGCCAGGCGCGGTGGCTCACGCCTGTAATCCCAGCACTTTGGGAGGCCGAGGCGGGCAGATCACGAGGTCAGGAGATGGAGACCGTCCTGGCTAACACGGTGAAACCCCGTCTCTACTAAAAATACAAAAAATTAGCCGGGTGTGGTGGCGGGCGCCTGTAGTCCCAGCTACTCGGGAGGCTGAGGCAGGAGAGTGGCGTGAACCCGGGAGGCGGAGCTTGAAGTGAGCCGAGATCGCGCCACTGCACTCCAGCCTGGGCGACAGAGCGAGACTCCGTCTCAAGAGAAAAAAAAAAAAAATTATAACATGGAAATGTTTCCTTGCATCTCCGTATCATTTCTCCTCATTCTTTTTAGGTGTAACACAGTATTTTGTCCTATTCATGCAATATAATTTATATAACCTAATTGATAAAACATTTTGGTTGATTGCAGTCTGTCGTAGATAATGCCGTACTGAATATTCCTCCCACATATTTGCAAGTCTATTTGTAGGATAAATTTCTGGTTGTGGCTGGGTCAAAGAGCATGTCCACTTCAAATTTGATAGCTATGTCCCAACTGCCCCCAAATATGTTAAGCCATTTCCTATCCCCCATCCCTCATTAATCTATGAAGTTGCCTGGTTGCCCCACATCTTTACCGACAGGACTGCCGCTCAATGTAGTTACCCTTGTAGAATCTGTCTGCATGTGCCTGTCTAGGACCATGTTAATTGTAATCTTTGGGCATTTTTCTCACTCATTCCTAACCAGGACTGTCACTGGCAGGTTAAATGAGAACTTATTCACCCAGCACAGTGGCAGCACTAGTAGCCAGCCTGGGGTCAGTCTTGCCTCTCGAGAGATCTCATGCAGTCAACTGGGATTTATTGTACAGCTTTACAAAACATTACGGCCTCAGCCTTGTACTGCCCAAAGCATGCAGATGCCGCCTGGTGTATTTTAAAGATATTCCACATGAACTGACCCGTTTCCCACTTCTTGAGTTGGTATGTTTTTTGATTAATATATTTGAGATGTATTTATGTTATTAGGGCTATTTAGGAAGCTCTGTAGGGATTTGTTGCTTGCTGTATATAACACATACTTTTAAAAAGCAGGGCTGGCTATGACTTATTTTTCTCTAGAGAGACCTGTGTAGTTTTGTAAGTTCTTAAGATTTGGCAGCTGTGGATCGTGTTTAGTAAGCACGATCTCTAACTCTTTGGAACTCAGAACTATGTAATTGAAATGGCCTGGGAGGCAAATGTGATCATTCAGGTAATCAAAGTAACTACAGAAACAGAGGTATGGATTAGCTAGTCATTGCAGATGTGGCATTGAGCATATAGGCGTGGTGTACTTCTTAGAACTTCATCTGGAAATGCCTGTGGGGGAGTTGGATTTCAAGATCATCGTCAATGTCATGTCACTGTAATTTCATTTACATTAATCAGATTAGTTTGGAAAGTATGGTCTTCCTACTTTTAGGAGGATATAGGAGAAACTCATCCTTAAAGATAGTAGTCTGTTAATACAAAAACAGTCCCCACATTTGCATTGTCCCCAAATCTAACCCAAGCTGAAAGACATTAGGCCTATCTTCTTGCTTTATGCATAATGGCAGATCTCCAGGGAGGGAGAGGATGTGTGCTGGAAGATTCTACAACTTGTTGATTGGTTCCTAAAGATCGTTTTAGTGCTATGTTTGTGGGGCGGGGCTGGAGGGGGCTGGAAATCACCATCTCTGTGGCCTTTTAATTGTGCCCAGTTACAAGTAACATTTGTCCCCAGTGTTTCACAATTATAAATTAATAATAACCACCCATTAGAAATTACGGGTATTGTAAGCCCCAACTCCTTTGGGCGTCTTAATAAAAATGATAATTAAAACCATAATTTACAGTAAATGGGGACACTGCCCAAGTACATCCACAATATGGAGAAAATTAAAAAACTTAAACCAGAAGGAACCTTCCTGGCATCGGGGAAAGAAGCTGCCTTTTTCTTAGCTCCTACCTCTGTGGGAGCTTTGTCAGTATTTGAGGGGACAGGGTTCCCACCTTCATGTTTTTTGTGCCTGAGGATTCTGTGGGCGACTGTCCCCACCTGTCCAACCTACCAGTGAGTCTCATGGTGTGCGGCTGCCTGCTCCGATGCTCTCCACCACCATGCCCAAGCCATTTCTCCCTTTGTGTTCCCTGTCTGGGTAAACAACTTGCCAAGCTCACCAGTGGCCCACAGGGCACCTTGGACACCTAGACTTAGGCAGTCCCTGGCTTTGTAGATTTTTTTTGCTTCCTACATGATTTTCTAATTTATACCTTGAGCTGCTCGGGATAAGAGGGCACCTCGTCCATTTCTGGCTGGTCACAAGGCCACAGTATCTTGAGCGAGTCCATTGTGACCACTGGAGGTACTGTAAATGGATAAAATAATAATATGAATAATAACTCATAGTGTTTACTCCCTGCCTAAATCCACAGGCTCCCGCTGCCTACAGAGGAGTCCCACAGTTTTCGCTTGCTTCATGGAGCTTCATCTCTGTTGTATTCATGTGATTTATTTACACAGAGTTGCTCCCCAATCCTTGATCTTTTTTTTTTTTTTTTTTTTTTTTTGCCAAGCACCCTGCCTTTTTGCTTGTCTGTTTCGTCTTTATCTCTCCTTCCAGTAAAGTTCTTGGCCCAGAGGTTCTGCTGCCACTCAGTGACATTTGTGAAATGCAAGGGAGCTTGCACCATGGGTTCAAGCTCCTGCAGATCCCTGAGCCTGCTACCCTTGTGCTTCTCTGTCCACGCAAAGCCAAGTGCTACTGCGGGGTTTTCCAAGGCATAGCTAGCATCCTAATAGTCTCACACTTGACATAGTAGGGTTTGACATGGTTTAAATAAAATCTCAACCAGATCAGTGGGAGATGTTCTTTGAGATTCGGTGATTGAGTTGTGAACGTATGGACTGAGGGTGTTTTGTGGTAAGGCTTGAGTCATGTCTGTAGCAAGGATGTTTCCTGAATAATGTGCACTGAGCATCAAGTGCCTGCAGTGGCCTGGCGGGTAATGCCAGCAGCACGGGTGATGATCATGGTCAACATGACCAACTAGAAAGCCCAAACCCCACCTCTAGCTGACAGTGGCTTCTCAGCTAACCTGTCACCACGTGGGATTGGGCCCCCAGTGGTGTAAGCTTTTTCAGAGAAGCTACACATCTAGCTTTTGGACCTGTGATCTCCCCAATGTTTTAATGCTGGCAACTAATTCAAATTAGGAAGGAAGGAAGGAAGAGAGGTTGGAAGGGAGAGAGAGAAAGAAGGAGCAAAGGAGAAAAGAAAGGAGAGAAGGAGGAAGGGAGGGAGGAAGGAAGGAAAGAAAAGGAAGGAAGGGAAAGGGAAGGAAGGAAGGGAAGGGAAGAAAGTATGGGCCACACAAAACAGGTCTGTGGGCTTGACTTGTCCTCTGATCATCAGTTTGTGACCTCTGTTCTAAAGAGTGAAAACTATGTAAGATAGTATAAGATAAGTAGGTATTTAAATTACTTTGCACCTTTTCCATTTCATAGAACTTGAATGTTTGTGTTCAAAGCTTAAAACCCAAGACAGTGAGCTATTAAGCCTCCATGGCCACGTCATTTTTCTGATTGCATCTGATGTAACAAGTGCTAGAAAAACTGATGCTGTTCATTGCTTTAAAACGTCTTTCTTTATTTTCTTGGTATTATTAGGTTTACATATTCTTCCGAACACACTCTTGCCATCTCCATGCAGTTAAGCTAGTTCAATTTAAACATTGTCATAAAGTTAATTTTTTATAAGATGAATCAGGTTATTAAATTTAGTAAACCATTGCCTTCATTATTTTGCACAAACTTTGGCACTGTGCAGAATAGGCTTAGCACTACTACATTTAGCTAATTAAACTGGCCGTCAGCTGCAGTATTACAAGAGTGAGGGATGTTATTCTCTTGGGTTTTATCCAGGACTTTAACAGTAGGTAGCATTATTAAGCTTTTTTTATATAAAACTCCACACTCTAGAGATATGGTTTACTATAAAAGTGTTATTGTCCTTCCTGTTAAACTATCATCTTTTGAAATAGCCACGCTTTGTTTCTGTTCCAAAGGCAATTGTAAAGGGTAAGAAAATGGAGTTGTCTATTGCAGCTTTTAAAAGTAGACTAGCAACGGGTAATGCATTGCTTAGATAAAGGAAGATGTAAGAACCAGAGTGTAATTTCACAAGACACAGAGACAGATGGCTTACCCGTAACTACAGTCAGGAA
This sequence comes from Homo sapiens, assembly GCF_000001405.40. Taxonomy (NCBI): domain Eukaryota; kingdom Metazoa; phylum Chordata; class Mammalia; order Primates; family Hominidae; genus Homo; species Homo sapiens. The sequence continues at coordinate 78,156,167 of NC_000016.10, forward strand.
TTCTCTAAAGGAGAGAGGGTGGAAGCTTGAGCCTGTAGCCTGTTGCTGCTGTCTTGTCAGATGTGCCCTTTCTGGTAATAAAAAGTCCTTTGCCGTGGGTTATTTTGTCAAGTGAGATAGCAGGACTTAACAGGTTTGTTTGGGAAAATAAAATTTGATAGAAAAACGGCGTGCTTTTCCCCCACAGATTTCTTGGTAGCATCATTCAAAACTACAGTGAGCAGTATCTTTGCAGGATTTTAATATTTATTCATTATTATAAAGGAAGGAAGAGGGCCATCGTGTTGCAGTTTGAAACAGCCTGGATTGTTTTAAAATAGTCCAGAGCTGCAGCCTATTAGCAGTCTGCAAGAACCATTTGTTTCTTCAGCAGATATTTATTGAATCCTACTGGGTGCTAGTCTGGCGAAATACGGAGATTGGAGGGTGTAAGGCTCAAGGAGCTTACCTGAGAAACTGGATAAATAAAGCTCTGTACTGGGTGTGGTGGCTCACGCCTGTAATCCCAGCACTTTGGGAGGTCGAGGTGGGTGGGTCATTTGAGGTTAGGAGTTCGAGAGCAGCCTGGCCAACATGGTGAAATCCCGTCTCTACTAAAAATACAAAAATTAGCTGGGTGTGGTGGCACGCGCCTGTAATCCCAGTTGCTGGGGAGACTGAGACACGAGAATCGCTTGAATCCCTGCGGTGGAGGTTCTAGTGAGCAGAGGTTGCAGATTGCACCGCTGCACTCCAGCCCGGGTGACAGAGTGAGACTCTGTCTCAGTCAGTCAATCAGTCAATCAATCAAGTTCTGGAACCTGCCTGGCCTTGTGTTATATCGATGCTTTCTCAATCTGTTAAAAACGTAGCTGCTATTGAATGACTAAGAATTGTTTACTCTCATTTCCACTCTCTTACATCTTTTTTTTTTCTTTTAATACCCTGTGATGAAACTGTGAAGAAAGATATTCCTGATCATTGCTTTGACCTGGAAATTTCAAAGGGACCCACAGTCCACCATTCCGTCCAAGATCTTCTGGGTGTGTGAAGTCCCGGGCTCCCAAATGCAGTTGTGTTTGGTCACTGTGTTGCTTGCATATGGCTGTTGGCATCTCATTAGCCTGATTGATGGGGCAGATCAGTCAGCAAGACTTTGTTCGGTGCCTGCCCCCAGCCAGCTGGGCTACAAAACCTGGCATTTTACTTCTCTCATTTTCCCCAAATGATCTAGGTGTCTTTTGCTCACTGGTGATAAGGGGTGACATTGGTATCACAGGTAAAAATGAGTAAATTTGAGATTATTGTCGTCTTGCTTTAAAGGTTGGAGATACAGCTTCAAAAACCTTTTACTACCCACACACCCAAGGGGAGTCAAATGGATTTAGGTGTTAAATACTTCAGGTTTGAAATCCTTTGTGCATTATTTCAGCATCTGATTTAAGTATCAGAGGTCATCTTTAGGTAATAAGTAAGTATTTTGGAATATGGGATTTGGCAAAATCTCAAGAAATAATTTCAGGTTGTCTCAGCAATGAGGTTAAATTGTGCTCCAGAGTCCATATTCAGACAAACGGAATGGTGGAGCCCGAGGTTGATTTCTTTGAATTCTGGTTGGTATTAAAGTCATTCAGCCCTCGGGTTACCATTGGTAGCACATCTAGGAGCAAGTTTTAATTTTTTAGTCATAGTGACTGTGCTGGATTTGGTAGGTCGTACGAATTGGGTAAGAGGCATAGGACACCAAGGATTTTGCAAAAAGCAGGCAACTAACATTTGTTTTCCACCTACTATGATTATGTTAGGCTCTCAATATATGTTTACCACTTATTCCCCATTTTACAGAAACGATAACTGAGTTTCACATGGGTTCAAGGCGTGACCTTAGATCCCACAGCTTGTACGTGCTTAGAACTGGCAGCAACACAAGTGTGTCCAACTTGAGTTTTCCTCTGTGCTATGCTGATTTTCCTTGAGAAGTATTCTGTATAAATAGACTGTTTTCTATGAAGATTAGGCCTGTGGGAGTGATATGAATGAATGAACTTTACTAGGCTCTTTCACATGGTGATGTCAGGAAGATAACGGTATGCTGATTTTGCGTGCATATTAACATTATCTTGTAAACAATAATTTATGGCCATTTGACATGGGTTTGGCTGAATTGCATAGCTGCCTTCTCTAGTAGAATTGACTACTTTGTTATTGTACTGTACTCTATAGGGTCTTCCACCACAGATTACAAAATATGGTATTTTTTAGTTTAGAGCAATGGGTTGGTGTTCAAGCTCTGGATTAGACTGCCTCTTCTTTTTCCTCCCTCCCTCCCCTCCCCTCCTCTCCTTTCCCCTTTTTTGAGATGACTTTAAAATATAGATTCATATTTTTTAAATATACAGAACTTTTTCAGTTTTCCATTTCTTCTTGTGGCAACTTTTTTTGTAGTGTTTTTCTAGGAATTTGTCTTTTTTACCTGTATTGTAAATTCATTGGTATAAAGTTGTTCACCATATCTTAAGATCTTCTTTGGGTTCATAGGATCTGTAGTCCTTTTCTTTATTTTTCATTTTTAAAAACAACTTTATTGAGGTATGATTGATGTACAAAAAGCCTTACGTATTTGATGTATAGAACTTGATAAGTTTGGAGATAAGTATATACCTGTGAAACCATTATATTTTATAAGTACATGATACAATATGAGCACAGTACTATATGGTAGATCTCTAGGGCTTTTCCATCTGGCGTACCTGAAACTTCATACCCTTTGGCTAATACCTCCTTGTTTCTCTCTCCCCTCAGCCCTTTGCCTACACCATTCTATTTTTTGCCTCTATGAGTTTGAGTGTCTTAGATTCCTCATATAAATTGTATCATGTAGTATTTGTCCTTCTGTGTCTGGCTTATTTCACTTAGCATAATGTCCTTCAGGTTCATCCATGTTGTTGCAAATAGCAGAATTTCCTTCATTCCTAAGGCTGAATAATATTCCATTGTGTGTGTTTGTGTGTGTGTGTGTTTGTGTGTGTGTCTTCCACATTTCCTTTATCCATTCATTCATCAGTAGAAATTTAGGCTGCTTCCATGTCTTGGCTAGTATGAATAATGCTGCAGTGAACATGAGAGGGCAGACATATTGTTGTGATCCTGATTTGAGTTCCTTTGGATATGTATCCAGAAGTAGGATTGCTGGATCATAATCCAGCAATTTTTAATTCTTGTTTCGTTTTTTGAGGAACCTCCATACTGTTTTTCATAATGGTTGCACCAATTTACATTCCACTAAGGAATGTAAGTTTCTCACGCATAAGGGGGCTCTTGTTTCCACACCCTGAACCACACTTGTTATCTTTCATTTTATGATGAGAACCACCTTAAGAGGTGTGAGGTGACATCTCACTGTGGTTTCAATTTGCATTTTCCTGAGAATTAGTGACAGTGAGCCCCTTTTCATACACTTGGCTATTTGTATGTTTTCTTTGGAGAATTGTCTATTTGGTTCCTTTGCTTGTTTTTAAAATCTGTGGTTTTTTTTTTTTTTTTTTTTTTTGCTATTGGGTTTTAGGAGTTCCTTATATATTTTGGATATGAACACTATCAGTTATGAGGTTTGCAAGTATTTTTTACTATTTTGTAGCTTGCCCTTTCAGTGTCTTGATTGTTTTCTTTAACGTGCAGAAGCTTTTTAGTTTTACGTAACCTCACTTGTCTAGTTTTGCTTTTGTTGCTTATGCTTTTATGTGGCATAATGTTGTCCTTTTATTCATCCCTGATATTGGTTGTTCAAGCCCTCTCTTTCTGTCTCTGTCTCTCTCTCTGTCATTCTTGCTAGCCCTTTATCAATTTTATTAGTTTTTTCAATTGACAGACTTTTAGCTTCTTTTTTTCTCTGTATTTTATGTTTGTTTTAGATTTATAAGTTTCTCCTTTCTCCTTTTATTTCCATCGTTCTGCTTTCTTTAGGCTTAATTTGCTGGGTTATTTTCCTAATGTAATGGATGCTTAGATCATCTTGGATGCTTAGATCATCATTTTTTCTTTCTTTCTTTTTTTTTGGAGCAAGATCTCACTCTGTCACCCAGGCTGGAGTGAAGTGGCATGATCATCCTCCTGAGTAGCTGGGACCACAGGTGTGCACCACCACGCCCAACTAATTTTTTGTAGAGATGGAATTTTGCCATGTTGCCCAGGCTGGTCTCGAACTCTTGGGCTCAAGCGATCCACCCGCCTCGGCCACCCCGATTCCTGGGATTACAGCCATGAGCCACTGTGCCTGGTCTTCTTTTTAATATATGTAGTTAAGGCTATAGATTTTCTTTTAACCATGGCTTTAGCTATACTCCTTAAGTTTGTATATGTGTTTGTAATTACCGAGTTTAAAATATTTCTAACTTTCATTGTAATTTTTTGAGCCATAATGTCTTATTTATTTATACATATATTTCCAGAAATGAGAATTTTCTGGGATCTTGTTATTGATTTGTAATTTAATTCCATTGCGGTCAAAGAGCATACTTTCTAATTTTAATCTTTTGAAATTCATTGAGACTTGCTTTTGCCCCTGCAAATCATCAGTTTTGGTAAGTATTCTTGAAGTACTTGAGTATATTTTGCTGTTGCTTTCAGTGTTTATCATATTCAATTATTTTCAGTTTATCAATTAAGTTGTTCAAGTCTTCTATATACTTTGTGTTTGTCTGCTTATTTTATCTGTTACTAAGAGGGATATGTTAAAATCTTCCATTATAATTGTGAATTTGTCTATTTATTGTCCTAATTCTGTCAATTTTTGACATATATGAGAGGCTCTATTATTAAGTACATATAAATTTAGAATTGTCATGTATTCTTGGTGGATTGAAATTTACCATTGTGAAATATTCAGCACTTTCTCTTGTAATGCTTCTTGCTTTAGAGTCTTTTTTTTCTGAAATTAGTACAGCTATATCAGATTTCTTTTGGCCCGTGTTATACAGTATACCTTTTCTATTCTTTTACTTTTTTTATGCTTATGTTTAAATAAGGTATAAAACATAATGTACATTCTTTTTTAAGGACAGTATATGTATATTTATGTTTTCTTCAGTCTGACAAACTTTTTCTTTTAATTGCCATCTTTAGGCCATTTATATTTAATGTAATGACAGATATATTTGAGTTTGGGTTTAAATATACCACCTTATTATTGGCTTCCTGTTAAGTTATTCTATATTCCTCTTTCCCTTATTTCTATCCTTTCTTTCTCTTTTTTCTTTTCCTTTTTCCTTTCTCTCTCTCTCTCTCTTTCTTTCTCTTTCCTTTCTTTCTTCCATTTAAATTGAGACAGGGCCTTGCTCTGTCACTCTGGCTGGAGTGCAGTGGCATAATCATAGCTGACTGTGCCCTTGAACTCTTGGACTCAGGCAATCCCTCGACATCAGCCTTCTGAGTAGCTGGGACTACCGGTACCTGCCACCACACCTGGCTATTTCTTTTTTAATTTTAATTTTTGTAGAGACAGAGTTTTGCTATGTTGCCCAAGCTGGTCACAAGTGATCCTCATGCTTTGGCCGCCCACGGTGCTAGAATTACAGGCCACTGTACCTAGTCATCTTCTCTCCTTTCTTGCCTTTTTATCATTCTGCTTTTCTTCTCCATTAGCTTTTTAAATTTGTAGAGATTTACATCTTGCATCTTTGACTTATTAAAATCTAATATAAATCAGTATTATATCACTTCCTGGAGAAGACAAGAACCTTAGGATACTTTGCTTCCATTACTCACCTCCTAGGTTAAGCATTGTTATTATTATTGATATAGTAATTTTTGCTATATATTTTAAAACTCACAGATTTCACTCTTACCATTTGGATCTTAACATGTCGTTACCCTTTATGTTGCTCTTTGTTACTTTCTGCATCTCTGGGTTTATAGCTAAGGTCATTTTCCTCCTGCCTGAAGAGCATCCTTTAGTGTTTCCTCTAGTGTGGGTCTATACGTGACACTAGGTGTAGTGTAGGTGACAAACAAAAAGCAGCTTTCGTTTGCTTAAAATTTTTGTTCTCTGCCTTTATTTTTCAAAAATATTTTCACTAGGTATAGAATTCTAAGATGAAAGTTTTATTTTTTTTCAGCTGTGGCTTCCATCATTTTCCTGAGAGGTATAACTATCAGTCTTGTAGCTACTGGTCTCTAACTACTTCTAAAACTATCTGCAGTTTTTAGCAGTTTTACTCTGATGTGCCTTGCTTTGACATGTATGTGTATATATGTGTATCTACACACACATACACACATACAGATACACACTCACATATATATTTCTGTTTGCGGCTCACACAGACATAAATATATATATATATACAAACGTACATTTCTGCTTGTAGCTTGCACATATATATATACACACACACACATACATGTAGACACACACATTTATACATATACATGTCAACACATACACATACATATTTCTGCTTATGGCTCAGGATACTTCTTTTTTTGGCCGTGTATGCGTCATTGATTTTGTAACATTATCAGCCATTCTGTCTTTAAATATTGCTTTTCTTAGTCTATTTCACTTGTTTTGGAACTCAGATTACATGTATGTGTAAGAGCCTGGGAGAATGTGTTTCATATGTCTCTTTTGTGCTTTGTTTTATTGTGTTATTTTTTTCTTTTTATGCTTCACTTTGGATTTTTTTGTTAACTTATTTTGTAGTTTCCTCAATCTTGTCGTCAGCTGTGTCTTGTATTCTGTTAAACTATATGCTGAATTCTTCTTTACTCTTATTACTCTTATTTTGTTTAAGTTTCAGAATATCTATTTGAATTTTTTTATTGTTTCTAATTCCCTGGCAAAATTCTCCATCTTGCCTTTTTGTTCCTTGAATTTGTCAGTCAGACTTATTTTAATCACTGTTTCTGAATAACTTGATTAGACAGATCTCCTGTGCATTTATTTCCATTTGTTCCCCTCTGGCTTTTGGTGAAGTTTTTTCTTTTTGTATGCTTAGCTATTTTGTTTGAATGTCTGAGAGTTTATATGAGTATTTGAAATAATCATAGTGGTAATTTGAGACTCTAGATAATGGTATCTTCCTCCAGAGAACATTTTCTCTTGCTTCTGGAAATTGGATAGATAGGGACTGATCACTTTAATCAAACTAGGAATTGAAATGGCCTGAAGCTGAGTTTCCACTCTTGTGAAGGCTGGACTGTCTCTTGTTATTACAGCGAGGGTATAACTCTTTAGGATCCCGACCCAAGGTTTGGTGTGTTTACCGTGGCCCTTTCCTGGTGGGTCCTGAGCTCAAATTTATGTCTTTTTCCTTGTTATAAAATTGCCAAAAGCTCAGCCCATCTTCTCAGGCTTCCAACCACTATGTTTGGAAATGAAATATGCCTTGAAGGAAAAAAGCTGCCAAATGCTGGCCTTGCAGTTTTTGCAGATCTTGGCCCCCAAAATTCTTAGTCATAGTGCCCTTCTGATGCCTTCAAACAGATATGGGTGTGTATGCACGTGTGTTATTTTGTCCATCTTTTCTAATTGTTCTCAGTAGGAAATGGGGCTAAGAAACCTAGGTAACACTGGTAGAAGCAGAGGTGCTGGCGACACTTACCATAGAGTAGAGCATAAAGTCCTTATCGTGGGCACAGGATCTGGTCATTATTGATGGTTAAATGGCTGGACATGCCGTGAACTCTTCTATGTCCCAGTCTTCATCTTTGAAATCACTGCATCCCTAGGACAAGTTTTCTCACCATCACAGTGTTGACAGTCCGGGCCAGATGGTTCTATGTTGTCAGGGGCTGCCCTGTTCATGGTAAGATGTTTTGTAATGCCTGGTGTTTACCCACTAGATGCCAGTAGGACTCTACCCCACAACTGTGGCCACTGAAAATGTCTCCAGACATTTGCTTCTGTCCCCTGGGGATCAAAATCACCCCTGGTTGAGAACTTGGGGTAATTTAAGTGGTGCTCCGGTAAAGGCCATTCAACATGACTCACTGTGTTGATGTTATGTTTTCTAACATTGACTTTCCTTTAAACCATAGGGTTCGAAACCGCCAAGTCTTTTGCCCTCCATGGTGCACATGTGATCTTGGCCTGCAGGAACATGGCAAGGGCGAGTGAAGCAGTGTCACGCATTTTAGAAGAATGGGTAAGTGCTTGACTGTTGTTGTTTTTTTTAATTGTCAAATACACATGCCGGGCTAACCATATGGAGATTTCAGTGGAGTGTGTAAAGTTTATTGCTCTTGGAATCATGTCTTTATTTTTAAAGTCATCTTCACTTTGTTTGTCTTATGAATGAAAGCATGAGCAAGTCCATTATTATTCACGCATTTGTTTGTAGTTCATTGTCAGTGTCATCTGCTTTATTAGTCAGGGGTTTGAGAATGTTTCTTCCTTTAACTCATTTATTAAGAAAAATAAAACGTGGTGAACGCCCATGATTGCAACTAGGAGACTGTTATGCTTATGGTTGTTAAGATTAGAAAGAAGGAGGCTTTAACCCTATCTCTAATTTCTTACTTTTCTCTGTCTATGTAGAAGTTGATGTTGATACGTGTCTACATAAATATTTACTAAGGGCTTGCCTTAGTCTTGGGACCAAGGATATAGTATTAAACGAAACAGAATCCCTGCCCTCATAGGCTTACCTTCTAGGTAGGAAAAATAGACCATAATCAAGTTTAATATTTGCCATAATGTCAGTAAATAAAGGACTGTAAAGCAGAGGAAGGTGGGGGGAATGATAGCGTGAGTGTGATGGAGTCATCAGCAGGGAGCCTTCCAAAGTTGTGACATTTGATCTGAGACCTGAATGAAGTAGGGGTAAGCCATGCAGATGTCAAGAGAAGTATTCTCTTAGCAGTGAGAAGAGCATATGCTAAGGCTCAGAGGTAGGCACAAGCCTGGAGATTTCAAGGATCATCAGGGAAGCTAGTGTGGCTGGAGATGAATGGAGTGGGTAGGAGAGGTGCTGTTGGGGGATGGGTATCTGGTAGACTCTGAGATAGCGGTGAGGAAGACATTAGAGGGTTTGAGCTAGAGAGTGATGCGAGCTGTTTGATTTTTGAAACATCGCTGGATTTCAGAATGAAGTCCAGACTGCATTCATTCACTTTTCATTCATTCACATATTCATGAAGTGCACCTCTGTGATGGGTGCTGGGGTCTACTGTTAAGGACAACAGACGTTGCCACTGTCTTTGTAGAGCTTTCAGCCTATTGTGGAAGACAAATTTAGTCAAAAAACACAGATCTTAATGTAAACTTGAAAAAGCAGTGAGTGGTCCTAGGAATCAGTAATGATGCCAGGGAGTTGGGAGACCTTTGGGGTCCCCAAGGAAGAAGTGATTGAACTAAGATCTGAAGAAAGACCTGAAGAGGGTGGAGAAGGGTCAGATGGGGTAGGGGAATGGCAGGTGCAGAGGCCCTGGGAGGAGGGGGAGGAGGAGATAGAGCAGCGTGTTTGGGAGCAGAGCCTGAAGGGGGCTGGGTACACCCTGTGGAGGCCGTCTTCATTTTTGAATGCTGTGAAAGATTTCTTGCCATTTGAAGAAATAGACTACAGTGTACTTAAGAAAATTTTTGGTACTCTGGACTGAAAAGTAGTGAAAATAAAGAAAAGGAAGATTTATTTCTGCTTTTTCAGTGTATTTATGATGAAATATTTGAAATTCAGTATATTTGAAATGAGCCCTTATCTTGAGCTCACTGAGCTTATTATTTTGGGTTAAATAAAAAAGAAAACAGAGTCTTACTTTTTCTGATCATTTTATTGTCTTTCTGACTAATGTTAAAAAGTAGTAACCTCTAGTAGGTGGGATAGTAGCAATTTTTAGGGATGTATTGAGAAGAGTACAAATGGGAATACGTGCATCTTATTTGAATCTACACGCAGAATGGGAAGGTGAAAAATGAAATGTGAAAGTCGTTCTTGGTCCTTCTCTTGGAAGATAAACATTATGTATTCTTCCAGAAAAAGGTTATCTATATACCAGCAAACACACTCACATTCTGTTCTGTACTTTTTTTTTTTTTAAACTTAGTACTGCAGGAGATCTCTTATTAGTGCATATAGATCTACTTCATTGTTTTAACTGCTGTATAATATTCCATCATGTGCTTATGCTATAACCAGTCTTCCCTTTGGTGGCCATTTAGGTTGTTTGCATTGTTTTGCTATTTGTTATTCCAAGCAATGGTGTTTCACAGTTCTCTCTTTCTTGCATCAGTCTTTCTTACGATATCATCTGATATTGGGCCTAAACTATGCTGCTGTGAGCATTCTTTATTTACGTATTTGTGAGTAAATGCCTGGGGCAGAATCTTAGCACTGGACTCCTTGATTCAAAGGGCATATGCATTTAAAATTTTGGTAACAGTTCCCGAGTCATTTTCTTTTTTCTTTTTTTTCTTTTTCTTTTTTATTTTTTTTTTGAGACTGAGTTTCACTCTGTCACCAGGCTGGAGTGCAGTGGCACAATCTCGACTCACTGCAACTTTCACCTCCTGCGTTCAAGCAATTCTTCTGCCTCAGCCTCCCGAGTAGCCGGGACTACAGGCACGCGTCACCATGCCCAGCTAATTTTTGTATTTTTAATACAGACGGAGTTTCACCATGTTGGCCGGGATAGTCTCGACCTCCTGATCTCATGATCTACACACCTAGGCCTCCCAAAGTGCTGGGATTACAGGCATGAGCCACCGTGCCCGACCTCCCGAGTCATTTCTTATCTTGTTGCTCCAATTTCCATTCCCACTGACAGTGTAGACAGACAACTGCTGAGGGCTTGCAGTGTTCTTGGGACTAGCAGGAGGGCGTGTCAAAATTGTAAAACTCTGCCTATTTGATGTAATATTTGAAACTAGAAAGGTAAAATTCCAGGGACGCTAGTGACACTATGGTAACCTGATTGTACAGTGACATTCATGTTTAAACCAGTCTTGGAAGATAATGCTGTAGCACAACTGTTTTTGCATCATTAAATTTATCCTCTTCTTTTCTGAGAACACAATATATATGAGAACACATTCATCTGCATTTATCCTATTTTAATTATTGTTTGATGCTTAGAGCAGAAATTCCTGGACCTGCCCCAATTAGCGATGAGACCTTGGGTAAGCCTCTGGATCTATTTGGAGCCTGTTTCCTCATCTTTAAGGAAAAAGGTTGGATGGATGATGTCAAAGACCCACTGTTCAGTCTTTCTTTCTTATATTTTGAGCCTTAATTGGGTCCCTGTGAGTCAATTTCCGATGATAGAATTTGCTGTTTTATAGTTTTACTCTAACATGTAGTACCTTGAGATAGACCAGTGATCCCAGACTAAGAATTATTCAGAATCATTCACCGTCGGGGACACAGAAAAAGGAAAATGGAACAGAAACAAAACTAATACACGTGGCTCCAGATGTTTAAAATTAGATTTGATAGGTTGTAGGCTGAAGAAACTCAACCTGTTCATCATCTCTCATCTTTTCACTTGTTCTCTCTGTATGCCATTATATTGTGTTCCTCATTTTCCCAAGATGATGATTATGGAAACTCAAATTTTGCACCAGAAGCTGTAGTTACCATTTCATTCCATTGCACCATTCATACCCTGCAGAGAGGATGTGAAGTCGTAAGGCCTTCTTGCTCTGGTGACATCTGTTAGGCTTCGTCTCTATATCATCCCCCAACTCCTTGACCCTTGATATTTGCTGGTCTACTTCCCTTCAGGTCCTTCCTCACCTCACATCTCTGCGCAAGGATTTCATCTGGTATGTCACTAAATATTACCTTCCTGTGTTTCTCAAGGTCAATTTGATAGACTCCAATTTTTCAAGCTGCTGGCCAGCTTGAGCGTATTCATATGTTACCTACGATGAATCACATCAGTGTCGGGGCCGGGAAGGTACTGCAACATATTGGCGCCTCACGGGAGGCTCTCAAAATGATCCAAAGTTTTTTGTTGCAGCAAAAGCTCATTCAGAAGTCTTTGGGCCATTTGGCTCAGCGGAGGCTGTCATGTGCCAAGGCTCCGTGGGCATTCTTAGCTCTGCTTCTGGAGATAAGAGTTCATTCCTCCATCCCAACTTGTTCTTCCCTGCCCATTCTTCCTCTTCCTGCCTTCACTGCACATTCCGGGATCGCCATGTTCTAGAACATTCATGTCTGCCTTTTAGCCAGCAGAATGCTATTCTCACATCCACAATGGGACAGCTAACAGCCCCCATTTATCAAATCCCTGTCATATGCTGTGTCAGGCACTTTATATCCCTCATCCAGGAGGATGCAAAAACCTGGTGTTTTTCTTTTTTTTTTTTTTGCATTTTCCAGACGAGCCAAGGGATGGCTCAGAAGGGTGAAGGAACTCACCCGAATTGCACAGCTGGTGAGCTCAGAGTCAGGCTCCTTGCTTGGTCCATCTGGCTTCCAAACTCCAAGTCTGTCTGCTCCACCCCATGGCCCATCTTTTTACCATGTTTAGTATCAATGTTCATACTTTGCAGATTTTGCTTTCAAACTCTCTAGCTGCGGTTTGAGTGATTAATTTCAGGATCCATCCTATTTCTTAGAGGAAGCCACTCTGATCTACCCTGTCGTCTCTTTATATTCAAGATATCCTTTATAGAGCTCTCAAATTACTTTTGGGAAGAAGGAGCTATTTAATAAAATACAACTTAAGTGAAAACACATTCCATATAGAAGTATATTAAGAACCTATATGTAATTACTATGACTACTAATTATTTCATGGGAAAATGCCCTCCTGCTGAGATGTTTTAGATGCTCCAAAGTTAGAAGAGAAAAAATGAAAACAATTAAAACAGGATAACATGGACAGTACAGAAGTAAACCACTGTCTTAAAAGGCCAATCCATTTGGCATAATTAAAAAAAGAGGGAGGAGATGGAGGCACATCAGCCCCCATTCATATTTAAATAAAGAAAACGGGGCAGTGGGGCTTGTTCCTATGTTGTGGAACAGCACACAGATGTGATCTACCTCATTCACATCCTTATGTGAATTATACACTGGTGCCCTCACCTCTTAAGACAAGCACCTATCGTTTTCCTGTGTATTCCAAGAGGCCAGTGTGGCTGGTGGAATAAGATGTTTTCCTGTTTTCAAGATGCAGTGGACTCTCTTTTATTTAACAGCAGTGTCTATGTGTTAGGAATCCATGTGAGTTCTCTAAGTCTGGGACAACGATAGGTGTGTCTGAGTCCTGCATTACCATGGTTTATTCTTTCCTTTACCCAGTATCTATTGGAGTTGGGCTTCTGTTGCTTTATTTCTCGGGGTCTGGCATATCCCACTCCCTGTCTTGAGATCTCAGGACCTCTGAGATCTCAGGACCTCTGCATGTAAAGAACAAGAGCTTATTAGGTATCAAAACATACTTCATGAACAGCTACAGCAAGACCTCGACATTCCAGTGTAGAGCTCTTGAAAGACCCCAGTGGGGCTCTGAGTTCCTCCTTCTTCTGTTTCTATTAGATTTCTAAATTTTAGTTTCTAAATTTTAGATCCCCGGAACTTGGGATCTAAAACTCTGGTCCTGTGGAAGAAGGAGGTAGGGTAGAGTGGGAGCAGATGGACCTGATGTCATCCATCTCCCTACGTTGTTTGCAGGAGGAAAAGGGATGAGGCTGAGGCTGGGAGGCAGGGGCGGTGGATTGAGAGAGAGGAGAGGGATTGTTATGAGTAACCAATGTTCCTCATGCCTGCCAGGCCCTCACTAGATCTGTTTAACAGAGAGTGCAGAAGAGCTTCTGTTGGGGACTGGCCATTAGTATAGCGAGGGGCCCAATAAGTGTTGTGAAACATCAGCATCTGCTGGACATTGAGATGGCCACAGGTTGGTCAGAGAGGGCTGGTATGGGAAGAGGGGCAGGTGGCTCTCCCTTAGAGTTACTATTTGACTCACCCCTGACTTCCCAGAATGTGTCTTGAGTCTATTACCCTCTCATATGGGAGGGGTGACCCAAGTATGTTTGTGGCAACCAAAATGTCTCCAGGCATTGCCAGATGTCTCTTGGGGGTGCAAATCGTCCCCAGTTCATAACCACGGCTATAAAACATGCTGTATTATAGTGGCAAAGATTAGAATCAGATACATCTTATGACCTTGGGCAAGTTTCTTAACTTCTTTAAACCTCAGTTTCTTCATCTGTAAAATGCACATCATAATATCTCTATTCAGAGATACAGGTGGTTCTATTAAACACATCAACTCTGTGTATATAAAGTCTTAACCCATTGTGGAATAAATTAAGTGCTCAATTAAATGTTAGCTGCTGCTATTAATAACAACAATAATAATATTTTCTTCACGCATGAAAGTGCAAAGTGATGCTTACTTTTCTTAACCTCTCCAACTGGCTGAAAGAGGAGCTCTAGGGCAGATGTTTATCAGCCTGATTTCAGTGGAGTTGCAATGAATTCTTTTTCTGTCTTCATATGTCTGGACTCCTACATTTTAATGGATGTGTATTTAGTTTGTTGATTAGTATTTTCCAGTGTAGCTCATATTAGCACTCAACTGTCATTTGAAAAGCCATCTTAACTATTTATGTGATTGCTTTTTCTTTTGTATTTACAAAGAAATACACTCTGCATATATTTTGGAAAGATGATTAAGGGATTAGTCATCAGGAACAGCAAGCAATGGTTTATATCAAAATGATTATTGAGAAAGCAGAGAGATGAGGGGTAAAAATAAAAGATTTATTAGCCAGAGGTAATGGAATGTGCATGTTTTAGGGAGAGAGCGCATGCTCAGTTGATTGCAACCACACGGTTTGCTGCTGAAGTGCTGTAATGATTCAGGTTTTCAATAGAGTTGATATCGGGTCTATTTATTTTGTGGGAGTGAAGGGATAGGGATAGTACTGACAGCATTATGTGATTGCAGCCTCATTGATTAGCATCGGAAATAATGACTTTAACATTATTTTCAGATAGGGAGCACTCAGTACCAACCATTATATTAGGCTCATGGGCTCAACATTTTGCTGTGCTTTTCATAGATACTGACACCTGTGTTTTCATTTTGTTGTTGTTGTTGTTTTCCCTGCCGGGAAACTGCCGCATCCTGTGTTTTCATGGCATGATATTAAGGAACGATGGGTAGGATGCTGAGGAGTAAATTGCTCGCACTTTTAAAGACTTCTGCAAAACTCCACCTACTTTTAGGCTCCTTAAAATTCAGTGACTTTATGAGCTGGTATAGCTTCACTGTTTGTGGGAATTCCATGCAATCTCCTTTGACACTAAAAGCTTAAGTCCCATGATTTGCCTTTGTGGATGGAAGGCCTTGGCCTTCTTTTATGATATATGTGTTGGGGGGAGGCATGTGGTATGTGGGGCGGGTAAAATACGAGCCTCATGCCTGTCTAAGCTGGTGACTTGGCTTGGAAAAGATGATCATTCGTCAACGCATCACAAGTCACAGGGCTTATCTCCATTGTTCTGAACGATCTGTAGCTAAACAAAAAGATAAAAGCTATTAATATTATTAATAGTTGTAGATTACCGGGAAGAGCGCATCCTAAATCAGCCATTAGATTTGTTCCTCATTTCTTTGCTTTACAAATTGTTTTTCTGTATAGTATTGGATTTTCAATAAATAAAGGATGATATAAACAAGTCTGCAAACCAGCAAGAACTATATAAGCCACTTGCTCAAGTCAATAAGCGCATGCTCACAAAGGAACGTAAAGTTCTGAAGTTCTTCTTTGGGGCGTTTGCAAAATGTCCTATTATTGTCACCTGCAGGTGGGGGGTTGGATATTCCTATTTGTCTTTGTACTAGGTACTGTGCTTAGCATTTAACAGTAAAGTATTTATATTATGTGTGAAACCCATTGTGCAGATGAGGCAGTTTAGAGGCTGGAAGAGGCATAGACTTTCCCAGGCTCACACAGCTGGGAGATAACGGGGTGGATCCAAGATTTGCAGCTGGTGTGTGGGTGATGCCGGAAGATTGGCCTTTTTCAAGGACTTAGACAAGTATTGTACTCATACATTATTTGCATTTATTTGTATGAATACTTCTGGGTTCCTAATATGAGGGTACCTAAAAAGTACATCCGCTGCGCTTCTTGTAATCTGAGGGAGTTGATGAACATGGGCCAAGGAAGCTCTTTCCTTCGCCTTCCGTTCCAGACTTCCTTTTCGAGTAGTATATCGTGTATTTACTGTTCTACTTCAGTTGCCTATTTGACCTTTCTTGTCACAGGCTCAGGGAAGATTCTTTATCAGATAATAAATTATTCATCCCCCTCATAGACATAATCGGTTGCTAAAATATTCTGAGTTTCCTGTCTCCAGAATACCTAAAACTTGTGCTTGGTACTTATCCTCTAAGTTTTCCGTTTCATTTCTCATTCTGAAAATTTTGCACCGACTTAGTCTTGAATGTTATTCATTGTTCTTTGATCATTGTCTTTGTGTCTTCTCCTTTTTTTTTTTTTTCCTGGCCACCGCTCGCAGTCTTGAACCGAATCTTTCAAACTTTATATCCATGTAACCTTTGTATAATGAGGGCTGTGATTAACTGCAGAGTTTTAAAGAGTGAAAGTCAAGCATAGGTGGCTGGCTCTGAACCATCACTCCCAATAATGTGAAACCCAAAGCAGATGCATCCTTTCATTAATGTGGGGTCCCCTGAGTTCTTATTAAGCAATTTTGACATAGTTTGAAGAGACGGATTTCATGTTCAGACAGTGTTCAGCCGCCAATGGCTGAAAGGCCTGCTTTTGGCCACTTGGCATTTAGACTCCATTATTTAAGAGGGGAAAAATATGCCTGAGACTGTTTTTCATATTTATTGTGGGACATTTAGAGAATCTCAGACTAGCAGGTGTTAGATTAAACAGAGGAGAAACGGTCCTTGTGGTGATAAAACTTCCCTACGCAAGGACAAGTAGAGAAACAACTGTAGATGAAGCAGCCAGTCTCAGGCTGGGGCAGCACGCCCTGCGATAGGTTAAGGTTTATTTTAGACAAATATTTAAAATGCAGCTAATTTTTACATATGCAGACGCAACCCAGTGGAATAGAGGTAGCCCCAGCTTTGGAGTCATACAGATCTGGGGTTAAATCCCAGTGTGAATACTAACTCACTCGGTGTCCCTGGGCAAATCTGGTCATCTCTCTCTCTCTTTTCTTTTTTTGAGATAGGGTATTGCTCTGTCACCCAGGCTGGTGTTCAGTGGCACAATGATGGTTCACTGCAACCTTGACCTCCTGGGCTCAAGTGATCCTCCCATCTCTGCCTCCTGAGTAGCTGGGACTACAGGCTTATGCCACCACACCTGGCTAATTTTTTTTTTTTTTTTTTTTAATGTAGAGGAAGGGCTTCACCACGTTGCCCAGGCTAGTCTCGAATTCCTCTGCTCAGGCGATCCTCCTGCCTGGGTCTCCCAAAGTGCTGGGATTACAGGCATGGGCCATCGTGCCTGGCCTTAGTCATCTCTTTGAACCTTGGCTGATTTACCTGCAGATGCTAATATGACTCTCAGATTCTGGCACATAGTAAAGATTCAGTAAATGGTCGTTGCAGGGAAAGCTAACTTGTCCAATGCAGATCTGTAAAATATACTCATAAATCTTGTTGGAGCAATATTTCTTCTTTGTCTTACTTCGGGCTAATAACAAAAATATCATACAATGAGTGGCTTAAATATTTATTCTTACAGTTCTAGAGGCTGGAAGTCCGAGACGAGGGTGCCAACCTTGTTGAGTTCTTAGTGAGGTCCCTCTTTCTGGTTTTTAAGTAGCCTGTTTCTTGCTGTGTCCTCATATGGTGGAGAGCTGAGAGGAATTGAGAGAGAGAGAGAGAGAGGTCGCACTGTCTCATGTGTCTTGTAAGGGCACTAATCCCTTCATGAGGATTCCACTCTCATCTAATCACCTCTGAAAGGCCCTGTCTCCAACTACCATCACATGGGCAATTAGGGTTTCACCATAATAATTTTGGAGGGACACTGTATTAGTCCATTTTCATGCTTCTAATAAAGACACACCCACGACTGGGAAGAAAAAGAGGTTTAACTGGACTTACAGTTCCACATGGCTGGGGAGGCTTCAGAATCATGGTAGGAGGCGAAAGGCACTTCTTATATGGTGTCAGCAAGAGAAAAATGAGGAAGAAGCAAAAGCAGAAACTGCCTGATAAACCCATCAGATCTCTTGAGACTTATTCACTATCATGAGAATAGCATGGGAAAGACCGGCCCCCATGATTCAATTACCTCCCCCCGGGTCCCTCCCACAACATGTGGGAATCCTGGGAGATATAATTCAAGTTGAGATTTCGGTGGGGCGCAGCCAAACCATATCAGACACAAACATTCAATTCACAGCATTCTACCCCAGCCCTCCAAAATTCATGTTCTTCTGACATGCTAAATACATTTATTACATCCAAATATCCCCAAAATCTTAACTCATTCCGGCATCAGCTGTAAAGTCTATGTCTTTTTAATTTTTTTAAATGATCAAAGCACTGGGAAGTAGCCACTTCTTTCCTCAGCTTCCCACCAATGTGTCAATTAATAATCTGACTAAGGTGGCCGGGTGTGGTGGCTCACACCTGTAATCCCAGCACTTTGGGAGGCCAAGGCGGGCGGATTGCCTGAGCTCAAAAGCTGGCGACCAGCCTGGGCAATACGGTGAAACCCCGTCTCTACTGAAAATACAAAAATTAGCTGGGTGTGGCGGCATGCGCCTTTAGTCCCAGCTACTGGGGAGGCTGAGGCAGGAGAATTGCTTTAACCTGGGAGGTGGAGGTTGCAGTGAGCCGAGATCAGGCCACTGCACTCCAATCTGGGTGACAGAGCAAGACTCTGTCTCAAAAATAATAGTAATAATAATAATAATAATAATAATAATAATAAGAATCTGACTAAGGTTATTAACCATTAAGGTATGCTGTGCTAAGGAGCAGGGGGCCCCTTCCATCCGTAGAGGGCAGAAAGGTGCCTATCATGTCTTCAGTGTCAGTGCCCTGGTATGGAGCTAGCTGGCCTTCCACAGGTTCTGGAGTTAATGCTGGAGAGAAGTAGGGGTGTCAGAGCCTACCCTGTGTTCCTAGGGGGGTTCATCTGGAGCTAGTCCCTGACCCTTAGGTGGAAGATGCAGCTATGCCCAAGGTTCTGAAGACCCTGTAAAAGGAAGCCTTAGAAGTGGCTGCGATTGTTTTAAAGTCTGTCCACAAATTCTTTGATAATTCTCCTTTCAAGAAGTAGAGGCCAGTTCTCCTCTCTTGGAATATGGGCTGTACTTAGTGACTCACTCTCCATGAATAGAATTTGGCAGAAATGGCCGGGTATGACTCCTGAGGTAGGTCCTAAAGGCTTCGTGGCTTCTTCTTGCTCACTCTCTTGGATCACTCACCAGCCACCATGTTGTGAGGAAACTCAAGCAGACCTGAGGTGAGGCCCATGCAACAAGGAATTGAGGCCACCAGCCATGTATATGATCCCCCTTGGAATCCTCCAGCCCAGTCAAGCCTTCAGATGACTGAGGCCCTGGCTGATTCATGTCATGAGAGATCCTGAGTCAGAACCACCCAGCAGCTAAGCCACTTCTGAATCCTTGACCCACAAAATATGGTAAGATACCAAATGGTTACTGTTTTAAGCCACTATGCTCTGGGGGAATTTGTGATGTAGCGGTAGATAACTATCACAGGATCCATGGCCTCAAGGGGAGAAGGATCCTTAAGAGAGACTGGACAGTGAGTTCTAAGGATAAGACATGTATACTTACCCAGGAAGCTCCACTGTGTGCAAGGAATCCTAAGTTCCCGGGGTTGCATCCATCTCCCAGGTCACCTTGTTTGACCTCTCTCCAACACTTTTAAAACATACCTGATCAGGAATCACCCCGCTTTGGCATAAGTTCCTCTCTCCCCATGCTGCCCATCCCATTTCTGCACACCTCTTAATTAGTAAGTTCTCCCTCATATTGAAGGCAGAATCTTCCTCTGAGCGTCTTCTATGCACCGGCCCTGGTCCTGCCCTCCGAGTTCCACTGGCTGCATTCTCATCAGAACCCAGCTAAAACTCACGTCTCTCAAATTCCCTAAATAATAAATCCAAAGTTATTGAAGATATTGGGATACTAAAAGTTGGCAGTGAGACTGGCCCCACTCATTTCTTTGTAACCCCTGTCCCTCTTTTTATTATTGAAGCTTGGGATGCACTTGGTAAGGCTAGGCAGCTGGAGAGCGTGCAGACTCAGGAGCCAAGACCTGCCTTGCCTTCCCTGGAGTTAATGAATCAGTGTGAATGAAGAGCACAGTCTTCTTTTAAATGGCAGGGGAACCATGCACTTATTTACCGGCAATTCTCAGATTCTAATTGTTCCGACTACAATGCGTCCTGTAAACCGGGTAGCTGGGAGAAACTTCAATGCATCTTTGTAATGGCTTTGTTGTTGTTTATTGAGAGGGACTAATTAACTTTGATTATTGCACTAATATTATGGCACTTTGACAGCCCTTCAGATTTATGACTCTGGGAAAATAAACAAATGAAATGCAGGTGCTGGAGCAGAAAGAATAAGTTATTACTGAACTTTAATTACTTGGAATGCGTAGCCAGGAGAGAATTAGTTGATGAATTACAGGATGCTTAAAATCTACATCAAATTGCAAGCAATAAGAAGATAAAAATAAAAAGGAAGGGGCAGGAAGGGTGCTATTTTTAAGGCAGGGAAGGATAGGATGCATTTGCAGTGGTCTCCGTGGTGTTTCATTGATTAAACTTTGTGGTCTCTAATGCTGCAGATATGTACATGGTGCTACTCAAAGCATGGTCCCTGACCTGCAGCATCAGTGTCACTTGAGAGCTTGTTGGAAATGCAAATTCTTGGGCCCCACCCCAGACCTACTAGGTAAGAATCTCTGGAGGTAGGGCCCAGCCATCTGTGGTTTGCAGTTACTCCAGGAGATTTTGATATCTGCAGAAGTTGAGAAGCATGGCTCAACAGTTCTCATGCAGCTTGCTTTTTCTTTTATAAAAGGGCGGGTACACATTTTTATCTTTGCTTATGAAAATCAAATGTTTTCCCAACCCAGTTTACCAAGTAGCTCCCAAATTTTCAAGCTATTTTAAAAATTGGCTGAAATTTAAAAATTTTGGGCAATTTTAATTTATCCAACATCTATTACGTGCTAGGTGGTAGAGTGGGTGACACAAGATAGTCTAGAAGGATTTTGCTAATGAGGTGATACCCCTAAACTGTCATCGATGCCAGCGCCTGGGTAGTGTGGTAAGAGTGATACTCCCATGACTCATGAAAGATGGTCTCCCCACGTGCTTTAAAGCAGGATGGTTGCAGGAGAAAGTATTGGTGGACTGTGAACAGCCCCCATGGCAAGGGTGCATCTGGAGCTGGAGGAAGAGCATCCACAGAGTGTAAGTAGTTTGTCCTGGGAATGGAGATGTCAGGCTTGGGTGTGGTGTCGGGGAGAGGGCAGGCAGCTCCTCTATGAGGCCAGATCATTCGGGGCCTTGGATTCCAGTCTTAGGAGAATAGACTTTATTCTCTAGGTCCTGGCAGCCATCACTGGCTGAGTCTGAGTGGTGGTGATACAGTCCATACTCAGTGACTGAGATAGACAGACATTTGGGCTGAATTAGCGAGGGGAGTGCGGGGTCTGGAGACTCTGTTGGCCTGTTGGCCATGGTCCTGGGCGCAAAGAGCAGAAAAGGACGAGACGGGGACTGAACAGACTTGCTTAGTTCCTGACATTCAAGGAAGAACTTTAACGTCCATCCACGGAGCCTCAAAGGCTAAAAATAATCATCCCTTTCAATAGTTCCTGTTGTGAGGACCATTAACAAATTATAAGAGAAAGCATTCCTCACTTGTAGAAACTCCATGAAAACAGACATGTGTTTACTTATCTGCAACCCTGTGTTAGGAGGAGGGTGATGAGACACTTTACTGTTTGAATCAGGAAGTGCTGACAGTGAAGGGAGGAGCTCTTCATAATTATACCCGGAGAGCAGGCAAGACAGCCACATGCAAGTGGCCTGGCCTGGCTGGGTTTGGTACAGAGGGGATTAGGGCAGATTCAAACCTCACTGGTCCCCCGTCCCAGCACTTCTGTGCTGTCTGCAGTTACTAAGCACTTTTCCTGTTTAAGTTGTTGCTGTTTTCATTCCCGCAAAAGCTCAGCCAGCCTCTAGCCCAAAATTGTCTCTGTTTATTGGACAGTTGGAAATGTCACTGTGGCCCCACAGACCTTGTTGTCAAGCAGGCTGCTACGCTTTTATTCTAGAGCGTCTTTCATCTGATTTCCTCCACCATCTGGAACCTTCTGGATTCTTCCTCTTATGGGTAGTGATGGGCACTTTAGGAGTAGGAATACATGTCAGTGCTAGACCACATCCTTTCATACCCGGAATTCGCATAGTGACATTTAAAAATAGATAGCAGGCCAGGTGCGGTGGCTCACGCCTGTAATCCCAGCACTTTGGGAGGCCGAGGCGGGTGGATCACTTGAGGTTAGGAGTTCGAGACCAGCCTGGCAAACATGGTGAAACTGTGTCTACTAAAAATACAAAAATTAGCCAGTTGTCTTGGCGCATGGCTATAATCCCAGCTGCTCAGGAAGCTGAGGCAGGAGAATCCCTTGAACCTGGGAGGCAGAGGTTGCAGTGAGCCAAGGTGGTGCCACTGCATTCCAGCCTGGGCGACAGAGCGAGATTCCGTCTCAAAAAAAAAAAAAAAGTAATCATTTTAGAATTGCTTTCTCTTCGGGATGGTTTACCTCGTGTTTAGTCTGTAAACGCGGATAACCGAGAGCTGGTCAAATGTTTACATGGGGCTGTGGACCATTTTGTATCATTGGAGGAGAAGCCAGGGCACTTGGCAGGGGTGTTCATGATGATAATCAGGTGGCTGGGTGGAGTCACCATTTGTGGCATCCTCAAAGACTTGCCAACATAGACATTTTTGGGGAGACAGAAACACAGAAATAATTCTGCAGTGCTTTAAAGAATCTGTTAAAAATCAAGTTTCTTTCAGTCATGTATGATCCATTGGGCTTTATATAACTTTTAGCCTTTGCTTTGCAGGGACAGCAAAGATGTGAGCAAATTTGTGCAAACCTAATAGGGTGAAAAATTGAGGTATGAATTAGTAAAGTCATTTGTCCTTCTGGAAAGAGTTATGGATTAACAGATTACATTTGGGTATATTGTGGTTGTGAAAAGGTAACATTCTCAGATTGGAAAGGACTTTCTGAGATCATCCAACTTAACTTTCCCCACTTGACAGACAAGAAAACTGAGGCCCACAGAAGGTAACTTAGGCAATTAATTAATTATAGTTAATAATTAATTCTGCCTGCAGAACAGGAATATGGCCCCCAACGCTTCATGCTTAATTGGATGGCTTATTAAATTCTTATTTTTATGGTAGTGATGATGATGATAATAATAATAATAACAGTAGTAGCTAGCATTGTTTTCCAGTGCTAAGCACTTTAAATGCATTAATTCAGTTCATCTTTATGACAACACTATGAGATAGCTAATATTATGAATCCTATTTTCAGATGAAAGACTGAGTCTTAGGGAACAAACAGCCGAGAGATGAAATGCCACAGGGATGTCTAGGTTCAAACAGCAACAGAGGTGCGTACCATAGGGATGTGGAAGCCTTGCTTGTCTTGTTCCTCTTGGTATAACCCCAGTGAGTAGCATAGCGCCTGGTCAATTGGAGGGATTTGGTAAATATTTACTGAGTGAGTGAGAGGGTAAAACAGCTGAGCCATGGGAGTTATAACTTGGGCAGCAGTAATCCTGCCATTGTAGGAGGGGACAGATCGGCTGGTTAGTTTTTGGAAAGCAGACCAGCA
Organism: Homo sapiens; assembly: GCF_000001405.40. NCBI lineage: Eukaryota > Metazoa > Chordata > Mammalia > Primates > Hominidae > Homo > Homo sapiens. The sequence continues at coordinate 78,180,011 of NC_000016.10, forward strand.
GAAGTTGCAAATAACTTGTTGTGTTTTCCTAAGTACTGAGCTGTGTGAATTGGTTTCATGTTGATGTTACTGAAGTCTCCCCAATTCATCATCTACCTTGTAGCTTGTTGAAGAAAGAGTCCTTATTTACAGTCTATTATGTTAAACGTATTTTATTCCAGTTCTTTGAAAATGACCCATCCTGATTTGGAAAATCTCTAACTTGCCTGGTCATTCTGGAGCAGTGGGAGCCGACTGTGATGCAGAGTGGACTCATAATCCAGCTTGATTTTGAGGGACAGAAACCTGGGCCTTTAGGTAGAATGAACAGCTTAAAAGGCTGCACCTGAGAGTAGGGGGCATATGGGTAAATCCAGCTGTACCCAAGAGTTGGGGGCATATGTTAGCCCTACTGGGTAAATCCAGCTGCACCCAAGAGTAGGGGGTATATGTTAGGGCTAGTGCGTAAACCCAGCTGCACCCGAGATATGGGGTATACATGAGTGCTATTGGGCAAATCCAGCTGCACAGGAGAGTAAGGGGCATATGTTAGGGCTAGTGGGTAAACCCAGCTGCACCTGAGAGTAGGGGTATATGTTAGGGCTTGTGGGTAAATCCAGTTGCACCTGGCAGTTGGGGCATATGTTAGGGCTAGTGGGTAAACCCAGCCGCACCGGAGAGTTGTGGGTATATGTTAGGGCCAGTGGGTAAATCCAGCTCCATCTGAGATATGGGGTATACATGAATACTAGTGGGTAAATCCAGCTGTACACGAGAGTAGGGGGCATATGTTAGGGCTAGCAGGTAAACCCAGCTGCACCCCAGAGCAGGTGTATACATGAGTGCTAGTGGGTAAATCCAGCAGACGTCCGGACTGTGCTTGAGGGTGTCATCGAGAGAGAGAAGGTTGATCCGAAGTTAGTAAAGGCTTTAAAAATTAAAAGGCCTGAGATGATGGTAGGGTTTTGGAGGTAAGTATAAAAACCTTCTTGTTTTCTACTACTTAAAGCTGAAAACCCAGCTTGGGTTGGCTTTGCTTCTAATATCCTTCTTCCTTTTTGTTTCATAAGTAATTGTCCTGAAGCCTGTCGAGATAAATGTATACTGAAAGAGAAAGACACAGAGGAGAGACAGGCATACAGAGAAAGAGAGACACGCAGACACACGAAGGGGAGGTGGAGACACGGAGGAGGGACAGAAAGACAGAGAGAGACAGAAGGAGAGAGAGAGAGAGAACCTGTCTAGCGGTGTTTTTATGAGGTTTTTAGTGCTGGGCTTTGCATCGTGGTGACGGTGTGTGTGTGGGGGTGTTGATCACTGTTTTCAGTGTTCTCTGATCATTTCTTGCTTAGAAAGGAGGAAATTAGAATTGTTGAGCTATGATTTGTTTTAATCAGAAAGAAATTGTCTAACATAAATCTCTTCGTGAGCTCTGGAAAAGCCCCTAAAGCGGCCAGGAAAAAAATATCAATACTTTGCAAAGGAGGAATGATTGTTCCAATTCGTGGCTTAATTGACTTTAAGCCTTAATGAAACTAAGGCCGGAGCGGGTGGCACACTCCGTGGCTGGGATCCACAGTGAAATCTACGCTGGGAGAGGAGGAATTTAGGGTGGTAATTTGGTTCTTTGCTATTGACGAAATTTTCTAATTGACTGGGGTTACTTAATACCAGATAATATTTTTTTCTTGCTATAAAGAGAGTAAATTTGTTTTTTTCTGAGGAACACAGGAATTTATTTTAAATTACAGCTTTTTCTATTGGAAGCATTCATTTATGTTGGATTATTGTTCCCTGAGTGAAATTTCACTGATGCTGTATAATTAAATATAGATTTTTTTAGAGATAGTATATATTTTAGATGTATAAGTGGATAAACTGGAGGTATGGAAGGTCTTTATTTAAGGAGAATAAATAGCCCACCCCATCAACATGATGGCCCTTGGAAAGGACTCTTTTAGCCTCCGCGAGTTCCTTTTCCGCACCAGGCTCCACTTACGAAGGACTGCAAAAACTTGCTAACGTCATCAGTCTGAAAGGATTGAGCTGTAAAATGTGTTATGGGGGCCTAAGCAACGCATCTGGAATTTAGCCTTCCCAAGTTCAAATCCGGTTTATGCCACTTGCGAAAACCATGTGACCTTCACTTGTTCTTATTGCCTCAGTTTCCTCATCTGTAACTTGGGGATGATGACAGTATTTGGATCACAAGATTGTTGTGAAGATGAACTGAAGTGCTAATGTGAAATGTTCATGATGGTACCCGAGTACTTGCGGTGGTACCTAGCGTGTGCTTTCCAAGTGCTGGCAAAGAAAAGAAAAGAAATGCTTGGGGCTCTGCCTACCTGTCTAGGCTCCTGTCTGGCCATTCTCTTTCTTGTTCCAACCATATCAAACTCACTGCTGTTGCTAAACCTTCCTGTCTCTCTGCATCTTGGCACAGACTATGTCCTCTGCTTGGAAGGGTCTCAGCTAAGCTTTTCCTCCCCACATCTGCCTCTGTATCCTGTGAGTCTCTGTTCAAGGGTATCTTTCCCACAAAGCTTTCCTGGGCTTCTCTTTCCTGTCTCCTGCCCTCCCTTCCTTCTTTTGTTCAGCACATCGCTGTCAACCTTCTTCTCTGGGTCAGGTAGAGCACTGAGCACCAGTGATATGGCAGTGATAAAGAAAGCAAAGGTTCTCACTGGGTGTGGTGGCTCACGCCTGTAATCCCAGCACTTTGGGAGGCCGAGGTGGGTGGATCACGAGGTCAGGAGATCGAGACCATCCTGGCTAACAAAGTGAAAGCCCGTCTCTACTAAAAATACAAAAATTAGCAGGGCATGGTGGCGGGTACCTGTAGTGCCAGCTGCTTGGGAGGCTGAGGCAGGAGAATGGCATGAACCTGGGAGGCAGAGCTTGCAGTGAGCCGAGATTGCGCCACTGCACTTCAGCCTGGGTGACAGAGCGAGAATCTGTCTCAAAAAAAAAAAAAAAAAGAAAGAAAGAAAGCAAAGGTTTTTTCCTCCCAAGAACTCATGGTCCAAGTTTTGGTTTTTAAATATGCATCTATGACAGCACGGATCACATAGTGCATTGATTGTTTGCCTGTAGGTCTCCTTATTTAGTCAACAAGCATGTTTTGATCCTTTATTCTATACCAGCCGTCCCACTGGACTCTCAGCACATATAGGTATGCGAGACGTTGTCCTTGCCCTAAGTGTGGAGACAGACACGTAAATTAATAGTAATAATAATATCTACCACCCACTAGGGGTCTATGTGTGTATGTGTTGGGGGCGGTGTGGCTGGGGAGGGAAGCAAGGCCTGTATTATGGCCCAAGCTCAAGAATATTCGGGCAAGAGCAGATACAATGCCTGTATTTCTCATCACTTTTGGGTGGCATAGGACCAGTTGGTTATGAGCGTGAAAGGTTTTCTTTGACTTTGGTGGTCTAGTTAGTGGTTGAGAACATGGATTTTGGAATCAGCCCGGTGGAGGTTGGAATCCTGGCTGCGCCGTTCTGTAGCAGTGTTGTGGATCTCAGACAAGGTGTTCCTGCATATGCCTCTCTATCTTCCTACAAGAAATGGAGGTATTGCATCCCCGAACCGTAGGATGCTTGTCAGGATTAAATGAGATAACAGTGCCTGGTTAGTGGCACATGCTCAGTAACACCTGCCAAGTACCACTCACTGAGCCGAAATCTCCTGAATACCACCCCTTCATGCCTTGCACATCCTGGGTTCTAACTCATTGAGGTGCCCCCACCTTTCCTTCTTCCCATCAACAACTCTTGTGCCCACGAGGGACTGGCCTCCTCAGTGCCACACAGAGCCTCCCCTGAGTAGATTTGTGTCATTTTCAAACAAAGCATCCTGGCTGCAGTGTTGGATTTTGTAGGATGGTGACCGTTTACAGAAACCTCTGGTCCGTGAGCCAATTTGGAGAAAATTGAATCATTCTCTGTGCCTTTCGGCTTGCATCCTAAAAGCCTGCACAAACACTTTGGGCAGGCTTCAGCAACTTCACATCAAGGGCTCAATTGCAGCTCCAATATAAAAACCTCCCCCGTTGCTCTCTGTGTGTGAAGCTGGATTCCATGCTTGGCACAGACCTCGGTGCTCACGGTAATGCTTCCTTCCACCATATCAGAAGGTCCTCAGCAGCCGCAGCCACTTAACATGCTCGGTGCTTCTCTGTAGGAGGATTTTTAAAAAGCAGGAACTGTCAGGGTCCCAAATGTTCAGTGGCACTTCAGCCAGAGGTAGGATAGGGATTTTGAAGTGTTTGGAGAAGTGTTTTCATATTTGAATTTACGGGGATGGGGTGGGCTGGGGTAGGCAAGGGACAGACTGTAGCGATTCGCTTGGTGTTTTCTCATGATGCCAGAGAAAATGACCTCATTATCATCATGCTCACATTCACCTTTGCCAGGACCCCTGTGTAGAAATAATCATGAACTTAGTGACTGACAATCATAAGCGTTTTATGATTTGTGGAGGATTTATATGTGAAGGAAAATGGATGAATTAAAAATATTAAACAGCTTAGCCGGCACCCACATGGATGAATCACCGAGATCTATTTTTTCCCCGTTTATACTATAAACATATGGCATGAATTTTCTGCTCTCATTACAGATGCTGAGAGAAGGCAAAGACAAATATTTATATTACATTCATGTTTTACAGTAAAAACACTGTTCGGTTTGTTTACACAGTTCCACTGTTACAGTTTTTATGGTCGGTAATGCAACCACCGTAAAAGCAAGTCTGGGTTATATAGCAGATGTGATAAGCCCTCATACTCAGAGAGATGTCTGGGAAAGAATCGTTGATGTCACATGTACAGGATCAACAATGGAATTATGTGTTGGGACAGTCTAAGTTATGCTGTAATAACAACCAACCTCAAAATCTCTGGGGCTTGAAACAACAAAGGTTTATTTCTTGCTCAAACTGTATTTTCATCATGAGTTGCTTGGAGGGATCTGTGAGATGGGGATCTCACTCAGCCACCGGGGCCCACAGAGCAGCCTGCACTGCTGGATGTTGTGACAGAGGAAGAGAGGGATGTGCTGACCCTCGCTCTGGCTCAAAAGTGACTCCTGCCATCTCTGCTCACATTCCATTGGCCAAAGCAAGTCTCAGGGCCAAGGAGTGGGCAGTAGTAGGGTGCTGTGTGTGTGTACAAACCCACCATATGTGCATAGAGGGAGGCCGAGAACTGGACTATCAGAGAATAGCCAAAGATTTCTTTCCACGGTCATGTCAAGCCTTTTTGCTGTTATTTAATTGATGTTCTATTTTTAATGCAACATGGAATCAGAAGAATATAGAACAGGCGTCAAAGACCCTCCCGCCTCTGTAACCGCACTGTTTAAAATTGATGAGACTCTGTCTTCATTCGAAGATGATCTGATAGGAAGGATTCACAGCTTTCCCCAAGAATACACCACAGTGCATACAAATCCTCGAAGCCGCAGAACTTTTTCAAGTTGAACTGTGAACTGTGATTTTTTTTTTTTTTTAAGTAAGTTTACATGTAGAAGCTCATTGGTAGAGAGCTTTAGATATATTACTTCCCAGGGTGGTGCATCCTGTCACCATGAAGTAGGCATGAAATGCTGGAGATATGCGTTCATTCAAAGAAAATAAAAAGGCGCAATTATGAAAAGCTCTCAAAGTGACTTTTTATTTTATTTTTTATTTTTACATGGAGTCTCGCTCTGTTACCCAGGCTAGAGTACAGTGGCGTGATCTCAGCTCACTGCAGTCTCCATCTCCCAGGTTCAAGTGATTCTCCCGTCTCAGCCTCCAGAGTAGCTGGGATTACAGGCACCCACCATCACGCCCAGCTAATTTTTGTATTTTTAGTAGAGATGGGTTTCACCATGTTGGCCAGGCTGGTCTTGAACTCTTGACCTCAAGTGATCCACCCGCCTCGGCCTCCGAAAGCGTTGGGATTACAGGTGTGAGTCAGAGCACCCGGCCTCAAAGTGACTTTAACAGCAACTTAAAGGCGGTGGCTAGCTCTGCCCCATTCAGTATGGTAGCCACTGGCCATGTGTGGCAGTTGAGTGCTTGAAAGGTAGTTAGTCCAGATTGAAATGAGCTGTTGATATAAAATAACATGACTCCCAGGTTTCAGACAGTATAAAAAAATCTTAATTAACATTTTTATATTAGTTCCATGCTGAAATAATATTTGAGACATACTAGGTTAAATAAAATATCATTGAAGTTCATTTAATCTGTTTCTTTTTACCTTTTTTTTTTTTTGACACGGCTCCTGGAAAGGTTAACAATATGTAGGTGACCCTTTATTTTCATCAGACATTGCCGACCTAGAGGGTAACCACTGGAGAGGAAAAAAGTACAATTTGGTATTTTTGTCACAAATCCTTAATTGCTAGAACTCACAGTTTAACCTGACAGTTGATCAATTGATATCCTTTGACTTGTTGGAATTTTATTCTTTACATTCGTCTTTTAAAAAGCTTTATTTTATGCCAGATGCAGTGCCTCATGCCTGTAATGTCAGCACTTTGGGAGGCTGAGGCAGGTGGATCACTTGTGGTCAGGAGTTTGAGACCAGCCTGGCCAATATGGCGAAACCCTGTCTCTACTCAAAATACAAAAAGTTAGCCGGGCGTGGTGGCACGTGCCTGTAATCCCAGCTACTGAGGAGGCTGAGGCAGGAGAATTGCTTGAACTTGGGAGGCAGAGGTTGCAGTGAGCCAAGATCGTGCCACTGCACTCCAGCCTGGGTGACAAAGTGAGACCCTGTCTCAAAAGAAAAATAAATAAAAAGCTTTGTTTTAAAATAAGTTTAGATTCTCATAGAAGTTGCGAAGAATAGTCTATAGTATTCTTCACAAGGGTTCTGGGTACCCTTAACCCAGCTTCCCCAGTGATAGTCACAGCATAACAATCAAGTCTGGGAAATTGACACTGGCATGATAATATTAACTAACTACAGATTTTATCCGAGTTCTGCTAGTGTTTGCATGTACTCATTTGTGTGCGGCTCTCTCTGTGTGTGTGTAGTTCTATGAAAAGTTATAACATATATACATTTGGTTTACCAACATCATAGTCAGGATACAGAACTGTCCCATCTCCCCAAAGAAACACCCTTTACCTTAGTTTTTATTCTTTGAGTTATATCTTAACCAGGTTAACTGAGGGTAATTGTCTTAGGCAAGTTAGTACCAAATGATGCTCTTGGTTCCTTGTCTGTCTTTTTGCCCATCCAACCCACCCTTCACACATGGCCGAGTTATGCCAAACTTTGCAAGAGGTGCCAGGTGGGCACAAAGAAAAGAGGACTGCACTCAAGGAACTTAGTCTTTGAGGCCAAGCACGGTGGCTCATGTCTGTAATCCTAGCACTTTGGGAGGCTGACACAGGCAGATCACTTGAGGTCGGGAGTTCTAGACCAACATGGTGAAAACCAGTCTCTACTAAAAATACAAAAAATTAGCTGGCCGTGGTGGTGTGCACCCGTAGTCCCACCTACTTGGGAGGCTAAGGCAGGAGAATTGCTTGAACCGCGGAGGCAGAGATTGCAATGAGCCGAGATCGCGCCACTGCACTCCAGCCTGGTCCACACACAGAGTGAGACTCTGAGACTTCGAGACTCTGTCCCCAAAAAAAGACGCAAAGGAGCTCAGTCTTTGAAGGGTTACAGAAACAGTTTCACTAGAAGGTGTGACATTGTGTAACAGAAATCGGTTCCTTAACCTGCCAAAGGGAAGAAAATAGTGCGGAATCTTTTCTCCAGGTTTCAGGACCCATGTCTGTTGTCCTTCCTTTACCTTAACTTCAGCAGGGCAAGAATGGTTCAAGCCACATTAGAAAGCAGTTACTTTCTCACCCAATTTTAAAGGAGAAAGGTAGATGCGGTGGGTTCTAGGGATTTCAGTGACGTAACAGGTGTTTCCCAGGCATTAAGACCTAGTAAGGTTTCCATTTCCATTAGGTATTATGGATGCATTCCAAGAATTTAATTACTATAACATCACTTCATTCATTGTAATTCCTTACTAGAGTTATGAGAACTTGGGATTGTGTGGTTTCTTATTCAATCGATTAAAAGGTACTTGCTATAGTTTTCTAACTAGCTATTTATATGAAATTTAGTACTTGTCAATATGTATTAAATCAATACAGTTATATTTATCAAAGTGGTGAGAAGAGTTTACATCTGAACATAGAATAGATTGCTTGCCTTGGCCGGGCGCGGGAGCTCACACCTGTAATCCCAGCACTTTGGGAGGCCGAGGCGGGCAGATCACGAGGTCAGGAGATCGAGACCATCCTGGCTAACACGGTGAAACCCCGTCTTTACTAAAAATACAAAAAATTAGCCAATGTGGTGGTGGGTGCCTGTAGTCCCAGCTACTCGGGAGGCTGAGGCAGGACAATGGCGTGAACCCAGGAGGCGGAGATTGCAGTGAGCTGGGATTGTGCCACTGCACTCCAGCCTGGGTGACAGAGCGAGACTCTGTCTCAAAAAAAAAAAAAAAAAATAGTAGATTGTTTGCCTCAGTTGGGAAAAAATAAAGTTTTAAGGCTCTAGAATTGGAGTGACTCAGCTTTACTTGAAAAATCCCAGAATAGTAGGACCATCATTTAGAAGTTTCGAGACGATAATATTAGGGAAAAATAACAGCAAATGTTACTTGATAGACACTAAACTCTGGGGCATATGAGATGACCCAGGCTGGAAAACCACTGGCTTACATAAAGGTATTGACAGACCCATGGGTGTTAAGATCCTTCATGGCTACTGGGGAGAAATGACAGGCCTTTTGAAATCGTATCAGTGGTTTTCCCTGGGATCACTGGAAATAATACCCCTGTTTGACAAGATATGACACATGCTCTGTTTTAATTCTGCATTTGACTAACAGAAAAGATTGGTGAAGATCAGACTCTGCTTTAAAGTTATTGAAGCAGGGTACAAGGAAAAGGGGAAGGGAATAGAGGCTGCAGAGGAGAATGGGGGAAGGGGGCAGGAAGGTAAAATTTGGAGGTGCAGGCAGAGTCAAGGTCATGCCTGAGGCCCAACCTTCCTGTTGAAGCTGGTGTTTGATTCAAGCTGTGGCTGAGAACGTGCAGCTCATCTGGAGGGTAGAGTTGCAAGACATGGGTTCAGGTCTGAGCCAAGCCAGAAACTGGAGAAAGCGTGGCTTCTCAAGACTAGGAATACCTAGATTCCAGAGGTGGCGTGGGCATGGGGCACATTGTGACAAGTTAACAGCAAGATCTTCAGAGCTGCAGCTCACCTGTGCCACGATGGTCTCCTAGGAGCCCTTTCCTGCTGTAGTCCCGCCCCGAGGGGTTTCACTTCCCACTGCCTCTTGGTAGCCGTGGGCACTTTGGTGCTCTGATGATGTAACATGGAGATTGTCCTTGTCTCCATCGCTGTCTTTACTGGTGTATGCCCATGAGGTATGTCAAAGTCTGTATGTCTTTGTAATAATGCTGGATCATTTGTCCACCTTCAGAGACAACTGAAGACAGTTTTAAGTGAAACCACACAGAGGGCATATACCATTGGGACAAGAGGTCTGAAGTCTATTTTTGAGAAAGAGAAGAGATCAAGTAGTTAACAGCCAGTGGCTATCATAATAATGGCACCTAAACAAATCCTTCTTTTTTATTTTATTTAATTAATTAACTTATTTATTTTTGAGTTGGAGTCTTGCTGTGTCTCCCAGGCTGGAGTGCAATGGCGTGATCTTGGCTCACTGCAACCTCCGCCTCCCAAGTTCAAGCGATTCTCCTGGCTCAACCTCCTAAGTAGCTGGGATTACAGGCACCTGCCACCACGCTCAGCTAATTTTTGTATGTTTAGTAGAGACGAGGTTTCACCATGTTTGTCAGGTTAGACCGGAACTCCTGACCTCAAGTGATCCACCCACCTCGGCCTCCCAAAGTGCTGGGATTACAGGAATGAGCCACCACGCCCGGCTCAAATCCTTCTTACTTTTCCTCAAGAACTCACTTCCCACCCAAACCTTTCCTATTGTGGCAGCTGTTATCTTGTCCAGCACATGTGTCCACACTTGGTATTAATAGCTCCATCTTAGGAACTATGAAAGTGAGGGGGGTGGTGGTAATTTGCATGAACTGGTTTGGGCCAGTTATGGTCTGTTACATCCTTGCTGAAATGGTTGGTGCTAAGATGAGCACTTGGCTTAGGCCAGACCAGTCCCTAGCCTGTGGAGAAGGGGCAATCTCTTATCTGAAGGCCTAGGAGGTGCAGGGATGTTTATATGGGCTGCTAGCGCTTAGTTTCCTGCCACAGGGAGACAGTAAGAAAGGTGACGTCAATCTGAGATGAGAGAGAGAGCAAAACAGTTCTTTTGACCACCTTGACCCCGACCTTGAAATAAGGTGGAACTAATAAATCCCGCTTTGTGCTGGAGCAAGTTTTGGCTGAGTTTCTGTCACTTGCAACCAAATCAGTCCTATCCAGTATACCTAGTGACTCTCTGGTCTCCAAAGGCTATGCCTGCTGGGTACTGAGTGTCTCCCCGACCGACCCCATGATGGCTACAGTGCACATCCCTTCCAGCCAACTCTATTGTGCACACATATTCGTAGGGTGAGTTGGGCCCCAGGTAGAGTGATTGGCTCAGATCCTGCATCCTTTCAGGGTCTGACTGTAATCACACTGGCATGGCAGGGGGAAAGTGTATTGGATTTCAGAGTCAAAAACCACTTGGTATGAAACCCAGCTCATTTTCTATGTGGATGTCCAACCTGAGCCAGATAATTAATCTTGGAGATGACGCTGCATACTTCATCAAGTTGTAAAGTTGACTGCTGTGATAATGGAGAATGCTGGACAGGCTGCTTTTCATGTCATGGGTTCGCTATACTTTAGTTCCCATTATATCATCCTGCCAATCCCCATTTGTTGTTTTTTTGGGACCCAGGGTATCAGTCATCTGATCATTGTGTGACTTTCTCAAGGACCTTTACTTGAGTCTTGCACCTCTGGTCCACAATGTCCACATACCAGCTTGATGGTGACTTGTGTCATTCTCCATCCCCTTGTTAAGAGAAAATCTACTTTATGAGCCCTCTTTCCAACCGCAGTGTTGAGGACTAGACCAGGCAAGATGATGCCGCTGGACCACTGGATCCAGCTGGACCGCTAGACCACAGAGCCCCTGGAGCCTCCCAAGGCCAAGCCCGCCAGCCACACACACCTTTGTGAGAATTAAGAAAAGATGCCCCCTCCTCTTGGGGCCCACAGCTCCTCCACCTGGGCACCCAGCCTGGTGAACAGGGTGCAGGCTGGGATTTAGCCCTACCTTGCTTTTGGACCATTGAGCTACTAAGTTGGAGCAACAAGGCTTGGGAATTTTTCTTTGATCATAGGTAGGAAAGGTAAAAAAACATAAATCTGCCAATAGAAAATAGCATCGTAATGAGTTTCTACTATATTTGTTTGGGCTTTGAAAAATATGCCGCCACAATATATCAATGTATGGTCCCAACGTTTTAGGAAGTTGCATTTAAAAAATCTTGGATACCTGTTTTGTACATATTATATATAGCATCCCGTGTGAATATGTTAATTCCTTTTTATGAGTTTCGGTCTTTTTTCCCTCTCCTATACATGATTGCTGTTTTATAGCTCCAGTTTGGTGGAATTAACATAGATTTCCCACATGGGGAAGGTTTTGGGTGAGGATTTAGAACAAGGCAGGTTCTTGATCCTCGGAAGAGATTCTTATCTGAGAGGGGATTTGAGAATGGCATTGCAGAGTGGGAGGCGCTGCTGTGTGGAAAAATGAACTGGAATAATTATTAGAACAGTTCTCAGAATTTACAGGATATTTGATCATAGGAGTAACTTTCCTCAGGAGTGATGGATGGAATGCCTGTACTTGGAATATTTTTAAATTAATCTATTTTCATTACATTGAAAGTATGACACACAGAGAACACTAAAATTGGATGAGGCACTACCTGGAATTATATAAAGAATGACAAAGATGCGGTTATCCATTTATTTTCTAGGCAAGTTAGTTAGCCTCTCTGTGTTTCTATTTCTTTGTTTATAAAAGAGGGACAAAAATAGGACCTATTACTATCTAGGTGACAGGATCATTCATACCCCAAACCTCAGCATAATGCAATATACTCATGTAACAAATCTGCATAAGTACCCCCTTAATCTGAAATAAAAGTTGAAATTATTAAAAAAGAAAACGAAGGCCGGGTACGGTGGCTCATGCCTGTAATCCCAGCACTTTGGGATGCTGACGCGGGTGGATCACATGAGGTCAGGAATTCGAGACCAGTCTGGCCAACATGGCAAAACTCCGTCTCTACTAAAAATTCAAAAATTAGGCTTGGTGGCACGTGCCTGTAGTCCCAAGCTACTCAGGAGGCTGAGGCAGGAGAATCACTTGAACCCAGTAGGCGGAGGTTGCAGTGAGCCGAGATCGCACCACTGCACTCCAGCCTAGGTGACAGAGTGAGACTCCGTCTCAAAAAAAAAAAAAAAAAAAAGAAAGAAAACAAAAACAAATAGGACCCATATCCCTGGATTGTTGAGGAAATACGTGAACATATGTGGCACACATTATAGTGTCTGGCATACAATAAATACTTTGTAATGTTACTGGTGTCTTCTTACCGTTATTGTCTCACTGGTGACCGTTTGAAATGTTGAAGCTTTATTGTTACAGATAATGGTGGATATAGTCTCTTCCTTGTTTATTTTTTGACAGAATCTTTTTTTAAAAAAGTTTTTATTTGTTTGGTGAGAATTTACTTGTTACAGGTCTAGTGCTGTTATAGTTGAATGTTTTGAATTATGTAACTTAAGTGAAACATAAAGCTATGACTTGAATTTTGTGGTTAGAAATTTTCTCAGTCGATTGACAAGGATGGCGTATTGGCCACCTTTTGCCGCAGTAACAAACAATCCCAGACTCTCAAGGCTTGCAAAAATAAATGTGTGTTTGTTTGCTCATAACACATGTGGCTGAGGGTTGGCCGTGGCTCCACAGTCACGGGTGGGCTTTCCTGGGCTCAGCTTCTCACAGCGTCTCCTTGCAGGGCCCAGGCTGTAGGAGATGTCATCAGGGCCTGCAGAGGGCAAAACCTCACAGAGGCTTCTGTTCATACATTGTTGTACCTCATGTGTGCGTCATATTGTCATATATCAATGGCAGTAGCCAAGACCAACAGCCAAGACCAATGTATTCTGCCCACAGGAAAGTGAGGCAAAGGCAGGGAGGGAATGATAATTGTGAACAAAGAATTCACTTGACCAAAGATGGTTTTCTTGATATGGTTGCCACTTACCTTTCAGTAAAATAGCACTTCACAAATTTGTTTAATGTTTTATCTCAAGCTCCCAGAAGTAGCTAAAACCACGAACATACATGTTGAAAATTTCAAAAGGGAAAAAAGAAAAGAAAGGCACATCTGAGTCAGGAAAACATTAACTAGTCTTATTTCTGAGAATCAAACCGGTGGTCTTTTCAGTGATCAGTCACCCCATTAACCACACATGAATGGCACAAGTAGGAAATGCCTGCTTCAATACCAAGAAGCTGGTCTTATTTAGATCTAGTCTTATATCATTGAAATATCATTAGAATTCTTATGGAAAATATGTTTTGGCTGTTTAGGGGATGCTAGGGGCTGGAAGTGAGAAGGTTTCAACACCATATGGGTATGTGAGTATAGATGCTTACAAGAAGAAGGGTAGACTTAGCCAAAACTAATTTGGGATTTTTGTTTGTTTGAATTGTTGGAGGGTGGATGAGAGTGAAGACATATCCTTTTGAAACTTAATTTAATTTTTATTTATTATTATTATTATTATTTTCAATTTTTTATTTTTATTATTATTATTATTTTCTATTTTTTATTTTTATTTTTTGAGACGGACTCTCGCACTGTCGCCCAGGCTGGAGTGCAGTGGCGTGATCTCGGCTCACTGCAAGCTCCGCCTCCCGGGTTCCTGCCATTCTCTTGCCTCAGCCTCCCAAGTAGCTGGGACTACAGGCGCCCACCACCGAGCCCGGCTAATTTTTTTGTATTTTTGGTAGAGACGGGGTTTCACTGAAGTAGCCGGGATGGTCTCGATCTCCTGACCTCGTGATCCGTCCGCCTCGGCCTCCCAAAGTGCTGGGATTACAGGCGTGAGCAACTTAATTTAATTTTTTAAAACAATATATGTCTCTTTGGAGTCAGGGTGTTTGTTACAGTGATGTTTTGCAGACAGGTTTATTGGAACTGCTTGGTAGGTGATAGGTTTTTCTTTCTGTTTTTTAATTAAAAAATAAGATTGGCCGGGCGTGGTGTCTCACACCTGTAATCTCTGCAATTTGGGAGGCCGAGGCGGGTGGATCACCTGAGGTCAGGAGTTCAAGACCAGCCTGGCCAACATGGTGGAACCATGTTTCTACTAAAAATACAAAAATTAGCCTGGCGTGGTGGTGGGCACCTGTATTCCCAGCTACTCGGGATGCTGAGGTGGGAGAATTGCTTGAGCCTGGGAGGCAGAGGTTGCAGTGAGCTGAGATCATGCTACTGCACTCCAGGCTGGGCGACAGAGTGAGACTCCATCTCAAAAAAAAAAAAAAAAAAGATTTATGTCAAGAATTCACATTTCTGGCCTCTCTTAAAAATATTGGAAGACATGGCAATAATTATCTGGGACTGAATAGCAGCTGCTTCTTTTTGGGACAGGTGATCACCCCCAACCCCAAACCCCTACCCTTAACTCTTCTACTCCTTTGGATGTTATCCCTGCCTGGTTTAACCATCAACCCTCTTAACTCCCGATCCTTTTAAACTTCCTCTACTCTTTTTATTCTTAGCACTTAGAACCCACTAACGCTCTATGTAACTGTCTTACGTGTTCCATTTCTTGTTTCTAGACTGTCTCCCTCCAGTAGAATGTGCGTTCTGCTATACAGCAGTGCTGTGTGACGCGATAGCAGGTCCTTTTTAAACATCTGTTGAAGGAGAAAATGAAGGCACACGTGGCCTTGCTGACATCTGAGTTTGCAACTTCTTTTATGCCTTCTGCTAACTGGGACCCCAGTGGGCTTCCCTGCTACACCCTCTGAGGTTCCCCAGTCCTGCCAAGCTGTTCCATCCCCAGTTCCTTGGTGCCTGCTGGTACTTCACCCTGGAGAGCCCAGCCCTTCCACTTGTTCAGATCTCAGTCTCTCATCTGGGAGGGACAGCTTGAGCACTATGACCTGTGTGAAGCTTTTCCCAGTGCTGGCAGACTGACTGGAACCTGCTCCTTCATTAAACCTGACAGATGCCTCCACCTGGCAGTTCTACCCTAAGACCATGAACTTCTTGAGGGAGGGAGATGTGACTTTTCATCCCTGGGACCCAGCAGCTGGCTCACCTCCTACTGGTTAGTGGGTGATGATTGGATGGCTTCCGAATGAACTCAGGTGTCTTAAGTACCGTTGGTCCTGACACCATGGCCACCTTCCAGAAATTTCCACATGTTAAGATTGCAGATGCAGGCTGGACACATTAGTGATTTCTAAGTGCTAAGAAAAAAAAAGAGCGGCTCACACCTGTAATCTCAGCACTTTGGGAGGCTAAGGTGGGCGAATCACCCCAGGTCAGGAGTTTGAGACCAGCCTGAGCAACATGACGAAACCCTGTCTCTACTAAAAATACAAAAATTAGCCAGACATGGTGCTGGGCATCTGTAATCCCAGCTAGTTGGGAGGCTGAGGCAGGAGAATTGCTTGAACTCTGGAGACAGAGGTTGGCGTGAGCTGAGATCGCACCACTGCACTCCGGCCTGGGTGACAGAGCAAGACTCTGCCTCAAAAAAAAAAAAAAAAAAAGAAAAAAAAAAGATTGAACATGTGGAATATGAGACAAATGAAAAAGATTGAATTCCGTTCCAACTGGGCTTTTGAATTTATTTTCGCACTTCCTATTTTTTGAGCCCGGGAGTGCAAGATGTAAGCTAAGAAAAGATAAGATGAAAGTATTGCTCTAACATTCTGGCTTCCTTCTATTAGAGAAGAATGCAAATCTTTGCCTTATCTCGATGATGGGCCCCACTTAACCCTTTGTTTTACTGAGAGCACTTTTCTGCAGATGATCAAGTGGAATTTACTATGATGGCCTGTCAAATCTTGAAATAATCTACCTTTAAGGAAGAAAAGTTTAACTAGATGATTGTACCTTTTAGCCATATCTACAATTAATTTGAATGTATTGCAAGCTGTTTAAAATATTCCATTAGTGAAGAAGGTAAGCCTAGCTTCTGGTAAATACACTACTAAGTGTTTATAGTACATTTCATATTTTACATGATTTCCTTTATAATTCTGCTTATCTTTTCATTCTAATTCCCTGAAGGACATATAAAAGAACCCCTAAAGAGAGTAATTACTGCTGTACTCTTTAACCAAGGCTCCTTTTGCAAAGAGAAATCTGAGCTGCTTTTTAAAGAAGGCCGTTTTTAAATAAAAATGCAAATAAGCTACTTTGTAACCACATTAATTACCCACCTAGCCTCTTATTACCATGTTTGTATTGTTTGCAAATACTATTTACAGTCGTGTGGAAATTAACATTACTGGTCCTGAGGAAAGATTGTGTTGGGGAGGTTGTGCTTTGGAACCAATTAGGGCGAACCTTGTCTCCACTGAGACTCTGGGGAAAAGCACAGCCTTGCAATGTCAAATAATAGCATTAGCTCTGACTGTACAGGCAGAGTGCTGTAATTATATTATTGGCCCTATTTTGCTTCTGCAATGAATTTCATTGCCTGCATTGTAAAATCAGCAGGTAGCAAAGTTTCTGCTAATGATTTAATGTACTCTCTGATCATTTTGGACAAAAGTCATGGTAAGATCCACAAGGCAATTTTATCATCCCCACTGACTACTGCCTGGTTTAAGCATTTTAAGTGAAGACAAAACATGATTCTCATCTCCTTGTTTCCTGGTGAATTCCTTCCCACACAGAAGAGAGAATTACTTGTCTAATATATAATTTCAGGCATAAGGAGAAGGTGATATTGCATTGCAAATAATAGCAGTTAGTGGGAGTTGAGAGCCAGCTCTGCACCAGACTCGTATCAGCCACTTGACCTCCATTATTCCTTATTCCTTGGTACCTCTGCGCCATCTGTGATATCAGATCCTTTTTTCTGCAAGGAAACTGAGGCTCGGCGATACTAAGAAACTCAGCCAGGGTCCGTCAGCTGTCAAGTGGCATTGCTGGCACCCAGATTGAGGGCCATCTGACTCCAAAGCCACCTGACTCTTTCCCATATACCACAGTTTCTAATACGATATTATACCAAGCTTTAATATGAGCACACCTCCTGGATGATGCTGTAAATTAGTTGCCTCCCACCACACCACATCAAGTATAATGGATATAATATGATTTTTCAGAATTCAGCTAATTACCTACTGAGCTTTACATTTTGTAACTTTTTTGACTGTCCATCAAAATGTCTTTGGGATTAAAAATTTTTTTCATATGTTTTGAGGTCAATTTGAATCTGAGTTTAATAAACGTTACCATGAAACATTTCTCCCATCTTTTTAGGAAATATCTGTGAATAAACTCATTTTGTGATAGAAGGCTGTGTGTTTATCCAGTTTTCATCCTAAGGAGAGGGGGAGAAGGGAAATAATACTTCACGTCTTTATTGCATGCCAAACGTTTATAGACATTATATGATTTCATCCTTTAATAACCCCATGAAAAGGATGTCATTGTCTTCACTTGACAAATGAGGGAGATGGCAGTGCAATCAAGACATACTGACAAGGAGAGGAGGTGAGCGACTTGCCCGAGGCCACGCTGCTGATACCTTGGCAGAAGCAGAATTTGAAAACAGAGCCCCCATATGTTTTAACTGCTCATTGGAAACTGACTAGGTCACATACTCCTCCTCCTTCCCTGTACTGGTAGTTTTTCTTTTATTTTTTTTTTAAATTTCTTCCATTTTCTTTCCTTTTTACAGCAAATTTGTAGTTATGGTGGAGCAAAGGGCAGTTTTCACTCCTCTTCCCTAAAACTGTAGTTTAACTAAAAAGTGGCCACTGTCTCCTGGTAGCGGTTGGTAAGCCATCCAGTCTCTGCAGGCATCTACGCTCCAGGTCTCCAGTCTGAGGAGTCTGGCTCCTGGGGCAGGTGCCTCTGGGGGTCTCTGCCAGGCTTGTCTGGTCATGCAGCTACTTCCAGACTGATTCCTAGATCTTGCATTTTTACATAGGACATCCCCAGCATTCAAAGAAGATCCTGGGAACTGGATTCCTACCAGAGGAATTAGAATGAAACCAACAAAACTAAAAACGACACCCTCCCCCATCCCCCGCATCCGATACACATGCAAGGTAATATTTGATGTCAGTAGGAAAAAAATCCAGTGTTATAGGAGACAAACCATAGCAAGCAATGGCCTCTCACCCTTCCCTTCACACCCTCCACTCTGTCCACTTGTTTGTTCCTTCAATAAATACTGATGGAGAATGGGCTCTATGCCAGTGTTTCTCTGGATGTTGGCTGCAGGGATGAACAAAGGCAACTTCTAGGAGAAATTTCTGTTTTTGATGCTCTCGTGGCTGCTTCCTGTGTCTTAATATTGTGCTTAAACTGCCACTTCTTCAGCTGTTGATTTCAGGCACTATCTAATGACTTTTGCTGTTACGAGCATGGATTTAGCTCATTTTTACCATCTTCCCTAGTTGTATCACCTTCCTCCCATTATGTTTGTAACTTCAGATTTTGTATATTTCGCATATGTCAATATGTAAACATTTTATATATATATATATGCATTCACACACATGCATACATATATGTAATGGTATATATACATGTAAGTTTCCATTTTTGCTCAAATTGCTCTGGACAGTTCTTTGCTCTGGGAGTTCTTTACTCCCTTTCTCATAAGAAGAGGCTGTTTGTACCCTGATCAATCCCTCTACCTCTTCTTTTCCCCTTTCACCCGTAACTTCTGCTACTTATACTTCTGCCTTATCATGGTCCATAACATTCACCTTCCACTCTGTAGCCATAATTAAATCTCCCATGCATCCCACTTTGGGAGGCTGAGGTGGATGGATCACCAGGTCAGGAGATTGAGACCATCCTGGCTAACACGGTGAAACCCCGTTTCTACTAAAAATACAAAAAATTAGCCGGGCATGGTGGCACGTGCCTGTAATCCAAGCTACTCGGGAGGCTGAGGCAGGAGAATCACTTGAACCCAGGAGGCGGAGGTTGCAGTGAGCCCAGATCGCACCACTGCACTCCAGCCTGGGTGACAGAGCGAGACTCCATCTCAAACAAACAAACAAACAAACAAACAAACAAACTAAGAACAACAACGAAAAAACTCCCATGTATTATCTATGGATTGACTGTAAAATATGAGAAGCAATAAATATGTTCATCACTAGGGCCATCTAGAAATTTCTAACCCAAGGGTCAACTAATCTTTCCCTGTGTTGTATTTCCTGCTCTGCGGATCCGGCATCATGACCTTTGTACTACCCAGGAAAGCCAGTGTTCTCATGGGCTCTTCTCTTTTTTATGCTCTACCAGATGCTAGCACTGTGGCATGCCATTCGCTCACTAGCAGCTTAAAGGGTACAGGTTCTAAATCTCCTTAGTGCTACTCACCTGTTATTTCTGAGCCTGCGTAGATGATCTTCTTTTATTCAGACGTCTGTGTCACATATACATGACATCCTACCCCCTTCCCATAAAAAAAATCACATTTGTGAATGTCTCTCTTAGGCTGAGTTCCAGACTCCAAGATCCCTCTTCTCTCTTGTCAGAATCCAGCAGCTGATGGCATTTATGTCTGTAGATTTCACTGTCAATGAGTCATTGACAGGCTAAGCAGGCTGTTGGATGGAGTGATCAATGGTATGAGGGAAAACACTAATGTATGCAAGAAGAGCCATTTCCTAGTAGGAAAAATATTTATGTATGGAGCCACAAAGGTGATCGCTTCAGTAGAAATCACCAAGGACCTGGTAGTCAATGTGCAACCTAATTTTCTTTCAAAAGCTGTAGGAATGGCAAGGGAGGAAATAAATAATGCATTTCTTTATATCTCCTGTTTTAAGTTACTGAGTGTCGCCAAGAGATTTCTAAGGCCAGACATTGAGTCAGCTGTAAAACTGGAAGGAGCAATGTTTGCTGACTGTTGCCTCAGCCGCTGACCCTGATCTCCTCTGCACGTAGTAGGCAGCTTAAAAATTCCTCGCCCGACTTCTGATTTTCACGTGACTCACTGCTTAGTTGTCTGGGTTTGTTTTAATTCCTTTCCCCCTGCTGACAGTTCTTTAAGTGGATGTCTATAAAGGTTGGGGCATTCGCTCTTACAACAATAGGAAAAGAAAGGAGGAAGGAATAAAAAAGAGAGAAAAGGAATAAAAAAAAGTTTGGTTTAGATGTCTGATTTCTCTGAGCCTCAGTTTCCCAGCATGTAAAATGTTGTGAGGGCTCACACTGGTCTTGTCCAGGTGCTTAGTAGAGCATCCATTACACCATAAAGTATCACAAAAATTTTTAATATCATCATTATTACTGTGCTTTCCCTTGAGTTTTTTTTTTTTTAAATCAGTTAATCCACATACTGGCAGATCTGACTTCCTTGTTTTAGGCCCTGGGGAATTTTTGTTATCTGTAGAGCTGGATTAATTTTACAGTGTGGTGCCTTTGCCCAAGGTGAACCTGTCTGTTTATAGAAAGTGTCACCAAGTTCTGTCTTGGGCCCGTCCACTCGGTTATATGTGCTGGACCCTGGGTGGAAGCACTTTGCACGTGTGCATTCACGATGGGCTGTGCTGGAGGGGAAAACAGGCATCACTCCCAAATTCTATTCATGCAATTAAAAATTCCTTTCATTTTTATTTGTGAGAGGGTATGGGTGCACAGCAGACGGCAAACAGAAGAAAAGCTTTTGATTGAAAGGTAAACATTTACTTCTGCCTTTTAAATAGACATAGCAAGTCTCTTTACTCTCATGGAAGCAGTTATAAGGAACATAGAGCTGAAGAGAATATGACCATTTCTGGTCTTTTACTATGCTCGTATTAATCCACCCTGGATAGAAGGGACTGTACTATTTGGAAACACCTAAATAAAATGTTTTTGTCTTAAGGTGTTAAAATGTACTCATTAATGTGGCAGTGTATTCCTTTTCTTCTGTGATCGTTGAAGTAGGGAAGGAATTTCAACTAAGAACCAAAATGATTGTCTGTTAAGACACTTATTTTTTGAGAAGACAAATTAATATAACATTATTATGTGGGGAATGTGGAAAGGCTAAGGTTGTATTGAAAACTTATTAAGCTTATGAGAATATTGAAAGCATGAGGAGGCATGACCGGAAGGTATTAATGATTTGGGCTTGATTATTCTAAGACTGTATTCTAAGTCTAAAATGTTGATAACTAAGACCTGAAATGATAAATGTTTGGCAAAACCAAATAAATGAGTAGCAGGTTGAAAAAAGAGGCAAGAGAGAAGTAGATATTTATAGTTTTCTAAAACAATTTAGTCCCTTCTGGAAGAGAGTCCTACCTCAGCCATGCCTACCAGGTTGTGTTTGTGGGATTATTTCTGAGTCACCCTTAAGCTCATCTTTACCCCTCTCCCAGACCCCCAGTCCCCTCACTGGGCATTCCTTGGATTATTTATTTATTTATTTATTTATTTATTTATTTATTTATTGTTTGAGACAGTCTCACTTTGTCACCAAGTCTGGAGTGCAGTGGTGTGACCTTGACTCACTGCAACCTCTGCCTCCCAGGTTCAAGTGATTCTCTTGCCTCAGCCCCCTGAGTAGCTGGGACTACAGGCACGTGCCACCATGCCTGGCTAATTTTTTGTATTTTTAGTAGAGACGGGATTTTGCTATGTTGCCCAGGCTGGTCACGAACTCCTAAACTCAGGCAGTCCACCCGCCTCGGCCTCCCAAAGTGTAATCCTGGATTATAGGTGTGATCCACCACACCCAGCCTTCCTTTTGTTTTTGATTTTTCCTCTTTAAACTCTACTTGTAACCACCCCTTTCCTTTCCCAAACTTTTACTAGCTTCTTCCATCCTGGACTTGCAATCTGGCTGAAAACCTGCTAAATAAGGGAACAATTTTGACATGGCTCCTGTACTCCCCACAAACCTAGTTGATTCCAGACCAGTAATGTCTTGGGGACAGTGTTGTCCCATCTTCCTTTCTAGGCTGGGCTCAGATTACTGACGTGGAAGAGTTGTTGGTCCTGGTGCAACATGCCATGACCATGAGGCCTCTGGTAGAAAGGAAGGAATGAAGGGTGGTTCTCCAAACCCTTGGCCCATGCCTCATCCTTCTGTTCCCTTCCTTTTCCAGGTACGTAGCTGGTCAGGTTTCTTAAATTCCGTCGATCTGGCTTTATCCATTTTAAGCCTTAGGTTGTTGGAACATAGCTAAGTTGGTCACCTTTTCAAGAATTGAATCTCAAAAAAGCCATGTAGACCTCGGTTGTAACCATCACATTCATTGACTTGGTTGTTGATCTGTTTGTCAGATCAGTTTTCTGTTTGGGGAACATTTTTGTAAGTGCATGTATTTCAGCTTTTAACATTTTAAAAATAAAATTTCATTGGGAAAGAAATTTCATTCGACTGGAGTACCAGGAACTTAGAATGAATCCATTTGTCAGCAGTATTTATACCCTGTCTAAAAGAGTGTCCTCCCAGTTCTCTGTCTCTGTACTGTGTCCCCACTTTAAAAAATAGCTCAACCTCTCATTATATTTGCAATTTTTTGTTTTTTTCATTGCCTGGTGGGTTTTTTTTTTTTTGTCTTTTTAAATGCTCCATGTAGAAAAGAATTCCTGGAATAGTTCTTGGAACAGCATAGGTGAATAAATGAGCAATTATTTTGTCCTCAGCACTATAACTGATTTGAGAAGGTCAAAACAGAAAATAAAAACATGTTTCAGTAGTACCAGTTCCTGCACAGGCTGTCTGCCAACTATGGAAGTAAAGGGAATAGAATTAGGCTGTCTGGATTATAGTGGGAAAACAAAACACAATCACATCCTGCCTCAGCCTATCCTTGAACTGGTGTCTTTAGAAAGGGGAGGTCAAGTAAAGGCCATAAGGCTGGATGGTGGGGAAGAAAGAGGCCTGGGAACAGGTGAGAAACTGCAGAGCCTGGCGGAGTTCATTTAACCTCACTGTGGTTCTGTTGGACTTAGTGCAAAATCAAGAGACCCACCTTTGCCTGCCCATCCTGCAATGGTTTGGGGGGCCCCAAGTAGATGACTGGGGAAGATGACTGGGAAACTGCAGCACTGGTTCATGTTCTGGGACAAATCAATATTAAGCAAGTTTAATGATGGGTAGGTTCATTCAAAAGGGAAATATGTTTCAATGGAGAAGAGAAATTTGTTAGGTTGTATAATAAATATTTTGAGTGTATTTGGATAGAAGTTTATGACGGAAAAGGCAAAATTCTCTGTGTCTTTATGGGGAGATATTCGATATGTTTTTTCTTGGCAGAAATAAAACATATTCAATAATATAATTAGGCAAACTTGTTTTAGTTGACAAGAAGACCGTATCTCCGTCTGCAAGATGAAGGCAAGATCAAGAGATGTCAGTTAACATTCTTGCGACCACAGGTAGGGAGGAGAACTGGGGAGGAATTTATGGATAGGTGAGAGCATAAAACTAGATGCGGAAGGGATGGGGGAGCAGGTAAAATAATGAGGCTCAATGTTCAAGAAGGTCTTGGGCAAGCGCGTGCTAGTTATTTTCCTCACTGGTGTGGTCGTGACAGATGAATCACATTTTACTCTCCTCCCTTTCTCATAGTATGATTACATAAAGGAGACCTTCCCTGGAAAGAGCCCTGTGCATGGCTTTTGAGAGTGGGCCTGGGCTAACAGTGAGTGTGGAAGCTTGCTGCCTTGAATTCTTTCCAATTCTGGAGAGTTGATGGGTAACAAGTGTGTATCTATAGTCTGCTTGGACATGGCGGTGTGGCCACTGACACGTTGTCAGCCATCCCCTCAACTCCAGGGACAGGAATGGTGAGAAGGTGGTGAGGGCACAGTCTGCCCGGAGACGGGACAGTTTGTACTACCTGTAGCAAGAGCATGTCTTTGAGAGCCATAGCAGCTGGCTTCCTATTTGGAGAGAACAAGAATGTGAAAAGCTATTTATTACCAGATGTGGGCAGACCCTCCAGCCTTTTTTTGTTCTTTTAAACCCTAATCTCTTTTTAAAATTTTTTTTATTTTTAATGTTTATGGGTACATAGTAGGTGCTTATATTTGTGGGGTACATCCGATGTTTTGATACAGGCATGCAATGTGAAATAATCACATATGAAGAATGGGGTATCCAACCCCTCAAACATTTATCCTTTGTGTTACAAGCAATCCAGTCACTCTTTTAGTTATATAAAAATGTACAGTTTAAGTTATTATTGACTATAGTCACCCTGTTGTGTTGTCAAATAGTAGGTCTTATTTATTCCTTGTATTTTTTTGTACCCATTGACCATCCCCACCTCCTCATCAACCCCCCACTACCCTTCCCAGCTTCTGGTAACCATTTTTGTGCTCTCCATTTCTGTGAGTTCAGTTGTTTTGATTTTTAGATCCAAGAAACACAATCTTAGATGCATAGTAGGTGCATTCTGTTGCCATCTGCATCATGGGACTGCACAATCGGAGAGGCAGGAAGGCCCTGAGAAATACCTGATTACACACCTGCGTGCTGGGATGAGAAATATGAGGGGAGGAGAGAAAAGATGAGCCTCATATTGCATAGCAAGTCTGTGATGGAAGCAAAGTTAGACCCTGTTGATTTTTATGTCTTACCTCCTTGCCATTAGTTAGGTAAATTTAGACCACCATATTTTCTAAGATCAGAGAATAGAGAATTTTAAATTCTAGATTCTTGCCTTGTGGATGTTGAAAAGAACAATTAAAAGTTATTTGGGATATCCAATCAGTTAATAAATAATTATGAATGAATAAACTGTTTTGTTGAAGACACTCTTATGGCAGACATGAACATGGGGCTTAAATCAGTTCTGACATCTAGAAGCTCAAATCCAGGAGGCAGAGGAGTTGGATATTAAAGAACTCTGTGGTGAGCTGGACAGGATGACATGACAATTATGGAAGTTCAGAGCACATAGCAGTCTTTTCCAGTGATGGGGATGGAATGTGGGGGTCATGGAAGACTTTGTGGAAGAGTTGCAAGTAGAATTATTACTGTTGAAAAGAGATGGGGAGTTAGGTAGACAAACAGAAAAAATGCCACCAAACAATAAGTTAGGATAGAAAAACTCCACGTATCCATATGTCAGTTGGCCCATCTGTTCGTTCATACATCCTTTCATTCTTCTATCCATCCAACCGTCCTTGCATCCATCTATCCATCCACACAACCACTTATTCTTCATTCATCTGCCCATCTGCCCACCTACCCATCCACCCTTCCATACATTCATCTAGTCATCCCCATCCATCCACTCATCTATCCACCCATCCATCCACCCATGAATCTATCCATCCATCTGCCAATCCACCCACCCTTCCACTCACCCACCCATCCATACACACTTCCATCTGCCTTTCCAATTATCCACCCTTCCATCCATCCATCTACCCACTCATCTACCCTTTCATACATCCATACACATCCATCTGTTCATTCATCTATCCATCCATGCATCCTTCCTTCGTTGTTTTCTTCCTTCTATCCATCTATTCATCTACCCACCCCACCCACCTATCCTTCACCCATCTGGCCATCCATCCTTCTACCCACACCTTCCTTCCTACCTTCCTTCCTTCCTTCCGTCCTTCCTTCCTTCCTTCCTTCCGTCCTCCCTTCCTCCCATCCTCCCTTCCTTCCTCCTGTCTTCCTTTCCTTTCCTTCCTTCTCTTTCTTTCTTTTGTTCCTTCCTTTCTTTCCTCCCTCCCTTTCTTTCCTCCCTCCCTTCCTCCCTTCCTGTCTCCATTATTAACTTGCTGGTATTTTGTTTCACCATTGCATTGTGTTTATCAATAGACGATTAATGGAAGAAGAGAAGAAATCAGGTGAAGTCTTTGTAGGATCTAGAATGTCTAGGCTAAGGAGTTTGAAATTTTTTATACTATGTTCTATTGGGAACCATTTCAGGGTTTTGAGATATAGTATGATATAATAACAGCTATGCTAAATTCTTTGAAGTTATTGGTGGTGGAATATCAATCCAGAATGAAAATAAATAATTTTGGAAATGAGCCTGTCATTGAAATATACTTTATTTCTCGTTAAATGTCCCAGCAAAAGTATTTTGGTTGTTAAAATAAAGGAACAACCATTAGAAAGGAGGAGGAGAAGAATTAGAAGGAAAAAAAAGGTAAAGGTAAAGTACCTTGGTATTTTAGGGTTTCTAAGATTAGGAACTTTAAATGTTGACCCCATTTTGGTCTTTACCTTCAAAAGACGGGAGAAAGACTGAGAGAAGTTTCTAAGCTGATGCTGCTCTACTACCTGGAGTAGGAATGAGAAACCATCTATAAATATTACCTTTGGTGTTTCCATCAAAAATTTAGAATTTCACCCTATTCTATTTTTAATTCTGGTTTAAGACTGAAGGGGTTCTTGGTGAATACTTTTGTAGATACAATTAATAGTTATGAAAATCATTACTGATTACCTCCAGGGTTCAGATATTGGGCTGAATGTCTTCTCTCACCATCAGAACTACCTTTTGACTAGAGTGTTAATTATTAACATATTTTAGATTAGTCAGACAACTGCAATATTTAAGGAATACGTCCAAGGTCACACAACTAAAAGAAGTGACAAAGTACGGTTTCAGACCCTTTTAGTCTTTTCTGTGTTGCAAAATTGAGATAATGATAATAGCTAATGATACCTCTCCCTTACTGATAATTGAATGTTTTATGTGAATTAAAAAGTTTAATCTGCATAGTGTTTCATCAAGATAGATTCCTTGTTATCCTCATTTTGGAGATGAAGAGACTCAGGCATGCAAAGGTGAAGTAATTTTCCCAGGGCCAGAGGGCTAAGGAAAGGGAGAATTGGGATTAATTCTACATTGTCTACTGGTAATACCTATTGCTCATTTTTACCAGTTAAAACTATTTAATGAGCATTTGCCCACTTTCTAAAAATATGATGGTCTTAGTTACCCACATGGACCTACTCTATCCCAGGCAGATGCCACAAATTATTTTGTTTTCTTTTTGTATATATTTATGCTGTTTCCTCATTTTTAAATAGTGGGCTTTGATGACTATTCTTCTACATAAATTATTACATATCTGTATCATAGAATCTTAAAAATTATTTGATTCAAGTGTATACATAATTTTCATATCCCTGATAGATATTGCCAAATATTTACCAGAAGTGAATCAAGTAGTTTTTCTACCAACATTATCTAAGAGGGCTTGTCTTTTTACATCTTTGTCAGCACTAAGTATTATCTCCCTTACTTTTTTTTTTTTTTGGTAATCTTTGTTACTTTGTTAGGATTAAAGTAGCTTCTCATTTTAATTTTCACTCCTTTAATTGAGAAGCAGAACGTATTCTTTTTTGGTGACTTGTTTCAGAGTCTCTTTAGTTTGAAGATACAATAGATGTAGCATCTGCTATATCCGGTAACAGGATAACAGTGCATTGCTGGGATGATGAGGCTGCAGTGGGCTGTGATTGTGCCACTGCATTTTCAGCCTGGGTGACAGAGGAAGACCCTATTACAAAAAAAAAAAAAAAAAAGGGTCTGTTATCAACCATGCTTTTTTATTTTATTTTATTTTATTTTCCTGTTTCTGAGTTAGAGTCTCTTTTGCTCAGGCTGGAGTACAGTGGCGTGATCTTGGTTCACTGCAGCATCAACCTCCTGGGCTCAAGCAATCCTCCTAGCTCAGCCTCCTGAGTACCTGGGATTGCAGGTATTTGCCACCACGCCCAGCTAATTTTTGTATTTTTAGTAGAGACAGGGTTTCGCCATGTTGGCCAGGCTGGTCTCGGACTCCTGACCTCAGGTCATCCGCCCGCCTTGGCTTCCCAAAATGCTGGTATTACAGGCATGAGCCTCTCCATCTGGCCTCAGCAGTGCTCTTCTGGCTAGCTTGATCATATGCCAATGTTTTATTCCTTCGTGGAGCTCAGAGTAAGCTTGTTTTACTGGACGTTTTCTATAATAAAGCTAGGGGATGGCGAATCATTCTAATTACCAAAAAGCTGTCTTTGATAACAATGTAGGAGATAACGAAGGCAGAAATAACATTTGAGTAATTCTTTGCCATTCTGTCTCTGAATCTTGAAATAAATACTCTTGAATTTATATGTTCTTGGTCCTTTAGGAGTCATAAAAACATACCGTTACATATGTATATGAAACGGTGAGAAACTGCGTATTTATTAAGAGTCACGACCCTTAGGACTAGACAAATCAAATTAAATCTCATAAAAACCTGTTATGGAATATGAATACGTGGCACTATTTTTTCTTTTAGGGTGTCTTTATTAATTTTGTCATGTTTAATATGTTGCAGTTGCAAACAAAGGCATAAATGCATGCGTTCATTCCTAATTAATTTATGTAATTGGGTTTTATAAATTTAGCTGTTTAGGAAGCTGTGCATAACACACTCCATTTACTGTGTGCTGTAGCCAATAAAAGCATAATAGAAAGAAATATAGTTTGAAGCTCACTTCAATGGTAAATATAGATTAGTTGTAAATGATATCTTTGTAATGTTTATTTTAAATTTTGCAGTGCTGCAGATTTTCTGAACATACCAATTAATGTTCTTATTTGAAATAATGACTAGTTAATTACTATAAATTCTAAGTGCTCCATCTCTGACAATTAAAAATTGTCTTACAGCTTTTTATTTATTTATTTATTTTTTTTAGATCTTTCCAAATTATATTAAGTGCAGCATCTGGGGAAAGAAGAATGGGAATGGAAGGAGTGTGTTTAAAATGTGGGTGGTTTTGTCAATTCCTATTGGGAATGCTTGTATTTGAATGTATATACATATGCATATTTATGTGTAATGTCTATTTCATGCTAAATAGGGAGTGATCAAGTTGAAAAATAAGAAATGCTGTTTGAATTTTTAAAATAGGTTATAAATTATAACATGAAAATCAAATACAATGGGTAAAACCAGTAAATTTTAAATAAGTTTACATTTGTTGTCGTGATGTGACTGTGACGTTACCTGAGATCTCAGCAAGGAGCTCTGCAGCCCGAAAAGACCAACTGGAATGATTTGATCAGAAAGGGAATGGGTATTAGGCTGCTCCACTGATACTTTATCCACTTCGGGAGAGAGAGCCCTGTTCCTTCTTCATCTAGCTCAAGCCAACTGTCAGAAATGCATGTCAGAGCTACACAATTCTATCCAAGGCATTAACTGTTGTCAAGTCTGTTTTTTATGAATATGTTTCAATATAAGAAATTGTCTTAGGCCCAAAGTGAAACGTCTTCCTCCTTGACTCATAGCAAGCTCATGCAGGTATTTGAACATTGTTCTGTATAATATGTGCACCTTTGAGAAATCCCATGATTCTTGCTATTCTTTGTAAATCTAATACCTTCCATCCAGAGAGAGAGTATACATGTGGAGTCAATTGGGAGTACCTTTTGTATCCTCTAGTCTGAGCCTTACAGGTTAAAGGAGAATGTTGGATTTGCTTTTGAAAGTATGGGCTTGCGGAGATTAAAAAAAAAAAAAAAGAAACCTTGAATAATCATGTACAAATATAAATACTGTATGTAGAATAAGTGTAATGGATCACATTTATGATGAAATATGTATGTCTTTCCAAGGGTAAGACCTTCATAATTCATTTATAAGTTACCTTCTTTCTCTTACATGTAAGTAGCAGAATAGTAATTTTCTTCGTTCTTTCTGAAGAATTGCCACACAGGGAATGAAAAGAAGAAAGGATAAACTTTTCTTAAACAGCAGAATGTTATTCAGAGATAACTGGAAAAAAGTACGAGAAAAGCCAAAAAGAAAAAAAAAAATTGTGGGTCCTGGTGATGTTGGAAAAATGACGTGTGAGCTGAAGTTCCAGACGCCGAGCTTCATCTATTTTGTCATGTTATGACAGAAATCATTACAAGGGTGATAGGTTTATTTATAAAGACTTGCTTCAATATTCAAAGTACATCTATTCTAGCATTCCTCATTTTGAGCCAGGCTGTGGATCAAGATGAAAGAAAAATTAAATTGTATATTGAAGAGCTCTTAATTGAGCCATGCTGTATTTAACAGGGAAGCATCGGCTTCAGGCAGTCGATACCACTGAGGATTTTTAATGCCCTGCATCATGAGACTGTCAGTTTGCTTTGGAGAATGCAAACAGGCTAATGACAAAGCCCTGCAAACTTTTGTAGTTGCTGCTGGTCTCTTTGGAAGGCAAGTGCTAATTTACCCACAGTTGAAACCTGACACACACACGCGCGTGCACACACACAGACACACACTCTCTCTCTCTTTCTCTGTCTCTCTCTCTTTCTCTGTCTCTCATAAGGAACTAAATCCTGCGTTTTCTCACCAGAGGGCTAATGACACACTGCTTAGTCACCCAAAACCTGTTTCCTAAGGAGCCACTTTGGGGCTTGTTTAAAGTTTTTAATGTAAGGCATTATATAATATTAGATTTCCCCTGTTTTTCCTTAATCAATGTAAATTCAATTGCATTTCAGAGGGTGGCCAAGTGGCATTTCATCATCTCTAATATCCATTTAAAAATGTTAGGTCTACCCAGTTATAATTCTCCAAAGTAGCCTATCTGTGGTTTAATATGTTATCTACATTCTCTAAGGCAGTGTTAATTTCCTTTTGTAGTTAATCTATCCTACTACCAAATTTAGTATATTTATAGTTAAAGATTCTGTTAAGAGCTAAGTGATTTAAGTACATCTGGGATAAAGTGGCCTTGGCTTTAACTATGAAACAAATTTTCTTTATTTCATTCTCTTCACTGATAAATCCATAGTAACTGGAGGCATTTTTAGAATTGTGGGCAATTTCAGCCTCTAAAGTTTGATTAAAGATACTTCAGATATTCCTACTGAGAGGCTAGAGGGCTGAAAGGAATTTATTTTGGGTTCTGGCCCTAGTGCAGCTCAGTGGAAGAGAACAGACATTGTGAGTTTAATTCCCACGCTGCCAATTTCCCACGAGTCTAGGGTGGGTGTTACTTCTCAAGAAGGCGATGGTAGAACCGCTGGAGACTTCTTATGGCTGTGGCAGGGGACTCACACGTCACAAGGAGTCCAGAGGCATGGCTTTGAAGAGCTCTTTTCATTCATTCTTCCTTTTGTTCACTTGTACATCAAATACATGCTGTGGGCCTACTGTGTGCTGAGCACTGATCTTGTCAGGTTCTTGGGGAAGACTTCATTGCTGAGGTGACCTTTGAGCTGAGTGTATGAGTGCAAGAGAGAGCGATCACACCTGGGAACTGCTTAATAAAGTCCCCGGCATCTTGAAGCCACTTGCAGACCTTGGCAGTTGCTGTTGCTCCTGCTGCTGCTGCTGCTGCTGCATTGTCAAGACTACATTGATGTCTTGGAAATATAGAAAAAAGAGGCTGCTGGACTGTGTGCTTAGAATCAGTGTGCTAACTCTGTTACCAACACCGTAGAGAAGTGGTTCCAGAAGGAAGAGTTCAGGGTGAGAATGAATAACGGAGTGGCTTTGCAGTGGGAACCTGGCTTTGCAGCACAGCTAGGATTGGAGAAGATCTTCCCAGCAGGGAGAAGAACTCAAAGAACATGCATGAAGGGAGGAAGGTTGCACCAGTGGGAGGGACCAGAATATGGTGTGGAAAGAACGAGGTTCAAATCCAGGCTCTGTCATTAACTGCCCCTACCCTCTCTGAGCTGAGTTTGTTTTGGACACTGGAGATAATGCATGTTAACATCCTGGTAGCTCTATTTATTTGCTACCATGGTACATAATCATGGGAGCTCTATTTATTTGAACATCTTCTTTTGTTATTATTTGGTGTATTTGGGAAAGGCATGTGGGAGCAGCAAGCAGGTGAGCATCCTGTTTGGAATGCAGGGCCGGGAACTGCCCTGCCCAGTCCAGCCTCATTCCAGAGGCTAGCACCTGGCCTCAGCTGTAGAGCTGCTGGGAGCATTTCAGCTCTCTGCTTCTTTGGCAGTCTAGTGCTGTCACAGAAGGAAAGCTCACTCCATGGAAAAGGGGGGATTGATTTCTTCTCTGAGGGCAGAGGCTGATCAATCTAGGCTGGTAGGAATAGATGTAACCTCAGAGGAAACAATTTGCATTGGCGAAAGCAAGTCAATGGCCATCCCCAAATTCAAAAGGACAGGGAAGTGTAATCCTACTGTGATCCCTAAAGCATCCAGGCCCCAGGAATGGTGGTGATTTGCCAGGGGGAAATGGAGGAACAACCCCTTCTTTGACTACCTCTGTAGTTTATATTGGATTCTGCAAAGTCCCATGAGGACTGATAGATGGGCTGTGTCTGCATTTGAATTTTGTAGCTGAAATGTGGGTGAGTTCACCTAGGTCCCCTTCATGACAAGGTGGTGAGAAACATTTTCTTGTTCTACAAATCTGAATTAGGTCCACGAAAGAGGGTATGCAGCATAGAGAGGAACCAAAAAGGACGCAAGATTTAGGATAGATATTGCCCCTTGGGAGGCCTGCCTGGTCTGCCCTTGATAACTCATGAACAGTCTGGTAATGCTGGAAGGCAAAGTAAAAGCCAACCTCTTGAGAAAGACATGGAACACAGGATGGAACTTGAACTGCTTAAAATGGCTTTTCTCAGGCCAGCTGCACTGGAGTGTGCTGCTGTAACAAACACGCCCGGATCTCAGTGGCTTAGCATGGTGAATTCATTTCCCATTCGTGATATCTGACCACAGATGGGAGGTAAGGGGCTGTGCTTTAAAGTCATTCATGGATCTGGCTGGGCCCGATGCCTCACACCTGTAATCCCAGCAACTTGGGAGGTGGGCGGATCACTTTAGGTCAGAAGTTCGAGACCAGCCTGGCCAATATGGTGAAACTCCATGTCTACTAATAACACAGATTAGTCAGGTATGGTGACGTGCACCTGTAATCCCAGCTACTCGGGAGACTGAGGCACAAGGATTGCTTGAACCGTGGAGGCAGAGGCTGCAGAGAGCTGAGATCATGCCACTGTACTCTAGCCTGGGTGACAGAGCGAGACTGTATCTCAAAAAAAAAAAAAAAAAAAAAATCTTTCAGGGATCCAGGCTGACCTCAGCACCATCTCTTACATGTGCCTCTGTTCTTTCCCTAATATAAGGGAGCATGGGGGATTAGTGTCTGGCTTAAGCACTTCCACTCAGAAATCTTGCTTCTCCCCACAATCCATTGGTGAAAGCAAGGCAATGGTCATGCCCCAATTCGAAAGATAAGTGCAGTCCTACTGTGTGCCCTAAAGAATTGAAGATCAGGATACTTATGAGCAGCGCTCACAACTGCCATAGTGGCAATGCGAATGGCATCTATTTTTAATGTGACTGAGAAAATAATTGGTCAGATATTGCAGGATTTTTGTGGGGGAGAGGGTGGAAAAGAACTTACAGATTAAAAAAAGAACTGGCATAGCACCTAGATTTTAAACAGAAGGAAAAGATGACATTGGGGACCAGAGACAGAAATTTCACTTCTGTGCCATGACAAATACCAGGGAGATGTAATTGCAAAATGAAGCTGCAAATGTCTTACCCAGGGAACTAGGTGACAACCTGCTTGGCTTCATGAAGAAGGAATAATATCCAATTAGGCTAAGTGTATTCGGTGCCTGAGTGACAAGCCCTGGAGACCTGAGGGCTTCTGGGGCCCCCAGGGCGGTTTCAGGAGGCTGTCTCCAGACCTGTCCGGGGTGTGAGCATGTCACGCTGTGGCCCGCGCCTCCCCTGTACAGCTGCCTCTGCTCTTCTAAGCACTGAAATGAGAGGTGTAACCTGTGTTCCAGAGTCTGCGCCTCCCAGCCACTGGGGCAGGGGCACCTGGCCCATCAGACTTACCTTGCCTCCCCTGCTGCCCATGCCCTGCTGCCTAGGGCTGGGCTCATGACTGGGTCCACATCAGCTCCACATTGCAGACTGACCCCCTGGACCCTCACGTCTCAGGATCCCTATCTCCCTGTCAGTGCTTTGTCACCCAAAGTCACCGCAGCTCCTCTTGAGTGCTTTCAAGATCAGACCGAGGGGTCCTAGTTCAAGCTAATTCCTACCTGTGCGATCACTAGCCAAGTACTGAACCTCTCTGAACTTCAATTATCTCATCTGTAAAAGGTGTTGGTTTGTAATTGTTCCTACCTCTTAGGGCTTTTGTGAGAGTTTAGATGATAAACCACCAAGCAACAGTGGCTGGCATTCTGTGCACAATCGAAGTCTGCTGCTGTCAGCTCTGTGGTCGCTGTCTGCACTCCCACCCCTGTCATCCTCCAAGTCTGATCTCCTCCCGAAGTCTCTTCCTGGACCTCAGCCCTCAGGGATTGCACCTCCCTCTGAATATGCTGTCCCTTCTAATCATGCCATTTAGCCACACTGCCTAGCACTTTCTTTTTTGAATATTCGTGTCCCAGGTCCCTGAAAAAGTTGCTAAGCCTGCTAAAAGCAAGGCAAGGCCTTTCTTTCTTTGTAACCTTAATGCCCAGCAACGCTCCATTCAGTTTGACCCTCAGTTGGCTTCATACTTTGATTTTATGTCTTTATTTGTTTCTTAATGAGCTACTTTATCATTGTGAAAACAGTTAAATATCAATAGTCAATGAATAAATATTACCAAAAAAAAAAAAAGGTTTGTCGTTTAAAAATTTGGAGCTGGGCTGGAAACTAGGGATACTACTTGGTATATTTTAGTTCTACTGATATGACAGTATTTGATACTTAATCATATTCAAGCAGCTTTACAGAGACTACCATGAGAATGGGTTAAATTAAGAGGATTGTCTTTGCTGTTTAGCCAATATGGGCCAAAGTTCAGTGGTTTGAGACATGGCGGGGTTTGGTAGTAGATGTAGGATATTGCTGGGGAAAGAGTGTTAGAGGATGGAAGATTGCATGATATTTCTGGCTTTGCTCTTTGACTGTGTGCTGTTTGTAAAATCACTTAAGTCCCATGGGTCATTTTCTTCCCCATATCAAGCACCTGCTATGTATCAGGTGTTGTGCTCACGTGGTGTTTTATGCACAGTGTTTCCTCTTTGTTAATCCTCATGATGATTGGTATGGTTTGGCTGTGTCCCCACCCAAATCTCATTTTGAACTGTAATCTCCATAATCCCTACGTGCCAGGTAGGGACCTGGTAGGAGGTGATTGGCCCGTGGTGGCAGTTTCCCTCATGCTGTTCTCGTGATAGCACGTGAGTTCTCGTGAGATCTGATAGTTTTATAAATGGAAGTTTCCCCTGGCCTTCATTCTCTTTCCTGCTGCTTTGCGAAGAAGGTGCTTGCTTCTGCTTTGCCTTCTGCCATGATTGTAAGTTTCCTGAGGCCTCCCTAGCCATGCGGAACTGTGAGTCAATAAACCTCTTTCCTTTATACATTACCCAGTCTCGGGTAGTATCTTCATAGCAGTGCAAAAACGGACTAATACAGGTTGGGCACGGTGGCTCATGCCTGTAATCCCAGCACTTTAGGAGGCCGAGGCAGATGGATCACTTGAGGTCAAGAGTTTGAGACCATCCTGGCCAACATGGTGAAACCCTGCCTCTACTAAAAATACAAAACAGCCGGGTATGGTGGTGTGTGCCTGTAATCCCAGCTATTTGGGACCCTGAGGCAGGAGAATCGCTTGAACCTGGAAGGTGGAGGTTTCAGTGAGCCGAGATCATGCCACTGCACTCTAGCCTGGGTGATTCCATCTCAAAAAAAAAAAAAGAGAAAGAAAACAGATTAATACAATGATCTGTGAGATATTGGGACTGTTCTTATTCCCATTTCACAGATGAGCCACTAACTGGCTCCTGGCAGGACAGTGAATAAGGGGCACAACAGAGACACAAACACATCGCTAACCAATGGTCTCATCCGTCAGCCACACTGCCTGTCTCAGCATGGGCCCTGTGTGGACCATTCCATCTCAATTTGTTTCTGATTCTTGTCAATTAAATAAGAACAGCTGAAAAGTAAAATAATAAATATATACATAAAAACAATGGGGGGAGTAATAATGATAATAGATACAATTTTTTGGTCTTTATAATCCCCAGAGCCTGGCTTAATTATTTTAAAGTAAATCAACACTTTGAACACTTGCAGGTTAGAAAACCAGTGGACTGATGGATGCGTTACAGCCATTGTTTCCAAGTGTATTAGTTTCTGCTGGCCGCTGTAACACATTATCACCAGTGTAGCACCTAAACAACACAAATGTATTGTCTTTCAGTTCTGTAAGATAGAAGTCCTACAGGGTTCTCCTTGGGCTAAAATGTAGTTGTTGGCATTTCTTTCTGGAGGCTCTGGGGGAAGGTCGTTCCTTGGCCTTTTCCCATGACGCTAGAGGCTGACACATTCCTCTGCTATGGCCTCTTCATTTTTCAAAGCCAGCAAGATTGCATCTCTCTGTCTTTCTTTTGTGGTCACATTTTACCAGGACTCTTCTCCTGCTTTTTTTTTTCTACCTTTAGGGATCTTTGTGATTTCATTTGGCCCACCTAGATAACCAGGGTCCTCTCCCTATTTATTTTTATTTTATTTGTGAGACAGAGCTTTGCTTTGTTGCCCAGACTGGAGTGCAGTGGCTTGATCTTGGCTCACTGCAACTTCCGCCTCCAGGGTTCAAGCGATTCTCCTGCCTCAGCCTCCTGAGTACCTGGGACCACAGGCACATGCCACCATGCCAGCTAATTTTTAGTAGAGATGGGGTTTCACCATGTTGGCGAGGCTGGTCTCAAACTCCTGACCTCAAGTGATCTGCCTGCCTTGGCCTCCTAAACTGCCGGGATTACAGGTGTGAGCCACCACACCCAGCCCCTCTCCCTATTTTAATGCGAGGTAATTAACAACCTTAATTTCACCGGTAACCTGAATTCTCCTTTGCCACGCAGTCTACCATATTCACGGGTTTCAGGGATTAGGACCTGGACATCTTTGGTTGGGAAATGGGCATCATTTTGTCTACCACAACGTGAGAGCCCATTGCCCTGCATCCACAGTCATAAAAGTCTGTTCCCTTCCTCCCTGATTCTTCCTAACTTCTCCTGCCTGCCTTGCAGGATATGTGGAGTTATCAGTTCCTAGCACCACTGGCCAAAGCGAGGATAGCTGATTGCACTCCTACTTTCCTGCTGGTGGAAACAGCATGTATATAGGTACAACTCTGGTGTGGGGAAAATGCTAAAGATATAAAGTAGAAATAGCCTTTGTGTGATGTGAGCAGCAGAACAAAAATCGAGGGTGCCAAATAATCGTATGAAGTGGTGAACTGCCTAAGATGGAATATTGCTGTTCCTAAATCCTGGCTGTGTTGAGACATGTGATCCTGCCGATGAGATGAGAGCTGAACCACTCTCTTCTCCCAGATGCTGGGCTTCCGACCTTAATAGAGACCGAGAAACTTAACAGAGGGCTCAGAAGAGAAATCTATTGAAAGTTACTAGGTGCCAGGTGTCTCGGAAAGTGTTTAACACATGCCTGAGACGTTAAAGGCAAGATTCATGCATTCTTTCAGCAGACAGTTTCTTCACTTACCGGGGAAGGGGGTGTAATATATGGGGGTATAGGGATAAATAATTCTGTGTGCTGTGCAGGCCGTGGAGACTCATCTTCTGCACAGGTCAAGTTCTGAAGTCAGCATATAAGCTGGAAGTGGAGTGAAGTCAAATGACCCTCAAAGATCCTTCCAGACTTCATGCCCTTGGCAACTCAGTTTGGACACTCATATGCTGGTTTCTTCCTTGTATTTATGCAGCAGCCTCCTTTTCCACAAAAAGCAGAGGCCAACGTATCTCACCCCCTCAATTTTTTTACTTTCCCTCTCCCTCCCTGTGCTTGCCTTTCTTTTCTTTTCTTTTTTCTTTTTAAGACAGGCTCTCACTCTTGTCACCCAGGCTAGAATGCAGTGGTGCAATCACAGCTCACTGCAGCCTGTAACTCCCAGACTGAAGCGATCCTCCTGCCTCAGCCTCCCGAGTAGCTTGTACTGCAGATGTGTGTCACCATACCTGGCTGATTTATACTTATATTTATGTATGTGCATGTGTGTTTATATATATATATTTGTAGAAATGGGATTTTGCCATGTTTCCCAGGCTGGGCTCAAACTCCTGGGTTTAAGCAGTCCTCCTCCAGCCTCCCAAAGTGCTGGGATTACAAGCCTGAGCCACCATGCCTGGCCTTTGCTTGCCTTTCTTAATGTCTTTGACAATTCATGTAAATGTGTGTATGATGTAACTCTATAGGACTAAGGGTGTGTGAGGATGCCAGGAGGCTGTTGGTTGACAGGAGTCATGATTTGACTATATGAGGTCACAGAAAATGCTTTTTAAAATTTACCGCCAACCCACAGGAAAACTATTCTCCTTCTTCTAAGGAAAAAAAAAATGTCACGATAAAGCAGCTACATTAATGACAGGCACATCAAGGTTTTAACGTGTTCTCTAGATTTATGATGTGTAGCGTGGTCTCCATTCTAGAAAGCAAAGTAGGGAAAGCACGACTTTGGGGCCAGGGCCCTTTCTGGTTCAGAATGTCCCTGGCCAGTGTGCGCCGTGCAGTGTGGAAGCACGCTTCGGTGCGCATGTAAGTTTACGTGCTATCTGTAGGGACAGTGATTTTTATTCATTAGAGTTTTTGAGTCTAATTGTTTTTAAACTGCCACTTTTGTTTGTTAAAGATACAGATGTCTGGCCATAGAGGAAAGCAAGGTGGATTTATCGTTGCAATTAGATGCTTCACAATTTGAAAACTTATCACTTAAATTGGTGAAATGTCACTTTTATGCAACTTGATGTTTAGAAGTCCTTGGCGTCCAGGACTAAAGTCATGTGCAATTTAACAAGATCTTGGTGAGATAAAGGAAGTTGCGCTTGAGGAAACATTGAAACACACCAGATGGAATTTTCCAATTCCCTCCTACATGATAGAGACTAGGTGAAGGGAGATAGACCACAAATTGATTTTGTGTAACTCTTAAATTAAGTGGAGCAGAGTTAAAAAAAAAAAATCACTGGATTTGAAGTTGGCCTATGTTAGATTACTCCAAGGAAGTTAGTTAATATGTTAATATGAATCTAGATGAACATTGAGTGTTTTGCTCTTCTTGTTAATTTGCGCCATCTACTAATCTCTGGACAATGGAGAAAAAGTCGTAGGTTATGAGTTTTTTATTTATGGACATTAAGCAATATCTTTAAAATGTAAAATGAAGCCGACAAAATGCACAGCCAGATAACAACAACAAATCTAATCTAAAGTGACAGGAAGAGACTCTCCCAGACATTTTTCTCTTTAATGTAACATGACTTTAAATTGATGCAACCCCACAGTGATTGAAAAACTCTCAGAGCTTGTCTCCTATGATTACATTTCTGATCTGTACAACTTAATTTTTTAACTCGGTGAGTCTCAGTTTTGCGAATGAACAGTTCTCTTTTGCTTTCTCTCTCATATTATTTGGGAAGACATTATTTGGCAACCAGGCAGATAAAGCTCTGTTACCACGACGAATACTGAGAAGTCCTAAAACAATAAAGACCCCAAGAACTCACCCTGGAATATGTACCTCCAAATCTCTTCTCTTTTCCTTCTCTCCTTCTCTTTGTTTTTCTTTCTCTTCCTGTTCTCTTGTTTTATCTTGACTTCTCTCGACTGTGGTGACGGTTTGCATATATCTGCGATTGTACTGAAACTTACCAAACATTGTACGTTTTAAATGGGCAAAATGTATTTGAACTATATATATCACAATAAAGCTATAATACTCTTTTAAAGTGTCTCCTGAATCATTACCAGTATAATTATTCTGTGAACTGTATTTTGATGAATTCAGAATTAATTTAAAATGGATTATCCCCCTGTAGAATGGGAGGTAATGCTGAATGATTGTGAATGATTGTGAATGTTTGTTTATTCGGGGTACTCCCTCAAATTTCTTATCCAGTGGTGTCTAGAACATGTTGGGATTTTGTGTGATAGTTTCTTGAGTTGGAAATTGCGTTTCTTTGGCCTCCCATGTGGGTATCAATGAGTTTTACATGGTTTAAAGGCCAGTTATGTGATGGATACTTCTATTACCTTATGTCTTTCTGATTTCATACACTTAAATGTACAGTTTTTATCTTCCTTCAAAACCTTATTTTTCCGAGCAAGTTTTATTTATTCACTTTCAGTCATTACTGAAGTGAATAACAAACATATAACAATGCTATTTTGGGTCATAGCTGTTTTGCTAAGTAATACTTAAAGGCTTTCTGACTATATTTTTAATTTCTCGACAGTCTCCCATGGTTATTTTCTGATCATAACTTGAAAATCAAAGCTTTCTGTTCAGTTTAACCATCTTTTAAAACCCAGTGGTTTTAGCTTGGGTATTAACCTTTAACATAGCTAGCGAAAATTGAACATTTTTATTTGAAATATGCTTAATGTTGTCTTGTGTAAGACAAAAAGTTTAGGGACAAGTGAACCATTTACTTTTCTTTTAATGTGGAAAGCAGTTTACAAATGCTGGTATGACTAACAAGAATGAAAGGACCAGAATGGCAGTTCTGAGCTAGAATGTGATGAGTAAGTACCACCATAGTTAGCGGCTAGGGAAGGGAGGTTGTTCTACAGAGAAACATGCCCATCATTTCTTCTGTTACCTGGTATTCACTCTGGCAATTTCTTTTTGGACTCATTCTAAAATCAGGATTAAGGATATCCACTGAGAAGCTTGCATTTATTACTCTAAGCAAGAAACTTCTATTTAATTTTTTAACCATTTGATTCATATGTATTTAGATTTTAAAATTTCATTTTCTCTTATCCAAATGTATCATATATCTTTAAGTAGGTGAATCTTGGAGTAGATTTTATTATATATCACATCACAGAGTTAAGCTCGGTTCATCTGGATTTTAAAAATCTCTACAGCTTTGAGAATGACTTTGAAACACTCTTTACTGTTGGAGCTTAAAGAAAATAAATCTCTAATGTCCTCTGTATTAATTCACCTGCTTGGAAAGTTAGAGATTAAAAGGTTTAGTAGGATTTTTATATTTTCTATAATTTCTATTTGTATTGGAGTAAACTGTTCGTTGTATGGAGTGGCTTAGCTTTCATAAAACAGAAAGATTCCTATATTGAGAAAAGAGGAAGAAGGAAAAAGTGTAATATAAATACATAAAACTTCCTCTAGCTTTCTTGTGTTATGTGTAAAGGAGTTAGTACGTTACTTTAATTGTGTACTTTGAAGAAAGCAATCTCCTATTTCCATTAATGGTGGACTCTGTGGGTAGAGACATGGATATTTTTCCTTTTATAAGAAAGGTCTTGTCTTTCCTCAGAAGGCATTGTGAGCAAAATAAGGGAAGAAAAAGAGAAGTAGATAAGAAAAACAAATCACAATATTGAAGCAGGACCCGAGTACTATAGCCTTCCTCATATTTTGGTATCTGGAACCGAGGTTGCTAATTAATGACCCAAGAGCTAAGCCTTGTTTGATGAAATGCAAGATGTAATACACAGATTGCCTTGGAGTGATGTGTGATTATTACCATCCATTCATGTGTAATCCCGTATTTGGAAGGTTTGTAATTTGTTTTTGACACATTTCTCTCTGATTTTATACACTCATGCATACAGGTCTCACCTCCCTCCAAAACCTTATTTCCAAAGCAGACTTTGTTTGTTTGGTTTGGGTAATTCATTGGGCCCTATTTGTCTTCCTTATACATAATCTATTTTCTTACTGCTGCCTCTGTCTTCCAAACCAAGAATATAAAGAATGAAGCCTGGGGACTGGAACTTAAAACTTCTGCCGAGAAAAGAAAGTCAAGGCCTGTGGGCTCCTAAAACATCCTGTGGAATTCGCCTCAGATGCCCCTCCATTTGCACTGGTATATGGAGGATGTTTGAAAACCACCAGAACCTATTGTGTACTTTGGAACAATGGCATTTTCCTGCTTGATTGTGAAGATGGCCGCTGGAAAAGAAGCCAACTCCCAGGGGGCACGAGGGGCTAAGCTGTCTCCTGGGAAGTTTGAGGGAGGCCAAGTGTTTTCCAGTTCATTTCCAACGCGTATTTCTTCAGGGCCAAGGGCCCAGCTGTGCCTCATTAGGGGTGAGAGTTTGGCTGTGACACGACTTAATAGAAAAAAAAAAAAAAAAGGAGAAGTCCAACTAGCTGAGTGGCAACAGAACTTGGGACAACCTGTGCCCACAGCCTTTCATGTCCTGTAATGAGTGTGCCATTTGCTCACTGGGAGGAGAAAAAAATGACAGTATGCAACAGTCAACTTTTTCCTGAAGAAAGAGAGAAAAAAATACATATTTTGCAGCCGAGACATCGGGGTACCTGTTAACTTTAGGCACAGCGCTAGTGTCAGCCCTGGAAAGAGACTCCCTGTGAACAGCACTTTTTACCATTTAATCAGCCTGTACTTCTTCGTATTTATAGCCCTGGCGAGGCTGGCCCATTGTTACAAGAGGAAATTGTGATGTTCAGCAGTTTATACCTTGGGAGCTGGAAGCGTTTCTCCATGGTGAATTTGTAATATTAATTGGCCATGTCAGTTCATGACAAATGTAGTGACATCTATTTCAAGTATTTCAGTTTTATGGTGCTGAAGAAGTGACACGCGCTCCAGATAAGTAATCTCACAAAAGATCTTCCCGCTCGCTGTGGAGCGCCTCCAGAACATGCTCTCAGAGGAGATGCAAATAGGCTCAGGGTTCAGGGGGCTGTCCCCTTCCTTTTGCTCAAGGCTCAGAGGGGAGCCAGAGGAATGCAGGGAGGGACGCACTCCCTGTCATTCCCCTTTCAGTCTCAGGAGATTCTGGTTGAAGCTCTGGCATGGACTTTCCTGCCCAAGAAGTGTCCTTGCGGTGATCATTTATGTGATTTGGGTACCTGCTGCTTGTAGGCTGTGACTGTCAGTAGCAGAAATAAATATATTGCCTTTCTCACTGTGTACAGTGGTGCTGTACCAAGGGTGACTCTGCCCATCAAGGGACA
This sequence comes from Homo sapiens, assembly GCF_000001405.40. Lineage (NCBI taxonomy): Eukaryota > Metazoa > Chordata > Mammalia > Primates > Hominidae > Homo > Homo sapiens. Next base: position 78,223,208 of record NC_000016.10, read on the forward strand.
CTTGTCTGGAGATATTTGGGTTGTCATATCTTGGAGGAGAATAGGCTGCTATTAGCATCTAGTGGGTAAGAGCAAGGGATGCTGTAGAACTTCCTACAATGCACAGGCGCATCCTACAACAGAGAATTGTCTGGCCCCAAAAGTCAATAGTGCTGAGGCTGAGAAACCCTGCACTTGTGTGGACCATGCCCTTTTATGCTTTTCAACCTTGAAGCACTAATAGGTCAGAGAAGAATGCCAGGGATGTGTTGATGGGTCTGCAAGAGGTTGATGGGGGATGCTTGAGCTCCTACCAAGTGGAAGGTGGTGTAGGCAAAGAGAAGGATGCATAGGCACATTGGACGGTGGAAGGCAGGGGCTGCTGAATGATGTGGCAGGAAACATGCAAAGTGCTCAGCGTCCCTGGGCGGTGCAGAGTCTTGGGAAGCAAGAGGATGGAGCCATCCTTTCAGTTTCCAGCCTGGGTTTCCCAAAGGAGAGGGTGTTTGAGTTCAGTGGCAGAGAGAGTGGGGAAGAGTGTTGGAGCCCAGCTGAGTGGCCACCTTTGTCAAATGGAGCTGAGAAATGATTTTCACATGGCTGGCGTAATGGCGGAGTTTCCAAAACAGCAGCACAACAAAATAGCCATTTACATGTCAAGACTATATTCATAGAATCCATATGTCTAAGGTGGGGAAGTTGTCATTATTCCTGTTTTATAGATGAGGAAACAGAGGCCCAGATGGAGTAAGTGACTGCTGAAGTACACATGATTTGTCAGTAGAAAGGAAGAGACCAAAGGTGGCATCAACTTTATCTTTCCTTCTTTTTTTTGAGACTGGAGTCTTGCTCTGTTGCCCAGGCAGGAATGCAGTGGGGTGATCTCAGCTCATTGCAAGCTCCGTCTCCTGGGTTCACACCATTTTCCTGCCTCAGCCTCCCAAGTAGCTGGGACTACAGGCACCCGCCACCAAGCCCAGCTAATTTTTTGTAATTTTAGTAGAGATGGGGTTTCACCACGTTAGCCAGGATGGTCTCTATCTCCTGACCTCGTGATCCGCCTGCCTCGGCCTCCCAAAGTGCTGGGATTACAGGTGTGAGCCACCACGTCCGGCCTGTTTTTCCTTCTTTGTTAAGTGGAACAAGTCATTTTTTTGGTGGTCATTTCCAATATGTAATTCCTGATAACACACGTATATATTATCTCTTTAAAAATTAAAAAAAAAAAAGCCAGCCAAAAAAAGAAAATGGAAGTGTTCAAGAAACTGCCTTTTTTCATGTAATAGTATTTCTGTGTCACTAAATCCTTCAACAGCATTATTTTTAATAGCTGCCCAATGTCCTAATGGATGGGTGAGTCATGATTTACTTAACCAATCCCCTGTTGTTGGACATACAGGTTATTCACAGCTTTTCTCTATTGTAAGTGGAATTGCAATGAATGTTTTTGTAGTACACACCAGTGAGTGATTCCTTGGTGCGCTTGGAAGTGCTGGTTCCAAGAATAAGATAAGGCTTTGAGATTAATTGCCAAATTGCTTTCTTGAAATATTGAGGCTACTATTTTCCAGTATCTTCACTAGGAATAAGTAACGTTTTTCTAAAGCTGAGTAGTAAGAGAAAGGTAGAATCTAATTTTACTGTGCATTTTCTTGATTATTAGTGAAGCTAAACATTATTTTTTATTGATGTGTTAACAATTTCTTTCTTTTGCAAATGATCTATTAATGTTCTGTGACTGATTTCTATCTTGGTGTCTTTACGTTTGTGAATGGTAAGAATTTTTATGTGTTCAGGAACTATTTAAATGTTCAAGACATTAACCTGTGGTTATGTATATCACAGGTACAGTCACATCGCTTAACAAGGGAGATACATTCTGAAAAATGTATTGTCGGAATTCTGTCATTGCATGAAGATCATAGAGTGTATTTACACGAGCCTAGATGGATAGCCTACTACACATCCAGGCTATATGGTATAGCCTCTTCCTCCAGGGCTATGAACCTGTATAGTATATTACTGTAATGAATAGTGTAAGCAGTTGTAATACAATGGGACATATTTGTGCATCTAAACACACCTAAACATAGAAAAGGTACAGTGAAAATATGGTATTATAATCTGATGGGATCGGCATTGTGTACATAGTTCGTTATTGACTGAAATGTTGGTATGAGGTGTATGACTATGTTTTCTCATGACCTCTGCTTTTTTTGTCTTTAAGTTTTTAATTTTTGTTTTACTTTTGTCTTTTAATTTTAATTCTATTGCAACCAAATCTATCAGCCTGTCTTCTATGATCTCTGCTTTTAATTGTTACGCTTTAAAAATCCTTCTCCATGGTAACATTATATTGACTCATATGTCTTACTGGTTGAACGTGCCTATGTTTGACTTTGAAATCATTAAATTCATTGAGGATTTGTTTTGCCATGAGGAATTGGGTAAGGATCCAGCTGATTTTCTCCAGATGAGTAGTTCATTGTCCCAACACCAGTTATTGCAATAAGTTATTCCTTCCCCAGGAAATATACCTGGGCTAATTAAGAAAACTGTGCTTCAATGTAATTATTCCACCTTAATGCATGAAATATTAGGTTAACATGGAAAAAACATGGCATCCCATGTTTTAGTATTTTTTCCTTATTTCCAAGCAGCACCTCTCTTTGAATTATATTCTGTTCTCTGTTTTTATAATTTGACTCCCTTCTATTCTACATCTAAATAGTGCATTGTCTGTTTTCACTCAGGACTTTAAAAATAGTTCTAGTACTAATTGTATTTTTATTCTAATACTGCTATTCCTTTTACTGGTACTTCTGCATCTTAAAAAAACAAAACAAAACAACGAAAACTTGGCATGTTGGCTCACTTGGTGAATGAAAGCATATACTGTTCAGTTGTTTATTCTTCAGCAACATCTGAGTATCCTCGAGAAATGAGTGGAATGAACCGCTAGAGATGAATAGCCTTAAGCCCTCAAAGCTGAGCCCTTTGGGGTAACTTGCTCTAATTCTGCCCTCTCCAGTTTGAGTTTAGGTTAAATTCAGCTTGCAGATTGCACCAAGCCTGATGCCTCCCAGCCATCAAGGAAAAGGGTACCTAACATTTTGAATCTCCATTAATCTTACAGCTCAGATCCTGTGTATTAAATCTCAGCATTTTCAGGGATGTATACTCTGGCAGAAAAACTTTAATGATTTTTTTTTTCTGATGCTGCCTAGAAAATATTAGAAAGAAGACCCTTCTTTCCTTTCCTTTCTTGTCCTGTCCTGTCCTGTCCTGTCCTGTCTTCCCTCCCTCCCTCCCTCCCTCCCTTCCTTCCTTCCTTCTCTCCTTCTCCTCCTCCTCCTCTCCTTTTCTTTTCTTTTCCTTTCCTTCTTCTTCCTTTCTTCCTTTATTTCTTTCTTCCTGTATTATTTTCTTGTATAGCTCAGGTCTCACTGCTTTGCTGCCATTCTTGTGGAGAATAATAGGTAACAGAGGTGTGCACCTGGCCTCATTTATTGTCACACTGGATAGGTAATAGACGCCGGCATGGCTATGCTGTGGTTCCTGCTGATGGGCACACTATTACAGGTGCATGATAAGTGTGTCGTACGCAGGAAGTACGTTTCCCCCAGCCTTCCCTACCTGCTGAGGGCTGCTCCCAGCCTAAGGATTTCATCCAGATAGATTCATAGCGCTTCCAGTAAATGCACCCCTTGCCTTTCAAAGTTGAAAAAGAAATTACTTTGGACACAAAGAGGTGTTTCTTTTGACACAGCAGGCATGTGAAAAAATAAGCAAAAAAACAAGAGGGATTTCTGTTACCATTGGCATGTGCTTCTCTTTTACTTCTTTAGTTCACAATGCCAGTGGTTCAGCTTCCCGTTCTGATCCTCACTGCTCTAATCTCTTCATCTGTGCTTGCAATCACAGCCACGCGGGCTCGCAATATTACCACGAAATCATTTTATCTGTTGGAATCTCTTTCCTGTTCATTACTCTTTTTTATCCCCAGGTAGACAAACACCCTAAGTTTACCTCTTGCGAATTGTACGCTTTAAGGTTAAGGAATTCGTAGTTGAATAAGAATGACTTTTCACATAAATTTAATGGAGTTTTATCTTCTGAGCCAAGGCTTTATTTAAGGAGTCTTGGGAGGTAATCATGTGTTACCTGAGACTCTCCGCCCATAGGATGTAGTTCCTTTCCATTGGAACACATGGGGACCGAGGGAATAAAGAATGTTTTCATCTCTGAAAATATCTCTCATTCTTCCAATCAATGCTGCTCTTTTCTTGCATACTGTATACTGGGAAGCATTTGTTTCGATTTGTGGTTAAATGTATGTGTCCACTGGACTTCAGTATCCACCCTTTGAAGGACCGCAGGAGAAGTTGTTCAGGTAGAAACATACAAGGGCCGGATGCGGTGGCTCACACCTGTAATCCCAGCACTTTGGGAGGCCTAGGCGGGTGGATCACTTGAGGCCTGGAGTTTGAGACCAGCCTGGCTAACATGGTGAAACCCTGTCTCTACTAAAAATACAAAAATTAGCCAGGTGCGGTGGCGCAAACCTGTAATCCCAGCTACTTGGGAGGCTGAGGCAGGAGAATCGCTTGAACTCGGGAGGCGGAGGTTGCAGTGAGTCGAGTCGTGTCAGTGCACTCCAGCCTGGGTGACAGAGCGAAACTCTGTCTCAAAAAACAAACAAAAAGAAACATACCGGGAGATCTGGTTCTATTGAACCCCAGTGCAGCCATGGGTAGAATTTTAGGCTTATTTATATTCCATTTCACCACAAGATGTCACCAGGGCACCACACCAACATGGTCTATGGACCCTCTCTCTGGCAAATAGAGTTATGGTCATCAAACAGCACCTGCCCAGGGCTATGGGGAGAGGAAGCTGGTTGGCTTTGTCACAAATGCCTTGATGTCTCTTTCCTCCCCTGGGGCCCATCTCTTCCAGCCTTTGCATAGAGAGAGAAGGCAGGCAACAGGACACAAGAAGATTTTCCCAGAGTCCAGGGTGTTCTCTTACCCCTGAAATCGTTTCTTCACTGGATGGGAAGGCAGGCACCCAGGGGGAGATGGCATCAGCTGCATAAACAATTTTTCTCCTCAGTAGACATTTACATGAGTCAATAGGAATCATATTCTCTCTTTTTTTTTTTTTTTTTTTTTGGAGATGGTCTCACTCTGTTACCCAGGCTGGAATGCAGTGGTGTGATCTCAGCTCACTGCAGCCTTGACCTCCTGGGTTCAAGAGATCCTCCCACCTCAGCCTCCTGAGCAGCTGGGACCACAGGTGCTTGCCACCATGCCCAACTAACTTTTGTATTTTTTGTAGAGACAGGGTTTCACCACATTGCCCAGGCAGGTCTCAAACTCCCGGGCTCAAGCGATCCTCCCACCTTGGCCTCCCAAAGTGCTGGGATTACAGGTGTGAGCCACTGTATCTGGCCTAGGAATCATATTCTCTTCACTGAAACATTTCAGATGACTTAAAAATTCACCTTGTAGAACTTTTAAAATTGAAACTTTCTGGTGAACATCATTAGTTGACAGATATGTCATTGAAGTTTCATCCTTCTTCATTTCAGAGTCTGCTGGAAGACCCTTCATTTACCACTCTCTCCTTCCTGGAGGTGTGGAAATACTCTACCTGGGTGAGGCTCTCGTGGCTTTTTGTGCCAAGTGTCCGTAAACTTCAACTTAATTGTTTTAAATCCTTTGTGGTGATTATGCGGAAGGTCAAATCTAACAGGAAGCTCCATGTCCACTTGATGTGTACTTACTTCTATTTTTGCACCTTGTGTTGTTTGTTATCCTGAATTATGCCAGGGCTGGTTTGTGCTAAGATACTTGTTATTTGACCTCATAATACCAGCATGTCCCGTTTGTATAACCCTCTCTGTAGCTTCTTCCAGCATGTGATCATACATCTACCTAACCTCTCCCATTGGTTGAATTTAATATACTAGTGAATTTTCCATTGCAAAGATGAGGTTACGAATCATAGTGTTCATACTCAGAAGGACTTTATAAATATTTTGCCTTTTTGAAGTATATACAAGAAATGAAAAAAAAAACAGGAATAAATAAAAAGAATAAAAAGAGCCAGGACTAGAACCTACAATTCCTGACTCTTGATCAAATTGCTTTTCTTTTTAACTCTAGTTAAATATTTTCCATTCTTTTTAACTCAAGAAGCCTTTGTTTTTGTTGTCATCGTTTTATGATTAACTTATATCTGGTCCTTTAGACATTTAGATTTTTTCTGTTTTATCTCTCTCTATATGTATATCTGTATATATATTTATCTATATCTATATAGAGATATATATATATATATAAAATAATGAATGAAATGGACTGTTTGCAACCTCAGATGTATTTCTAGGACTTAGAGTGATTAGCTTGAGGCGATGGTAGTTTCTGTTTTTGGAGTCTCTGTAGGTCTCAGACTCACAGTCTGTACTTCTTGTTTTGGGGGCTAATTAAGTGGACAGTTTCAGTGTTGGTAGCTCATTTAAGCCATAAACATGCAGACCATGTGGAATCCCATTAGTCAAACCTTAGCAGAGTGCCTTGATGAGTACCTCCTTTTCTTTCTGAATTCTATTAGTTGATGCTTTGTTCTTTCTCCCCAAGAGCCATATCTCAGCTATTTCTTTTCATTTCTTGTGTATAGTTCAACATCTTTCTTTCTTTTTTTTTCTAAACAGGATCTCACTCTGTCACCCAGGCTGGAGTGCAGTGGCATGACCATGGCTCACTGCAGCCTCGACCTCTGGGGCTCAAGCGATCCTTCTGCAACAGCCTCCCTAGTAGCTGGGACTACAGGTGCATGCCACCACACCCAGCTAATTTTTATATTTTTTGTGGAGATGGGGTTTTACCATGTTGCCTAGGCTGGTCTCGATCTCCTGGGCTCTAGCAATCCTCCCACCTCGGCCTCCCAAAGTGTTGGGATTACAGGCGTGAGCTACCGTGCCCGTGCCCGGCCTTACGTTTCAGCATCTTTCAATCCATCTAATACGCAGTGCCAGGGAAGGTTTGTGAAAACATTTGAATCACAGAGTCACAAACAGTGAGAATAGCTGCAGTTATGTTTGTGATGCTCTAATGAACTTACAAAAGGCCAGGCCTAGTATTTCAGCTGTGTCCATGATGTCTCTGATGGAAATGGACAGGTAACATGATGTACACAAGCATTTGACTGTTGCATCCTTTGATTGGGCCATGTTCATGCAGCCAGCCTGGGAAAGCAATTAGTAGTTTTAAGCATGGGAAATCATATAAAAGTAAACTAAAATTGCATTTGAATTAATTGATGAACATGTTTGCTTGACCATATCCTGCTGTTAGGCGTCTTCAAGTTAACTTAAGTGGTTGATAAAACTTTCCAAAAAGAATACTATCAACTGCTGAGCACCTGTTGTCAGAGTTGTGGGTAATTCGCAAAGGTTTTCAAATGGAAAAGTTGTTTTCTCCTGCTAGGAAGCATGGTCTCAGATCCACTTCTAAGGTCAGTGTGAAAGGGAAGGCAAATTCACTTTGAGCAGGGGAGGCATGATCTGGAAGATAAAGCAGCTAGGAGTATAGACTAGGGGGCTGATGGAGGGGAACACCTATCACAATATGTGTTCTCACACCAATGGTATATATTTTCCACACATTTAGATTCTCCATGCCACTCCTTATCTCTTTAGTGCAGAAAACGGAGAGGAGGTTCAGTATTCTTAAGAAACTCCCATGATTGCTTTGAGGCAATGGATTTAACAGGTATCTTTATCCCTTATTTACGCACTGACTGTGGTACTGAGTCATCCCTGGTGTTTCTGGATTTTATTGGCAATGCCAAGAGAGCAGGAAGACTGGGACGTGAACTGACAACATTTATGATTCTGGCAGCTTGACATCACCCAACTGTTCTCTTTGTTTGGTTTTGCTTCAGACTTAGTTTAGTTTTGTTTTTTAAGGGCTGGGGTGGAGGAGAGGGATTTGCTCTTGCAGTTTTCCTTTCAAACCAAACTCTTTCAAAGCCTTTTGCAAACTCTTTTATGGATTTTACTCACTGGTTGAGCAAGAGTTACTTATGAGATGTGGCTTCGGCATTTTCACAGTGTCCATAAAAAAATGTATATTACTATGCATTGCACATTTGCCACTTAGAATTTCTGAATGCAAATTAATCAACTTGCAGCTGTGACTAACAATAAAACACAGGATAATGTACCTACAGAAATGAGGGCATTGGAAATCCGCTCTCAGGTGGCCATCGAAAATAGTCAGCCTGAGTGTTGCTACCTGTTTTCCATAATTGTGTAGCTTTGCCTTTCCTTAGTTAATCTGTTCAATAAACTCCTCTGCAGAATCCAAATGCTTAAATTCAGTTTCTTTTTGTCTTTATGGTGTTTTTCATTGTTAACGTGGCATCGGAGTAGCTCGACTTTTGCATCATGATAAATTCATAACCCAAGAGAAGGCAGAAAACATAATTATTATCAATTGCCTCTCTCCTGGAATTGCCATTGGCTGAGTGGAACAAAATACGAACTTAAGGAGTAGCTGATTCAGAGAAATCCAGGGTAGGAACGGGTCCCATCTTGATTTCAATGTCTTTTTTGAGGAGGCCTTCCCATTGCACTTCTCTTCAAGTTTGCCCAGATAGTAAGTTCTACTAGACATGTCAATTTTTTCTGAGGTCTAATCTTGATTTTTTTTTTCCTGCACAATATGGAATTCAGTGTTTTTATTTAATCATTCAGTAAGTCTTGACTGCCTGCTATGGAGGTTAAGCCCTTTACTAAGTTCCAAGGATGTACCTGTGAATAAGGCAAGTTCCTTTTTATCATTGTCTTTGCAGTCTATTAGGGGCTACACAATTTAAACAGAGAATATATATAAAATGGTAGAAAGTACAAGTAAGTATACCTTATTTTTTTTAAAAAAATGAATGTGGTATTTCACCCACAGCCTCAAGAATCACTTTCCTTAAAATTGCCAGAGTAGGAAAACTTACAATTGAAGAATTTCAGGTATTTATGGGAAAAATAGTATTAGGGCAATTGCGGTCAAACACATTCGTCTGTTCGTTCAATTACAGCAGTAAGGATGGAAGTCTAAAGAGAGTTTCTACGTGATCTTATTTATCCTGCATTTATAAATACACAAATTCTTGTACAATTAACTCAGTTTTTCACTCCTTTCTTGCTTGCAACTTGTCAGGTCGTTCCCTCCCCAGTAGTTGTGAACTTCTTTATGCTAGCTTCTTCCATCAGGGGCTCACAACCAGGGACTGTAGAGGTTTGCAGAGGTAAATCTTGGTAGATAAGGATTTTATGAAAAGGGAGCTCACTGTTGGTGAAAAATCCTTGTTTCTACAGATTTTGGGTCAAGATAAGAAAAATTAACTTTTAAAATCTGAGGAATTTGGAGATTATCTCCAGGGGCTGAATATATTTTTATGGGAGAAATAAAATGGATAGTTTTAAACTTGAATTTAGTTTTTCCTAATGGAGGCCCTTTTGAAGATCAAATGGGATCTGTAAAAACTCTTTGAAAAATGTAGACTGCTTCTTATGTGATTCTTACTGGTCTATTATTTATCAAGAAATTAAAAAGGAATGAATATCTGTAGCTGTTTTTCTTTTTCTTTCTTTTCTTTTCTTTTTTTTTAAGATGGAGTCTCGCTCTGTCACCGGGCTGGAGTGCAGTGGTGCTATTTCGGCTAACTGCAATCTCTGCCTCCTGGGTTCAAGCAATTCTCCTGCCTCAGCCTCCCAAGTTGCTGGGACTACAGGCGTGCGCCACCATGCCCAGCTAATTTGTAATTGTTTGTTTCTAAAAGGATATTCAGTGCTTCCACTGTCTTTTAGAAGTCTGTAGAAGGAAGGCCAAGAAAGAAATACCCATTATTTTGGCTGAAGATGATCACTTTAGCTGAAACCAGTTCAGGTTCAAACTCAGACATTGGTGCTATTTTCATATATCTGAAATGTTCTGAAAAGATTACTGACGATCAACATGCTGAACTGACATTTCACAGATATGCAGATTTATTCATCTCTGTTCAAGGTATGCCTTTTCCAATCATAATAGCCACGTAGAGGACATTAAACAAATATTTTATTGTGGTAAAAACACTTAACATGAGACCTACCCTTTTAACAAATTTTTAAATATATAATTTATTATTATTGTTGACTATAGGTAAAACAGGACATTTTTAACGTGCTGTGGTGGCCTATTGGACTTTCAGCCTCCCTGGGTGTATTTCGCTGTATATGTGTACCATGTCAGCTTACCCTAGAATTTGAAACATTTTCCTTTGATGATTAAATTTTTTTTTTTTTTTTTTTTGAGATGGAGTCTTGCTCTTTTGCCCAGGCTGGAGTGCACTATCGCGATCTCGGCTCATTGCAAGCTCCGCCTCCCGGGTTCATGCCATTCTTCTGCCTCAGCCTCCCGAGTAGCTGGGACTACAGGCGCCTGCCACTACACCTGGCTAATTTTTTTGTAGTTTTAGTAGGGATGGGGTTTCACCGTGTTAGCCAGGATGGTCTAGATCTCCTGACCTGGTGATCCGCCTGTCTTGGCCTCCCAAAGTGCTAGGATTACAGGCGTGAGCCACCGTGCCTGGCCTGATGATTCAGTTTTTACCCCAAGATGCAGTATGCCTCAGTCTCACTAAAATATGCCAATATGTTCTTCTTCTTGAGGATCAGGGCTGATTTCTTCTACTGGGAAAATGTATCCCCTGTGTTTGGCCCCAGAGGCATCAGGGTAACCTGCTCTCTTCCATTCTCAAAGCAGAAACAGTGTTCCTAACATTCTAAGCCTGGGAATAGGATGGCAGGTCGTGGGACCAGCATTTTAATTACCTAAAGGGAACTTATTGATTTTAGTCCAGAACACGGTGGGGAGGAGTTCATATTCTTTTTTTTTTTTGAGTCTGGATTTTAGAATAAATTCACTGTGTACATAGCTATTCCATCTTTAAAAACCTTTGTGAATGTTAATATACAGCCTTTATAAATTTGAGGTATAATGTTCAAAATGCTCTAATCCCTAAATTTTCCAGTCTAGGTTATTATACTTTTATGACTATTCATTTTGATGTAGGCCTTTTAAAATCAATTCCTCCCTGTTATTACAATGCTGCTTTATGGTATTTGTGATATATCATATGAATATACTTGAGGGTCATGAGAAGTTCATATGTGTGTGTGTAGTGTGGGCCCCAGACTTTCGCCATACCGCTGGCTAAAGTGGCCATGTTTTTGTACGTCTCTGCAGAGCTTACAAGTTATTCAACAGCCAGATTTCTATTCTGATATGCCCTTTTAGTTTTCAAAGCATCGAAAAAGGGTAATCTTTAGAACCGAAGTATTTGGAAAACTCCTAGACTTGAATAAGGTATTTTTGAATTTGAAGAGCTAAGAACCCATCAAATCAAAATGCTAATAATTCTTCCAAGTCAAAAGGTAACTCTCATTTTATTATGCATTGACCACCATTCACTTTCTGTTGGACTGCTTTTGGAAAAAGAACCACAAGTCTCTATTTTTAAAATAGAGGTACAATGATAAAACAAAACAAAACAAAACAAAAAAACAACAAAAAAAAACCCACACAGGTCTCATCAGCCAAGGGATTTAAAAATCAAATTTAACTTCAAAAAACTGAAGTTGATATAGCAGGATCTTGGAGATGCAGTTTCTTCACTTTTCTTTTTTTTCTAACTGAGGGATTAAGGATATAAACCCAACTTCAAATTTCTTTCTGGGTGGTCTTGAAAACTTAACAGTAGGTCCTGTAAAGAGGTGGGGGAGAGGAAAAAGAAATCCTTTACTCTCATCTGCTGGTTTTAAAATGAGAAAAATACACACACACACGTAATGATGTTCGTGATGTTAATGGAGGGAAATATCATAAATAATTAAGAATTTAAAATTATTATAAAATATTTAGTATTATTGTTGTTACTGTTATTAGTAGGAAGGGGCCTTGCCATGCTTCCTTTCTTCAAACAGCTCAGTACTTTAAAATCGAGTGTGGCTGTGTTTGTCAGTCGTGGTTTGTGTTCTTTGATTTGTTCTGCATGTTCTTCTTTTGGAGAGGATGTGTCACTTTGCCAATCTTGGTCCTTGCTGTTGTCTGGTGGAGGGAAACAAGCCTGCCAGGCCGGCTCATCTGACCCCTGGTGGCAGGGAGTGGAGGTGCACTCAGGATGCTCTTGGGGAATCATAAAGGAGGTTAAAGAAAGGGACAGCAGAACCCTGACAATCCTTGCCCCTAAGCATGGAAAAGCCTCCGGACCGGGTCTGGAGTGCAACAGAGGCCCCTGACCTTGTCTCTAGCTCTCTGTCTGCATCTTCAGCGTGGCTTCACTGGTTTCTAAGTCTCTGGTGTCTTTTGTCTTTTGCAGCCGGCTTGCAATTGCCTCCTTCTAACTCTCAAAAGGATGCATGGGATGGGTTCAGTGTAGTCACTGTTGTGCCTTTTGGACAAGGCTTTCCAGCCAGGCCACCCTGTTTACAAGGCTGTCCTCACGTCATGGGCGCTCATATTGTCCAGACTAGATGGTCAAGGTGATTGGGGGAAGGAAGTCACAGAGCCACCAATTACTAAGGAACTGCCCAGAGATCCTGCCTCACTGGGAACCTGTGAGTGGGCTGGTTTCCCCCAGCAGAGGGGCTGTAGCATAGCAGGTACCCACAGGAGCCTGGGCATGGCCTTTTTCTCTAAAGGGCTGGATAGTCAATATTTTTAGCTTTGTGGGCTTTATGGTCTCTGTTGCAACTTCTCAACTCTCCTGTTACAGCAGGAAAGCAGCCACAGATAATATATAAATGGACGGATGTGTTCCAATAAAACTTTATTTATAGGAACAGGCAGTGGGCCAGATTCAGCCCGTGGGCCATAGGTTGCCAGCCTCTGACTCTGGTGTTCAGATCACAGACTTTGGATGTCTCATATCTGAATCTTTCTAATCTCGTGATAGGGCAAGGTAATTAAAATGTTAATACGTTAGTTTTCTCACTGTCAATGTGTTCTATGACATCATTTATGCAAAGCATACAAAGCTGAGAATAAAGTCTCAGCAAATGCTAGTTTCCTGGCCTCCTTATACATACTTACAAAGGATGGTGGGAGATAGTTTGAGATTTGAGGCCTCTGAAGAATAGGTGTTTTTGTGATGATTTTGGCTTTTCAGTTTGACAGTTGGCTTTGCTTTTTTGACAGACACATTAAGAGCTTCAAGGGTCATTTCATGGTTTGTCCTTTCCATGTCAGGGACACCTTTCACGTGGCCATTTTAAGCACAGGAATTGCCTTCAAGTAGTTTACTCGTACGAACTTGTCTGTAATCATCTTTCCCCATTTGGATGGTGGGTTGCCCATTTTAATTCAAGGTTTGTCTAATGTGTTAGTGCATATTCTTGGCTCAAGCAGGATAAGACACTAGTAACCATGAACCTGTATATCAAAAAGCGTGACTAGAGTTTCATAGTTAAACATGTGCTGAAATCCACAGTGGACACCAGAGAGGGTCATGGAATCTGGGAATGGATGACTTGTCCCATGATGATAATATCTGTGTTCCTACGGCTGGGCCCGGTGGCTCACACCTGTAATCCCAGCACTTTGGGAGGCCGAGATGGGAGGATCACGAGGTCAGGAGTTGAAGACCACCTTGATCAATATGGTGAAACCCTATCTCTACTAAAAATACAAAAGTTAGCCGGTGTGGTGGTGCATGCCTGTAATCCCAGCTACTCAGGAGGCTGAGGCAGGAGAATCACTTGAACCCAGGAGGCGGAGGTTGCAGTGAGCCGAGATCACGCCATTGCACTCCAGCCTGGGTGACAGAGTGAGACTCCGTCTCAAAAAAAAAAAAAAAAAAAAAAATCTGTGTTCTTGCCTGGCTTATTGAGCTCCATGGTAAATGTTCAGAGGCTGCAGGAATGATTCAAAGTCTGACTGATTTATGTGCATTGGGCATTTTGTTGATGTCATTCAGATTAATGATGGCACTGAAAATGTGTAATGGAAATGAGAAGTTTGTATCCTGCCTGCTATACCATGATTCCAATTTAAGAGGGGGTAAAAATATTGCACTTTTTAATCTATTGTTTTTTGAAAGAGACTGTTTAAAACACGTAATTTTGCTAAGTTATGGCTCATATCGTATTTGTTATTTTGGTTTTGAAAAATTGAGTAGGAAGCAATTGCGTTCTTAAATGACTTGAACATCAAAGGCAAGTAGTGTCTTGTTTTAGGAGCAGCCAGGCTCCTATCCCTCTGATCCAGCCAAGTGCTTTCACTTGGTCCCACTCTGGGGAATCACCAGTGGTTCTCACTCTGGGAGAGGCCCCTGGTTGACCTGGAATGACCTAGACCAGCAGTCACAAGCTCCTGCCCATGGACAAAATACAGCCGGTACCTCTTTGGCTATGGCCTGCAGGCTCAGAATAGTTCTTACATTTTCAATCATCTGCAAAAAAGAATAAAGAGGAGAATATTATTTCTTGAAGGAGGAAAATGATATGGAATTCTGATTTCAGTGTCATAAAGTTTTGAATTTCATCAATAAAAAATTTGCAGAAATTTGTTTTTCTCTCCTGTTATGTAAATACCTCTGTAATAGCCTCGGTTTTGCCTCTTGGCTCACAAAGCCTAAGTTGTTTACTATTTAGCCCTTTACAAAAAAAGTTTGCCAGCATCTGATGTCCAACAACAATTTTCAGTCTTTTTTGTAGCTCCCAAATTCTCTCATTAAACCAGATCCCTTGAGGGAAGCCTGGTTTACAAAATAGATTAAGTGATGTGGCTGTTTGGAGCAGGAGGCTGTGGTCTGAGTCTTGCTGGCCTCAACCCTCAACTCACTTCCACACCTTACCTCCTGGGGATAAGGCTGCCTTCGTCTAGAAAGTGCCTCGGTTCCAGCTTGGAAATATCCATGTACAGTCCCTTTTTTGTTATTCCAAAACCCAAAGAGATCTGAAAAGCAAAAACAAATTTATTGTATATTTATAGCAAATTTATTTGGTGGTGAAATTTGACTTCAGCTTTAGCGTCCCTGTTTCTCCTTTCTAGTGTGAATGTTCATTTTGTTTTGTTTGTTTTTTTGAGGCAAGGTCTCACTTCATCACCCAGGCTGGAGTGCAGTAGTGTGTTCACAGCTCAGAGAAGCCTCGACCTCCCGGGCTCAGGCGATCTTCCTGCTGTAGCCTCCCAAGTAGCTGGGACTCCAGGCATGTGCCACCATACCCAGCCAATTTTTGTGTCTTTGTAGAGATGCGGTTTCTCTACCATGTTGGCCAGGCTGAATAATCATATTTTCACTGAAGAAATAGAAATGTCATTGTTATAGGATGTTGCCCCAAACCCCGCAAAGGTATTTTGTAATATGCAGTATATGTGCTAAATTACTTTTTTTGTTGTTGTTGAGATGGAGTTTCGCTCTTGTTGCCCAGGCTGGAGTGCAGTGGTGTGATCTTGGCTCGCCATGATCTCTACCTCCCAGGTTCAAGCGATTCTCCTGCCGCAGCCTCCCGAGTAGCTGGGATTACAGACATGTGCCACCACACCCGGCTAATTTTGTATTTTTAGTAGAGATGGGGCTTCTCCATTTTGGTCAGGCTGGTCTCGAACTCCGGACCTCAGGTGATCTGCCCACCTTGGCCTCCCAAAGTGCTGGGATTACAGTACCTGGCCCAAAATACCTTTCTAACATGGAGGAATTAGGAATACTGAAGGCATCGGCCCCCAAGGGTTTGATGTGCTCTTGTCCCCAAGGCCTGCAGATTTGCATCACCTCTCCACTTCGTGGACTCCTCGTACCTGCCTGATTCCAGGATGCTCTAACCTGGCCACGCATCCCCCGTGGATTCTCAGCTGTTGTGTGTTTCCTCCTCAGGTGGCCACTGTGTCTGGTGCTCACCCACATTTTGGTTCATCCTGACTTTGCCTCAGCCTCCCCATTCTGCATTTCTCCCACGGCTTCTCCCAGCCCTGGCCCAGTGACACTGTAATGTGGACTGTGGCATCCCCTGAGTCTAAGCTGTTGACCAGCTCTTGATGGACAGATGCTGGCAGAGATGGGGAAGGTGCTGTTCCCTTCCTCCTGGGAAGGGCAAAGAAAGCAGGGTGGTCCTCCCATCCCCGTGAGGAAGGAAGAGCCTCATTCATGCTGAGACCCTGATGGAGAACTGGGTCCAGGGATAATGTTTTGTGTTCCTGCTCATGGGACTGGTGTGTTATTGTCAAGGGATCTTACAGGCCTTGCTTCCCAGGCCCCTCTATCCCCTCTGTTCTTGCTTAGGCATTAGTGATTTGGTTCTTCTAGCTTTTTTTCTTTTTTTGAGACAGGGTCTCGCTTTGTCATACAGGCTGGAGTGCAGCAGCGCGATCTTGGCTCACTGCAACCTCCGCCTCCTGGGTTCAAGCAATTCTCCTGTCTCAGTCTCCTGAGTAGGTGGGTCTACAGTCACATGCCACCACGTCTGGCTAGTTTTTGTATTTTTTAGTAGAGATAGGGTTTCACTTGTTGGCCAGGCTGGTCTCGAACTCCTGACCTCAGGTGATCCGCCAGTCTCAACCTCCCAAAATGCCGGGATTATAGATGTGAGCCACCACACCAGGCTGGCTCTTCTAGTTTTTGAAGCTCACTTTTCTTTTTTCCTCAAGACTCACAGGGAATGGGACCAGGCACCTGTCTTTATACATTCTCAAAGTCCATGGTGACGATGCCATGCTCCGGTTCTAAGCCAGTTGGACAGACACAGGCAAGGGAAGCTGTCAGTGTGGGTGTGAGTTGCAGTGTAAGGGTAGTGGGTGGAATAGCGTCTCCCCAAAATCCACACCCACACAGAATCACAGATGTAACGTTATATGGAAACAGGGTCTTTGCAGATGTAATTAGCTAAGAATCTCAAGGTTAAATCATTCAGGCTTTAGAGTGGGCCCTAAATCCAATGACGGTTATCCTCATGAGAAGAGGAAAGCAGGGGGCACAGTGGTGGGTGTGCCTGCAATCCCAGCTACTCGGGAGGCTGCGGAGGGGGCATCACTTGAGCCCAGGAGTTCATTGCCAGCCTGGGCAATATAGCAAGACCCCATCTCTTAAAAAAAAAATAACACCAAAAGACAAAACAGAAAAAGGAGGAGAGGACACAGAGGAGAAGGCTCTGTGAAGTCAGAGGCAGAGATTGGAGTGATGCGTCTACAAGCCAAGAGATGCCACGGTCATGGGCAGCCCCCAGAAACGAGGAGAGAAACCTGGCACGGTTTCCACAAGGAGTCACCCCTGCCAACACCTTGGTTTCAGACTTCTGGTCTCCTGAACTGTGAGAGTCAGTTTCTGTTGAGCTTGTGCTGATACGCTAGGGCAGCCCTAGCACACTGCCACATCTGGTTTCCCGGAGGAACTTCACAGGGTCTTTGTTCTTTATCTACAGTCTCTGGAAGTCTCAGCAGCCTCCTGTGTTCGCAACTGTCATTCCAGAGCAGCCGTCTCGTGTTATGCATTTGCTTACTCATAAGCAAATATTTCACAAGAACCTGCGAGGGCCAGGCTGGGCCAGGCAGGTATTGCAGGTGCAAGGATCTATATAAGACAGTGCCCTTTAGAAGATCCCTGTCTCATTGAGAAGCGTTGAGTAAATGGGTCTCTCTGGTCATTCTCTCCAGAACATGAAGCCAAAGGGCTGAGAGGGAGAGACTCCAAGAATGAATTAGTGTCCAGCAAGGTATCGCTTGTCTCAGGATGACAACTTGCAATTTGGGGATCTCTCAACGTCCTGACCTCCATCTCAGTGGGCATGTTCCTCACCTGGCTGGCTGCCCCTGCTTACTGATGCAGCCTCCTGTCACACGGTACTCACCTCTATTCACTGTATTCCACCAACACTGGCCTTGGGAGCCAGCAGTACCCCCATTGTACAGATGAAAGTCTTGTGACTGTCAACATTAAAATGAGAATGATATTGACCCATGATACTTACCCACCTGTTCAGTGGATTCGGTGTGCCGTCAGCATGGTTCCCAGCACATAGTAAGTGCTCCGTAAATGTCAGCATCTATTATTATCATTTGTGTTTTTTTTTCCCCTTCTCTGCCTTCCTTTCTCTCCCTCCTTGGTCTGCTTCCTCCTGTTGCTATCAGAGCCTGCCTGCCTCATCCTTGTTCCAGCCTTGATGGTGATGATGATTGTGGTTGCTGTTGCTATTTGTTTTTTTGGTTTGTTTGTTTGTTTTGAGAGGGAGTTTTACTCTTGTCACCCAGGCTGGAGTGCAGTGGCGCCATCTCGGCTCACTGCAGACTCTTCCTCTTGAAGCTGGGGAAGTTCAAGCAATTCTCCTGCCTTAGGCTCCTGAGTGGCTGGGACTACAGGCATGTGCTACCATGCCTGGCTAATTCTTTGTAGTTTTAGTAGAGATGGGGTTTCAGCATGTTGTCCAGGCTGGTCTTGAACTCCTCAGCTCAAATGATCTGCCCACCTCGGCTTCCCAAAGTGTTGGGATTACAGGCGTGAACCACCACGCCCCTCACGCGCAGCCACTGTTGCTATTGATGATTATTATGACATCATTGCTCAGATTCACTTGGCTCAGAGAGGGCGGAGTCAGAGTGACCCAGGTGGTCACTGCTCCCCTTCTTGTCCATCAAATCAGCTGCCTCCAACAGCATTGCCTGGCAGCGTCACGTAGTAGCCCTCTCCCTCACAAGGCTTTTGAGGCAGACAAATGCCACTGATAAAGCAAAAGCAAATGTTTTGGGTGAATTCCCCATAGCTACACTAGATTTGAGGCTGAGAAATGGAATGCCTGTCATTGTTGACTGAAAAATACAGCTCTCCTAATAGAGTCTTGGTGCAGGAGCTGTTAGCCTTGCCGCCCTGCAGACTTGAAGAATTGCGACGTCGGCCTAACATAATTTTGGTAACTTTGTCTGCTTCTGCCTCGGGTAGAAATAATTCAGATTTCACTCTCCATTTTCTTTAATGGGCTAAACAGCCACTTTGTAATACCTGTATTTTATTAGACATAATTCTGGATATTGTTTCTGCAGCGTTTTTGAAAAGACAAACCTGAGAGAGCCCAGCTATTTAACTTAAGCAATTTTAAAGTTATTTGTAAAATGATATGCTGTCTTTTTTGACCCAGTTACTTTATAAAGCTACATTCTTTGGCAAACATTAACACAACTTCTCCGTGTGTGGGCTAAATAAATATTCGGGCAACACTGATTGAGCACTGCCTTGGGTAAATAATTCTCTCTCCACACATTTCCTAGTTTATAATGAGGAGTTTTCTTCGTGGTCTGACCAAATGTAACATTCCATTGAAAATGAGACATAAATCCTTGAGTGAGGGAGACGTGGAACCAGGGTTTGAGGAGGGTTATTAAAAAGGTGAGGGTAGCAGGGTGACCTCCTGAGTCCCCTGCTCTCCCGAGCCTTCTCTCCTCTCTGGAACCCATGGCTAATAGGGGACAGGAGAGAGCGGAAGCAGAAAGAATAAGAGATATGAAAGCCAGCCGGGCACAGTGGCTCACGCCTGTAATCCTAGCACTTTGGGAGGCCGAGGCAGGCAGATCACTTGAGGTCAGGAGTTCGAGACCAGCCTGGCCAACATGGTGAAACCCTATCTCTACTAAAAATAACAAAATTAGCTGGGTATGGTGGTGTGCGCCTGTAATTCCAGCTACTTGGGAGGCTGAGGCATGAGAATTGCTTGAACCTGGGAGGTGGAGGTTGCAGTGAACTGAGATCGCACCACTGCACTCCAGCCTGGGCAACAGAGGGAGACTGTCTCAAAAAAAACCAAAAACAAAAAAAGAGACATGTGAGCCTTCCCTTCCCTCTCCCCATCCTAGCCTCCTCTCACCCAGGTCCATTCTTCCACTGTCATCCCATGATGCTCTCTTGCATTTTAAAGTTTGGAAGCCCTTATTCCTTTGTTTTGTTTTTGAAATACAAATATCAACATTTTTATTGTTCTATAGTAATACACGTTTCTTCTATAGTACATTAAATCACAAGAGGTAATAGTGTATCTACTAACACCTATACTTTTGAGTAGTGTTGAGTGTAAATGATATTTTGAAATATCTGCAGTAACTGATGTGATATGCAAACATCTGTGATTTCTTTTAATTTTTATTAATTTTCATTTTTTAAAAAACTTTAGTTTCTGGGGTACTCGTGCAGGGCTGTTAAATAGGTAAATGACATGTCATGGGGGTTTGGTATACAGATTCTTTTGTCACCCAGGTCAGAAGCATGGTACCCAATAGGTGCTTTTTCGGTCCTCTCCCTCCTTCCACCCTCTACCCTCCAGTAGGCCCCAGTGTCTATTGTTTCCTTCTTTTTTTGAGACAGAGTCTCACTCTGTCTTCCAGGCTGGAATGCAGTGGCACCATCTTGGCTCACTGCAACCTCCACCTCCTGGGTTCAAGCGATTCTTGTGCCTCAGCCTCCGGAGTAGCTGGGACTACAGGTGTGCACCACCATGCCCGGCTAAGTTTTGTATTTTGCGTAGAGGCAGTGTTTCTCCATGTTGGCCAGGCTGGTCACGAACTCCTGACCTCGAGTGATCTGCCTGCCTCGGCCTCCCAAGGTGCTGAGATCACAGGCGTGAGCCACCGCACCTGGCCTATTGTTCCCTTCTTTATGTGCATGTGTACTCAATGCTCAGTTTCCACTTACAAATGAGAACATGTGGTAGTTGGTTTTCTCTTCCCGCATTAATTCATTTAAGATAATGAAGCTCCTGTCCTTGACCCAATCTCCACTCTACCGTTTGATGTCCAGTGTGGACTGCCCCTCTGAAAGCCCTTCACTGCGGCTTAGCCTGTGGTGGAAGGTGTCCAAGGTGGCTGGAACACCTCCTGCTGGGGGTGTCAGTCTTGGCTCTCCTGTTTTCTGCCTGTGCAATGGTGGGTAGGTCCCTTGATACCTCGTAACCTCAGCATCCCTGTGGGTGATAAGGAGATGATAATAGTCTCTTCCCGATGGGGGTTAAATAAAATAATTCTCGGAGTATGTGAAGCAGTACATGTGAAGTGCTCAGCTTTGTGTCTGGCACATAAGGAAGTGGTCAGTGTTTAATGTTAGGGATCATAGATGCTGATAAATTGCCGTTTATGGCATATTTCATGTATTGCCTCATTTAAACCTCCTTGCAATCTGTATGACTCCTGCTGATGATGGGGAATTTGAGACTGTGAGAGGCTTGGCAAAAGATCTAAGCTGTGAAGTATCTGGAATAGGATTCCACCTTCAGCCCTGCCTTAATGAAGACCATGGTCTTGCCACATTGCATCTCCCCAAGATTTTTATGGTTCTATTTTTAGTCACGTTGGCCTGCGTTGGTAAATTTACCTTTCCTGGTCCTTTTGAGTAACTATCTCTGGAAAGGATTAAGTGCAGTGATCAATCAGCAGCAAAGTCCTGGAAGAAACCCATTTGTTAGTCTCTGGGCCTCCCCAGGCCTTATCAGGGCTTAGCCTTCGAGCAGTAGCAACACTTGCACCTGCAGTTACTAATTCCTGTGGAATGAAGTAGGCGGGCCCGAAATGTACAGCCCTTATCCAGTGAATTCTCATAGGAGCAAAAAAAAGTGTTTTCTTTCCCCCTTGGAGTTCTGTTTCTTCTTAAAATTAGCTATTTCTCATACACAATAGGGACATATTCATAAAAAAGGGAAAATACTCCAAAGTTGAAAAAAAGATTGAAAAAGAAAATCCTCCAATATATATCTACTCTTAGCATTTTGGCACATATTCTTACAGTAGTTTCAAATGCCCAGGCCATTTTGTTTTATTTTGTTTTGTTACAATTGTGGCATATGTACTCGTGATGGATTTGCTTGTTATCTCTAAATTAATTCTCCTCCTGCAATTCAAATATTCCAGAGATATGTATATTTTTAACACATTGTTAATTATCCCATATGGATAATAGTTTCTTTTCTCTCTTAACATTTTAAAAGCATGCCTCCAGGTTGTTCTAGACGGTCCTGAACAGTGCTTTGAATGGGGACATGTTAGTAAACCAATGAGAGGAACCACGGTTTAGTTCATCATTCTCCTTCTAACTGTATTTTTAGGTTGTCACTAACTCTTTTCAGTCGTCATTTCCATGGCCACGAACATCTTTGGTTCTAAAGCATTTTTCCCATTTAAAATTATTTCTATGGGATTGATTTGCCAGAAGTAGAATTTCTAGGTCAAAGGTACAAACGCTTGAGAAGTCCTGATACATATTAACTTGGGCCAGAAATCTACCATGTAATTGAGAGCACCTTGAGCTTGGCTTCAGAGCCAGGATGAGGACAGGAATAAGTGGGCCTTTTGATTTGAAATGTTGAGATACGAATGTATTCTAGATGGGCCAAATAACCAGCTTATTTTATTTTAAAGTCGAGTGAATTTTCTGCCTCACTAATGTGCATGTCTTCAAAGACAAGTAGTGGGAACGGAGTGGGGATTTGTCATCCCATAGAATGCCACCACATGGAATCGGTCCTGAGGCTTCTGAAAGCAGTTCCAAATTTGAATGTTTCCTAAGTTAGTTCTTGCGGTACAGCGCAGACAATATTCTTCCTCGACAATAGCTGAGACCCAAGTGCCTGGGCGCTTCCAGGTCATAATTAACCTCTTCAAAATAAGAGCAAAGAAAGGCAGGAAAAGGTCCTCTCCATTCCAGAAAGGAGAACAAAGAGGGGGAATTCTAACCCTCTTGCCACCTCTGTTCTCGTCCGTTCCATATTAAGAAGCATTCAAAGACTAGGATGCCATTTTGCAAACGTCTCATTCTCCCTGAATGGTAAGGCTCCACGCTTTAGCACAAGTGGTACAAATCTGCCTTCCCTCATTCTTTTTTGCAGATCATCCCGCTCCCCACCCCTTTCTTTATCATGGCTCATTTGGAGCATCTGTGCATTTTTTAAAGGCTGGATTTTCTTTCTGTTGCCATTGAAACATTGCATTTGTACAGGAGAACTACTTAATGGCACAGTTTGTTATTACATGGAATTAAATACAACCTATTTAAATCATGTACCGTGAAACCAAAGAGCTGTGTATGGAAAAAGCCTCATATAACCCAGTTTGCCAGGTCCTAACTCCCTTCATACATATACTAACATGCAAAAGACCTCCTACCTTTTTTTTCCCCTTCTGTTTCTCTCTTGGTATAACACTACCCTGTTTTTGAAAGTACTTGTACTGCTAATATATTCTTTAAAGAAGAGGGGGGAAACCTGTTGGTCCCCTCATAAAACAGTTAACAGGAAGCCCAAGGCATCTTTCAGTGCCATTTTTGGCTGATGTTTGGAATGGTTCCATCAATCACTGCTGTTCATGTATAGCTGGTTTTTATGTCAGTTAAACCATCTTCCATCAAGTTGGTGAAGCAGAGTCAGGGAACAAGATGAATAGCAAAACGTCTTCTGTGGCATGGAAAAGGCTTTGCTTTTAAATGCCCGTGTTGATTTCTTAATATTTTCAACTTCCTCTTCTGAAGCCAGTTCCCCCCGACCATCAGTCATGAGTCCGTTCTTTTAACCTTGTTCAGGTGGCGTGGGGCGGTGTGTTTGGTGGGGAGTGATGGGTGCTTGCCTGGAAGTGCGAGCAATTGATCAGCTGATGAGGGGTATTTATTATCTGTCCCTGACTCCCGAGAGAGGAAATAAATCCTTGGACCCCAGAGTGATTTTCGGAGCCACAAGAATGCAAGATGTCCTGTTTCCAGTCAGACCATAGCAGTATCAGTCTGTGCAGTTGGAATCTTGCATGGGGAGGTGTTTTTATTTCACACAAGAAAGAATGGCACATCTTTCCTTGAAAGATGTATTTTGTATATCTTAATGTCAGTTATGTTTACGTGTTTGCTGCTCAGAAATCAACAGGATTTCTGCCCTTCCCCAGCCCCCTTTTTTTCAGCCCTTCAGAGAATATTTGTTGAGTGCAGTGTGTAAAATCATGGCGGTGCCAAGAGGGGGTGTGATGGGTGTGGCCGCCCCCCTGCCAGCAGGAGGAATCTGTTTTCACTGACATTGTTTGGAATCACCAAGCATGGTGATGATAAAAAGCAGTTAAACTTTGGTCACTTTTATTAATACTTTTAAGTCCTTAGCGAACAATGCACCCGTTATTACTTGCACCTAGTGGACATGGTTCTCATTGCTGCTGCCCACCTTTCTTTTTTTTGCCATGGGTGCAAAAGATGCCTCTGGGGATCCCAGAGGACTCAGCATTGGTAAGGATGCAGTCCTAATCCTGAAGGAGGGTACAGCTGACCAGGGAGGTAACACATGAATGCAGCTGATAGGGCCAGTTGGACCCAGATTTCAACTGCAATCTCTATTTCCTTCGGATCTGTTGCATCTGCTCAAACACTAGTTCTGCAATTTCCCAACACCTGCCCCCTGCCCCTTATAAAAGCTCATGGTTCCATGTGACTTTCCACTCCTGCGTCTCTGGCCTTGGGGCAGGTCAGTCCGTGGATCACCTCACTGTCCTAGGGATGCTCTTCTGGTCCACACTGTGCCTACCTTGGATATGGAGTTCCACTTGTTCCCTTACCTTTCACCCACCTGTGCTCCTCACCCAAGCAGGCATTGATGGAGGTCTCATACTTTACTGAAGATGTGAGGAAAGAGGACACTTATGTAGAACCCAACTGCAGGTGGAGCCTTGGCGATCCATAGCCCTCTGTAAAGTGGGGATTGAAGCACATATCTTGCAAGGCTTGGGCATTGATTGCAGGGAGTAATGTGTATATGAATCATCAGCTATGCAACATAATGCTGATGCTAAGTACTAACATTGATGGAGTGTTGGCATGAGCTGGGCAGAGTGCTCCATCCTCTATGTGTGTATTAGTTCATTCTTGCACTGCTATAAAGAAATACCTGAGACTGGGTAATTTATTTAAAAGACACCTTTAATTGGCTCACAGTTCCACAGGCTGTACAGGAAGCATGATGCTAGCATCTGCTTGGCTTCTGGGGAGGCCTCAGGAAACTTACAATCATGGTGGAAGGCAAAGGGGAAGGAAAGCATCTCACATGGTGCAAACAGGAGCAAGAGAGGGAGCAAGGGGGCAGGTGCAAAACACTTTTCAACAACCAGATCTCAGGAGAGCCAACTCACCACACAGCATACGTGCTAAACCATGCATGAGAAATCTGTCCGCATGATCTAATCACCTTCCACCAGGCCCCACCTCCAACGTTAGGGATTACATTTGGACATGAAGGCTGGGTGCGGTGGCACACTCTGTAATCCCAGCACTTTGGGAGGCCGAGGCAGGTGGATTGCTTGAGCTCAGTCGTTTGAGACCATCCTGCACAATACGGTGAAAACTCATCTCTACTAAAATACAAAAATGTAGCCAGGCGTGGCGGCACATACCTGTAGTCACAGCTACTCAGGAGGCTGAGGCAGGAGAATTGCTTGAACCCGGGAGGTGGAGGTTGCAGTGAGGTGAGATCGCACCACTGTACTCCAGCCTGTGTAACAGAGCGAGACCCCATTTCAAAAAATAAATAAATAAATTTGACACGAAATTTGGTGGGGACACAGATTCAAACCATATCAATGTGAATTAAATGACATCATTCAGTCCTCAGGACAACCCTCTGAGGAAGTACTTATGCCCCCCGGCCTTTTTTTTTTTTTTTTTTTTTGAGGCAGAGTCTTGCTCCATCACCAGGCTGGCACGATCTTGGCTCACTGCAAGCTTCACCTCCTGGGCTCAGGTGATTCTCCTGCCTCAGCCTCCGGAGCAGCTGGGACTACAGGCACGTGCCACCATGCCCAGCTAATTTTTTTGTACTTTTAGTAGAGATGGAGTTTCACCAGGCCAGACTGGTCTTGATCTCCTGACCTTGTGATCCTCCCACCTCGACCTCCCAAAGTGCTGAGATTACAGGCGTGAGCCACCGTGTCTGGCGTCATGCCCCGTTTTATAGATGACAAGGCATGGAATGGTTAAATGTCTTTCCCAAGCTCATGGAGTGGTGGCGGTGGAGGTGTTGTGAATGTGAACCCAGGAAGTCCGCCTCCAGAGCTGCAGGCATTAATGCAAAGCTGCACTGCCTCACGAGGTCGCTGATGCACTCTCATTCCTTTTCCTCCAGGGACTCCTGCACTTTGCCAGGCGTGGGCCAGAATGCCACTCGTATTGTTTATCTTAATGCTTAGTGATAGTAGCTACCTCCAGTGCACGCCGCATTAGCCTCTCCAATGAGTTTCTCCTTTATTTTAAATGTAAATCTAGAGTTCCCTTAATCCCCTTAATTTTTAGTACGTGGCTCTGAGGGCAGAAACATTTTCAGGAGCAGCCTGGGCTGAGTTTTTAATGTGGCAGCAGCCTCGGCTGGTTTCAGCATGCAGGTGAGAAGGCCGTTCATCTGGAACTTGGGCTACCCAACAGTGCAAGTGGGGAGATCAGAGCATGGAAAATGTTTTTGTATAAACTTAGGTGGACCAAAATGATCATTTCAACAACATTTCGGACTTGATTTTTTGTATTTATATGGCCCCTTTCTTCCCAAGAATTGAAAGCCTCAAACTAGAACGTGGCTTTTGAACGGTGAACATTCCACAAACATTTAATACAGAGATGGCTGTGGGGTGGGGGCTGGGGGCTGGGGGCCTGGAAGGGGAGAAGGGGCACCAGAAGGAGAAATGGGAGGAAAGGGCGAGTGAGATAGCAAAGAGAACTCAGAAAGTAATAAAGCCCTGCAGTAATCAGAGGGCTGAGGCCAGGTCCCCAGTGAGCGGCTGAACACACAGTGATTCAAACCCACTCCAGACCTGTGTTCTTAATCATTACCTTCACCTGGAGGGACAGACCTGGCCTTGGGCAAGCCACCCCCACTCCCTGGCTCTGTGACCTTGGCAGCTGACTGGCCCTCTCCAAGATCAGTTTCCTCATTTGTGTAACAGTAGTAATCTCCAATTTAGGGGGCTGTATGGATATTAAATGAGAAAACACACACAGATCATTTCTTTAGCACAACGTCTATCTGGCACATTAGCGAGAGCTCCGGAAATACCCATGCCAGGGTCACAAGCTCGGTTCTGGAGCTGGATGGCCGGGGTTTGATTCTTAACTCTGCTCCTTTCTAGCTGTGTAACTTTAGGCAAATAATGTAACCTCCATCTGCCTTTGTTTTTTCCTCTGTAATAGAAGGAACAACAACGAACAACATTTTTTTTTTGGCAAGATTAAGTGAGATCTTCCATTTGACATGCCTGGCTAATTGGCAGTGCCCAACAGATAGAAACTATTGGTATTGTAAGGACTGCTTATTGGGTACATATGCTGTGCCATGGGAGGTGGAGGTGCTGTCATGCTGAACCCCTATTAACCTCAATAGGAAAGGCACCAGGTTCAAGAGCTGAAGAAGACACTCAGAGCCAACAGATAGACATGGGGTTTTATTAGGAGGTTACATATAGGGGAGAGAGTCCAGTGATGGCGGGCTGGATAGTACAACTGCCCACCTTACATACAGAAATGGTCCAGTGGCAGTAGGCTGGACAGGATATCCACCTCCCTACAGTCCAGTGGTGGCGGTGGGCTGGGCAGGAAAACCATAACCACCTGCAAATGTCATGTGGTTTATATCACACCTTCACTTAACACCCTCCCCCTAACAACCTCTACCTGGCAATCTTCATTTAACTCCAAACTCAGGACCTCAATCCCCTGTTTGGCCTGTGTTCCACGGGACAGGCATGGGGCACAGATGTCTGTTATATATAAGGGACAAATCTCTGGGTTGGTCACTCCTGGATTCCCCAGCCCGGACCACACATTCAGGTGCATCTCCCACACAGGATCATTCTAAGGGTATGCTTACGTTACCGCTATTGGGGTGTGTTCACCCTGCAGGTGCAGAGATGGCAACCGAGGCAGCTGAGGATCAGGGAGTGGAATAACTTGCCTAGTTCTGGCTCTTCCCATCTAATGTGGCTGCACTAGATGCTGTTAGGAGGAGGAGGAAGCCTACTTTTGTTTTTTACCCAGTTTCTGTTCAAAGGTCGTATTTCATGGTGCCTCATCACAGTATGTTCTTATATGCCCTGGCAAACAGAAGGTGCTCAATAAATGCTAGTTCATCTGGTCCCTTAATGAATACTCTGGCTTCGTCATCTTCCCTAGGCTTTGGTTAATTTGGTGCCCTCTTTTGCCATTTCTGCAACCCTTATTCATTGCTGTCAACTGCTCGTTACACAGCATTGCCTGTTTCACTCTGTACAGGTGCCAGGCGTCTCTCAGCTTCTCCTCTCTTTCCCATCCAACTGAGCAGCACCAATAAATAGATAAGAAACCTGAAGGTCTACATCAAATCAGCTTCTATTGCTGCAAAACTCTTCTAGCTAACTTCATTCTAAAAGCTGTCTGAAATATATTTACTTACACCCGAGAAGATTCAAAAACATTACCGCTGAACCCCGATGCTTTGGGAACACATGGTGTCCTTGGCCACTTCCTTGCTTGTTACCTTGTCCAACAGCTGATTGGCATAGTACAGATGTAGACATCAAGTAATTCTATCGTTAAAGGATTAGTCAGCCTCTCCCTACTCCCCACCCACTTATCTCAGTAAGGTTTAGTCAAGAAGTTGGAAATTAATGGGGAAGGAAGGTTTTGGGTTATGTGTGGATTTCATTTATCCATGCTATCTCTTCCCTCCATTAGCATGGTTAATTAAGAGTTGTCAATACATCTTTGTTGGAGTATTTGATTATTTTTTCAACAGGGAAGATTAGAATGAAGTCTTCAGATCTGGCAAGTGTCATGGGACTTGTAAAGTAAATTGCAGGTTAAGCCCTCATTTTGATCTCTGGGATGAGAGCAAGCACCGTTTCATTGACATGTCATCAGCTATGATCTGAGGGAGCACACAGAGGTGCCCTTTGGGGAAAGAGGGGCATCTTGCACTTGTCTCCCACATTGAAAGGGTTTATTGCACAGTGAGTGTGTGCAAGTGAACAAATAGCAGATGGGTTAGAATGGACAGAAGCTAGCTCTGAGCACCTCCTGATTTATGCTTTATTTAAAAAAAATCATATGTATGTATATGTGCATACACATACATTGTTTTGTATATATTTGTCAGATGGAGGTGTGTGTAAACAAATAACAGAAATGAGTTAAAATTGACAAGTTAGCTTGGTAAACATCTTGATTTATAATTTATTAAAAACTACGTGGGTATGTATATACATACAGACACACACACTTCTTCACCACCTGAACAAAAATCCCTTTTGAATCATCCTTCTTGCCTTCCAAACAAGTACACTAGCAAACACTTTTCCCAGATGGCAAATGACTATGCCCGTTAGGCATTTCTTTTAGCATTTGTGTTGACAATGGCCTTTATTTTTCCTTCTACTTAAGGGCTCTCACGTTCTAGAATACATCTTACCAGCGATTAATTATGCCTTGAGATTGCCAGGAGACGTAGACGAGCTTTTATTGTTTTAGCCACTGAATATACCTCTAGATAACACAATACATATTTACAGTGACAAGCTTTGTATTATTTATAGGATTATAGCAAATCATCAAAAAACAACCCAAAAAGGGCCACTTAGACCAACATCCTTATTTCTCCCTCGGCTTCAGCATTGAATTATGCATGCATTACAAATGGCAATAAGGAGTAAAGGTCGGTTTAGAACAACACAGATTGCAAAATTACACCATTTGTTTAAACAACATTCATTATTGATTATTCAGCATAGGGGCTGATAGAAACGCAAACAGTGGCAGTAATATCATCTATTTACGTAGGCCCTTTATAAATGTGGGACCATACCCTCTGTTTAGATCGGAACAATTGTTCAAATTTTCCAGCTCTGTTTTGCAAGAAAGTAAAGATGAATTTGGCATCTACTTCCTTGTGTCTTTTAATTTTTGAAAGATTTTTGGTATTCTCCCTATATCACTGAAGAGAGGGAATTGGGGTTCAGATGGATTAAGTAATTTACTTAAGGTCCTGCTTCTAAAGTTATAAGTACTCTTTCCATCATATAACACTTAGCATGTCTGAAGCCAGTAATTTATTAATAATAGTAATGATAATAATTATAACCATATCTAATACATATTAACTCTTATTTTACCAGTCCATGCACAAAGTGTTTTGCATGTGCTTCGACTTTCAGCCTTTACAGAAACCCTGTGAATAGACATTATTATGATGTTCGCTTTATAGCTGAAACTGAGGTGCAAAGGAGTTAGGTACCCTGCTCAAGATCACTGGGTTAGTAAGTGGCAGAACTGGATGATGGAAGTCATCACTGTGTTCCAGTATCTGCAGAAGTGTCACACTTTTGTGCTTTGACCGTCTTCTCATGACCCATGAATGCCATGATTTCACAAACCTGTTCAAACAGTATTGGTTTAATGGTTGATTCAAATGGGTGTTCCAAAGATATCGTAAATATATTTAGGATATTAGAAATAAGATATTTAACTTTACTAACATAAACCTTCAATTTAGTTTTAAAGAGTCTTAGAGCAGCATAAACAACATGACTTTCAACTAAAATGGAATTTACTAAATAAAACCCAAGAGATTAATTGTAGGAGCTATGTCCTGGTGACTTGGGAAAGAAAAATGTAAGGTGGTAAGCTTACGTACATGCTTTCGGCATACACTTCCCACCTCCAGCCTCGCATTCCCCTGGTACAACTCAACAGGCATTTCATTTTGCCTTACAAATTGAGTGCAACCGGGAAGCTCATCGCATAGCTGCTTACTCAGAAAATCTGGTGTAGTGGCTTAGCTAGCATAACTTTTGAGAGGTCTCTGTGTGATGGTCTTTTTTAATGTCTTTCGTGAAGAATTCTTCTTTTTTTTTTCTGAGACAATGAGTTGTTCTGTCACTCAGGCTAGAGTGCAGTGGCGTGATCATGGCTCACTGCAGTCTTAACCTCCCAGGCTCAAGCGATCCTCCTGCCTGGTAGGTGGGACTACAGGTATTCACCACCAAGCTCGGCTAAATTTTTTTTGAAACTATTTGTAGAGATTGGTGGCAGGGTTGGAGGGCAGGTCTCATTATGTTGCCAGGGCTAGTCTCGAACTCCTGGGCTCAAGCAATCCTCCCACCTCGGCCTCCCAAAATGTTGGGATTACAGGTGTGAGCCACCACACCCAGCTGAATTCTTCTCTTGATCATTAATCCCCACCCCACCCCACCCCAGAAAATCCATGTTATCTTTTTGCTTAGAGGTTCACCACCTCTGTTCCATCACTTTTCTTTTTCTTTTCTTTCTTGTTTTTTTTTTTTTTTTTGTTTGACACAGGGCCTCACTCTGTGGCCCAGGCTAGTATGCAAT
Organism: Homo sapiens; assembly: GCF_000001405.40. Lineage (NCBI taxonomy): Eukaryota > Metazoa > Chordata > Mammalia > Primates > Hominidae > Homo > Homo sapiens. The sequence goes on from NC_000016.10 coordinate 78,254,564, forward strand.
GGAGCAATCTCAGCTCACTGCAACCTCTACCTCCCAGGCTCAAGTGATCCTCCCACCTCAGCCTCCCAAGTAGCTGGGACCACAGCCTCCTGAGCACCCGGGTGCATGCCACTGCCACCATGCCTGGCTAATTTTTATATTTTTTGGTAGAGATGGGGTTTCACTCTGTTGCCCAGGCTGGTCTCGAACTCGCAAGTTCAAGCGATCTGCCTGCCTCATCTTCCCAAAGTGCTCGGATTACAGGTGTGAACCACCACATCTGGCCAACTTCCCTTTCTAAGAGCCCTCTTGGGGCTCTGATATGCACCTCTCATACCTCAGCCCCAGTCAGGGTTGTTGAAAACCCACTGTCTGCCCAGAGGCTGGGAGCACATCTTGGTCTGCCTGGTATGGAGGGCTGGGAGGAGGATTGCAGGAACTGCTTAAGAGGCCTCACTTTGCAAGAGCAGTTCAGGATGTGTTTCCAGCACAGTTTCCAACATGTGCCACCCATGGCTTCCCCTTTCATGTTCCTGGCCTTTATGCTAAGTTCTCACATTGTTATTTTTACAAGTCTTTTCCAAGGCCTCTGATTTTCTAGACCATTTAATGTTTGCCATAACCCATAAGGGTATAACTGTCTTGGCACATTCAGATCCCCCGTCCCCCTGCTGTCCTTCTAGTCAGTTTCTGGCACACTATGTTTATGAGCTTACAGAACAGCTCCTAGGTTTTCTTACTTCCAAAACAGTGGGCAAGAACAGCTACCTTTTAGAAGCAGGAAAAAGGAACATAATGAATAAACCTAAAGGATTTAAAAACTTGGAAGACACTAAGAAACTATATTGCCGAGAAAGAGAAATGTAAATTCCGCTGGATAAATTAGCGTTTGCGGTTACTTCTCTCTTTGTTGCTTAAGCAGAGGAGAAACAGAAGTCATAGCAAAGAGAGAGGTAGCTGCAAAAGCTAATTTATCCAAAAGAATTTACATTTTTCTCTCTTGGCACTATAGGGGGCATGTTTACTCTCCTGATGTCTTTTGGGGAAGGCGAGGCACAAAAGAAGGGCATCTTCTTCCTTCACACACACACCCCACTTAGGAAAATACGTACACTTGAGATGCCAGAGACACACCCAAGT